>NC_000011.10:94057323-94684537 GCF_000001405.40 Homo sapiens | reverse complement strand
TTTATAGTGGAGATCACAGTTGGTAGGTCTGTCCCCTGGGTGGCCTGGACTGGCTCCAGGAGCTTGGTCTTTGGGGCTGGTGCTAAGGTGAGGCTCCATTTCAGGATTCACAGCCAGTGGGCCTATTACCAGGTGTGCTGATGGGTGTAGCTTCCTGCAGACCTCTGGGAAGCCTCCCATTGGATGACTGGATGGTTCTTTACTTTACTGCCCTAGTCTATGGCTGAGGTAGGCTGTAACTAAATTGCAAGGCTCCCACAAGGAGACTTTTGTCCGTGAATGGGTGCAGAATTCTAGCTGTTATTAGGGAATATGAGTGAGTGAACTCCTATTTTGCCGTCTTACTGATGTCACGTCCTGACAATAAAATAAAGTTCTATTGTTTAAACCACCCAGTTTGTGGCACTTTGTTATGGCAGATTTAGCAAACTAATACAAGAGCTTTCAAGGGAATACTACCAAACATGATCTTCAGCAAACCTTCACATGGAGTAGCAGAGGTCCTTCCAGTTATGTTGTCCTATCCTCTCTCCACCTTGCTGGCTCTTTCTCACCATCTCCCCTACCCATCCCTCCATGATTCTGTCATTTTTCTCCTGCCTCCCTCTCAAGAGAAAAGCAAAATTTCTCTTATAACAGGCATAAAGTTGTTGCTCCCATTTGAAACAGCTTATCAAATTTTATTTTTAAGTACATATTTATAGGATTATAATATAAATGCACAGATATCAAGGTACCACCTGATGAAGCCCAGGCTTACTGCTGAGGTTTCCTTCTTTTCCTTTCTCCTTACAGGCCCCAGACACTCAGTTTGCTACTGATGCTCTTCAGAACTGCTACTACCCAAACCTTGAGTTTCTCCTTTCATCCAGAGAGGCCTTTAAAAATTTTAATCACCCAATGAAAGCAGGCAGAAAACATCAAAAAGATAAATGTGAGAGATTAACAAAAATTAAGGTGTCTTTCAGTTGTTTTTCTCAGCCTCTGGCTCCATGTTGACATGGAAACAGAAAATGCCTTTGGATTTTTGTCCTCTCCTTTTATTCCTGAGGGTGGCTCTCATATCATACTCTTCATAGAAGGGCATGATGACCCTTCTCCCATAAAAGTTCTTTGCTTCAGCAGAGGGATTGCAAGGTAATTAGAGCAGAAAAATGGGTGCCCCATGGGTAGAGTTACATGGACACACATATAGACCTTGAGAGTTAGCGTGCAAGGTGAAAATTGCATAGAATTCAAAATAGCATGGAAACTCTTTTATAAAGGTATCATGTTGGAAATTGAAATACCATTTTCATTAAGTCCAAGCCAACAGTTACAAACTGTACAGAAGTAAAACACAAGATGAAACAACTGGCTTGTAGGGGTCATGTTGTGTAAACATTGTTCTGTCTTTTTTTATTCTAGAATCACATTCAGCATGGCAAGTAGTTTGCACTGAAACTGACTGAGGGAACAAAAGATTTATGTCTCCTATCTGATAATCAGAAGCATATCTTCATTAAATAGAGTGGTTAGAAGATTTTCCCATAATATTTAAATGGTTGTTCTCCCTCTCTAACCCTAAGTGTATATGACTGAATTTGCTTCATACTGAACCTTTACTATGTGATTCAGCGGCATTTTTATCATCTTAAGACCTAACTAGAATTTCTCTTTAGGTAAAAACCTTTATGTGGAAATTTTTTTTTTTTTTTTGAGATGGAGTCTTGCTCTGTCACCCAGGCTGGAGTGCAGTGGCGCGATCTTGGCTCACTGCAAGCTCCGCCTCCTGGGTTCACGCCATTCTCCTGCTTCAGCCTCCCGAGTCGCTGGGACTACAGGCACCGGCCACCACGCCCAGCTAATTTTTTGTGTTTTTAGTAGAGACAGGGTTTCACCATGTTAGCCAGGATGGTCTTGATCTCCTGACCTTGTGATCCACCTGCCTCGGCCTCCCAAAGTGCTGGGATTACAGGCGTGAGCCACCGCGCCTGGCCATTATGTGGATTTTTTAAGAGAAACAACTGACTTTACTTTCAGCTGTGTCAGTTGCATCAGACTAATTTACAACAGACCAAACCTCCTACTAACAAACAAACAACAGAAAAGCTTAATTTTAAGAATGGTTGAAAGCATTAGAGTGTTACCAATGGAAGCCAGGACTTGAGGGGCCAAGTAAGGTGTCTGAGAGAAAAGGAAACTCACTGAGGTGAGCCTAGCCTGACATTCTATGCTCCTTTCCTTCTCAAGGAATTTGCTGGCTTATAATCAGTTTAGGATGAGACATTAAAATGCCAAGCAGAAAGTGGTGGCTAAGCAGAGGTTTGGGCATAATTGGAGCTTAGGGTTACCAAAGGAGAGAGGGATTAAGAGAGAAGGCAGCACAAAGAAGTGAGTATAATAATAGGAGATATTTTTCTTCTCAAAACATTTATCTATGCATAAGTAGCACGTAGTCAGGCTGCTAAACCAAGCAGAAAGCATTTGATAAGAAGCTGGCTTAAGCAGAGCTTCCACAATCTCACCATGCTGAGCAGGAGGTAATCTAGAAAACACCTAGGCTTTCACTTGCCAAATCAAGAGCTATTCCCAATCATAGGGACAAATCAGAAATAGACCTAGTTTTACAAATACTGAACTGCAGCCTTGAGTCAGTCCAATCCCTGATTTGGCTGTAAACTGACACTTGGTTGCTGTTGCCCACTGAACCCTGGTTATAAAAATCAGCAAAGGTGGCCAGGCGCAGTGGCTCATGCCTGTAATTGCAGCACTTTGGGAAGCCGAGGTGGGTGGATCATGAGGTCAGGAGTTCAAGACCAGCCTGGCCAACATGGTGAAACCCCGTCTCTATTAAAGATAAAAAAAATTAACCAGGCATGGCAGCGTGCACCTGTAATCCCAGCAACTCCGGAGGCTGAGGCAGGAGAATCGCTTCAACCCGGGAGGCAGAAGTTGCAGTGAGCCAAGATCGCACCACTGCACTCCAGCCTGGGTGACAGGGCGAGACTCTATCTCAAAAAAAAAAAAAAAAAAAAAAAAAAAAAAATCGGCAGAGGCTCTAACACAGTTCACAAAGACAGCCCTTTGCAGGAACTCTAGAAGACCTGATATGCTCCCCACAAAGTTCAGTCATTTAATGAGACATGTTGACATCACTTGTTCATGTGTTTGGCATGGCTCTGAGTGCAGGTACACAAAGGGTTGTTAAGATGTCTTTGTCCTCAAAACACTCATCATCTACAGTGAGAGAGACTGACAAGTAGAGAGCTGATGGCACTGAGTGTGACAAGTGCTATGAAAGAATTAAAAGGATGTCCCAGGAGGTTAGTAGAGGCACACCTAATCTATTCTTGATGTGGGGGTAGGTGAAGCCAAAGTGGGCTTCCCAGAGGAAGGGACACTTCAGCTGAGCCCAAAGGGCTATTAGTGTTTTCCCAGATGAAAAGATGAAAGGTATCAGGCAGAGGAAATAGCATATGCAAAGAGAGAAAGAGAGAGCATGGATTGTCTAAAAAACAGCAAATACTTCTGTTTGATAAATGTGCAAATTACCACAGAGAGTGACAGGGGCCAGATCATGAAGGGTTTCTTGTATCACAAGTTAAGGGGATCTCCAAGCCATGCCCGGTAGCTTTAACCATCTATTTGAAATGATACATTTACCAAGGGCAATGGTGCTCAGAACCTCATTGTTTGGTTCCTTCTGGAAACACTGGTTATCTCACATGATGAACTCTAATTGTCAGGCATGCATGTCTTCGTTGAATAAAGAGGCTAGTATTGCAATATATATTGCATATTATAATGGCTTGATTAGTGAAGAGAACTTGAAAAGGGGACAGATATGAGAGATATTTGGGCGTTAGACCTGTCTTACTGGCCTTGATGAATGTGAGACAGAGAGGAGTTAAGTATGACTCCTGGGCTTCTAGCTTGGGCAATTGAACTAATTTTCTTATGACAAATAATTATAGTCTTTTGCCTTGTCTATCTACCTTCCAAGGTGTAAGCTTCTTAGGTGAAGCAATTCAGAACCGCAAGAATTTACTGAATACTTTCTACATGTCAGGCATTTATTATCTCATTCATTCTTTACAACACGACAAAGACGTGAATACTGTTACTTTTTACCACTTGGCTTCTTATCTAAAACTACACTAAATACCATAACTTGCAAATGGGTGAGTTAGAATTTGAGTTCAGTGTATCTTACCTTAGATCCTGGAATCTTATTATTAGGCTTTTCTAGGAGACAGTGCTTGGATTTGAACTTAAGTCTCCTTTGAATCAGTTCTTAAATCTACCCAATTGGTGTGGCTCATAAAGATGGCCCCATAAGCTGTGGAACTAATGGATATTTCTAGGTCCGTTTACACTGACAGCCCTAGATTCTGTATGGACAGAATCTGTTCTAGCGGTTAAGATCAGCCCAGCTCTGTGAATGAAACTCCAGGGGCATGGCCATTTTCTTAGCCTCCTCTTCCTTACTGGCCCCATTCTGGGAGGCTGAGAAACACGGGCTCTTCCCAGCTGTTTAGTGCTTCTGCTGAGCAGCCAAACTTGCATTGAAGAAACAATTGGTGCCTTCTGGGATTTCAGGTGTTTCTGGAAAAGCAAACTGCACCATCCAGGGTGGGAGAGTTCTGATTTGAATTTTCTGTTTGGCTATTGTCAGAAGTGGTCAGGGAACTAATTACAGTGGAGCTTCCATTACATCTTTCTTCCTCTAAAGAGAAGACATGGAAATGCTACCTTGCATAGCTCTCTGAGAGTAAAGCAGCACCCTTCACTCTCTATCCCTAAAATGTCAGTCAGTGCGTTTTCATCAGCACATCCCCGTGACCCTTGTGGGTTACTTCCTGCAAATGGTCTGCAGACTCCACCTGGATTCATTCCCTGGCTCTCAAGGCCCAAATAAGGCAGTGGACATACTACTATATTAATAATTGTGAGCATAATTATAGTTCAGAATTTGCAAAACACTTTCACCTGAATTATCTCATTTAATCTTCACAACAGGCCCGTGAGAAGAGCAGGGGAGGTATAGTCATTTCCCTTGTTTTACGGCAGAGGAAACTGAAGATAAAGCTATGAAGTGAAGCTGGCTAGTGGCTGCCTCAGGGTTACTACTGATATCACTGGACCCCTTCAGAACCAAGCATGAATGAAGGTAGGACATGCTGACTCAGTCAGGCTATGGGGCTCCAAGCCCAGGGGGCCAGTGGGTGGGGTGATTCTCAGAGAGGAGTGGGGAGCTGAGTGTTTGGGAGGGAGCTGGGCTGAGAGGCCCAGACTATGGGGGATTCATTGGAAAGGGAGAAATTCTGAGCCTTTTCCTTTCTTTTGGTGCCTAGGGCTCATGTTAAGAGCTACCTGGGGGCTGCCTGAATCTGTCTGCACATGCCTACCCCATTCTTTTCTGCATGACAGAGGGCCAAGGATGTTAAATCATAGCTATTGGGACAGGTCTAGATTCCTCCAAGTTAGCCTAAAAGAGGGGTGTTAGTCATCCTTCAGTACCATGCTGAAAGGCCACTCTTCAATACAGCCTCCAAGGAGGGGACTGAAAATGGGTACCTCCCTGTCGCTGTCACCCTTAGGAGCTTTTCACATGGAGTTAGAATAGAGCCTAATGGAAGTGGGCAACTTGAAGCACATTCTTCCCAGGTAATGATTGCTCTCCTCCTTATGCACATTTGTTTGTATAGAGCTTATATGTCCTTTTGAAAGATGCATGTTCCTATCTCCCAGCTCCCTACCCTGGGCCCCAAAGCTCTTTGTGGGATCTGAATCTCTATTAAAGCTAGCTTTCATTACCTTGGATTAAGTCCCATGCCCCTGAGCCTGTCTCTTTTTATTCCCAGTATTCCACTAAATGGAAAGAAGGCAGGAAGGAAAGGAAAAACTGAAGGAGTGAGGCCCCCTCGTCAATTATATTACTTTGGTCTACAAGGAGCAGCAATATAGCTTTAGGTTTAAGAAACCTGGCATTGAATTTAGTTCTGTGATTGTAAACAAGTATTTCCACATTTTTTAGTTTGGTTTCCTTGGCTATAGAATGGAGATATTAATACCTTCCCTGCCTGACTCATAAAAATGTTGCCAAGATCACATAAGATAAAACAACGCTAAGTGCCTTGTTGTAAGCCTAGGACAGCCTTGTGGCTGGGACTTTCTCTATCAGTAGTTCTTAACAGGAGGGCTGCAACACCAGCCCTGGTTTTGGCATAGCCGTTGGAAAGACAGAAATGAAGCAGTGGATTGGTGTTCCTCAATTCAGGAAGACTGGCAGGCCCAGGGCATCACGATAGAGGAAAGCCTTGCTTGCAAATCCATCTCCCACTGTTTCAGCTTTGCTCTCAGCCATGAGCTTTTTATACAAAGAGCTGTCACATTTATGGTCTTGCTGAGCTTCACCTCAGTTCTAGGAGGAGAAACCTTTCACTGACAGGAGCTACACAGGAATACAGGAACTAAGGGACAGGACCTGGGACTACACCCCATGCCTCCTGAGGCCCATGCCTGCCCTCTTTCTCTGTATCAGCCACCCTGTTGGAGAGGGAAGTTTTGGTCTGGGGATAGAGAAAGGAAGGGTGATATTACTTTGGAGAATGGGTCACTTCAGAGAGGATAGGTATAGAGTGAGGGAGCTTCAGGAGGACTGTCTAAGAACCACAGCCTAGGATGAGGATCCTGGGGCCTGAGTAAGAAGTAGGAGAGAAAGTGGAGAGAGCCATTTATTCCTTCATTCTGGGAGCCCTTCCAGACAAGTGAGAGCTAAAATGATCAGACCCAGACTGATAACTCGGGCTAGAGTCGCTCAGAGAGTGAGGTAAGGATAAGGTAGGGATGAGGCTGCTGTTGGACCAACCCACAGAGATTGTCAGAGGCATCAGGGTGAGTCTGAGATAATAATCAAAGCCAGGCAGATGAGCAACCAGTTTATTAACCCAAAGGGACGGGTCAGAGGAAAATGTGGTTTCAAGGCCTTGGGACTGACACTGGGGACTCCAGAGCAGGGTGAGAGGGTTTTAAAGGCTGGAGCTGGCAAGGGGGAGGCAGTCTGGGGAAACCCCCTAAGTTAGGGGTTGAATGCTGAAAAGAAGGCTGGAGAAGTGAGAAGTCAGACAAAAAGAGAAAGGGCATGCCTGGGTTTTCCTTTTAGAAAGGCCACTCTAGCTGCACTATGGAGGATAATGATGGGGTAAAAGGGGCAGGAGAAGGCTGAAGGAGGCTGCTGAAGGCCTCATTCAGTGACAGTGGAGACAGAGAAATGAGAGACATGAAAGAGGCAGAATCCACTGGATTTAGTAATAATTTTGAGACAGAGTAGGGACTCCTCTTAAAGGCCTGCTGTCCCCAGCTCTAAGCATGGAAATAAAGGAAAATCTTGGGTTCATTCAGGGGAAATTCCAGGTACCCAGGTAGTCCTGAGAAGTAAATGAGCAACTTGATAAGCTAGAAGGTAATAATAGCTTAAAACACGAGCCAAGGAAGTTAGAGTCACGAGATGTTCCCTCTACAAACTAAAGATGACTCAACTTATGTCCGTGAGCTGTTTTGCAGAACCCCAGGCCCCCATCAAATAGACCCACTGCCACATAGGCCTCAGATAAGGGAGGGCTGAGAACTGAACTCTGACCTCTGTTCTTTGCTCTAAATTTCTTCCTGAGGGACCTGGAGGTAAGGCTATGCCCCTGAGCAAGAACCAACGTTCTTTTCTGACCTCACATTTTTAGACAAAGCTTTGTCTCCTAAGCCAATTGCAAATTAGAAAATCTTTGAATCTACCTATGACCTATAAGCCCCTGCTTTGAGATGTTCCACCTTTTTAGGTTAAACCAATGGATAGCCTCTGTGTATTGATATATGACTGCCTGTAATCTCTTCCTCCCCACCTTTAAAAGCCCTTACTTGCAAGCCATCAGGGAGGATGAGTCTTAAGCATGAGCTGCCCAGTTCTCCTTGCTTGGTGCCCTGAAAATAAATGCCTTCCTTTCTCCTGCTGCAAACTTCTGTATGGATGTTTAGCCTTACTGCACTGGGCAAGTGGACCCTAGCTGGGTTCTGCAACAATTTGAATGGGAGATGATTTGTGAAGGAGATGTCAAGAATGACTTCCAGATTTGCTGACTTAAGAGACTAGAAAACTTAATTCAGGCCCTCACTTTGCCATTATTTTCAAACTTTTAGACCATAAGCTGCTTTTAGGCCTCAGTTTCTACTTCTCAGGATAGGAAAGATGATGTAGAGTAGTAGTGTTCCAATGATGGTCATGGGGCCATCCTGCAGGTGTGGCTGGGCCTCAGGGAAAGAGCCCCAGAGAGGAGTCAGAAGATCCAGCTCACATCTTGACCCAGCCTGTAATGTCAGGAGGGCACAGTATTTCTGAGCCTAGGTCTTCATTTGTATAAATGGAGATAATTATTCATTTATTCAAGAAATACACATTTGGGGCCAAAGATAAAAGGAAGGAAATATGGTCTGTGCCATCTGGAGTGCACAGCTAAGGAGGAGAAGCAGGCCTACAAACCAATAGTTATAAAGGAGCTGAGTAAGTGCCAGAATGATGTAAACTAAACAAATGGAGGCAGTCCAAAGGAAGGAGGGACCAAATGCAAGAGCTGCATCTAGAGATAGGACAAGGGGTAACCAGGAAGATTGAGGGAAAGGTACTGTGGCCTGAGAACTAGGCTGAGCCCTCCCTTGCTGGACCCCTGTCTTTTGATTGCCCTTCCTTGATCCTAACCTCTCTCTCCTGTCATCTAAATAGCAATCCTTTTTCCCACCTGCAAGTGAGGCTCTGAGGGATTCTTCAGAAATCAAGACTTTGACCCACTCCATATTATGAATGCCTCAGCCTACAAAGAGCTTGCCTAACCCAACATCAAGGGGTGGACACGTGATGCTGGACTTCCAGGTACCAGAAACAGGCCTTACTCCACCTTCTATGAGCATATGCCTACACAGGTAGGCTGGGTATTGCATTTTCTGAAGAGCAGATACTGTATTTAATTCATAGTTGTATCCCCAGTGCCTTATGGCAAGCCTGCCATGTGTTTGTGACTAATAATTGTGTGGTGAATGAATCAAGTTCCATAAAGTCTTTAAATTTCAAAGGGTTATTGGCTCCTTTCTCAGCCTTCAGGCAGGATTGTATCTTAATCACCACACCTGGCAGCTGTTCAGGCTCCCTGAACAGGTGGCACCCACCTGAGAAATAGGCAGAGCGAACACAACACTTTCTATAATTTAACTTTCATTCACTAGACAAGTACGCATTGAGAAGCTCCTCTGTGCCAGTCTCTGAACACATAGATGACATCAAGAACATTACAGCCTAATTGGGGGACAGATATTGCGTTCATAATTGCCACACAGTGGAGGCCCAAGGGGGAGGGAATTGGTTCTGCTACAGGGATCTTGCTTGGGAGATGCTTGAGCTGTATCTTAAAAAATGAGTAAGAGTTCAACAGTTGGATAGGATGACAGGGTTAGGGGAGAGCAGGGGACCTGGGATAAGGGAATTTAAGGCAAGAGATGTCTATGTGTATTGTGTTTACAGCAGTGCTATTCAAAGTCCAGATCCACAATGAGATGAGGAATTTGCCCCAGCATTACATCCTTAAATGAGAAAGTCTTACTATAAAAATACTGTCACCTGAACTAAAGTATGTTTGTGACTATTGATTTGCATTCTGGCCCAGGCCCTTCTGTGAATTGGAAACATTGTTTGTGAACAGGCAGCAGATCTGGAGACTACATCACTGCTTTATAGTTAACCAAGTGCTTTTCACACAAGTTCAAGCTCTTTTGCCCCTCAAAAAAAATCCTCTGAAGTTGTCAGGGCAGGTATCATAATCCTCACTTTACAGGTTGGATATTGAAACTCAGAGAGGTTAAGGTTCACATCACCCCACTGGTGAGCAGGGAGGCTGAGATTTAAAGCCAGGAGTGCTCTCCCAGCCCTTTATTCTTCTCCTTCATCAATGGCTTAGGAAGAAAATGAGACTGACTTGAGTAATGACTTCATGGCCAGCATGGCCCTAGCAACAAATGTCAGAGTGTGGGGCATAAGTGTGTCATGCATGTGACCTCCCATGGTATTTCTCATGTTCCTCCGTCTCATATTGCTGTCATGTCTTAAATAGAGACAGGATGACTTTTCCTTTCTAGCCACCCACTCTGGAGTCGCCTCCACCTGCCCTCCCAGGGGAGCTTCCTCCAGCACAGCCTGTGCTTGATATTTCACTACCTGAAAGGACTTGGCATTGGTCCCATGCAAGGAGACTGTCTCATGCATTCACAGAGACAGCAGGCATCTACTCAAAATAGGCTTACCGTTCCACGAATGCCATTCTGGGGTATGCTGCTCTTATCCTGGTAGGTGGGGCCATGATGCTGTTCTGAGCTGTCCTATCTATTCCCTTGGAGTACAGCTTCCTGAGCACAGCCTTTTTTTTTTCCATGCAAAGAAGCCAAAAGCAAATGGAGACAACTACAGGGAAGGTCACATGGGCCGAGAGAGATGGGAGCCTTCCAACCAAAAGAATCATAAATCTTCAGTTATGATCTGGCCGTTTCTCTAAGCAGCAAGCTAGTGGGGAAAACTCAAGGGGCCTGTGCCTGTGATTCCCATGGCCCTCTGACAGTGGGCACATTCTACAAAACTTGAGTGAGCTGCAGATGGTCAATGGCTCTAACAGCTGGCCTCCTGGAATGAAGCCATGCTGCCCATCAATGTCCTGGAGGGGTTCCTACCTGGACAGGGGCTCAGCCAGGGTTTCTCACACCTGCAGACCCTCAGCTGGAAAGTAATCAGAATCTTCAGCCTTTTAAAAGCTAAGTCTTAGAAAAAGCAATATAGACTCACACTGCCAAGGAGGATTAAAGAAAACTACTGGAGAGATTCTTGCTATATGTGTCTTCCTTCACCTTGGCCTGGAGTCACATATTCTGAAGTAGTGCCATAATGAGGAAAGAGAAAGAGCACTGGCTGGCAGTCAGAAGGCTATCCTGGCCTCAGTGCCAAATCTCCTTTGGCCCAGGGAAAATCCGTTAACCTTTCTGGGCCTCTGTTTTCTGCCATATAAAATGGGGTACTGTCCTAGCTACCCCGGGAATGGGAGATGATCCCAACCAATGCCCAAAGGCTTTGATGAGACATCAGACTTCAGCTGGCCATATCTTTGGCCACAGTATCTGCCATATTATTTACCTGTCTATTCTGTATACCTATATCTATTTTCCCAATATACTTCTCCTCTGATTATTACTCTCTCTCTGTTCTTTAGAAAAACCCTTTAAGATCTTCCCTTGCTATCTTCATTCCACTGTGAGCAGCTTGAAGTCAGGACCCTCCCCTTATTTTTGTTCATAGAACCTAGCATAGTACCTACCTGACCCAATAAGTGTCCATTGAATAAGAGATTGATATTTTCCACAAACAGAACATGACTCCGAAATAATTTTTTATATTTAACAAGCAAGTATATCAATTTACTATGCACCAGGCATTATTCTTAGCATTAAACACATATTAACACATTTAATAGTGTCACGGGATCCTTGGGGTGTCGCTTTGCCAGCTGGAAACCTCTGTGGCTGGTGGCGCCTTCTGCCTGAGTATTGCTTGCACCAACTGGGTTCGTTCCACCCACTCAGCCTGGCAGGCTGTGCTTGGCTCACGCTCTCAGCCCTGATCCCACACCTGCCAAGGGCAAGCCAGGTGCAGAGTGGCAAGGGGTGCGTGGGCAAGTGAGTGTGGGGTCTGGCCACTGTGCACATCCAGGCGTGCTGACTGCTGTGGCAGAGCAGGCAGCTCCAGATGCTGGCACAGGTGCTGGCTCCATGTGAGACTCCAGCTGGACCAGATGTACCACATGCAGCTTCCACTGCGGGCACCCATTTCTGAATGAAGGGAACATAGTGGTGCCTGGAATCTTGGAGACACCAGGGACTGCAGAGCCCCAAAGAGGGTGTCATAGCCCTGGCTCAGGGAGCCCCTAGTTCTGAGCTCCGTGAAGGGCTGCAACTCTTCTCTCCTTTTCATTGCCTGCAATGTGGTCAGCCAGGGGGAGTGTTTCAGCCCCGTTTGTGTTATAGCTCCTTCAGTCCTGCCATTTGGCAGGTCCTGATTTCTTGTCCCACATCCAGGAAGAATGAGGTATACATACAACTGGAGAGTGAGCAAGGCAAAGAGAAGCTTCACTGAGTAACAGAACAGGTCTCAGGAGACATGCAGTGGGTAGCTCCTTTCTGCAGGTCGTCCTGACTAGCGTCCAGCTCTCAGCCGAAAAGAGACCTGCAGTGGTTAGCTCCTATCTGCAGGCAGGTCATCCCAACATCTCTGTGAGTCTGGCTGAGTCTGGGGTTTTTGTGGGCTTCTGAAGGGAGCAAGTGCATGCTAACATATCCATAGGTAGCCATAAGTGGGCCTAGATAAAGCATCATAAGTTCTCACTCCCAGCCACGAACTCCACCAGGAACTGGCAGCCCAGCCCTCATGTTTCAGGTCATCCCTTGCTTGAAGGTGGGACATCACATGTGGCATGCCCCTTTCTGCCCAGGAGCCTGTCTGCCTCCTGTTGCCAACAACATGTTGTCCACAGCGCACAGGCTGTTTGTGCTGAGGGGTTCCTGCAGGCCTGCTCCGAGCTACCCTCAGCCCTGCCTTTGGCCTCCCTTCCATGATCATTGGTGCCCAAAGTCTAGAGGGGGCCAAGGCAGCAGGGGACTGGCATGTCAGTGCTGCCCTGAGCATGTGCACACCCAGCTGAGTCATAATAGCAACTGGCCTCAGCCACAACTTTGCTCTGAAATCGGAGCAGGCACTGGGAGCAGGAAGAGGCCAGGCAGCAGAAGCAGGCACTTCCAAGCCTGTGGGGGTTGAGGGGGGTTGCCAGGCCCCTGAGAGCACAGAGATGCCCAGTCTGCAGCCATGGCTGGGTGGCTGCAGCTGCGCCCAGCAGGGTGGGGCTCCCACCCAGCCAACTCCAAAGGGGAACGGGGCTCCCACCTGTTCCTAGCTCCCGTGGGCTCTATAGAGCATGTAGCCCCTGCTGTGCCTCCCCTGCTGCAGCCAGCATCTTCACAGCAGCCACTCCAGATGGGCCACCACTGCCATCAGTAGCCATCATTGTTATACCTGTTTTGTATATTAACATTTATGTCTAATAATTCCAATAACTGGCTCCTCTATTGGTCTGTTTCTCTTGTCTATTTTTCTCGTTTTCATCCTTTCTTCTTGATCTCTAGTATATCTGATGATCTGAAGTTGAACGCCAGTAATTTTGCATGAAAATGGTGGAGGCCTTTCAAGGCTCTGGATGATATGTTTTTCCAGAGAGGATTTACTTCTGCTTCTGAAGGCAATCCAGATCGAGACAAGTCAGTTAATCAACTCCGTAATTGAACCGATTTGAATCTGTGCTTTAGTCTTTGTGATGTCCAGCCTGTTTCCAATTCATCATTGCTCCTGGAGTGTTGACCTTCCATGTGTTTACCAGTGTCCCTCCACCTTGGTGGGCTCTTAATCCCAATTTTTAACTTCCAAAAAATGACCACTGAAAGCTTTGCTTAGCTTCTCAGCTCTTTAGCCACCATTTTCTGCCCAGTTTTTGGGTCTCTTGGCTGCCTCTTAGAAGTCAGAAAATACCTTGAGGGGTGTATCAGTCTGTTCTTGCACTGCTATAAAGAACTACCTGAGACTGGGTAATTTATTTTTAAAAAAGATGTTTAACTGGCTCACAGTTCTGTGGGCTGTACCGGCTTCTGCTTCTGGGGAGGCCTCAGGAAACTTACAATCATGTTGAAAGGTGAAGGGGAAGCAAGCACGTCTTCAATGGCAGAGCAGGAGAGAGAGAGTGAAGTGGGAAGTGCTACACACTTTAAAATAACCAGATCTCATCAGAACTCACTCATAATCACAAGAAGAGCAAGGGGGAAATCCACCCCCATGATCCAATCATCTCCCACCAGGCCCCTCCCCAAGATTGAGGATGTCAATTCAACACGAGATTTGGGTGGGGACAGAGCCAAACCATATCAAGGGGGAAAACTGGTTCCAAATGTTGGGGTAACATTTTCTTTCTCTTTGGGATTTTGACAATTCCGGTCATCACTGCCTTCCTGCCAATACACTTAAAAATAATATTTATCTATATATTATTTTAAAGGTATGTATATTTAATTTAAAAACATATATACATGCAAATAATACGTATATATTATTTTAAAGGCATGTATATTATATGTGTGTGCATATTATATATATATACACACACACATAGTTTTATAGTTCTCAGCAACATGGTTATTTTAATTCAAGCTAGTCCACGAGAGTTGGAAAATAAAATACTTATTTTTATTTTATATACAAAGAAACTGAATCATAGGAATGTTAAATAACTTCCCTAGTTACTATGTTTTAAGTGAAACATTTACATATTTATTCAAAAATATTTACTAAGCACCATCCATGTATTAAACACTGCTGTGGGCATTGTGGATGCACAAATTAATAAGCCAGCCCTTGTCTTCCAGGATCTCAGGGTTGAGTGGAATCAACTCATAATTCAGTGCAGTCAGTGCAACTACTGAGGAAGGGGCAGTTGCTCAGGAGCTCAGGTGAGGGATCTGGCCTGGGTTTATCATGCTCACCTAGACTTCTTTCTCTACATAAATATCTCCCCTAGGACACAGTGAATTTCTTGAGGTCATAGTGTGGGTCATTCATTTCTCCATTCCCAATGCCCAACATGGCGCCTGGAACAAAGCGAGGGCTCCATAAATACCTGTTGAGTTGCATTCATTCTCAAACAGGGAAGAAGAAAACAAGGATAGCATGAAGGCTGTAAGATAATGGATAGTACCTTAGTTGCCAGTCAGGAATACCTAGTCCACCTTCTTCCCAGTAACTTGTGTGAACAGGGCAAGTCACCTTCCCTGTCTGGGCCCATTTTCTCACCTGGAGACTGGGGAGGTTGGACTGGATAATACCTAAGATCCCTTCCAGCTCTGTGTCCCTGTAGCTAAGTGTGACCCAACTGATGAAGATGAATGGCCGTAGCCTAACCCAGTGTGTCCCCGTGTGCCCTCTCCAGGCTGCAGTTGTGGTCAGATGGTCTTTTAGACAAAACTAGGGTGGCTGTTCCTAGGTCTATCTCTCTTATTTTTTACTGTGGAAAAATGTAGAGTGAAAAGCTTTTCTCTGATAAATGCCAGGAATTCTGCACAGGAGAGGCCTGCTTAAGGGAGGAGGAGTATGAGGAGACATTTTCTACGTCCTCTTCCCCTGGGCTGGCTCCAGCCTGCCTACTCTGTCTCTCACTTTTCCCAGCACAGAATTTACTTTCCTGTTTGAGAAAACAGTGCTGTGTCAATGGCAAGCGCGATGCTTAGGGAGGAAGCCAATTCCCTCTGCTAGTTTGGCTAAGTGGCATTTCTCTGTCTGGGAAATGGGGTTGCCCAGGTCTCACAAAGGCATCTCCAGAAACGAGTGGACACAGATTTACACTCAGCTGATTAGTGGGGTGACCTGCACCCCCATTACCCCTGAGAAAGAGTATTTGCCTCCAAAAGGCTCTGTGAAAGCAGAGAAGTATTGGCACTAGAGCAGCAGGGGAGGCTTAGAGGTTCAGCCAGCTCACCCCATCTCATGGATGAAAACCTGGGCCCTGAGTGGGTTAGTGGCTCTCCCAGGTCACACAGTTGATTTGCAAGGTAGAGTATAGAGTTTAATGTTACAATGAGACAGCTCAGCTGGCCCCCTGGGTGGGAGCTGGGCTTTATTTCATTCTTGAATCACATCATCAGTTTCAGTCTCTGTCTCATCACAGGTGCCATCAGCCTCCCAGCATTGCCAGGCTTGAGTTCCCACCCCAGACCCTGAAGTCTGCTGGGGGGAAATGACTGGGCCAGTTATGTATTTCCAAACATACAACTCCCAAGGTGGGAGGAGGGAGAGGAGGCAACCAGGGTTGCTTTTGTGGATTATGCAGTTACTGACCTAAATTTCATGTTGCCAGGGGGCTGGGGGCCGGGGGGCGAGAAGAACTGCCACAGGTAACACTGACATGTTGGAGAAAGTGCTGAGGAGATGAAATGCTGACTAGGGTCTTTGAAAATGTTGTCTGTTTTAATTGGATGTGTCTCTTCAGAACCCACTGGTGGCAGGCCCATCACAGGCTCCTTTTAATCAGTGGAATCCACATTTCCCCACTACAGCTTTGCACAGAAGAGAGAGCAAGGGGGCAGAGGCCAGGGGGAAGATGTGGTTCTAATTGGAAATATGGTAATTTGGGAAGAGGATTCTATTTCAAATAGAATTGCCAGGTTTCTTCTGCTTTATGCCTTACTGAGTAGATTTTTCGAAGGAGAAAGAAACTGTTCATCTTTTGGAGCAAGGGCCTGGGGTGATATTCTGACCCATTTTATTCTCTTCTTCTACAATGTACATATGTATATGCTGTCCTTTTCCAAGGTTTCCAGTAGCAGAGTTCACTGTTCCCCCGTGCAAGGGGCAGTACAGAGAGGAGACAGACAGGTACATCCAGCAAGGGCAGGAAAGGAAGGGCCAAGCACGAGTGGGAGAAGCCAAAAGACTGGGATCTCATACCAGGGGTCAGGATAGAGAATCTCTGACCAGGGTGAGGCTGGGATTGACCCTCATGTTCATTCTTCACTCAACAAACATTGGTGGGCAGAGCTACTCACTGTTAGGACCTGGAACTCTCCCATTATAAGTCGTAAGGGCCCCCACGCTACATGCCAAGCTCATCTTGGGACAAATCCAAACACTTGGGGAGGTCTTAGGACTAACAGAGGTATCTGAAGCGTGTGGAGACCCCAACCACAGAGTACCATCAAAACCCTGTGGCCCACCCAACACCATAGGCAGGCTCTCAGTTAGGTCCACTGACCTAGTCTGCACAAGCTGCTATAACAGAATACCATAGACTGGGTGCTTTGTAAACAACAGAATTTTGTTTTTTTCAGTTCTGGGGTCAGGAAGTCTAAGATCAAGGCACTGGCTGATTTAGTGTCTGGAGAGGGCCTGCTTCCTGGTTCATAGACGGCTGCCTTCTGGCTGTGTCCCAACACTGTAGAAGGGGAAGGATGCCCTCTGGGGCCTCCTGGATATTTATCCTGTTCATGGGGTATCACCTCCCAAAAGCTCCACCCCCTAATACCATCACTCGGAGGGGTTAGAATTTCAACATATACATTTTGGAGGGATATAAACATTCAATCTATAGCACCCACATCCTCAGGACAGCCTCAGAATCAATCAAGATTGAGAGATAGGTAGGAAGAAGTAAAAAGGGAGAGCGCTTTGGGTTGGTTTGTTACATAACAGTGGATCACCAAAACAGATGGCAAGCCAATAGAATAAGAGTCAGCAAATTTTTCTGTAAAGGGCTAGGTATATTTTGGGTTCTGCAGGTCAAATGGTCTCTGTGGCAATGACTCAATTTGCCATTATAGTCAAAAGCAGCCACAGACCATACTTAAACAAATGAGCATGGCTGTGTTGCAATAAAACTTTATTTATGAAAACACGTGGCAGGCCAGATTCAGTGCACCAATTGTAGTTTTCCTGCCTGCAATGGAGGGTTTGAAGCAGCAGAGTGATATGCTCTCGTTTAGACCCAGAGAGCTCTTTCTGACAGCCATGTGGAGGACGGACTAAAGGAAGTAAGAGCTGAGGTGAGGCTGTTGTCAGGTGAGAGATGATGATGGCTCAGCCTAGAGTTTTACTAGTAGAAGTGGAATGATTTAATTGTAAATCTATGTTGGAGGTGGCACTGACAAGATTACCAAGACAGCTAAGCAAATAGCCAATTGATGATTGCTTTGAGGGAAGTATGCAAAAGGAAGCTATGGGAACTTAGAGAAGGGGTACCCAGATTATGGGGATTATGACAGGCTCCCTGGAGGAGGCAACTGCTGAATAGGAAATAACCAGGGGAAACACCTGGAAGGATAATCTTTCAGGAAAGCAGAGTAGTAGCAGCTCATAATGGCTAAGGTTGGAGGAGTCCAGAGTGTCAAAAATAAGAGGTAACAGATGGTAATGACTCTGGAGGGCGGGCAGATGTCAGATCTTGAAAGTTCAAGAGGCCATTCCCTGCAAGATTAAAGATGGAGCAGCCAGCTAAGAGTCACCAGTCCTTTTCCAGGCCTTCTTCCCAACCATTCTTTCCAAGACTGCCCTAGGACATCTTCCCACTGTGAGTTTTGAAACTTTCCTCCTACAAAGGGAGCTCAGATGCGTTATCAGGAGCCCTGGCTGCCACACTTGATAGGTATGGGCCATATCGCAGGTCCTGCTGACCCTGAGTTTCCTCATCAGTAAAGTGGCGGTAGTAACAATCTCACAGAGTCGTTGGGAAGATCAAATGTGTATGAAAATGCTTTGCAAATGCCACAGAAATGCTAGGGTTTGTTAAGGTGACAATGTTGATTATTAAAACAGCATCCTGTGTCTCCTACAAGTTTATTTTGTTGTTTTCTCATTTTACGTCCTCACAATTCTCTCCTGATGATTTTTCTGAGTTATGAGAAGAGCTCTTTGTTCCTTGCTCCAAAGTTCTATGGGGATATGGTCACCCCGCCCCACCGCTGGGAAGAAAGCTGTTTTGGCTTTATTCACTTCCCCCAGGATGCCCAGGAACTAGCGTGGATGTTTCCCAAGCAGTTTTCAACTTGGCCTTGAAGCCATTGCTGCAGGCTGGCCGGCCCAAGGAGCAATCCTCCACTACTCCTCCCCACCACCAGCAGAGTCTTCCTCATCCTGCACTAGCAATTCCTCTCAAAGAAAGTGCTTTTCCAAGAGACAGGTAAATGGCCTTGAAGTGCTTACCCTTCATCTCTCTCCCTCTTGTTCTGTTTCTCTCCTGGCATTTCAGAGAGCTTTTCAGAAGGCCTGTGTGCATGTGGCATTTCAGTTCCGTGGCTCAGTGCACAGTGTGGTTTGACAGCTTACCTGAGGCAATTTAACCCTCCATGTTGCTCCATAACCTGCAGGTGTTCCAGGCTCAGCCCAGAGACACAGTCCTCAGCTCAGTGCAGACCCTCATCCCTGAGTCCATGGCACTACACAGCTCCTGCGAAGCTGTTCATGTAGACTTTAATGTGAGTGATGCCTCTCAGGGTTGACAATGCACAACCTGTGCAGCTGTCCATGACAGCACTGCTCACTGTTTCTTAACCATGTGTTTTTATGGTTACTATCAGAGCTCAGAATCTGACCTGTTGAACTGACCAAGCCTTTAGAGCCTGGTAATTCAACAGCCTTAATAGAGCAAGCACAGGCTTTGCATCAGCCTGACCTACGTGCTAATCCCGGAACCAGGCTAAGAAACCTAGGCAATTTCTTTTTGCTTGTGTGGAAATAATACTTACTATATGGGGTTGTTGTGAGGACAAAATTTCAAACATGGAGCTTATGTTACAAATAAAGAGAGTGAAGCCACTGAGGTTGAGGGCTGGCTTGAACATAGTGTTCTGACACCAAGTGGCATGTGATAGGTACTCAATAAATGCTTGATCAATTGAGGAAGCACATCAATAACAGGCCCTCGGGTGGTGATTCTGTGGGAATTTTATTTTACTTGTGTAATTGTGAATGTTTTCCAAATTCCCCACCATGAGTGTGAATTACTTTTATAATCAGAAGTTCAATAAGCATTATTAAATAAATGCAAGCAAAAAAGCAAGAGACACTAGTAACAGGCAGAGATGAATCTGACAGTATGAATTACTTATGAATTAGGAAACTGGAAGTGATTTGGAATCCTCCTTTGTTGCACTTTGGAACAAGTTCCTATTAGTTTCCCTCCACATGGCTATTTCTTGCCCCAAAGGAGTCCACAGTCTAGAGGAGGAAAGCCTGAAAAATCAATCTGTGTGATAAAGGGAGTCATTGTGAAAGCTACAGGGACAGAGGAAAGGCTGCCACCTGGCCTGGAAGGCTAGGGGCTGGTAGGTTAGAAAAGGCCCCACAGAGGCATGGACAATTAAGCCAAGCTGTGACTCATGACCAGGAGTTATCCTAGTGAAGGAGGGGCAGGTTACTGTGGGGTCAGCATGGCACATGCAGTGGCAGGGAGCTTGGCTGTTTGAACTGGACAAGTCATTAACCTCTCTTGGCCTCAACATTCTCTTCTGTAAAATGAAAGGGTTGGACCAGTTCTCTGGTTCTCAATCCTGATTACAAGTTACAATGATCTGGGGCATTTAAAAAAAAAAAACACCAAAGCCCAAGCCCCACCTTGTATCAATCAAATCAGAAGCACTAGGGGTGGGATCTAGGTGTTGGTATTTTTAAAGGGCTCCATGTGGTTATAACGTACAGCCAGAATTGTGGACCACTGGACTAGAAGTTTGCTAAGTTGCTTTCTGACTGTTCCTCTGACAGCATGTTTTGAGGTTGAGATAAACATCTTTAACTTTTTCACTAATGCAAATTTATCATTATAAAATAATGCTAAATTATTTAAATTATTTATTATAAAATAAACCAAAAGTAAATTGATTTCTTTAAGCCATTTACAATTAATGTGAGAGTGGTAGAAGAAAACAACAATGACAAAAGGATTAGAAGAGCAAGACAGAAATCTTGTTTCTATATGGAAGTTAACTGCTAGTCAGTTATTATATGAAAAGAAGATGGAAACCTGCTCACTCAGGAACATTCACCCCAAACTGCTCACTTCAAGGTTACATAGGTCTTCCACCAGGACCAGGGACTCGGCAGTTCATTGATCAAATGTAGAGACATAAGCCATAGTCTCCATCACAGTAACCAGGCCTGCCTCAAATGTGCACATGGATAGCTAACTGGTTATGTTAGTTTACTAGGGCTGCTGTAACAAAGTCCCACAAACTGAGTGGTTAAACACAGAATTTGTTCTCTCTTGCTTCTGGAGGCAGAAGTCTAGAATCAAGGTCTAAAAGCAAATCTAAAAGCAAGGCTGTGCTCTCTAGAATGGCTCTAGCAGAGGATCAGTTCCGTGCTTTCTCTTAGCTTCCAGTGTAGCCAGCGAGGCTTGGCATCCCTTGGCTTGTGGACACTTCACTCCCATCTCTGCCTCTGTCACCACATGGTGTTTCCCCCATGTGTCTTCACATTGTCTTCCTTCTGTGTATATCGGAGTTTGTGTCTCTTCTCTTCTTATAAGGACGCCAGTCATATTTGATTAGGACCCACCCTAATGACCTCATCTTAACTTAATTACATCTGCAAAGATCTTATTTCCAATATGGTCACGCTTACAGGTACTGAGGGTTAGGTCTCAACATATCTTTTTGGAGGGCATACCTCAATTCATAACTCTGGCCTACTTAAGCAATTTGGTGAAGGCCTTGGGCAGTTCAGAAAATCATCAAAGGAATTGTTGACCTGAAATACCTGATCTTTGAATTGACCAATGAAGCAAGATGATGAACTGACTAGGCACATTTTCAGTTTTCATAGCTGATAGGGTGATTATTTTTATTTATTTACTTTTTAAAAGTTCTCTTAAAAATTATTTCAATAGCTTTGGGGGTACAAGTGGTTTTTTGCAAGAGTGATTAAAGAACAAGAATGCAACAATGATAACAGAAATCTGACCCAGCTTGGTATGTGAAAAATCCAGACTTCCAAGGTGGAAAAATTATAGGAGGATTATTTCCCATATTTACATATTTACTCCCATTATTACAGAGGAGTGCTTTGATTTATGAAAATGTTTTTCTGCTTAGTCATAGACCAATATTTAGACATCACTTTATACTTTATACATCATTTTCATATATATCCAGATAATCTTCTCAATAACCCTATGAGTTAGATACCATGAACCCGTTTTACGGAAGGGGTGAGGAGGCTCCTTAGAAATGGGAGAACTGGGGCTCTGCACAGCCCAGCACACAGCAGGAGCTCTCTTTGCCCCCCAAACCCCCTCTCAGGGTCCTTTGAAGAGTAAGCTCTCCTCATGCATTCTACATTCATGAATTTAGGGAATGTTGATCTGCAGCTTTTTGGGGAAGATATTTACTGTGTAAAACAAAACTTACCTCTGCTTGTGGCCAACTCTAAAGCACTATAAAGAAAAATTGGGTTATTTTTAAGAAAAGAGAAAAGGGCTTAGAAATTTTTACTCAGATCTTGATGAATTTAGTCTTCCATCAATAGTCTTGGTGACAGACAATATCTGTTGTCACCACCACCTAATGCTGTTCCCTCGGGTCCCCAGGCAATTACTGACTCCTCCCACTATTTAAAGCAGCAGACTGGTGATTTTCTATTGACATTCGAAAGTAAAATTGGCATGAGGTCAGTTTGTTTTCTCTGACTAATTTGGAAAGATGTCACATTTGAAAAAAAATTTCATTAAGAATGAGCTTTCCATTTGGGAAACCAGTATCACAAAAGAGCCTGTGACAATGATGCTGTTCTTAAATTATTTCTCACATTTTCTTGCACCTTACTCACTTCAGTGAAGGTATTCATAACACATATGATAGAAGTCCAGAATCATATACATGCTTTAAGGACCAGACTTCACGACATCCTGCTGTAATGTTAGACAAATACTTTTTGAGTATCCAATGTCTCCTAGGTGGGAGACACACAGTAAATAAAACAGAGCAAAATCCTTGCTGTCTTTAGAAGAGAAGAGAGACGATAAGCCTACTAAATAAATAATATATGATATATCAGTAGGCAAGGATGTGGGGTGCAAAAATCACATAGGACCTTATAAGTTGATGTAAGGACTTTGGCTTCTACTCTGAGAAATATGGCGATTTTTAACAATGGAGGTCTTAAGAGGTTTTTGAACAAAGAAGTGACATGATCTATGTTTTGAAAGCACCACTTTGACTGCTGTTTTGAGAATAGACAGTAGGGTTTGTGGGTTTGTGGGTTTGTGGCAAGTGTTGAAAAAAAGAAAATGAATTAGGATGTGCTTGTATAGTCCAGGAGAGACATGAGGTTTATTTGATCTAGGGTAGCAATGGTGAAAAGTGGCTATATTCTACAGAGATGTTGAAGTTAGAGCTAACAGAATTTCCTGGAAGATTGGATGTGAAGCATAAGGGAAAGAAAGGAGTTAAGGAAGACTCCAGGGTTTTTGTCTAAGCAACTGGAAGGATAGAGTTGTCATCAACTAAGCTGTACAAAGCTGAAAATGAGGTTTGAAGGAGAAGATAGAACGTTGGAGACATTTCACATTTGAGACGTCTATTAGATCATCTACATGGATATTGCTGTTTGGAGTTCACGGACATTGTCAGCATATAGGGAAAAATTAAGCCTGGAGACTGGGATAAGACATCATCAAAGAAGAATATAGAGACAGAGAGTAGACCAAGGGAGGCCCTAAGTACTCTGGCATGTAGAGGCTGGAGAGATAAGGAAGAACCAGCAAAGGGGACCGAGAAAGAGACTCCAGTGAGGCGGGAGGAGAACCAGGCAACCACGGTGGCCCAGAAACACAAAAGAAAGAAATGGGATCCACTCTGCCCAAAGACGTGGAGTCTGTGGATTGCTTTTCAAGTTTAGTGATGGGAGGCCATAGAAGAATAGGTTTTCAACATTTAGGGCTGTGCCTAAAGATCTGTGTCCAGAAAATTTGTCATGAGACCATCAAGAATTCCTGAATTTGCAAATTCTTCTCTAACAATTTTCCCCACTGTTTAATTTATTCAAAACCATTTAAAAGCTAAGAGTAATCACATTTTAAAAATGTCTTCATAGTCTTTATCCCTTTTCACCAACTTCCGAAATCACCAGTGCTACTTGAGTTCTCTTATTCTCTATTTCATTCTGTCAGGTTAGAATCTGTGTTTGAGTCCTAACTTCACTTGCTAGCTGTATAAATGTGGGAAAATTTCATCTCTTAAGTGTCAATTTCCTTACCTCTAAAAATGGGAATTGTAATAAGCACTCATAGCAATTTTGTGGGGGTTAAATGAGAAGATATTTGTGCAGCGTTAATTAGGTAACATTGTAGGGGTAAACCAAGTGTTTCATCCCTCCATGAGATTGCTGCCCACATGACCACAAGCACAGAGGACAAATCACACTGAGAGGCAGATGCTGGATGGTTGACTAAGTTCCCTCAACAACTATTGACCACTTCCTAGAAACCTACCTCCCAGCAGATGTAATCCAAACTGGAGTCCTACAAAATTACCAAATTTTTATATGTAATGGATGTTCCATTTGCTTGATAATATTTGGAATTTAAACCTGCAAATGCTAATAAGGGCCAACTACATTGGTTATAGTGAGTGCATGAAGGAGCAGGTAGGGAAAGGAGGGGTGTAGTAATTAATTCTGCTTGAGTAGGTCTTCCCAGAAGACCCTTAGATTTAGTCTTGATGACTTAAGAAAGAAAAATAAAACTAAAAAAAAGTATTCCAGGTCAAGGGAACAGTGTGTACAAATGTACAGTCTTTAAAGAACATGTTCTTTATAGGTAAACAGTTCAGTAGGACCAGAGTCAAGGGTCACAGGGTCAGGGGAGGGAGTCGGGGAGTGGGTAATGAGCACAGAATTGAAGCTGGAGAAGGCAGGGATCACATCAGTGAGGTCCCATGGGTTGTGCTAAGCGGGTGAATATTTTCCTGAATGGAAGTGACTACAGTCTCTGAATGGCTTTATGTAGGAAGTGGCATGGCCAGGTTTATATTTTAGTGCTATTGCTTGGACAGCCAAATGGAAGACAGTCTAGAGAGGAGAGAACAGTGGGACGAAAGGCTGCTGACATCATATCCAGTTCCTTCTGTTTGACACATTTCATTTCTCTCCAATCTCCAGAGATATTATGCAAATATTCTTCTATTATATACTTTAAAAAATTATCAGTTCAAATGTTATCACTCTATTATCTATCATATTGTTTATGTTCTTCACAGACAACCCTGAAATTATCCTAAGGGATTTCCTTTGCCTTCTTCATTAGTATTCCAGTGATATCTCCAAGAGTTCTAAATAATGGTTGCAACTTCTCCAAACTCAGCAACTCCAATCTGGAGTAGTAGATGCCACGATGGATACCTCCCCCCTACCAGCCCCCATCTTCTGCCTATCACTGGGGATCCCTGGGTGAGCACAGGCCATATGAGCTGAGTACTAGATTAAAGATCTTCCAATTAAGCCTTGCCCATACTCTGAACCCCAAGAAGTGTCCTTTTGGGGGACCTTGATTTTCCCTCTGGTATAACTAAGACCCTCAAAAGGACTCTCCTTGGGATTCAGAGTATAATAATTTTGAGATAATTCCTCCTAAAATGAGCTTGTGTGATGTAAACAGCAGCCATTTTGGAGTTTGTGTGCCGGCTCAGAGGTCTGCCCTACTTTCTGGCACCTTCTTTTGGTTCTTGAGAGGCAAAGCTGCTTCTCCCCACCTGCTCCTGCTGCCTCTTCCTCAGCACACAGCTGCTGAGAGCAAACATTCACTGTCCTTGGCCTAATAAATGACTTGAGTCTCTCGACCTTCTATTGAAAGTCAACTCACTTCATTCACACCCCAGCATTCTTCCTATCAAATCTCATGCATGTTCTAGTTCACTTGTAATTAGCAAAATGTACGACCTTCTCCAGAGACCCCCACAGCCTGTTTACAGTCTCCTCCCAGAGGCCTCTCAGAAGCTGGCAATGTTGTTAGTAGCCACTTCTCACACACTTAAACTTGCTGAGATTTCAAGCTTCTCAAGACTCCTTTCTCCCAAGAATTTCAATATTTGGTTTCCTTTGAATATCTTATGGAAGTGCTACCTTGATTACTTTTCCAGTTCCCAGAACCTTCCACAATTACGTGGAGTAATAGAATCACCAAACTGACTTCTAGCAGTCCTTGTGTCTTTTCTGCCTCTGGGCGGGACAATAAAGGCACAAAGTATTTTTCCAAGAACAATAGGACACAATACCTGGCAAGGCACAAAACGTGTATGCGCATGGCTGAGAATGGCCTGGGAACCCATACAACATAAGCAATTAATAGAGACAGGCACACAGTCTTCTCTGGGGATCTGGGGCTGAGCCAAGGAGGAACTGCTGCACAATTAGTGCATTTCCAGGTACGTTTTTTTTTTTTTAGGAGGGAATAAGACAAAGTTTTTTTCTTTGTCTTTCTCAGAATACTGTATCTGAAAATACAGAAAAAGATTATAGATAAAGACCAACTTCTGGCTAATACTAAGACTAGCCAATTCATCTTGATATTTGCCTTAAGTTCTTACTAATGATCCTAGAAAAATAAGATGTAGTTGACAACAAATACAGCAAAGTTAACATCATTAAAAACAGGATATTTGTAAATTTTCAAGTATGTGATTAGTAGCTGGCCTTATTGAGCCAAGGTTTGGCGCTAACCAGAGCGAGAGACCGAGGAGCTGAACATAACCAGGCTTTCTCGCTGGGCACTCAGACTGTCTTGCTCTTTAAATATCTAAAGCTCTTGATAAAGCACATAGAATTTATCCCCATTCAAGTATAAACAAATAGCAACAACCTAAAATATGTATCTGTTTTTGAACAAGGATCAAAACTAGCTAAAAGTAGACTCACTGAATAATGGCAAGGGGGAATTTGGGACAGTGTGTCCCATGCACTGCAAATCAAAAATAAATCATGAAAAGTTGCCCGTGGCTCTCTCCTGCTGTGAGCCAGGTAAGGTGAGGACTGTTTAGAGTTCCAACCGCTTATGATTCCCTGAACACTGTTTCACACTTCCCTCATCCTTCTGTTGAACCCTACTGTTCTCACCTCAGACCCACCTCAGACATTTCCCTCCCTGTCTCCCTGCACAGTTAATCAGGCACCCCTCCTCTGTGTGACCTCTGATCCTAGAATACATCTCTACTGCTGTACTCTGCACGCTATTTCATAATTTGCTTGTTCACATGCCTGCTCCCTCCATTAGCCCACAAGCTCTTTAACAGGAGTTTGGACCCTGCAAGACTGGTACAGGGTAAATGTTCAGAAAATACCTGTGATCTTTAATGGAATCAAAAATTGGTAGTGTCACTGGTAGAAGGTGTCCAGGTTCTTGGCGCCTCAAACAAAGAATTGGACAAAACACTCAAACAGAACGAGGAAAGCAAAAGCGGGAATTTATTGAGAATAAAAGTACACGCCACAGTGTGGGAGCGACCCGAGTGTAGACGCTCAAGAGCCCCACTTACGGAATTTTCTGGAGTTTCAATACTCTAGAGGTTTCCCATTGGTTACTTGGCGAATGTTCTATGTAAATGAGGAGAACGAAGTGCAGTCAGAGTCATTGACTCGGAATGCGCCCTACTGTAAATGGAGAGGATGTTACTTGGTGTGTGATCTATGTAAATGGAGAGGATGAAAGTGAAGTTACAAAGTGGAAATAGCATTAATGGAGAGGAAGAAGTTACAAAGCCATTCACATTCCTGTCATTGCTGAGGAGCTTTCATTTAATTCAGTTCTAGGAAGTCAGCGTGGATTGGCCTCAAGTACCCTGCCTGCATGCCCTATTCTCTTGCCTCATCTCCCCCGTGAAAGCTGTGATCCCCATAAATCTTTATGGGAAGCAGAGGGACCAATGGTCTTTCTTCTGTAACTGCTTCCTGCTGACTTGGGGTGTAGTCCCTACCTATTGGGGATCACACAACTTTCACCCTGCTCTGTTTAGTGAAGGTAGGGAAGATCCTTGATGGCCTGGGGTGGTGTCTTCACCTGGAGTGGCTGGCACCCTTGTCACACAGCTCGATGATCTCTAGGTGAGAGGAAATACTTTAGGTTAAAAGATTTAATGGGAACCTTGGGGTGGATACTTATGCCATCAGGAATATTTGTCATAGAAATGTATTTTTTAAATTCTGTTTAATTATTACAAAGGAAGTGATTTTTATCTATTTGGAAGAAGGCAATTAAACTGCAAAGATAAAAATGGCTACTATTTTCCAGCCCACAGTAACTATGCAACAAAGACACCAAAGAAAGTTGGTAGGCATTTACTTATCTTTTGGCTATCTTTTAAACAGGTACTTCAGGTCCTCCACTGGTTCACAGGTGTACTGGCTGATGGGAACTTCAGGTTCCTGGTCTGGAGCTTCTGGTATTGATGGTTTGATCCTTGAAAGATGTATCCAGCTATCTAATACTAGTACTTTGACCACAGAAGACGTGGCCAGTATTACTGAAAAAAGTCCCTTCTATTGGGGTTGTAATTGTTGGGCAGGTGATCCCTCATTCCATGTTTTAACAAGTACCCTATCTCCTGGCCTGATTTTGGGTTGCTGGTTAGTTCCAAGTGTGAGGAGCCTTTGAATTCCAAACTCTTGTAAACCCGCTGGAATTGTTCTGGGTTGACTAGGTATTTAATTACACCAACTCTTTCTGGGTCAATAATTAAATCATTAGTTAAGAATGGCCTTCTGTATAACATTTTATATGGGCTTCTGTTAATTTTTGAGCTAGGGGTATTACAAATTCTTAAAAGGGCTGTGAGCAATAAGCTAACCCAAGTTTCTGATGTTTCCTGACATAGTTTAGCTAGTGCTTATTTTAGAGTTTGGTTAACCCTTTCCACTTTTCCAGAGGATTGGGGCCTCCAGGCTGAATGTAAATAGTATTTTATTCCAAGAGCCTTAGCAACCCCTTGAGTTATTTGGGAGATAAAGGATTAGCCATTATCACTTTGGAGACCCTGAGGTAACCCAAACTGGGGAATTATTTCTTTTAAGAGGACCTTAGAACCTCATTAGCCTTTTCTGGGGTAACCTTTGACCCAACCTAAAAGTATCTATTAGTATTAACAAAAGCTTGTATCCTCTGCAAGCTGGCATATGGATGACGTCTAACTGCCAGTCTTCCCCTGGATAAGTTCCCCTCCTTTGGACTGGTTTTATTAGAGGGGGCATTTTGATGCCTGGATTGTTAAATGCACACAGTGAGCAGGCTTGACAGACCTGCTTAGCCATTGAAGCTGAGTTAAACCCAGTAAAGAACTTGTTTACCATGGCCAGAGCCGCATCCCTCCCCACATGGAAAGAGTCATGCAGGGCTTTTATAACTCTCCACTGGGCTGCCTGAGGGAGATATATTTTTGGCTCCATATGCCACCAGGATCCTTGTTTTTGTCTCCCTTGCTTTTTTTATTAGCTGTTCTTCCTGTGGTGTGTATTTGGGTTCTACTGGGGAATTGTAGAAAGGAAGCAGTGCTAGGATCTGTTGGGATTGCACGCTGAGGGCTTTTGCTTTGGCTTCCGTCAGCCTTTCCATTCCCTTGTGCTATAGGGGTTAAGTCCCTTTGATGCCCCCTACAATGAATGATAGCTATGGCCTTTGGCAGGTGTATTGCCTTCAATAGCTGCAGAATTTCAGGTCCATGCTCTATAGGGGAGTGCTTGCTAGTAAGTAATCCCCTTTCTTTCCTGATGGCGGTATGAGCATGAACCACAAGGAATGCATATTTAGAATCTGTATAGATGTTAAGTTTTTTCCCTTGTCCCAACATTAATGCTTGAGTAAGATCAATGATTTTAGCCTTTTGTGCTGATGTGCCAGGGGGCACTGGCTGGGCTTCAATAATTGTGTCATGATTTACTGCTGCATATCCAGCTCTGTGCTCCCCATTCGACAAAGAACTACTGCCGTCTGTGAGCCGGTCAGCTTCAGAATCTGGGAGAGCCTCATCTTTTAAATCAGGCTGGCTAACATATGTATGTGCAATGACCTGCTCACAGGAATGATCAATTATTGGGCCTGTGGGCAGCAATGAAGCTGGATTTAAAGTGTTGCAGGTTTTAAGAGTTATATCTGGATTGTCTAGGAGCATGGGCTGGTATTTAGTTAACATTTCCCCTGTCATCCAGATGTGTCCCTTTATTTCTAAGACTAACTTTACCTGATGGAGCGTTAGAACTTCCAGTGGTTGCCCTAGGGTGATTTTAGTGGCTTCCTCCACTAACAGCAGTGGCTGCTATTGCCCGCAGGCAACTTGGCCATCCTGAGGCCACTCCGTCCAACTTTTTTGAGAAGTAGGCGGTTGGTCTGGGTTCTGATCCTAATTTCTGGGCTAGCACTCCCACAGCTATGCCCCTCTTCTCTGCTACATACAAGGAGAAGGCCTTAATTAGGTCTGGGATACCAAGAGCAGGAGCCTGGGTGAGAACCTGTTTTAACTTGGCAAAGGCTTTCCTCATTTCCGGGGTCCATTCCATTAGCTCATTTTCAGGCCCCCTTGTTGCTTCATATAGGGGCTTTGCTATGAGCCCAAAATTTGGTACTCATATTCTCCAAAGCCCGGCCATCCCCAAAAAGGAACAAAGCTGCTGCTTGGAGGTGGGTCAGGGTGGGGGCTGGGGGTGGTGCACGCGGCCAAACCACATATAGCTTGCACTCCTTCTGGGGATATTTGCCGGGTTCCGGGTGTTAAGACATATCCTAAATAGTGGACCCATTGGAGGGTAATCTGAGCCTTCTTTTTGGACACTTTGTATCCTCTGTCTGCCAGGAAATTCAAAGTTTTTATAGTATTTTGGTCAGAAACCTCCTAGGTTGGGCTACACACAAGGTCATCCCCATACTGAAGAATACCTCCATTTTCTAACTTGAAATCCCTCAGATCCCGCTCTAATGCTCAGGCAAAGAAGTGGGGGCTATCCCGAAAGCCCTGAGGAAGCACTGTCCAAGTGTATTGTTTTTATCTGGTATTAGGATTTTCCCATTCGAAAGCAAAAAGGTACTGGGGGGCTCGGGGCCAGAGGAATGGAGAAGAAAGGTCTAGGACTGAGAACCATTTTGCATGCCCTGGCACCTGAGCCAGGAGGGCATATGGATCTGCCACCAATGGGTGGACGGGGATAACAGCCTCATTCATTATTCTGAGGTTCTGTACTAGCTGGTATTCCCCCCAGGCTTGAGAACAGGTAAGATGGGGGTATTGCAGGGAGAATTGCAGGGTTTTAAGAGTCCATGGGTAAGTAATATCTCAACTATGGGAGCTAGACCTTTGCTTGCTTCCTGTTCAACTGGGTATTGTTTTCCATTGGGAAAATGGCTGGGGTCTTTAAGCTGTATTTTGACTGGCACTGCTGTTTTAGCCTTCCCTGGGTTTCCAGTATACCATGCCAGTGGGTTAACCTGTTTATTGACATGGTCTGGGACATTGCCTTATTTCTTACTATTAGCAGTTTCACCTGCTAATATTGCTTAAATTGCAGTAGTGTCACTATTTTCACCATAATATCTCTTTCCCACAGGGGAATTGGGCAGCTTGGTACTACTAAAAATTCCTGTTGGAAGATTTGTTTCTCAAATTGACAAACCAAAGGAGGAGTAAGAATCTTGTTTGTGGCTTCCCTTCCATCCAATATCACTCATGGACCGGGAGGAAAGTTTTCCTGCATAAGCAGTTGTACAGAATAATTCACCTTGGTATCACATAAAAACTGAATTTGGGTGGCCATGATGTCCAGAGTTACCCAGGGTTCCTCAGTAGTAATTACAATGTTCCTAGACGGGGCAGTGAGGAAGGCCCCAGGCCCCTTCAGTCTTCATCTGATTCCTCCTTGTGCACTGCCAGAGTTTTGACTGACTGAGCCCCTTGGTGGGAGCAGGGACAGTCAATTCTCCAGGGCCAGGAGCCACAACTGGTGCTTTTACATTGACGGCAGGGGACTGGCGGGGGCTTAGTGGATTCCTGTGCCCAATCGCACTTTTATTGCATTTGAAGCAAGAGCCTTTGCTGGCATTATCCTTATGGCCCTTTGAGTTTCCCTTGGACAATCTTTGTGCATTTAGGGCATCACCAGTGATGGCTAACATAATTTTGGCTTGCCGTTTTTCTTTACTCTGTTTCCCTTCTCCTTCCTCCAGGTCACGATTGTTATACACCATGAAGGCAGTACCAAGAAGCTGATTTTGGTTAGTTTGTGGCCCCATGTGTAGCTTTTGGAGCTTACGTCTAATGTCTGGTGTGGATTGGCTAATGAAACGTTGTGCCATTAATAACTTGCCTTCAGGAGAGGAAGGGACCAAATTAGTATATATTTTTTAAAGGCTTCCCGCAGCCTGCCGTAAAACACAGCTGGGTTTTCCTCCCTGCCTTGTGTAATCTGCCTTACTTTATCATAATTTACTGCCTTAGTTATTCCCTTTCTCATTCCTCCAAGAGCCTCAAGAAATTTAGCCCAGTTGTTCCTTCCTGCGGGGGTGTCTTGGTCTCAATTAGGATGCGTAGTGGGAACTGTGGCTGGGCCTGGGTGACTGCCTTTACGGTTTTGGGTGAATAATTCGTCCACTTCTCGGAGGGCAGCCTCAAAGATTCGTTCCTTTTCCGAGGAGGTGCAACAGGTTGCTAGAGTGAATTGAACGTCTCTCCATGAGAGATCAAAGGCTAAGGTCAAAGTTTGGAACCCATCTGCAAACTTCCCGGAATCCTCAGAATAGCTTCCTAGCTTTTCCTTACATTGTTGTATATCAATCATAGAGAAGGGGACCCACACTAGGATTGGCCCCTCAGCCCCTGCTATTTCTCTGAGAGTAGCAGGGCTGGATAGAGAGTTGAATACAGTGTTCCCCTCCAAGTGTGAGGGGGACTTAGTAGGGTTCCCCATGTTTGCCCCTGGGTTTCAGCCTCAGGAGCACTTGGTGAGGGGTTATATGGGGACAGTCACTGCTCACTCTGAGAGACAGGTATCCCTTGTAAAAGGGGGTTCATCTATAATATCTAGTTCTGCCCCAGAACTTTCCTTCGGGGGATGGGTTCTGGGAGTTTCCTAGATTCTTAGGTCTTCGTATAGGGTCATGTAGGCCTGTATATGTGGGACTTCTGACCATTTGCCCTGCCTCTTGTAAAATAGGTCTAGATACAGGATGGTATCATAATTAAGGCTACCATTGACTGCCCATTGTTCCGGATTGGGCAGCTCATAATTGTGTCAAACAATATTGCAGTAAAAAATCATATGCCTTTTCTTTAGATTGTTAGGGTCAAATTCATCCCAATGGTGGAGGATGTAGCCAAGCGGTGAATCGGGTGGAATAGATAGGAAGTTGTCCACAGTGACACCAGGTAGAATAGACAGGAAGTTGCCCATAGTGGTCTGGAAAAGAGAAGAGGACTTTGAAAAGTGGAGGGTTTATTAGGTGACCCAAATTTTACCCGGGGCATTCCCCTGGAAAAATTCTGGGCCCAGCACGGGGTCCCTGAGGGCTTCCCCCTTAAGGGTCTGACTTAGTCTGTTGCACATCTCCAACCTTAGATGGGTGCCGGCACCACTTTGGAATGGTTCCCTCCTCCACTGAGGACCTACTGTTAACTTTTCCTTGAGGATTTTCTATCCCAGTTAAAGCAACCCTTTAACTCTATAAATTTGGGCAGTAAACCTACACGTCAGTTCCTGCATAAATCCCCTTTGTTAATTTCCCTAATTCTCACAATTTATGACATATCTGAACCCTCTATCTTGTCCTTAGACAGCTGAATGGAGGAAGGGAAGAATTTGGCATGAGGAAAGAAGGTTTAAGTTGTCTGAAACATGTGTGAGTTCACCCTGGATGAGCTGCCACAGCAATTGCGTCACATGTTGGGATGAGGAACTCTAACCGGAGAGATAGAAAAAAGTCCTTCCCCCTTCTGGGCAGGGCAGCCATCCCTTTTCGTTTCTTGGCCTTCAGAAGGCACCCGAGAGTGGCCCCGGCCAGCTGTCCTCAATTAACCGGGAGCTACTAGGAGTAGCTGAAAGACCGAAACAGGAAAAAGAAAAATAACTCAGTAAAAGGGAGAAAGGAATAGGACTCAGAAAAACAAAACCAAGGAAAAGGACTCAGGTTGCCCACCCAGCCGGGTGGTGGTGGTCAGATGCGTCACATGGAAACCTGTAGGTTTCACCAGAGAGTGGCCCTGGCTGGAAACTTGCAGTTGTCTCTATGTTTAGGCGCTGATCACGGAGGGTCCCAAGTTGGAAAGGAAAAAGAGAGAGAAAAAGGTTTCCCTGTATGTAAAAGGGGAAAGAAAAATAAATCCCAAACTTTGGGCCTACCTTGTCTCCAGGCTGGCTCGCCAAAATATATGTTACCAGTAGAAGGTGTTCAGGTTCTTGGCATCTCAAATGAAGAAGTTGACAAAATGCACAAATGAGGCAAGGAAAGCAAAAGCAGGGATTTATTGAGAATAAAAGTACACGCCACAGTGTGGGAACAGCCCAATCATAGAGGCTCAAGAGCCCGGCTTACAGAATTTTCTGGGGTTTTAATGCTCTAGAGGTTTCCCGTTGGTCACTTGGTGAATATTCTATGTAAATGAAGTGAATAAAGTGAAGTCACAGAGTCATTTACTCAGAATGTGCCCTACTGTAAATGGAGAGGATGTTAGTTGGTGTGTGATCTATGTAAATGGAGAGGATGAAAGTGAAGTTACAAAGTGGAAATGGTATGAATGGAGAGGATGAAGGGAATTTACAAAACCATTCACATTCCTGTCATTGCTAAGGTGCTTTCATTTGATTTAGTAAAGTCAGTGTGGATTGGCTTTATGTTCCCTGCCTCCAGGCCCTAGTCTCCTGCCTCAGTAGAGCCCTCAAATCTCTCAGGGTGGGTCTACTCAGGCTAAGTTTGTCTGAAAACTATTTCTCAAGCTGATTTTTTGGTTGTTTTTGAAAACTCATTGAGTTATTTATTTTATTTATTTATATATTTATTTTTTGAGACACAGTCTTGCTCTGTCACCCAGGCTGGAGTGCAGTGGCACAATCTCGGCTCATTGCAACCTCCACCTCCTGGGTTTAAGCAATTCTCCTGCCTCAGCCTCCCGAGTAGCTGGAATTACAGATCCCCACCACCATGCCTGGCTAATTTTTGTATTTTTAGTAGAGACAGGGTTTTACCATGTTGGCCAGGCTGGTCTCGAACTTCTGATCTCAGGTGATCCACCTGCCTTGGCCTCCAAAAGTGCTGGGATTACAGGCATGAGCCACCATGCCTGGCCGAGTTATTTATTTTAGAATAGGATAAATGACTCCTGCTTTGCAGATAAATATCAGAGCAGTAATCGCACACAGCCTGAAGCTGCCATATTTTATTCTGACCTACTTCATAATGACTCTTAATTGCTCTGAAAAAAATATTCTTCCTTATTTATTCTGAACTGGCTTTTAGGGGTTGCATTTGGACAGGGGAAGAGTAGATCTTATCATTCAGGCCCTGCCAGACAGCAATTCCTGTTTCTGAGAGCACTTACCTTCTCCAGTCTGGCTTGCAACTCAGCCAAGCTAGATCTAAGGAGCTTCCTTTCCTAGATGAGCTTCCTTCTCCTAGGTCTTTGCTTTTATGTCTCACCCACTAGTCTCTATGTTTGTATCTTAATGCCTCTTTAAGTATCTCACATCACCTTACAAAACGATTAGTGCATTATAGATTCAACAAATACTTAACTTTTCTGAAAATCCAGTTACTTGTTTTATGAGCCTCCAATTGCAAACTGAAATTATCTTCTCCATTATTGCTAATGACAGTGAAGAATTTTCCATTCAGCATCAAAGAGTCAAAAAATACCTAAAAACATTTTTCCTTGCATATAGCATATTGACAACATTGTCTCTCACACCTGTTGAATGTTCTTCCTCTGTGCCTAGTACTATGCTACCCTTGAATGCGTGTCTTACTTTTTATAATAACCTGTGAGATAGAGGTTTTTTAAATTGTCATTTGTGACACAGAAAAAGCAATTTAAGATACTCATCTACATGCAGCTAGTAAATGAGAGAAGCAGGATCTGAACCCAGCTCAGATTCCAAAGCCTAAGTATTTTCTACTACACCACTCTCCAACAGACAGGAGCTAAAGGCCACTTAATTCCTTTCTTTCCAGTCTGTCACTCTCAATAGTGCCTTGGCTCTGCTTACTTGGAAGCTCTTTCTCCCCTAGAATTTTGAGGAGAAAATGTAAGGACAATTGTTTTTTAATTCTAAATAATTCTCTTGTCACTGTCACAGCAGCAGTCTTGGTGTTCAGAAGCTGTGGTAAGACCAGTGGACTTAACATCAAGACAGGAGTTTGAGCATCTTATGTAACATGACATTGACCCTTTTGTATAGTCTAAAAAGTTATTTATTTTTTCTTTCTGGGGAAAAGTTTGATGTCTTCCTCAAAGAGTCTGACCATCTAGGTGAGCATCAAGGTGAAATATTTTACCTGCTTTCCTGATGTATGAATCCATAACAATGGGATATTTGAAGAATTTTTATGAGATTATGTTGAGGCTTGGCTGATCTTCCTTTGTGTTCCAGCTACTGTGTGGAAGGGCCCGGTTTTGTCTTTGTTCTGCAAGAAGGAAAGCAAACACAAGAAGCCTAGCCTGGGAGATAGAAACACCCATGGGAGGATGGAAATCTGTGACCCCTCCTCCCTCACCAACACCACATCCAATCAGCCACGAGGCCCCCCTGCTTCCCCAAATCCCCATTGCCATTACATTCACCATTATCCTTTGCTGGGAATGTTGCAACAGCTCCTGATTTATTGCCCACTTTCCACCCTTATCTTCGTCAGCCTCCAGCATCATTCCTAAACAGCAGCCAGTGTGATATTTAAAAAATAACAAATCTAAATATAAGACTCTTCTGGTTAAAAACCTTCAAGGCTTCCCATTACTCTTCAAATCGTGGCAAACATTTTTAAGCAGAGCTTTAAGGCAGTTCGTAGTCTGGTCCCTGCCTGCCTCCCTAGCCTCATCTTGCTCCATTTCTCCTTTTTTCCACCCTACCCTACAATCACGTTAACAGATTTTTCTCTTCCACAAACGTGCCAAGCTATTCCCTGCATCTGGAATGCTCTCCCTGCTGCCACTCTCCTGGATAACAACTTTTGTCTTTCAGATCTTAGCTTACATGGATGTGACTGCCTCATAGAGACTTTCTCAACTCTCCAAACTTGGTTAGAGATCCCTCTACTAAACCATTGTAGAAACCTGTGTCTCTTCTTCATAATCTCATTTTAACTCACGTTGTTATTTCTGTGGTTGTCTATTTGATGGTTCAGGGCCACGCCTGGCCTGTTCACTCCCATGTCCCCAGGAGCCAGCACCGCATCTGGCACCTAGAAGGTGCTCAGCAAGTCTTTGGAAGAGGAATGAATGAGCCAGGACTTGCGTGAGGAAGGACCTGGCTTCCAGCTGTGGTTCTGCCACTTACTAAGCTGTGTAATCTTAGGAAGGTCGTTTAACTTCTCTGGACCTCAGTTTCTTCATCTGTAAAACAGGAATGATGATTTTCATGTGCGTCCATGTAAAGAGACCACCAAACAGGCTTTGTGTGAGCAATAAAGCTTTTAATCACCTGGGTGCACGCGGGCTGAGTCCGAAAAGAGAGTCAGCAAAGGCAGATAGGGGTGGGGCCGTTTTATAAGATTTGGGTAGGTAAAGGAAAATTACAGTCAAAGGGGGTTGTTCTCTGGCGGGCAGGAGTGGGGGTCACAAGGTACTCAGTGGGGGAGTTTTTGAGCCAGGATGAGCCAGGAGAAGGAATTTCACAAGACAATGTCATCAGTTAAGGCAGGAACAGGCCATTTTCACTTCTTTTGTGGTGGAATGTCATCAGTTAAGGCAGGAACTGGCCATCTGGATGTGTACATGCAAGTCACAGGGGACATGATGGCTCAGCTTGGGCTCAGAGGCCTGACATTCCTGTCTTCTTATATTAATAAGAAAAATAAAGCGAAATAGTGGTAAAGTGTTGGGATGGCGAAAATTTTTGGGGATGGTATGGAGAGATAATGGGCGATGTTTCTCAGGGCTGCTTTGAGCGGGATTAGGGGCAGCTTGGGAACCTAGAGTGGAAGAGATTAAGGTGAAGGAAGATTCTGTGGTAAGGGGTGATATTGTGGGGTTGTTAGAAGAAACATTTGTCATTTAGAATTATTAGTGATGGCCTGGATACAGTTTTGTATAAATTAAAAACTAAACGGAATAAGAGAAGAAGAAAAACAGGTATTAAAGGACTAAGAATTGGGAGGACCCAGGACATCTAATTAGAGAGTGCCTAAGGAGGTTCAGCATAGCCTTGCCAGTAAAGATTATTTATTCACTTTAAGAGTTAAGAGTGGTGGTTTGGGGATAGCACCAGGAGATATCAGCTGTGATGGCTTGGAGAAACAGTGTAAACTGGCAGTGTAAACAAGAGCAGGGCATGTATGAGTAGTTGAGAATGGTGAATAGGAGTATGACTAGACAGAAGATAGTAGGGATGACAAGTTTTTTGGGGGCACAGTCTAAGTTGGTCTGGTGTCTGGAATGAGACTGGGGCCTAATAAAAAGGAGCATCTATACAGGAGCTCAAATGGGCTGTACCCTGTAGCATTCTGAGGACAGGTCTGACCTCTGAGAAGGGAAAGTGGTACAAGTATTGTCCAGTCCTTTTTAAGTTGGTGGCTGAGCTTGGTGAGGTGTGTTTTTAAGAGACCTTTAGTCTGTTCTACTTTTCCTGAAGACGGAGGACTGTAAGGGATATAAAGGTTTCACTGAATACTAAGAGCCTGAAAAACTGCTTGGCTGATTTGAGTAATAAAGGCTGGTCTGTTATCAGACTGTATAGGGGTGGGAAGGCTAAACTGAGGAATTATGTCTGATAGAAGGGAAGAAATGACTGTGCTGGCCTTCTCAGACCCTGTAGGAAAGGCCTCTACCTATCCAGTGAAACTGTCTACCTAGACTAAGAGGTATTTTAGTTATCTGACTCAGGGCATGTTGAGTAAAGCTAATTTGCCAGTCGTGGGTGGGGGCAAATCCTCGAGCTTGATGTGTAGGGAAGGGAGGGGGCCTGAATAATCCCTGAGGAGTAGTAGAACAGCAGATGGAACACTGAGAAGTTATTTCCTTGAGGACAGATTTCCACGATGGAAAGGAAATGAGAGGTTCTAAGAGGCGGGCTAGTGGCTTGTACTATAGCATAGCCTGCCTTTGCTGGTGTGTGGTGATTATGCCTGGTGGAACCGCCATCAATAAATCAAGCGTGATCAGGATGAGGAACAGGAAAGAAGGAAATATGAGGAAATGGGGTGAATGTTAGGTGGATCAAAGAGATACAGTCATGTGGGTCAGGTGTGGTATCAGGAATAATGTGGGAGGCCGGATTGAAGTCTGGGCCAGGAACAATGGTAATTTTGGGACTTAACAAAGAGTGAGTACAGCTGAAGGATCCAGGGAGCAGAAAGTATATGCGTCAGGTATGAGGAAGAAAATAGATTTTGGAAGTTATAAGAAATGTAGAGAATAAGTTGAGCATAGTTTGTGATTTTGAGGGCCTCTAAAAGTATTAGGGCAGCAGCAGCCGCTGCACGGAGACATGAGGGCTAGGCTAAAACAGTAAGGTCAAGTTGTTTGCACAGAAAGGCTACAGGGTGCGGTCCTGGCTCTTGTGTAAGAATTCTGACCACACTAACCATGCCTAGGAAGGAAAGGAGTTGTTGTTTTGTAAGGGATTGAGGTTTGGGAGATTAATCGGACACGATCAGCAGGGAGAGCACGTGTGTTTTTATGAGAATTATGCCGAGATAGGTAACAGATGAGGATGAAATTTGGGCTTGACTGAAGTAATGGGGGCTGTCTGTGAAGCCTTGCGGCAGTACAGCCCACGTAATTTGCTGAGCCTAATGGGTGTCAGGGTCAGTCCAAGTGAAAGCGAAGAGAGGATGGGATGACGGGTGCAAAGGAATAGTAAATAAAGCATGTTTGAGATCCAGAACAGAATAATGGATTGTGGAGGGAGGTATTGAGGATAGGAGAGTATATGGGTTTGGCACCATGGGGTGGATAGGCAAAACAATTTGGTTGATAAGGCACAGATCCTGAACTAACTTGTCAGGTTTGTCTGGTTTTAGGACAGGTAAAATGGGGGAATTGTAAGGAGAGTTTATAGGCTTTAAAAGGCCATGCTATAGCAGGCGAGTGATAGCAGGCTTTAATCCTTTCAAAGCATGCTATGGGATGGGATATTGGCATTGAGCGGGGTAAGGGTGATTAGGTTTTACTGAGATGGTAAGGGGTGCATGATCGGTCGCCAAGGAGGGAGTAGAGGTATCTTATACTTGTGGGTTAAGGTGGGGGAATACAAGAAGAGGACGCAAAGGAGGCTTTGGATTGGGAAGAAGGGTGGCAATGAGATGTAGCTGTAATCCAGGAATAGTCAGGGAAGCAGATAATTTAGTTAAAGTGTCTCGGCCTAATAAGGGAACTGGGCAGGTGGGGATAACTAAAAAGGAGTGCTTAAAAGAGTATTGTCTAAGTTAGCACCAGAGTTGGGGAGTTTTAAGAGGTTTAGAAGCTTGGCTGTCAATACCCACAACAGTTATGGAGGCAACGGAAACAGGCCCTTGAAAAGAAGGTAATGTGGAGTGGGTAGCCTCCGTATTGATTAAGAAGGGGACGGACTTACCCTCCACTGTGAGAGTTACCTAAAGCTCGGCGTCCGTGATGGTCTACGGGGCTTCCGAGGCGATCGGGCAGTGTCAGTCTTTAGCCGCTAAGCCGAGAAGGAGTCAGAGAGCCTTGGGCCAGAGTTCCACGGGCTCTGTGAGTGGCTGCCAGGTGAGTTGAACAGTCCGATTTCCAGTGGGGTCCTGCACAGATGGGACACGGCTTAGGAGGAATCCTGGGCTGCAGGCATTCCTTGGCTTGGTGGTCAGATTTCTGGCACTTGTAGCGAGCTCCTGGGGAGGAGGTTCTGGAGGAACGCCTGGCCGCTGCGGTTCAGGCGTTTGGAAGTTCTTGTGTGCTGGAGATGTGGCTGGGGTTTGTCTCACAGTGGAGACAAGGAATTGCAACTTTTTTCTATTGTTGTACACCTTGAAGGCGAGGTTAATTAAATCCTGGTGTGGGGTTTGAGGGCCAGAATTTAATTTTTGGAGTTTTATTTAATGTCGGGAGCAGATTGGGTAATAAAATGTATATTGAGAATAGGACGGCCTTTTGACCTTTTAGGGTGTAGGGCTGTAAAGCGTCTCAGGGTTGCTGCCGAACGAGCCATGAACTGGGCTGGGTTTTTTATATTTGATGAAAAAGAGCCTAAATGTTATCTGATTTGGGATAAAGAAAAAGGAGCATTAAACCTTGACTATGCCTTTAGCTCTAGTCACCTTTTTAAGAGCAAATTGCTGGGCAGGTAGGGGAGGGCTAGTCACGGAATGAAACTAAGCCAGACCAACTAAGCCAGAGCGGGTGTGAGGAGGGGAGGTGATAAAAGGATTATAGGGTGGAGGAGCGGAGGCTGAGGAAGAATTGGGATCTAGCTCGGCCTGGCGAGGAGCAGCCTGGGGAGGAGGGGAGAGGTCAGATGGGTCTGTAGAAAAGGAAGATTAGAAAGACTCAGTGACGCTTGGGGTTGGGACTGAGGGGACAGGTGGGAGGGAAAGAAGGAAGATTTGGGATGAGTTGCATTGGGAACAGAGACTAGAGAGGGACCGACGTGTAAAAGAATGCCTGGATGTCAGGCACCTCAGACCATTTGCCCATTTTATGACAAGAATTATTTAGATCTTGTAGGATGGAAAAATTGAAAGTGCCATTTTCTGGCTATTTGGAACTACTGTCGAGTTTGTATTGGGGTCAAGCGGCATTGCAGAAGAAAATAAGATGCTTAGATTTTAGGTCAGGTGAGAGTTGAAGAGGTTTTAAGTTCTTAAGAACACAGGCTAAGGGAGAAGAAGGAGGAATGGAAGGTGGAAGCTTGCCCATAGTAAAGGAGGCAAGCCCAGAGAAAACAGTAGAGACACGGAGAAGGGGTGGGGAGTTCTTGCCCTCCAGAAAAGCAGAGAAGGGGTTGGGGCACAAAGGTGCAGAGATATAAGAGGTTGGGGCGCGGAAATAAGGGATTGGGGTGCAGAGATATAAGAGGTTGGGGCATGGAAATAAGGGATCGGGGCACAGAGATATAAGGGGTTGGGGTGGGGAAATAAGGGATGGGGCGCAGAGATATAAGGGGTTGGGGTATTTGCCTCTCCCCTAGAAAAGCGGGACTTGCCGCTAAGGGTGAAGGAGAAGGGGTTGGGGGTTTCTTGCCCCCCAGAAAGGTGAAGAAGGGGTAGAGACATGGAGAGAAGGGGTTGGGGTATTGCCCCTTCCCCAGAAAAGCGGGACTTGCTGCTAAGGGTGAAGGACCAAGACAGGCGTCCCTGCATGGTCTGACACCTCTGAAACTTGGGTGAATAATCAGGCATCCCTGCAATGATTAAACACCAAGGGAAGGCTGCCTTCCCTAGTCCGTGACCGACACCGGAGTTTTGGGTCCACAGATAAAACGTGTCTCCTTCGTCTCTACCAGAAAATGAAAGGAATTGAAATTAAGAGAAGGGAAAGATTGAAGAGTGGAAAGGAGAAAGTGGTTGAGGGACAGTGAGAGAGCTTGGAGAAGAGAGTAAGAAGAGGCCGCTTACCCGATTTAAAATTGGTGAGATGTTCCTTGGGCTGGTCGGTCTGAGGACCTGAGGTCGTAGGTGGATCTTTCCCATGGAGCAAAGAACAGGAGGACAGGGGATTGATCTCCCAAGGGAGGTCCCCCAATCCGAGTCACAGCACCAAATTTCATGTGCGTCTGTGTAAAGAGACCACCAAACAGGCTTTGTGTGAGCAATAAAGCTTTTAATCACCTGGGTGCACGCGGGCTGAGTCCGAAAAGAGAGTCAGCAAAGGCAGATAGGGGTGGGGCCGTTTTATAAGATTTGGGTAGGTAAAGGAAAATTACAGTCAAAGGGGGTTGTTCTCTGGCGGGCAGGAGTGGGGGTCACAAGGTACTCAGTGGGGGAGCTTTTGAGCCAGGATGAGCCAGGAGAAGGAATTTCACAAGACAATGTCATCAGTTAAGGCAGGAACAGGCCATTTTCACTTTTTTTGTGGTGGAATGTCATCAGTTAAGGCAGGAACCCACCATCTGGATGTGTACGTGCAGGTCACAGGGGACATGATGGCTCAGCTTGGGCTCAGAGGCCTGACAAAGACAACTGCTTTTCTTCCAGGGCTGATGAGAGACCCAAAGGATAAATAGAGCTTAAAGCAAGTTGGAAGCCGTAGACCATTATGCAGATGCCATATATTATTACTTCTTTACAGTTGGGTTGGTTACTAGAGGACTCACCAGCCCCAGCACCCAGATCTCATGCCTCCTAGCCTTCATGGTTTCCAGAGACATTCTGAATAGCCACGGGCCGGCTGGTGCTGACAACTTGGTGTATTCTGGCCAATGGGGGAGGGAGCTGAACGAAGGGATGTGGGCAGGGAGCCATAGTTCTTCCTGCCAAAGCAGAATCTTTGCCTAATTTCCCCATGACAGTCCTACGTCCATGAAGAACTGAGGAGAATGACATCAGTAAGTCTTACACTCGAGTTTTCTGTCAGAGCAGGTGCAACTTCAAAACTGCTTCCGCCCTCAGGACCAGGCATTTCCTAAACACCCCTCCTCCTTCACTTCTCTTCTCACTGCTGCCTGTGGCTGAGGTATTCTTAATGACAAGCCATCGAGTCCATGATAATCAGCTGAGGAGTGATTCTCATTAGATTTCAGGGAAGGAAAAGGCTCAGGCCATGACTGAAGGATGGAAAATAAGAAGGAATATAGCTAACCTGGCCTCTTCACCTGACTCTACTTAGAGTCCATCTTGACAAGCAGATTGGAGTCATGACAGTTCAGACCTGAAATGCTGGTTTTTATTTAAAGGAGACAGGTGGGAAGAGGGGGATGGGAATAACAACACAGCCATTTGCTGCATAACTAATTACCAAAAATTAACAGCTTAAAACTTAAAACAGCTCCCATAGACCAGGAGTCCAGGTTCAGTGTCTCGCAGACTATAATCAGGGAGGGTCTAGCGTCCCATCTGAGGCTCAGAGGGGCAGGGGCGGGGCGGGGGGTGGTGGTGGTGGTGATGGTGGTGGTGGTCTTCCAAGCACACGTGGTTGTTGTCAGAATTGATTTCCTTGCAGCTGTAGAACTGAAGCATCTTGCCTCTTCAAGGCTAACAGGAAAGAGTGAGTCTCTGACTCTAGGCTTCTTACTTGACATTCTCCAGGAACTCACCTGATTAGGTCAGGCCCACCCAGGATTATCTCCCTTTTCATTAACTTCACCTCAACTGCAGGATTTCTTCACCTTTACTATATTCTACTTTTCAGAAGCAAGTTATACATCCCTCCCACAACTGAAGGGGAGAGGATGACACAAAGATGTGGATACCAGGCAAAGAAATCATAGAGGCCATTTAAAAATTCTACCTACTACATCCTCCGTTTGCTGAGCTCCATGTGTGTGTTGCAGGACTTTCTCCTTAGTTCAGCTAAAGACGGGGTCCTTGTCAAACATCCATGAAATATTAGGCTTGCAGACACTTTGAAGGGTGAGAAAAATGGTATTTATTGGGCGAAAAGGGAAAAAAAAAAAGGAAAAACAGAGACTCTCCGGAAAGCCAGAGTCCTGCTACTGCACTTCCTGCCTGGCGAACTGAATCCCAGGTTCCACCCAGGAAGAGGGCGGCAGGCTCCTCCCCACTGCAAACCACGCGAACCTCCCAAGGCTCCACCCCAGCGTGCATTCCTCCCAGTGTGCAGGTCAGGGAGGCTCTGCCAGGGAGCACTTCCTACCTGGCTGTCTCATGTGGGGTGTGTGTTTGTGTGTGTAACAGAAATCAACTTGTTCCGACTCACCTTAGCAAAATCAGGGGGATTGGTTTTAAGGAAACGATGTCTTGTGGACCCAGGATACAAATGCAGCCTGACCTGTGGAAGGACAGGAGTTAGGGTGAGGAAAGCCATAGGGAAACTTGGATCCCTATGGCTTCATCATTCTCTCTCTCTCTGTGAACCAACTTTATCTGCTGTCCAATTTGTGCTTTACAGTTCCAGCCATGGTTCCAACAACCATGCTATCTCATCCCATTGTCTCTGGTAGAATCAGTATCTCTCTCTTTCTCTCCTCCATTCCCAGTTCTAAATTCTTAGAGAAGGAATCTTGGGTGGGCTGCTCATCTGTATTGTAGTTGTCTGTGGCCAGAGAGGACAGGATGCATGTTACAAGCATGGCTGCTGGGAATCCACCCATGGTGATCATGTAGCGAAGGGAGGATGGGGTCAGTTCCAGGAGAAAGAGGCTGAGGTCCCAAGAGATGTCCACTGCATGGTGTCAGGCTTTGTCATTAGTGGCCAGTATGTGCATATGCCACATCATCTGGTGCACAACTGAGCAGCAAGGCCTTTTGCTGGTGGAGGGGGCGGAATGAGACATGTTTAACAGTGTTCCACAGTTAGTACTATGTGCTGCATAAACCAGGGACTTGTTTCCAGCCGGAAGTGATGCTTCCTGTCAAAATCAGTTTACAGCTATGTTCCCATCACCCCAGCACTTAGAAGAAGGCTGATCCCACAGAAAGAATTCAGCAGCTGCAGAGAATGAGGATATAGGCACACAGGGCCCAATTTAGAGACACAGCCCTGCAGCATCTCATAAACCTTTTTTAGAAATGGCTGAGAAAGAGCTGCTTTGAGCAAGAAGTGAAAGTAAAGAAGGATTGGGTAATCAAAAGCCCGGAAGAAGGAAGGGAATCTTCCAGCACAGAGTGTAATGCTCATGTTTTGCTAAGAAGAAAGTGAGACACACAAAAGGCTCCAGACAGGGCGAGTTATTAAACCTCAGACATGCTGCTTAAGAGCTCTTACCAATTCTTACTTATGAGGAACTGGCTTCCAGATCTCTCGTGTGTCTTATAGTTGTTTTATACAAGTGTGCACAGGGAGGTATAAACTGGATGTGATTCTCACCCCAGGATGTGGGTGCTTACCAACCAGTCCTTCTGCAGTCTTCACATAGTTCAAAGCCAAAGGATCATTTCCAGCGCTGACATATTTGTGGAATCTTCAAGGGAAAGGAAAAGGCTAACCCAAGGCAAAGTGTTATTTGCTCACATCACTTAAGGAATTTTTTCAAAATTCTAGAGATTAACGGGTAAGTCTATAAAATTCAAAAGGAACTACTATATTAAAGTAGGGTTGTCATCACTTCTCCTTGCAGTTATTGTCTCCCTGTCCCCTGGCTCCAAGTGCATTGCATCATGAAAGGAAACTGTCACTCTTTTCAGCATTGGCTGTTCTGACTTGGTATTTTACTGCATGGTGATCTGATGCTGTTGGGGAGACAGGCATGTGGAGCATTTTAAGCCACGAAGGAAGGTATGTGAACTAAATCCACAACTCACCTCTTAGGAACAACTGCCTGAGGATAGGGTTCTTTCAGAAAACATAAGCTCTGGTGACAAATTCACTCAACTGATTGCTGCACCTTGTTTTAGAAAATGCTTCTAGAGGTAGCAAAATAATTCACATGAGGATTTATGAAGATGTACTTCATCCTTGATTTGGGAAGAGGTGAGAGAGACGATGTCCACCTACCACGGTTCACCCATGTGAACTTTCTTGTTACTCCTACTGTGTCATCCAGTCACTGAGCAAAGTCCTGGGCACACTTCATTAAACACAGTACCTGCTTTTGAAGAATTCACAGTCTCACAGGAGAGAAGTATGTGTAAACTGATGGTTAAAATACATCACAGTGTTAGGTGTTGCAGAGGGGAATGGGCAAAGCATTATTAGATCATAGAAGGAATGACTAGGCATGCAGCTCCTTCCAGACTCAGCTTGGGAATCCTCCCAGTCCGACGGCTGTGCTCTACCACTCTCTGCTCACTTTCCACATGACATTGGTACTTTGTGCTCCTGTGTCTCTCTCCCCAACAAGGCTTCAAGCCAGGGTTTCTCAGCTTTGGCATTATTGACATTTTGGGCCAAATTTTTGATGGTAGGGAGGGGGAGCCGTCTTGTGCGTTGTAGAATGCTTAGCATCATCTCTGCCCTCTACCCAGGATCGCTGCCCTCTGTCTGCCAGTAATACACACACACACATACACACATATGACACAGACACACACAACACACACATGAACACAGACACACACATACCCCCCACACTATTAATGGCAATACAAAGTCTCTGCCAAATGTCCCCTAGGCAGCAAAATCGCCCCAGTTGAGAGTCCCTGCTTTAAGCTGTTCCAGGGCAGCAATGACATTTTCTTCATCTCTGAATCCCTGGTGCCCAGGACATTTCTGTCACTGCGAACCAAACAGAATATGGCTTGGAGGGATGAGGGAAGCCTTAAATAAGAGAACTATCTGATTCGAAGTATAAAGAGGAATCATCTAGGTCAGCACTCTCCTATAGAACTTTCTGTGATGATGGAAATGTTCTATGTCTTCACTTTCCAATACAGTGGCTGCTACGTGTGGCCTTTGAGTACTTGAAATGTATGACTGAGGAACTGGATTGATTTCAATTACTTTAAATGTAGCCTTCAAAGGCCACATGTGATTAGAGCCTCCATCTTAGATAGCACAGCTCAAGCACTGAGTGGCCTGGCCCAGGGTAAGCACTACTCATCAAATGCAAGTTTGGGTTTCAATAGATTCCCAGATGATTCAAATATATATTCATACTTCCAGTTTTTCTGACCATTATCCAAGCGTAAAGCAATATATTTTGGAATAAATTGAATATTCCCATGCTTCCTTCTAAAGAGATAATAAAAGAGGCTGATCCCACCTATTGTAAAGCAACCAGGGATGCCATTATTGAGGGGCTTGAAGATAGATGCTGATGAAATTCTTAGAATCACCCCATTTATTTAAAAGCAGCCCATCTGACTATCTAAGCTTCCATGCATTTATCTAAATAATGGATATTGAGGGCCTACCAGATGCTATTGTTCGATGAGATCACAAAGATATGCAAAACAGCCAGAGAGAAAAATGTAGAAAAAACTATGCTGCACTGTTAGAAGGGCAGGAATGGAGTTGTGTGTGTGGTACAGGGAGGATACAGGGAAGGGAGATTCTAAGTGCCTGAGATGGACAGAGAAGTTTTGACAGCAGAGCTGACACTGAGCTGAGCTTTAAGTGAGAATTAGCTGAGTCAGTTTCCTAAACTTATCTGAACAGCCACCAGACACAAACACACACAAAAATCACCTAGGGACTTGTTAAAAAATAAATTCTCAAGTTTCTTCCCTGGAAATTCTTAGTATAGAACTCAGTTTTAGCAAGCATCCCGGGCAAATATAGGAAGTGAGTGTTAGGAGAATGGGGCCCATAATTACCATGTGCTGATAGAAACGGTGCCAAGGTCTTGATAATGTTTCTGATAGCTAAAACTATCAGTATATCACATTTGACTTATATTAGAAGGCAGGAATTTGAAAAATAAAAGAATGAAAGAGAAAGGAAAGCTACCCATACTTCCACCATGTAGACCTAATCATTGATATTTTTGATAAATATTCTGCTTGTCTTTTTGTGTACACTCACACACACTCACACGAAACTGGAAGAATACTATACCTATTCCGTTTTTTACATACTTTTTTATCTTACAATAATTTTAGATTTAAAGAAAAGTTGCCAAGATAGGACAAAGTGTTCACATATACCCTACACCCAGTTTTCCCTATTATTGTCTTATATTAGTACACTGCCTTTGTAACAGTTAATGTACTAATATTTATATGTTACTGTTATCAAAAATCCATACCTCATTCAGATTTCCTTAATTATTATTCATTGCTCTTTTTCTATTCCAAGATCGGATCCAAGATATATTATATTTAATTACCATGTCTCCTTAGGCCTATCTTGGCTGTGACAGTTTCTCAGTCTTTTCTTGTCTTTCTTGACCTCGACAAGTGTTTTGTAGACTTTCCTTAAACGGATATTTTTCTGATATTTTTCTCATGGTTAGATTGGAGTTGTCTGCTTTTGTTTTAATTATAATTTTAAGTTTGGTAAACTTTTAAATTACAGAAAAAAAAAATAAGACAAAGATGCAAATATCATCAACCCAGAATTGACAGTTGTTATCATTTTTGTATTTGTTTCATTTTTTAAGAAAACTAATAGAATTATAGTCAAATTCCCTTTATTGAGCATCCTTACCTATAATTCACAACCCTCCCTGCCTCATAGATGTAACCACTGTCATGAATTTAGTGTGCAATCTTCCATTTCCACTTTTTCCTTTTATATGTATGTACACACACGCCTATAAAACCAGGGAAATATGTGGTATTTACATGTATGTTAATTCTTGTCTATGAATGACATTGTAAGCACATCAGACCAACTGGTTCAACTTTTATGTGACAAAGTTGTGAGTTGTTTTTCAGTTGCCATGGACCCCCAGGTTAAAGGGCACATAATCTGAGCATGCCCAGATGAACCAAATGTGCAACCACAAGGGGAACCTAAGTGCTGGGATGAAGGAGCAGGACTGAATTAAGAAGCAGCAGACACAGCATGGCAGGATCCAGCCAGAGCATGCGTCCTGGCCTCACCTCACTGCCAGATCCAATCAGATCATGCCTTATTACCCATTTTAAAATCTGACCCACCCCCAGCTCAGGGAGACATTTGAGCATTTCCTCCTCTCATGTGGCCAGTGGACTTGCGATTAACCTTTCTCACAGCAAAAACCCAGTGCTTCGGTGTTGGCTTTCCACTGCACATGGGCAAACAGACCCCATTTGGTTTCAGTGACAGCATGATGTACCCATCATTCTTTAACTTGATTTTTTTTCACTTAACCTTTTTTTTTTTTTGATAACTATTCATGTAGATCTACATAGTCTGAGCCAGTTAATTTCTTTTCATTGCTATATGGTATTCTGTAGTATGCCTACAGTATAGTTTATCCATTTTCTTCTTATAGACAGGTGCAAGAAATTCTCTGAAGTATAAACCTCAAGGTAGAATTGCTGGTTTGTAGGATATGGGCTTCCAGATATGATTGAACCGGTTCATGCTCCTAGCAGCAATGTTTAAGAGTTTGTTTCTCTGCATTCTCAACAACAGTTATTACTGACAGATAGTTTAATTTTTTCCGAATGTATAAGAGTGAAATTAAATCTCATTGGTGTTTTATTTTTAATTTTCCTTATTACTACTGGTGAAGTTGAGTATCATCTTAGATATTTGTTAGTGAATTGCTCTTGGGCCCTTTTTTCTACTGGGTGTTTTTGTCTGTTTTTCTTACTAACTTAAACTTTTTTTGTTTTTGCATATTTGGGTTAATCATCCTTTTCTTGTTGTGTATGTTACACATATACTGTTTTAGCCTACAGTTTGTCTTTTAGCATTACTACTGTCTCATTTGTCATTCAGAAGTTTACATTTTGACAAAGTCATCAGTCTTTTCCTGTATAATTTATACTTTTTCTATATTGCTTAAGAAATTTTCCCCTACTTTAATATCTTAAAGATATTCCCTATATTTTCTTCTAGTTGTTGCAATTCTTTTTCATGTTTTCTTTAAGCTACATGAAGTCTCTTTTTGTTTTTCATGTGAGCTAGGAGTCTAATTTTCTTTCTATATGAAACCTAGCTATCCCAGTATCTTTTATTAAGTAGTTCATCCTTTCAACTGTAATGCCAATTCTACTAAATGACAGATTCATATATGCAGCAATTTGTTTCTGGGATTTTAATCTGTTCACCTGAGCTTTTATCTATGACTCAGCCGAAACCACAGTTTTACTTAATTAGCTTCATAATAAACTCTGATACCCGGTAGAATAAGCAACCCTTTCTTGTTATTCTTTTTCAGAGATTTATCAGATATTTTTGGACTTTTGTTCTGCCACATAAATTTTAAAATGTTTATAAAGTTTTATGGGAAACCATGTTAGGATTTATATTGGAATCGCATTGAAATTATAGATGCATTTGGGGGAGGATTGCCATCTTTACCATATTGAATCTTCCTATTCATGAGCAGTTTACCTGTCCACTTATTAAGACCTTCTTATGTGTTCTTCAAGTTTTGAAATTTTCTCAGCAAAAAAAGTTTTACGAATGTTTTGTCTTATTTACGCTTAGGCTTCCAATCACTTTTATTGCTAAATTAGATTTTTTTTCAAGTTTTGTGTAAATACTGGGTTGTTAGGAATGCTATTGATTTTTGAAGGTAGTTTTATATGATTTAACTGTTGAATAATTTTATTAGTTCTGAAGGATCTCTTAGATTTTATAGACACCATACCATGAAGACATAATGATAATTTTCTCTCTTTTTTTATTGCTGTATCTCCATTGCTTTATTGGCTAGAACCTCTAGCATAGTATTGATAATAGCTGTGATAAACGATATCTTTGACTTGTTTCTGACTTTCTGGGAAAATCTTTTTTTTTTTTTTTTTTTTGAGACGGAGTCTCGCTCTGTCGCCCAGGCCGAACTGCGGACTGCAGTGGCGCAATCTCGGCTCACTGCAAGCTCCGCTTCCCGGGTTCACGCCATTCTCCTGCCTCAGCCTCCCCAGTAGCTGGGACTACAGGCGCCCGCCACTGCGCCCGGCTAATTTTTTGTATTTTTAGTAGAGACGGGGTTTCACCTTGTTAGCCAGGATGGTCTCGATCTCCTGACCTCATGATCCACCCGCCTCGGCCTCCCAAAGTGCTGGGATTACAGGCGTGAGCCACCGCGCCCGGCCGGAAAATCTTTTAAACACTTAGTTGATGATATATAATAAAATTTATTATATAATGTAGGTTTTTGTGAGATGTCTTTTTTTATGCCAAAGATAATCAAGTTTCCTATTATTTATACTTTGTTAGAAACTGTCTTTTTACATCACAAATGAGCACTAAACTTTTCTGAATTCTTGGTCTGTACCTGTTACAGTAATTATACGGATTGCCTCTTAATCTGCTATGTGGTAAATTACATTGATACATTTTCTAAAGTTAAATCTGTGCATTCCTGGAATAAACCATGCTTAGTCTTATTTAAAACCTATTTTTCTATGCTGCTAAATGGAATTTCCTAATGTTTTACTTAGATTTTTTTTATGTCGATGTTTACAAGTGACTTGGCATGTCGTTTTCTTTTTTATACTGTCTTTACTGGTTTTGGGATTAAATTATATTGTCTCATAAAATAAGTTGAATGGCTTTGTCTTTGTCTATTATCTGGAACAGCTTGTATAACATGGGAATTATCAGTTCTTTGACTATAGTAAAACAGTTGCAAATCTCTCTGGCTCTGTTTTCTTTTGAGGGAGGTCATTGTTGACTACTGATGTAATCTCTTGTTATTTTGTTAGTACCATATTTGCAATAGGATACACCTATACCATGTCAGGCTTCCTTCTAATTAAGCATTTCTACAATTACTACTAATCTAATCAATACAACAGTCTTATAAGCTAGGTAAAATTATTATTACTATTTTGCATCTGAGGAAACTGAGGCAAAGAAGCAGAGCCAAAACTGAACCCAGGCAGTAAGAGTTCTGGTTGTAGAATCTATGCTATTAACTACCACACTATAGTAAGTTTTTCTATTTTTTCTTGGGCAAATTTTGTTAATTTACATATTCCTAGAAAATTATACCTTCATTTAAAATTTTTAAAATTATTGGCATAAGGGTGTCGTAGTATTCACATGATATTTTGAAGTCTTTACTACACCTTTTTTAAATTCCTAACATTGTTTTATTTGTGCCTTCTCTTTTTCAATTCATGAATCTTGCTAAAAACCCTTCTGAGTTTTTACCCTCAGAAAACTAGATTTTAGTTATAAGATGCCTAGGATTTGCTATAAAATAATAAGGTAAGAAGAGTGCTGGGAGTATATATGAAGGAAGATTGTCCATAGTATGGTAATTACTGAAACAGTGTAAATTGGGTTCATTGTACTATTCTCTACTTTTATCCGTATTTGAAAATTTCCACAATAAAAACTAAACAAAAAAAATCAGATTTTGTTCTTTTTCCCATAATTTCTATTGGGTTTTAAAATTCATGTTATTTTTCACTGATATATTATATTATTGTTATTTCCTTTTTTTCCCCCTTGGGTTTTTCCCTATTGCTCTGTAGCATCTTTTAGTTAGTTGTTTGGTTAAATAAATTTCAGTCTTCTTTTGTTTTCTAGTATGCACATTGAACACTGCAAATTTCCTTGTAAATATCAGTTTAACTTTACCCTACAAGTTTTTTATTATTTAATCTTCTTTTCTCATTTCAAAAATTTTCAGTGTGATTTATTTTAAGCCATAAACTGTTTCCCTCAATGTGTCTATATACTATCAATTATTTGGAATTTGTGGAGAATTGCTTTGTGTCTCTTAAATCATGTTTGCTAACAGCTTTTTCAAATCTATATAATTTCTAATAATCATGTCTTTTTGGCCAATTTTTAAGAGATACATATTAAAGTCTCCCTGTTTACTTGTGGATTTAAAAAGTTGGTAAGTTTCTCTTTGTAATCCTTGCAGTTTTACTTTTGTGTTTCAAAGCTATAGTTAAAACATACGCAATAATTCATGATTGCTATATCTTCTGGGGCTTTGTTTTTGCTACTTTTATAAATATATAATGTCCTTACTTTCACCCTTAAATTCAATTTCATTTGATATTGCTATCCCAGCTTTATTTTAACTATTTATTCAAAGTACAGTCATCCCTGGAATATGTGGGGAATTGGCTCCAGGACCCCCACATATTCTGAAATCCAAGCATACTCAAGTTTCACAGTTGGCCCTGCAGAATCTATGAATACAAAAAGTTGGCCCTCTGTATACATAGGTTTCACATCCTGAGAATACTGTATCTTCAGTCTGCGTTTGTTTGAAAAAAAATTGCATATAAGTGGATCCATACAGCTCAAAAAAGTTGTTTCATGCTCAACTGTATATCTTTTCCTATTTTTTTACTTATAACCTTTCTATGTTTTTCATTTTAGATGAGTCTCTTATATACAATATATAGATTTTTAGATCCACTCTCACAGTCTCCAATAAGTAAAATTAATATTTTACATTTATTAACATTGATTATATTTGTAAGTGTATATATGTCATCTTATTTGGTATTTCATATTTATCATATTCTTTTTTCTTTGCTCCCCCTCTTCTCTTTTCCTCTATTGAATTGATAGTATCCCAGTAAATCAAGTAAGCAGTCCATTAGCCTGAGGCTGGCTGTGTACTTCGAGATCCTGTGTAAGAAACCACAACCTAACTACAGTTGACTCTTGAGCAGCAAGGGTTTGAACTGAGTGGGTCCACTTAAACATGGATTTTCTTCCACTTCCGCCACCCCTGAAAAAACAACACCAACCCCTCCTCTTCCTTCCTTCTCAGCCTACTCAGCATGAAGATGACAAGGATAAAGAACTTATAATGACCCACTTCCACTTTATGAACAGTAACCGTATTTTTCTCTTCCTTATGATTTTCTTAATAACATTTTATCTTCTCTAGTTTATTGTAAGAATACAGTAGATAGTACGTATAGCAAACAACATACGTGTTAACAGACTTTGTTATTCATAAGGCTTCTGGTCAAGAGTAGGCTGTTAACTTTTGGGGGAGTCAAAATTTATATGGGAACTTTCAGTTGTGTGAGAGGCTGAAGCTCCAAACCCCACATTTTTCAAGGGTCAACGATATATTTTTGTAATAAATATAGCAGAGTTTCAGCCAATCAGAAGCAGCTGAGCTTCAGCCAATCACAGCTAATCATGAATCAGTTCATGCCACATAAGGCAAAAGCCTAGCTGATCAGGTGATTTCTCAACTTTGCTTCATATTTGGCCTATAAAAGCTGGCCACTCAACTGCTGGGTGGAGCTCTGTGAATCTCTTCTGGTTCTGAGTGCTGCCAGATACATTCTTTGTTCAAACAAACTTTGTTAAATTTAATTTGTCTAAAGTTATTCTTTCAACAATCCTTATCCTCTTTATTTTCCTTCCACTGAATTCAAAGTTATAGATGGTGCCTTCATTCTTTTAGAAAATAATCACATACATATTTAACTTTACTATATTCTAATCAAATGTAAAGTTAGAATCTCTAATATCCTTTCTAACAACATAAAGACTTGAGCTCACTTTAGCTTCCCTCTAAATGCTATCATCTTGCTTGTGTTATGTGCTTGTATTGCCCATGCTGATTTCTAAATTTTATTAACATGAAAAAAAAATTTTTTTTTTTTTTTGAGACGGAGTCCCACTCTGTCACCCAGGCTGGAGTGCAATGGCACGATCTCGGCTCACTGCAACCTCCGCCTCCCGGGTTCATGCCATTCTCCTGCCTCAGCCTCCCGAGTAGCTGGGACTACAGGCATCCACCACCATGCCTGGCTAATTTTTTGTACTTTTAGTAGAGACAGGGTTTCACCATCTTAGCCAGGATGGTCTCAATGTCCTGACCTCGTGATCCGCCCACCTTGGCCTCCCAAAGTGCTGGGATTACAGGTGTGAGCCACCATGCCTGGCCTGAAAAAATATTTTTTAAACAGCCAGTACAATTTACATTTGCATCATATTTAGTGGTTTCTTTGCTCACCCATCCTTTATTCAATGGGTTTATTTTTTGTTCTGCTGAGGTACATTCTTTAGTAGTTCTTTCAGCAAGGGCTGTGGGCAGTAAACTCTTATTATATTTGAATTTTTAAATATATCACTCACTTGACCAGGTATGATGGCTCACACCTGTAATCCTAGCACTTTGGGAGGCCAAGGCAAGTGGATCACGAGGTCAGGAAATTGAGACCATCCTGGCTAACACAGTGAAACCCCGTCTCTACTAAAAATACAAAAAAAAAAATTAGCCAGGCGTGCTGGCAGGCGCCTGTAGTCCCAGCTACTTGGGAGGCTGAGGCAGGAGAATGGCATGAACCCAGGAGGCAGAGCTTGCAGTGAGCCAAGATTGCACTACTGCACTCCAGCCTGGGCAACAGAGAGAGACTCCGTCTCAAAAAAAAAAAAAAAAATTTATCACTCAGTCTTCAAACATCATTTAGTTTCACATAAAGTTCTAGCTTCATTATTCTTTCCCCTCAGGACTTTAAAGATATTATTTCATTTTTTCTTATCTTTTCTTGTAACATTAAGCCTACACAGTGTAATTTCTTCTTTGCAGGCAGTCTGCAAGTCTGCATTTCTTCCTTGAAATCTTAAGCTTTTCCGTTTATAGTTGATGTTATGCAATGTTATGACAATGTATTAGGTATGAAAATTCTTATTTATTCTACTTGTGATTTTTTTTTCATTCTAAGAGTGTGTATTTCAATGTTGGAACACTTTCAAGCATTGTCTATTTAAGAATTGATTCCTATCTCATTCTTGATATTTTCTGTATCAGGAACACCTACCAAATCTGTGGTGGGTGTCTACTTTTACACTCAATGTCTATCTACTGCATTCTAAGTGAGTTCCTAAAGTCTGCCTCCCAATTTACTAATTTTCTGTTCATCTGTTTTTAGTCTACTGCTTAACAAATCTCTTGAAATTTTTACTTCAAATATTTTTTTCATTTTTAGAATTTCTACTTTCTTTTTTAGTCCACCAATTTTTTTCCAAAATTACTTGGAAAAAATAGTTTAGATTCTCACTTTACACTAAAATGTAATATAGATAGATTTACAGAGTTAAATGAAAGGAAATTAAAACCATAAATAGTTAATATTTCTCAAATCCCTACATCGAGATAGATTTTCTAGGTTTCAAATTCCTAGCTGTGTTGGTGATATTTTTCTTTATCTCTTCATACTTTTCTGTGCTTTTCAAATATTCCATACTACAGATCTATTATTTTTATAATTTTAAAGTCAATGATTTTTTGAAAAAAGCTTTCCCAATAAATTGGAAGGATATTGATTCAGTCATAAATTCTTTAGTCCTCCTCATCCTCTGTCCCTTCAAAATAAGTCCTTTCCTTATCTTCCAGTAGGAGCTGTTGGATTATTCTTGGCCAGTGGGCCCTGGGTCAGATGAAAGTGCAACATACAGGTTAACAGTGCAACATACAGCCTTTTGACAACAGCTCTCAAAAGTTGTTTACATTTCATGTCTGAGATCTTGAAGTGTGTTAGAAAGATTTAAGAGTAAATTTTCCCAAAGGAAATTGTTAACTCAAAGCCAGTGATATGGTTTGCCTTTGTCCCCACCCAAATCTTATCTTGAATTCCCACGTGTTGTGAGAGGGACCTGGTGGGAGTAATTGAATCATGGGTGCAAGTCTTTCTCATGCTGTTCTTGTGACAGTGAATGAGTCTCATGAGATCTGACAGTTATAAAAGGAGACGTTCCCCTGTACAAGCTCTCTCTCTTTGCCTGCTGCCATCCATGTAAGACGTGACTTGCTTCTCCTTGCCTTCCACCATGATTGTGAGGCTTCCCCAGCCACATGGAAACTGTAAGTCCAATTAAACCTCTTTCTTTTGTAAATTGCCCAGTCTCAAGTATGTCTTTATCAGCAGTGTGAAAATGGACTAATACAGTAAATTGGTATCAGAAGTGGGGTGCTGATGAAAAGATACCCAAAAATGTGGAAGCAACTTTGGAACTGCATAACAGGCAGAGGTTGGAACAGTTTGGAAGGGTCAGAAGAAGACAAGAAAATGTGAGAAGGTGAGAAGGTTTGGAACCCCCTAGAGACTTGTTGAATGGCTCTGCCCAAAATGCTCATAGTGATATGGACAATAAGGTCCAGGCTGAGGTGGTCTCAGATGGAGATGAGGAACTTGTTGGGAACTAGAACAAAGGTGACTCTTGTTATGATTTAGCAAAGAGACTGGCGGCATTTTATCCCTGCCCTAGAGATTTGTGGAACTTTGAACTTGAGAGAGATGATTTAGGGCATCTGGTGGAAGAAATTTCTAAGCAGCAAAGCATTCAAGAGGTTAGTTGGGTGCTGCTAAAGGCATTCAGTTTTGAAAGGGAAACAGAGAATAAACATTTGAAAAATTTGCAGCTTGACAATGCAATAGAAAAGAAAATCCCATTTTCTGAAGAAAAATTCAAGCCAGCTACAGAAATTTGTGTAAATAATGAGAAGCTGAATGTTAATCACCAAGACAACGGGGAAAATGTCTCCAGGACATGCCAGAGATCTTTGCCACAGCCCCTCCTAGCACAGTCTTGGAGGCCTAGAAGGAAAAAGTGGTTTTGTGGGTGAGGCCCAGGGTCCCTGTGCTGTCTGCAGCCTAGGGACTTGGTGCCCTGTGTCCCAGTCACTCCAGCTGTGGCTGAAAGGAGCCAACGTAGAGCTCAGGCCATGGCTTCAGGGAGTGCAAGCCTCAAGCCTTGGCAGCTTTCACGTGGTATTGAGCCTGTGAGTGCATAGAAGTCAAAAATTGAGGTTTGGGAACCTCTGCCTAGATTTCAGAAGTTGTATTGAAATGCCTGGATGCCCAGGCAGAAGTTGTATGCAGGGCTAAGGCTCTCAGAGAACCTCTGCTAGGGCAGTGCAGAAGGAAAATGTGGGATTGGAGCCCCGACACAGAGTCCCTACTGGGGCACTGCCTAGTGGAGCTGTGAGAAGAGGACCACTATCCTATCCTCCAGACCCTAGAATTGTAGATCCACCACAGCTTGCACTGTGCACCTGGAAAAGCTGCATACAATGCCAGCCTGTGCAAGCAACAGGAGGGGGGCTTTACCCTGCAAAGCCACAGGGGTGGAGCTGCTGAAGACTGTGGGAACCTACCTCTTGCATCAACATGACCTGGATGTGAGACATGGAGTCAAAGGAGATCATTTTGGAGCTTTAAGATCTGACTGCCCCACTGGATTTCTGGACTGGCATGGGGCCTGTAGCCCCTTTGTTTTGGCCAATTTCTCCCATTTGGAAAGGCTGTATTTATCCAATGCCTGTATCCCCATTGTATCTAGGAAGTAACTAACTTGCCTTTGATTTTACTGGCTCATAGGCGGAAGGGACTTGCCTTGTCTTGTATGACACTTTGGACTGAGGACTTTTGAGTTAATGCTGAATTGAGTTGAGACTTTGGGGAACTGTTGGGAGGGCACGATTGGTTTTGAAATGTGAAGATATCAAATTTGGGAGGGGCCAGGGGCGGAATGATATGGTTTGGCTGTGTTCCCACCCAAATCTTATCTTGAATTCCCACATGTTGTGGGAGGTACCCAATAGAAGGTAATTGAATCATGGGAGCAAGTCTTTCCCATGCTGTTCTTGTGACAGTGAAAAAGTCTCATGAGATCTGATGGTTTTAAAAAGAGGGGTTCCCCTGCACAAGCTCTCTCTTTGCCTGCTGCCATCCATGTAAGGTGACATGCTTCTCCTTGCCTTCCACCATGATTGTGAGGCTTCCCCAGCCACGTGGAACTGTAAGTCCAATTAAACCTCTTTTCTATAAATTGCCCAGTCTCAGGTATGTCTTTATCAGCAGTGTGAAAACGGACTAATACACCTAGTATTTAAAAAGTTATGATATCTCTAGGTAAAAGGTTTTTAAAAATGTTTTATGTTGTGGTTGACAAAGTGCTTAAGATTAAAAATAGACTTATTTTTATTAAAAGGTAAAGAGTCATTTAATAGGGAAGAAAGTTGTGTCAGTTTGGGTCCCTTAAGAAGCACACACCAAGACAGAATTAAGCATTCAGAAGATTTACTGGGAGAAACACCTGTGAAGAATACTGGTGAGAGGAAGTAGGAGTGACTAGGGAGGGCCTTAAGACCTCAGTGCTAATCTGAAATACATGAAACGGAGTGGGAAGGAAAGAGGATCAGTAGAAAAAGCTCAAAACTTTAGTGCAGTTCTTAGAAAACCTTGGTCAAGACAAAGTGGGTTCCCCTACTGTGTTAAGTCTATTCTCACACTGCTGTAAAGAACTACCTGAGACTGGGTAATTTATGAAGAAAAAGAAAAGAGATTTAATTGACTCACAGTTCCACAGGCTGTGCAGGAGGCATGGCTGGGGAGGCCTCAAAAAACTTACAATCATGGCAGAAGGCCAAAAAGGGAGCAAGGACATCTTCACATGGCAGCAGGAGAGAGAGAGAGAGAGAAGGGGGAAGTGCTACACATTTTCAAACAACGAGATATGGTAAGAACTCACTCACTATCATGAAAACAGCAAGGGGGCAATCCACCCTCACGGTTTAATCACCTCTCACCAGGCCACTCCTCCAACACATGGGGATTACAATTCAACATAAGCTTTGGGTGGGGACACAGAGCTAAACACAGCATATTACCTATCAGAGACTAATAGTGGAGTCCCATGTTGGGCAGAAACAACCCAGATCTATTACCTCTCCTGTGCTCAGTAATGGGCTAGAATCAGTCTGGGGAGGGTATGGTCTCATCACCCCTGTGGTGGATCCTGAAGCTGTAGCATTTAGAGGCTGTCAGCCAACTATGCTCCTTGCAGAAGGTTCTTTTAAAGGATAATCTGATGGGCCACTCCATGGTGGCCACAGAAATGTATTTAAAGTATACTTTCTTCCAGAGTCTCTCCCTCAGTTCTCAAAATAAAAGAAAAACTACAAAATCCTTTCTATAAAATAGGAACTGGTAGATTGTTTATTTCTAGAGACAATATTAAGCTTTCCCTTAAGTAGAATTGTAGAATTCAGAATCTAGTACAGTGCCTGGCACATAATAGAAACCCATAACTATTTGTTAACTAAATTGTGCCATTTGATTCATTTCCTCTCCTCAGGTCTAATAAGATGATACCCTTTATTAAGGCCAGATACTTCAGATTTGACATTTCTAATCCTTACAATAACTCTACAATGCAGACATTGTTAGACATTTTTACAAGTAGATACACTGAGGCTCAGAGAGGTTAAGTAACTTGCCCAATGTCACACGACTATAAGTGGTGGTTCTAGGATTCAAATCCAGTGCTGCTCTGAAGCCTGGCACAGGCTCCCTTTCCTCTTTGTCCTTGGTAGCCTAAGGAAAACTAATTAATGCATGTGAGAGGTGGCAATCACATAACGTGAAGCTGAAATAGGTCTCATATATTATCTAAACCAGTATTCCTCAGCCCTGGCTGAACATCAGAACCATTTCGAGAACTTTTAAAATATTCGGATGATCAGGCCCCATCTCAGACCATTTAAATCACTATTTTGAGAGGTAGACCCAGGCATCTCTATTTTTTTGTTCTAAAGCTTTTAAACATGGGAACTTCTAATCTTCTCAAGATTAGGCACCACTGGTCTTGTCCAAGCCCTCTCATATTACAGATTGGGTAACTGAGTCCCAGAAAGTGAAGTTATCACATCTGACAACCAAACGTGCTGGAACCAGAGCTCATATGAAGATTTCTTAGTCCCATGTTGCCCTCTAGGAGTTTACCTGAAATTGTTTGTTGAAGCCTATGACACTGCCATGATGAAGGACTCTATTCACACAGCAGTCCTTGTGTGCCCTCTGGTGGGTTAAAGGGGTAAGAAGTCATTTCCTGGGGCAGTACTTAAAAGGGTGGGTGGGCGCTCTGCAGAAGGTTGTATTGCCTAATCAAAATGTTTCGTGTGGATTTATACAAGCTGGCTGGTTAGGTAGTGGGGATTTATATCACCGTTCTACTTTGAAGGAAGAAAACAACAAGATAAACAAAAACAAAACCCACCACCTTGAATTGGATCAGTGCCTTGTCTCCAAAGACTTGCTATATAATGCCATCTTTTTTTTTTTTTTTTTTTTTTCTGAGACAGAGTTTTGCTCTGTCGTCCCAGGCTAGAGTGCAGTGGTGCAATCTCGGCTCACTGCAAGCTCTGCCTCCCGGGTTCACGCCATTCTCCTGCCTCAGCCTCCCGAGTAGCTGGGACTACAGGTGCCCGCCATATAATGCCATCTTTAAATCCCATAAGGCACTACCTCACATTAGTGCTCTGGGAGAAATTTTTTAAATCTTAGAGTATCTTTTATCAAGGGTGTAGACTCTTTTGGTTCATCTTACAGGTTTTGCAAACAAACCTGAGGACAAATTCTAGCTCCACAATTTATTAATCTCATAAACTTCAGTGAGTCACGTGGTATCTTTAATCCCCAGCTTTACCATCTGAAATGGTCATTATAACCTAATTTATACAGTTCTTGTGGAGATTAAATGTGTATATGTAGGCATGGCACTGGCCCTGAAACTTATTAAGTCCCCTCCACCCTCATGCTTCACAAAATGGTTATCCTATTATTGGTAGACCCCTGTTGGGTGCATTTCTACTATGTCTGGACAAAACTCTCAAATAGGAAAAGAATATTTTCAGTGCAAAGTGATGTAACCTGTGCATTGGCATCCCTCCTGTGGCCTGCTTCCCTTGTCCCCAGAGAGCACTTGCCACTCTCCTGCCACCCTTTGTTGCAGACTTCCACAGACCTTCCCGTGGTAAGCAGAATTTGAACTCTGATCTATCCCTCATCAAAATATCTTTTGCATGTAGCTGTATTCTCATTCCTGGGGCATTCCAACATGAAAAGGTTGAGAAGATGAGGAAAAGCCACAAAAGGAGACAGCATGAGTGATCAATATGCAGTAGGAGAGAAATCAGGAGAGTGTTATTCTACAGGCCAAATAAAGAATGTCTCAGAGGGAGGAAATGATTGACTGGGTCAAGCAAGACAAGGACCAAGAGGTGACCATTGGATTTAGCAAAGTGGAGGTTATTGGTGGTGTTGACTAAGGCAAGTTTGCTGTAGTGGTTGTGGTGAAATTGTGATTGGAATACAGAATTGGATACATCAAGCACAGACTCTTCTTTTGCGATGTTTTTCCTGTAAAGAAGTGCCAGGCAATGGGGTGGAAGCTAGAGGAAATGGCTTTTTAAGATGAGAGAAATAACAGCATATTTATAATGCCAGTGAGAATGAGCCAGTAGTGAGAGAGAAAACTGATGATGCAGAAAGGAGAAGGGAGAACTGCTAGAGCAGCATCCTTCACAGGTCAGAGGGATTGAGATTTAGTACAGAGGTGGAGCGCCTTATAGGAACAGACATGCTGCACTCATAATAAAGGGAAGGGCAGGCAGAGTCTATGGGTACAGATGCCGTTAGGTGAAGGTAGAGATAACGAGAGGTTTGCAAAAGTTCTCTTCTGATAGCTTCCTTTTTATCAGTAAATAGGAAGCAAGGTCATCACTGGGAGAAGCTGCTATTAAGTGAAATAAAGTCCCATCAAGAGAGCAAGTGATCAGCTCAGTTTCCGAAATAGAACTCAAAGATTAATGGTGATGTGCTCTAGTGGGTAAGAGGTTTTGCTGAAAATACTTCAATTATGAGGTTCACATGTAATATCAACGTAAAATTCAAATAACAATAAACACATGATGTTCTGAACTTTATTTTCAACTATTTAAACCACTCTACAAAATGCTCTACAACATTAAGAAAACCTCAGCAAAATTTGGGGTGGGAATTAGACTCTGTTTATCTGTCATCAAAATATCACGCAAACACTTATTTTAAGTGTTTAACTTAAGATATTTAACTCTGTGGAATTCTTTGTAGATGATGGTATATTTAAATTCCACATATGACAATGAAAATTTACCCCAAGCATACAACTCTTTAAAACAAAATAACACACATTTTTTAAAACTGTTTCAGATTAAGTTGTTTTGCTTTTTTTCCTAGACATGAAAACTAAGCTCAATCTTTTTCCCCAGTCACAGCCTTGAGCTTATGGCAGATTTGCACAAAGTATACCAATTTCTTCTTGGATTGTCCATCTAGTGATGCCAGTAGTTCATGCCATCACAGGTAGAAGAGATGGTTGGCTAATTCCAGACTGGGTTCTTTATGAATGCTTTGTGCCACCAGAAAGGTCAGCTTGTGAGCATACTGACATGGTGCTGGGACACTGACTATGCCCTGAGGAGAAAAAAGTATTGATAATAATTAAGAGATTACCTTGTTCTTCAAAGAGATTTTTTCTGATTTTACTTTGTCTACTGGTTACACAGATAATAGAATGGGCTTCTGGGTAAACAACAGGTAACCTCAACCAACAAAAGGTAACCTAACTTACTGGGAACTTAAGCTCACTGGGGAGGATGGAGTGAAAAGTCACTCTGGCTTCATGGTGCTGGGAGTAGGGAGCCATCACACTTCAGACTAGTCTTTGTCCTGTGATCTCAAGTTTGGAACTCCTTGGAGGAGCTTCGTGCAAACCTTGGGCTTGGCCTTTGGGAACAGCTCTTGGCCTAATGCACAGGAACAAAGGGCAGACCCAGGCCTGTTAACACTTCCCCACCAGGCACATCTGAGTTGGCTTCAATTTCTTCATCTGTAACATGTAAATAACAATACCCTGATTTCCTCCCAGGTTTGCATAAGATAATGTATATAACAAAGTCGTCTAGAAACTGTAACTATTAATGTATTATAATAGTTATTGTTATTTTGTTTCTATGATAGACTGCTTTCCTCCCACTGTGGACTCAAGAAGTGATTCATTCATTGATTCATTCATTCATTCATTCCTTCTTTAGGAAATATCAGGTATTGTGCTATATCTAGGGATACAAAGATGACGTGTATGATAATTCCTAGGTGGGACTCTTGAGTATCATATTTACATTAAGTAAACAGCTTTCACTCACCGGCCAGTTGTAGTACAGGTGGCACAATTTGAATGTAAGTCTCTGCATATGGTCGGGCTTCAAGCCGTTGTCATCATAGATGACATTATAGTAGGTAGGACTAACAGTTCCCCGGCAGGCCACCTGGCTGATCAGATAAAAGTCATACCTGAGGGGGAAAATGGAATGAATGTAGGAAAGAAGGCAAACAGAATAAGGTCAAACATAAACTGGACGCAATGAATGTTTTGTTAAAAATTGATTTTCCAGCGGCACTTGCCATTCGTTACGTGTTGCTTCTGAATCCACAACAGTGCCAAGTGGGGGGTTCTGTACAGTGCGGTTCATTTCGGTAAAGAATCGTGGCATGCACTTCTTCCTGACCACAATCACCGACAGTCTTGAGCTAAAAATTAGAGAGGCAAAATATGAAAAGAACTCAATCCAATCTATATAGCTTTCTATTTTTGTGTAATTTAAAAAATGAAATAAATAAAAATTCCATTTGAAAAACACTGCAAAACAGAAAATAAAAATTACCTACAATCCCTCCTTCCCTAGAGATACATACAATTTTTTAAATTAGGGATTGTCCGTATTTGTTGCAAAAGGATGCTATCCCAAGTCATTTGCCTAGTTTATACCACTCAAAGGGGGCAGGAAGGAATGCTGAACTTCAACTGGCACTTTTGCGAAAGATTTTCCAGAATTATCCATGGAGACAAGATGTGTGTGTGTGTGATTAGTGACTCAACCTATTTTCCCCTTCGCTCTTCCTCTCAATTTTATTTCCAAGTAGCAAAGGAAGAACCACAAGTTCTTCCTATTCCTCTTGTCATCCCTTCTGTATTACACAAAACTCATGCCTGGGTGGATGGATGGATGGACCAAATATATGTTCTGGCCAAATGCTGAATGGTGAAGTGTTAATGTATTTGGTAAAGCCAAGGCGAAATCCTAATATCTGTCATTACAAAAGGCATCCTTACATCCTCTGGGATGTAAGGATCACTGCGGAGTTTCATTTTAAGCATTATAATTATTTTTAAAATTTATCACGAACGTTTTCAATATTGAAACTATCAAAAGTTGATGTTATAGTGCAAGAAAAGTAACTCCTTAGCACTGTCAGCTGCTAAATTTACTCCTGCATCCCTCAGTTGCATACCTGTGATTCTTAATAAACACATGCACCTGAGATCAGTGGAGAGCAAAGTATTTTGGCCCTAACAGTTGGGATAAAGCTGCAGATGATACTGCCACCAAACTTTCAGGCTTCCCCTCCACTCTAACAATAACCGACTGAGGTCAAGACTCAGCTCCTTTGTGACTTGTGGCTGTGACCCTTTGGTTGATGGTGATGATGATGATGTAACCCTACAGATAGGGCTATGTGTCCTGCTTGGAATAAGATGCTTTCCAAATATTTTAAGAAGCTGACTTTAGATTATTGTCCTCTCCTATTTTCCATTTCCAACATTTTCTTGAACTTGCCATTTCACATAATCACTGCAGAAAATTTTGTACTGAAACACAGACAACAGTGGAGCAAGAAGCCTGGTGTTCAGGATGGTCTGATTTCCATCTGCAGCTCAGCTTTCATGGCACTCAAACCCTTTGAGAACCTTCCATAGACCTTAAGTGCACATCAGTGCCTGCAACTCAGAGGCTTTGGTTCTGTGTGTATTAGGGCCTTGAATTTGAAATCACGGTTTGTTTTCTTCCATGTGATATTAATATGTATGAAGTATTTTCACTGCCAGCAGCCCTGCAGGCTTCATGCTGAATCTGTGTCAGCTGCTCTGAGGGTACCTTTCTTTGTCTAGGTTTCCCCTCCCAGGGCCCCCAAAGCTTATACCACCCAAGCTATTTATGTTAGACCATCCCAACTACCCTCCAATCTGAAGGAAATGATAGAGCTCTACTGGCATGATACAGAAACACAGCAAAACTTAATTGCATAAAAAACAAAACTTATGCTTGAATACCTTGTGTGTAATAGCTACAGCTGAATATGCTATAATTGGGAGTATGGAGGAAAGAACAATAATTGAATACCTGGTATTTGAGCTGGATTCTGCCACACTGCTCAGCAGCTGTGGGACTTCATATTCAATAAGTGTTTTCAGCTGACCATCCCCTACACCAGCACGGTACACAATTATCCGTGCTGGCAAATCATGATTGTACTTGTACCATTTGTTGAGTGCTCCTGCAGAATTTGGTGTCAGTAAGAAAAGAATTACTTTTCTAATGCCAACAAAAAATAACATTCCCATATATTGCAGTGTTTAAATGGGTTTGCTATTTCAGACCACTGTAAAATAGGGCAATACATAATTTGGGTTATATTTGCAAGAATATAACAATGGATAACTTTAGGGAGCATTCCTCTGTCTCTGCTATTCAAGGAATCACAATGGTTTCTATGGCATGATATATTCTTAAACTTGGCCTATCTCTTTAAATAAAATTTTAATATTTAAGCAATAAATTAAAAATTAATGCAATAGACAAATGCCTAAAATCAAATATTAGTGTCTTCAAGTCTTTAAATCCTCTAATTAGATATAAACTAATTTTATGTCATTTTCCTTCCTAATGAGAATAAATATGAAAATCTAAGGAAATGGCTTTGCTGTTCCTCTGAAAACATATCTTCACACTGACTCACCCAATTGATTCCAATTCTCACTGAGGGAATGAACTCTGAAAACATTTCTACTCACTGTAACTATGAATTTCCTAAAGAACAGGGACCATAGAGTAACTGCTACCCAACGAAAACCTTTAATAACTGCTAAAAAAAAAATTACCTGCTAAAAAAATTTACCAGGTTTCGATGTGAGGGGAATATAATAGAATGCAATAATTATTTTCATGTATATATTGCATAGTTATTTTAAGAGTTTATTGTTTAGGAAATTCATTTTAGTTTGATAGAAGGTAATCATATATATAAGTCCATTACCAACATGTATAAGCAAATTCATTTTTTAAGAAAAAATATTTACAATACTCCCAAATTTACAGATGGGAAAATGCAGATCAGGAGAGGGAAGGGTTTGTACAAGTCACACTGCTAGGAAATAGCAAAGCCAGACCTAGGCCAGGAGTGGTGAAGAAACAGAAACCTTAGATTTGTCTTTGCATTGCATCCTGCTATGGATAGGGCACCTTTCCTCATCTGCTGTCTTTCCCTTCTTCTCTTGCTTTGCCACTTTATCTGTTAGCACCCCTATCCTAGCCCTATAGGCTTCCCTCCTAGGTCTACACTTAACATTGCTCTGTCATAACTCGAGTTCCTCCAGGGTTGGTTTCTTTTGACCTTCAAACTGCTTGTCAGGGAAACCAGCAGCCACAAATTTTCCTTCCTTCTGGCTTCATGTTATCACACACAGACAAATGTAAATGTAAATGCTACATAGTCTGATTGTTGGCCTAAATCGGCATGCAGCTTCAGAGATCTTCAACTGGGTGACAGTTGACAAAGACAGGTGTAGAGAGTTTGCTCTGACCTATGTGGTCTTCTATAAGCATGTGGATTTGAGGTCTGAAGGAACAGTCCTTGGAGCCCACCCACATTGCTATATTTTTAGTACCAGTCATGAAAACTTTCAAGCAATCTGCAACATCAGTCATTGTTCTCTGAAGGATACAGCGGGAAAACCACCTAAAGTTAAAAAAAAAAATAAAAGTAAAATTCAACTTCAATTTTTCTACCATAAATATTCATTAATATTAAATTAAGAAACAGAGATTATGAGTAAAAATCAATGTTCGCAATTTTGTATGTGTTATGTGTTCACAATTATATCAAAGAGACCCTTTACCCAAAAAGAATTTATTGAGAACAGAAGCTAAACATAGTGTTGGCATCAGCCATATCGAGCTTCAAATCCTAGTCAATATACTCACCAGCTGTGTAACTTTGCTATGTGAACCTAAGTCTCAGTTTCCTCATCTGTACCAAGGAGATTTACAAGGTAAGTAGATTAGTTACTACCTCATAGGGTTGTGGTAAAAATTAAATCACATGATATTTGTAAAATATTTAGCATAGTACTTTGCATATAGTAAAGAGTAATAGAGGCCACTATTATTGTTATAAATTAATGTACTAATTTAGCAATAGAGCTTCTACTGTCAAAATATTCAAAGATTTCTGAAGCATAAACTTTCATTTCTATAGGTGATCCTTTTGGATTAGAAATCTTAACATTATTGTGTAGATTTCAGAAACAAGTTCTCTTACTACCACCATTAATTAACTTAAAGCACTTGGAAATGAAGATCATGACTTTGTGTTAGGTATGTTCCAGCATTATTATACCTCTCTAAATATATGCAACAACAGTAATACAGCTACATGTGGTGGCGCGTGCCTATAGTCACAGCTACTTGGGAGGCTGAGGTAGGAGGACTGCTTGAGCCCATGAGTTCAAGGCTGTATTGTGCTATCACTGTGCCTGTGAATAGCCACTGCACTCCAGCCTGGGCAACAAAGCAAGACCCCATCTCTAAACATTTTGTTTTTTTGTAAAAAACAACAACAAAACAAAAAAAACAGAACACAATTAGGAATGCTGCCAACAAACTAGAAGTCCTGAGTGATATTAGCAAGGTGGAAGAATAGGAGCTTTCTACCATCATTTCCCTTCCAGAAGCATCAATTTTGACAATTACCCATGGATGAGACTAACTCCAATGGTGACGTTCCAGCACATCACTGGAGTAAAACATCAGAGAATGGATGCATTAAAGAGGGTAACACAAAGAGATTCACTTTACCTGCATTGCTCCTCCCCTACGGAGGGCACAGCTCAGTGCCATGACAGATCACATCAGCCCATGATTTCTCTTACAGGGTGAAAATTAGAGTGTAGTGAGTGAGTACCCAGCTCCCTCACCCATTCAGGATACTGCCTAGGATGCCCACTTTTTTCTTGCCTCAACCAGAACAACAAGATTATCAGCACAGCTGGGAGGTTAGGAGAGTCTGGGGGCAGGAAAGAGTGGCTGCAAACCCTACTGACTGCTCTATGAGCTTCATCAAGAGGCCCTCCTGTGGGTTTCTTAGGATACCTTGCCTATGGAGCACCTCAACTGACTCACAGGCACCCCAAATGCTACATGTATCTCACCACCACCCCTGACCAGGCTGGCTCCCCAACCACATTTGTTCAGATGTTGAGTGCAAGCATTTCACACAAACAGATAGCTTGACTCTTCAGGATTTGGAGAAGGTACACAAAATGAGCATTTCAGGGCACCACCCTAGGGAAAACAGATGAGAGCCTCTTGACAGCTGGCCTGGCTTTGTGGGATTGAGAAAGTGCATGCAATTTTAAGGATCCCCCCACCAAGTGAGAACCAGAAGTGTGGAGTGGGCACATGAATAGAAAACGTGTAAGAGAGCCTCAGAATCCCTAGCTGGGCTGACTGTTAAAGGTTTTTCTCTCCCAAAGATAGCCAATAAAGACTGGAAGAAATGACTGATTCTTCAAATGCAAAGACAGCAATGCAAAACTTCAAGAAACATGAAAAATCAGGAACTGACCGGGTGCAGTGGTTCATGCCTGTAACCCCAGCACTTTTAGAGGCCGAGGAGGGAGGATCACCTGAAGTCAGGAGTTCAAGACCAGCCTGCCCAACATGGTGAAACCCTGACTCTACTAAAAATACACAAAATTAGCTGGGCATGGTGGCAGGCACCTGTAATGCCAGCTACTAGGGAGGCTGAGGCAGGAGAATCAGTTGAACCTGGGAGGCAGAGGTTTCAGTGAGCTGAGATCGCACCACCACACTCCAGCCTGCGTGACAAGAGCGAAACTCTATCTCAAAAAGGAAAAAAAAAAAAAAAAAGAAAAGAAAAATCAGGAACTATGACACAACCAAGGGAACACAATAATATTCCAGTAATTGACCTCAAAGAAATGGAGATTTGTGAATTGCCTGAGAAAGGATTCAAAATAATTGTTTAAGGAAGCTCAGCAAGCTACAAGGGAATGCAGACAGACCACTCAATGACATTAAAAAAAAAATACAGAAACAAAACAATAACTTCAATATAGAGATAGAAACAATTAAAAAAGAACCAAGCAAGCTGGGCCTGGTGGTTCACACCTATAATCCCAGCACTTTGGGAGGCTGAGGCAGGTGGATCAGGAGGTTAGGAGTTTGAGACTAGCCTGACCAACACAGTGAAACCCCCTCTCTACTAAAAATAAAAAAAATTAGCTGGACATTGTGGCAGGTGCCTATAATCTCAGCTACTTGGGAGGCTGAGGCAGGAGAATCACTTGAACCCAGGAGGCGGAGGTTGCAGAGAGCCAAGATTGTGCCACTGCACTCCAGCCCTGGGTGAGTGTGAGACTCCATCTCAAAGAACCAAGCAGAAATTCTGGAGCTGAAGAATACAATTAAATAAAAGCAATAGAAAATATCAATAGCAGACTTGATCAGGTAGAAGAATCTGTGAATTTGAAGATAGGTCATTTGAAAATACACAAAGGAGAAAAAATAAAAGGATGGAAGAAAGCCTATGGAGTTTTTGGGATACCATAAAGAGGGCTAACATTTGCATTACGAAAGTTTCAAAAGGAGAACAGAGATAGGTGGAAAGCTTATTTCAAGAAATAATGGCTAAAATGTTCTTGAATCTGGAAAGAGATAGGAACATCCAGGTACACGTAGCTCAAAAGTTCTGAAGCAGGTTCAACCCAAAGAAGAATTCACCAAGACATATTACAATCAAACTGTCAAAAATCAAAGACAGAGAATGTTGAAAGCAGCAAGAAGAGAGGCTTATTACATACAAAGGAACCCTCATAGGCTATCAGCAGATTTCTCAGCAGAAACCTTACAGGCCAGGAGAATGAGATGATATATTCCAAGTTTTGAAAGAAAAAACTACTGATCTATCAAGAATACTTTTCCTTGAAAAGCTGTCCTTCAGAAATGAAAAAGAGATAAAGAAGTTTTCAAACAACAAACTGAGGAAGTTCATCACCATTAGACCTGCCATATAAGAAATAACAAAGGGAGTTCTTCAAGCTGAAATGAAAGGATGTAATAAGTAACATAAAAACATATAAAAGCATAAAACTCACTAATATAGGTAAGTATATCATCAAATTCAAAATACTCTAATACTGTAATAGTTGTTTATAAACTACTTATAACTCTAGTTGTAGGGATAAAAGATCAAAGTATTTTAAAATATAGCTACATAAGAAAATAACAATACAATTAATAAAAACAGCTACACAATATAATTAATGCATATATACACAATATAAGAAGATGCAAATCATGACATCTAAAACATAAAATGTAGGGGAGAAAGTAAAAGTGAGGAGTTTTTGTATGTGATAAAGTTATCAGCTTAAAATATACTGTTATAACCATAAGATGTTTTATGTAAGACTCATGGTAATTATGAAGCAAAAATCCATAGTAGATACTCAAAACAAAAAAGAGAAAGGAGTAAAGCATACTATTGCAGAAAATCATCAAATCACAAAGGAAGACAGAGAGAGAGGAATAAAGAAACAATCTACAAAAAAGCCAGAAAACAATGAATAAAATCACAATAGTGAGTCATCACTTATCAATATTTTAAATGTAAATGGATTAAATTCTCCAATCAAATGACACAGTGTAGCTAAATGGATAAAAAAGAAAACCTAACTAAATGCCACCTACAAAGAGATTCACTTCAGCTGTAAGGACACACATAGATTGAAAGTAAAAGGATAGAAAAAATATTCCATGCAAATGGAAACCAATAGAGAGCAGGGGTAGCTAAACTTAGGCAAAATAGACTTTTGTAAAAAAAAAAAAAAAAACCTCACAAAAATCAAAGTCGTTGGATAAGGATAAAAGAATCAATTCATTAAGAGAATACATCAATTTTACGTATGTATGCACCTAATAGTTGAGCATCTAAATATATAAATCAAATATTAACATCTGAAGAGAGAAACAGCAATACAATAATAGTAGGGAGCTTCAGTACTCCACTTTTAACAACAGATAGATCATCCTGACAGAAAATTAATAAGGAAACATTGGACTTGAATTATACTTTAGACCAAATGAATCTGATATATAAAATGTTTCGGCCAACAACTGCAGAATACATATTCTGCTCAAGCACACATGGAACATTCTCCAAGACAAATCATAGCCAGTATTAACAACTTTAAGAAGACTGAAATTATATCAATCTGTTAGTTTTGTATTGCTATAAAGAAACACTTTAGACTGGGCAATTTATTTAAAAAAAAGGTTTATTTGACGCATGGTCTTACAAGCTGTACATAAAGCATAGTGCCAGCATCTGCTTCTGGCGAGGGCCTCAGGAAGCTTATAATCATCATGAAAGGCAAAGGGGGGCCAGGGTGTCACATGGTGAAAGAGGGAGCAAAAGAGAGAGATCAAGAGACATGCCAGGCTCTTTTAAACCGCCAGCTGTTGCACAAACTAACAGAACAAGAACTCACTCATTACCATGGGGAGGGCAATCTACCCCCATGACCAAAACACCTCCCACCAGGCCCTACCTTCAACATTGGGGATCACATTTTTTGGAGGGGACAAACTATATCAATATTTGAACAAACTATATCAATCAAGCTTACTATTGTCTGACCATCATAGTATGACACTAGAATTAATAATGGAGGAAAACTGCAAAATTGAAATATAGAAACACAACATACTAAAACTTATGGGATGCAGCAAAAGTAGTTTAAGATGGAAGTTTATGGCAATAAATGCCTATGTGAAAAAAAAGGAAAGCCCTGATAAACATAAATGTAAAAATCCTCAACAAAATACTAAAAACTAAATTCAACAGTATATTAAAAGTTTCACAAATGATGAGAAAATGGGATTTATACCTGGGATGTAAGAATGGATGGTTCAACATATGCAAATCAATAGCTAGATGCATCACACTTCCTGATTTCAAATTATATTACAAAGCCATAATAATCAAAACAGCCTGATACTGCCATAAAAACTGACACATACGCAAATGGAATGGGATAAGACGCCCAGAAATAAATCCACACGTATACAGTCAACTAATCTTTGACAAAAACACCAACAATACACAATGGGATAAAGAAAGTCTCTTCAATAAATGGTGTTGAAATAACTAGATATTCACATGTAAAAAAACGAAATTGGACCCTTATACCATATACAAATATTAACTCTAAATGGATTAAAGACTTAAACAAAAGATCTTACACTGCAAAACTTCTAGAAGAAAACATAAAGCTCCATGACATTGATCTTGGCAATGATTTTCTGAATATGACACCAAAAATACAACAATATAATAAAAGTTTCTGCATAGCAAAGGAAATAATTAACAAAATGAAAAGCAACTTACATAATGGGAGAAAACATTTGCAATCACATATCTGATACGGGGATGATATCCAAAATATATGAAGAACCCATACAATTCAATAGAAAAAAAATCCAATTAAATAGACATTTTTCCAAAGATGACATATAAATGGCCAACAGATACATGAAAAGGTGCTCAACATCACTAATCATCAAGGAAATGCAAATCAAAACCACAATGAGATATCACCTTACACCTGTAGGATGGCTATGACCAAAAAGTCAGAAGATAAATATTAGGGAGAATGTGGAAAAATGGGAACCTTTATACATTGTTGGTGGGAATGTAAATTAGCATAGCCATTATGGAAACCAGTAAAGAAGTTCCTCAAAAAATTTCAAGTAGAACTACTATATGATCCAGAAATCCCACTCTGGCTATATATCCAAAGGAAAAGAAATCAGTATGTCAGATATCTACATTCCCATGTTCAATAGCCAAGATAGAATCAACCTGTGACAACTGATGGATGGTTAGGTAAAGAAATTGTGAGATATACACACACACACACAATAGAATATTATTCAGCCTTAAGAAAATCCTGCCATTTGCAACAACATGAATGAACCCACGGACATTATATTAAGTAAAATAAGCCAGACACAAAAAGACATACTGTACGATCACTTATATGTGGTATCTAAGAATGTCAAACTCATAGAAACAGAGAGTAGAAGATAGTTATCAGGGGCAGAGGATAGGAATATTTGATGTTGTTTGAAGGGTACAAACTTTCAGTTATAAGATGAATATGTTTTGGACACAATGTACAGCATGTTGAGTATAGTTAATTATCATGTACTATTGTATAGTTGAAATTTGCTAAGAGAGTAGATCTTAAGTAGTCTCACCACACACACACACAAATGGTAACTATGTGAGGTAATGGATATGTTAGTTACCTTGACTGTGGTAATTATTTCACAATGTATACATATATCAAAACATCACACTGTACATTCAAAATATATATAATGTATGCATCAATTATCAAAACTGATAAAAATTATAATAAATTTTCTGATAAATGGTGACCATTTCAGAAAAAAACTAAAGTGGATCCCTACCTCACTCCCTATATCAAAATAAATTTTAGATATACAAAGAAAAAAATGAAAGTCCTTTATCAACTTGATTAATGATGTGGCATATATAAGAAGCATCTCATACAACCTGGAATGAAGTTGTAGGCATGCAAGTATGGTGTTATTATGGTGTTCCTTTTTCTGTTTCCCACAATCCAAAATACATACCTGATCATGAATTTAATGGAGTAAATAAAATAGCTTAAGCCAGGAAGAAAACATTTTGCAAAGGGCTGCTATAGGCTCAAAACATATTGTTCAATTACAAAGGTGGAAACAATTCTAAGACCCATAGTTTAATGAGTACTATTAGCCAATGTTTAAGGCATTATCCCTGATTTTGCCTGTTTTTAATAGCTGTCTGAACAACAGCCACGTCAAATGTCTGCAAATATTAATAATCATAACAAGAAGTATGTATTGAGTATTTACTATGGGTGGAGATGTTCAATGCACCTTATTTTAGATAATTCCCATAAATGCCTTATGAAATAGTCATCATTATTATTTCTATTTTACAGATTACCATAGTGAGGCACAGCAAAGTTAAATAACTAGACCTCAGTCACAGAGTAAGTAAGTGGCAGACCAGGGTATAAATCCAGGCAATCTGATTTCAAAGATCAACTGCTCGACATGATATATGTAAAGTACCTAGTTCAGTTCCCAATATGGTGCAGACACTCAGAAAATAAATAAATGCACAAGAATTTGTACACATCTATCATTTGGGGAAGATGAGCAATAGCTCACCCTAATGAATATATAAAAGATTTTTTAATGAGGCTACATAGTACCCCAATATTATCAATCACATTTTTATATGTAAGTGTAATTTATGAACCTAAATGTTGGTGTTTAAAATGAGTGAATAATACAAAATATTCCTTGCTGTTACATTCTTTAGTGAAACCACAATTAATAGTCTAACTAAATGAAGCATGTGTTCAGGTAGTTTTAGCAGTACCTGGTGATTCTGGGGTTAACACTGGCCACGCATCCAACAACCATCACGTCCTTGCTGAGTGCATCTTTACAGACATCAATACCGACCACCATCAGGGACTTTAACTATAAAATTAAATTTGTCATGATTTAATGGGATGAGGTATCATTTCCCCTACCAATGGTTTAATAGGAAAGTTTTTAAAAACAGACTCCAGTTACTGAATTCTTAAAGTTAAGCTATGTGTAAGGGAGATTGAGATCCGTGAGCCAGATTATTAAACCAGAAATGAGAGAGACTTAAAGAAGGCAGGAAGAATATGGTACACACTTATCTTAAGAGAAACACTACCGTCCAAGATAACCATCATCCTTTGTGGGGTGGGGAAGGGGCACCAGTGGCTAAAGAGATTCTGGGAGTGTGGTCAGTGTATCTATCGCTTGCCTCTGGTCTGGAGCAATCTGAAGAGGAATTCCATTCTTCATTCTTCAGATCTCTAAGGAATCCTCACTTGGCTATGCACCTTTGTGGGGAGTGGGAGAGAGGGAGGCTGAGGGTAACCATGTTCATTCTGGTTATGGACATGTAAGGAAATGGGCAACACTCCCTCACTTCTCATTCTCCTCACTTACTCCCATGGTGGCTACAGTTCAGGGAAGAGAAGAGGATTTTCTCAGTACCTACCACAGTTTGGAGGTTCAGGTCATAGGCTATGCCAGCTCCCCAGGCTCTGGGGAGGCCCCATCCAGGGTGCAAGGCTATTCTCAGAGTTAGCACCCTGATGAAAGCAAGTAAATGTGGAGGCAATGGAACACAGATTTTAAAATAGCAGCCAAGAGGATTCAAATCAGGTCCCTATGCTGAGTTAGCAGCTTAACTGAAGCTCCCTGAGAAGTATGGAGCCTCTTTTGGAGATTCACAATGGCTTATGGAATGCCAGAACCCAGGGCAAAGGCTCAAGAAACAAGCAAACCAAATAATTCTGGGATCATGTGATAACATCTCCTACTTTAATCTTTAAAATAAATTTATTAATTACTAATAGAAAAAATGTGACAGGGTCCTTACAGGTATTTCCACAGCCCACAGCTCGCCTCCGAGCTTGCAAGTCATCTGCATAGCGATCTTGGTGGCGATACTCATCATCATGCCCTGTTTATTCAAGGTCCGAGCAAGCACACATTGGCTTGGGACTGGGCAGTCTGAGCTCAAATATTTTTTAATGGAATCATAATAGGTCTTCTGATTAGAAGGCAGAATGCACATTACCTAAAAGCAAAAACAGCAAAAGATTTTGGAAGTTAATTTACTTCTGCTAAGAAGTTGCTTTTTAAAGAAATGAATTCATGAATTATTCTCCAAACATCTTTTACCCTTAAGTTCCCAAGAAGCAACACTAACATGCCTACAGTTCTCTTAAATGGCCATTAAAACACTGGTGAATTAATCAATCCATTTGAAATGCCTTCTCATTAGCCATTCACTCTGCAAAGCCCCACCCACTCCTACCCATTTCCCTTGGCTTTTCCTTTCTCCTCATTTCTCTCCTGATTTGATTCTGTCAATTCCCTCAAATTCCCTTCTCACAGAGCTGCTTCTCCAGCTATCTCCACTCCCTCACCCCCAACTTTGCAGTGATCCTTTCCTATGGTTTTCGAGTTATCATTCCCATTGGTCCCTCCCTGACCCCACCCAAAGATAAGCCAAAGTTGAGAATTAGCTTAAACTATGGTGCTTTTCCCATTAGGTACAAGATAACCAAAATAAAGGACACAAAAATACACTTTTTTAAAAAAAAGCTGAAGTTGAGAGTATGGATATGAGTGGGGGGTGGATAGAGAAGTTTCAAGTCCCCTGGCTTTTTTTTTTTTTTTGAGACAGAGTCTCACACTGTCACCCAGGCTGGAGTGCAGTGGCACGATCTTGGCTCACTGCAACCTCCACTTCCTGGGGTCAAGCGATTCTTGTGCCTCAGCCTCCCGAGTAGCTGGGATTACAGGCGCCTGCCACCACGCCCGGCTAATTTTTTCTAATTTTAGTAGAGACGGGGTTTCACTATGTTGGCCAGGCTGGACTCAAATGCCTGACCTTGTGATCCACTCACCCCGGCCTGGCCTCCCAAAGTGCTGGGATTACAGGCGTGAGCCACCGCCCCTGGCCTACTCCTACTTCTTATCAGATGCTTTCCGCACTGAAGGGCCTACCTCCGCCTCCTTCTCATCTTTTATTCTCCACTTTCAAAAGCCCCCAAATTGTAGAAAAGACATGCACTGTCAATGATTAGCAGAAGAAAACAAAGTAATTTTTCCACCTATAGAATTATTTAAAGTCACAATGTCAAAAGCTAAAATTATTTACATTTAATTATATAAAGTGAAGAAAAATATTTTTAAATTATCAGCAAAAGGCTCTTAGAGGCCTTCCTTCCTTCCAATTCATGAGTTTGGCTCCAAGCAAGAAAAGTGGTAGAACAAGGCAGTGGCCCAATGGGCTGAGAGAAGATGGGAGCCGAGTGAGACTGGTTCCACACCAGGGGCTGGACAAGTAAGCAGGTATGCGGGGAATAACAGGAGCCATGCAACATACATTTCCTAGCTATGTCCATTGAGAAAGCCTGGGGATAGCAACAACCCAGTAGCAATGAAGCACACCAAGTGCCCCAAATCTTTGTATCTAAATACTATTCTCTGCTAAAAGGAATCAGGACTCCTGGGAAAGATATCTGATTCCAGGGCGGGGAAGCAACACTGTAAGATGAGCCTGGAATATCTTATTTTGCCAGAAAGTAAGAAAGTGTTCCAAGAAAGATGGAGACACATGAAAAAGACACAGAAGCCAGCTTGAAGGGGAATCCCACTGGCAAAATCAGGTACAATATTAAGAGCAACAAAATAAATAATAAGAGTAATGGACTATAACAAAATAGGAATCTATGAGTCTATGCAGATATAAAGAAACAAACGAATAAATGGGGAGAAGAGAAAGTTCTTCCTATGCCACCTAATAACTGTAGAAGGACTGATGGAATGGAATACTATCATTTGTTAACCATCATAATAATGATGGATTCAGGCAAGAATTATAATAGATGCTAAGACAAATGGGTAAAAGTTTGATGAGGAACAGGATTATTTATATAGTCTCAAAATATCTACATATGTACACATGCAACTGATAAAGCTTAACTTTACAGTGGAGAAATCGGGCAGATGTCACCATAATCCACCATACAGTGGAGTGACACCTGGTAGGATGCACTTAGAATATAGGATCATTGCTGTGCTACTCTTGCCAAAAGTGCATAACATGAATTTAATCATGAGGAGACATCAGACAAACCCAAATCGAGGGACGTTATACAAAATAACTAGTCTGTACTCTTCAAAATTGGAAGGTCATCAGAGTCAAGGAAAATTAAAGAGCTGTTCCAGATTGAAGGAGAGACTATAGAGACTGGACAACTAAGTGCAGGACAGTAGAGCCTTTTCCTACAGAGGTGACAATTGAGACAAATGAAGAAAACTGTTTCTTAATTTTGATGATTGTCATATGCTTCTGTAAGATAGAGACCTTGTTTATAGAAAATATGCACTGAAATAGTCAAGGGCACTGGGGCATCATGCCTGTAACTTATGCTCAAATAGTTCAGCAAAAAAGATAGAAAATAATAAAGCAAATATGGTAAAAGGTCAATAATTTGGGATTCTGGGTGAAGGGTATATGAGAGAGTTGTTTGTACTGTTCTTGTCACTTTTCTATAAGTTTGATTTAAGTAAAAAATAAATGCTCTTAGGGTGAGAATTCTCTGTTTCATATAAGATCCTTTAGAGTAAAAGAGAAACTCACTAAAAGAAAAGCAAAGAGATAGCACTTAGCTAGTTCAGTTAGTTTGCATGACATAACAACAAGAATGTTGGATGTTGAACTGAGTGAGCGAGGGAGGTAAGAAGGGTAGATGGAATGGACAGGAAAAGCCCTACAATAGCCTGGGGGTGCTGAGGTCTGGTAGAAGAGTAAACATTCCTGGGAAATAGGAATCGTTGAAAGATTTTTAAGAACAGGGATGTCAATTCTAATTTTTCTGGAATGTTGGGATGTGATGTAATCATGCCTTGGCCCCAAACAGTCTGCAAAGTCAGCTACACACACATGCCCTTTGGGAAATGAGGCAACTGTGGATGTCCCACCAGGTGATGCAGCACCGGAGGAAGTGGTCCTCTCTGAAATGCACAGAAGGTGGCAAGAATTCACAGGAAGCAGGAATTTGGGGCCATAGGTCACTTGGAAAAACCTAACCCTCCAAGAATCCCCTGAAATATAGGGAACACTGGATACCAACATTTATGTGATGAGGTGGGAGTCAGTTTATCTTAAATCTTAAGGAAAAGATGACCCCAATGAGTTGCAAAATATGCAGACACCAATGGCTGTTATAGGGGTAACAAGAAGTACTGTATTTTAAAATTAATATTAGAAATGTGGAAAGGAAATAAAATATTGATTAAAATACTAAGATTAATATTTTCTTCGGTGCTTTGGAGAAATGCATGGCAATTTGCAAATATATCATGGGAGGGTATGTTCAGACTGTAGATATAAAGCAGAACTAAAATTATAGATTAAAGGAGTTCAAAAAGTATCCTGTACTTACCAGCTGAACATCAGGATCAACATATTGCTGTATAGCTCTAACAAATGCAGCTGGATTTTCTTGTACTTTTATGCTACATAAAAAGATTAATTTTGAAGCTATGTAACTTCCTTCTTAGTAGCACATACTTATATGGCATTAGAAATAATACAAATAAATTTTCATAACAAACTAGTAGTTTTAGGAAAAATTATTAGAGAAAATAACCTTTTGAGTCTAAAATTGTTTCTTAAACTACAAAATATGACAAAAACATTTCGCAATAATTTTTACAGTGTAAAAAATGGTTTGGTAGAAAATCAGATCTTCTCAATTGTCCAGAATCCCTATAATCAATAATTCTGTTGTTCAAAATGGGGTTGAAAGTGAACTTTTGAAATCCCAAGTCTCACAGTATCAAATGTCTGAAAGAGTGTTCAAGCTCAACCAGGATTAAGATTTCTGTAAGAGTGAATTGCTATAGGAATCTAAAAATGAATGTTTCAGAAAACATCAGGTTAATGAGACCAAGATATTCAGCTAATTTGCATGATTTAGACAAAAATATCTTTATTTTCCTTAGTGGTTGCTTGTCTGGAGCCTGGAATGTCTAGCCTTAATCAGCGCACAAGTACTTAACAATTATCTGTTCTGTGCTTACATTATGTTAGGGGCCAGCAGCTCCAAAAGTAATTCTCACACACATAGGAATTTGTAAAACTAGTTTCTTTATGTAGAATCAGCCTCTTTTATGTGTATATAAGTGAACTGTCCCAATGCCCAGCGGCTTTTTAAAACTCGCCCAGCAGGTGACAGGACCATCAACCCCATGACTGCAGATACTAACAGACCTATGTGACTGGCTGGCCGAACCGTCTCAGCAACTAGATGGTCCTGACTCATCCAATTCAAACTCTCGCACTCTGACTCTGCTGCACTTACAGTCCACTCCTAAAATCATCAGGTGAATGTTTTAGAAGACAGAAGCTATGCATATAAATCTAACAGGTAAATGGATACTTCATGGAAAAAAGAAGGTTGAAATAAAATACGAGCTTTCAAATAAAACAGGCCAAGGACAGAACATAGCAATGGGCTTGTTCCAGAATTCACATGAGAAAGAGCCTGTGATGTCAGCCCAGGATCTGCGGACTGTGGCTTCTTTCATAATCATTTCCTGCTTTATTAGCTCATGGGTTTAGAGAAAGTAGAGCGGGTGAAACTCAATCCAGGCTATTTATTAACAGATTTGATAAGAGGAGAGTTCTAAACAATGGTGTTAAATGAGACTTTGGGATTAATACTTGTGCTGCTGATGCAATTAATTAGTAACTATGTGTTTAAAGAATAACTCCATTATAACAAAGAAAAGTATCTGTTCCTCTTTTCTAAGCATATCAGTTTCAGTAAAATGAGGCATGACCAACTTTATGGCTTTTCTAAAGCAAAACAGTATTTATTTTCAGTGTGATTGTATATGTATCTCTTACTCAATGAAAAACTATTTATTTATCTTTCTCATTCCCAGCAACTGGCATAGTATCTACACATATTAGTACTCAATAAACATTCTAAGAATAAATGGTTGACCTTAGTCTTATCAGAAAACTCTCTGAATGACTAATAGTATGCTACAGTAACAGAATCAGAAAAGCTTATTTGAGATCTATTTTCATATTAAATTTTAAAGCATAAAATCAAGTAAAAGTCAGGACATGCAACTTCTGTTTTTTAATATCCATTTCCTATTAAGTAAATAACTGATATGAAAAACTGATCTGAAAGAAGGAAAAACAGTTGAGAAGACAATATATGGACTTATTAAAGATTTATATCCCAACTGGTACTGGAAAGATTTTCAGGTAATGACACTACTGCTTAAGAACTGGGTACAAGTTTTACAAAGGCCAACATAAAATATATTCTAACTTTATAAAAGTTTAGTCATTACAAAATCTATCTACTTATGACTACTTTCTTGGCACTTTACATTAGGAAACTACTGGGATAAAGAAGCTTTTGTTGATACATCTGCCATTATTCCCTACCTTCTAACCAAACCAAATTAATATATGAACAAAATTCAATGTATTCTCACATTTTGGGGTAGTCCACATTAAATCCCATGGAACCTGCAACTCTTCTCAAGCAGTTCAGAAAGCTCTCGGCAACATATTCAGTTCTGTCGCTACATAAAATCAACCAGGTATTCAAAGACTGTGCATTTAAAATCTTGCAAGTTCGAATATCCTTGGACCAGTCAGCAGCAGACACAGGTTGACACTGAGAAAAATAATGATCATGAAAGGATTGAACAAATTTATTCAGAGAGCAGCTAAATAAAGACAGTGTGAAGATGGCCAACTTTTGTTATAACTGTTTAACACAGTTTGCTATTCAGTCTTAAAACACAGATGCAGGCACTGCACATCCGAACAGAATACATGTGCTTTCTGGGAGTGGAAGCATCTGGGCGTCATCCCAGGTCTTCCAGGCACTGGTGGCCCTTGGAGGTCCCTTTAACCTCATGATTCTCTGCGGTGCACAGAGAATGGTGTCTGATTCAAAGATCTCTGAGGTTCCCTTCCAGCTCTGAGTATCTATGCCTTTATTATGAATGACTCAGGCAAACAGCCTGTATCATTTTATCTTTTACTTTAAGCATCTAAATATCTCAGAGAATGCTGATTATCAATACTCTAGGTCATCATAATAAAACTAACACACCCTACAGAACAGTTAAGTGTTGCAAGAAGTCAGGGACCCCAAACGGAGGGACTGGCTGAAGCCATGGCAGAAGAACATGGATTGTGAAGATTTCATGGACATTTATTAGTTCCTCAAATTAATACTTTTATAATTTCTTATGCCTGTCTTTACTGCAGTGTTTAAACATAAATTGTGAAGATTTCATGGACACTTATCACTTCCTCAATCAATACCTTTGTGATTTCTTATGCCTGTCTTTACTTTAATCTCTTAATCCTTTCATCTCGTAAGCCGAGGAGGATGCATGTCGCCTCAGGACCTTGTGATAATTGCATTAACTGCACAAATTGTAGAGGATGTGTGTTTGAACAATATGAAATCTGGGCACCTTGAAAAAAGAACAGGATAACAGCAATGTTTAAGGAAAAAGAGAGATAATCTTAAACTCTGACCACCGGTGAGCCGGGCGGAACAGAGCCATATTTCTCTTCTTTCAAAAGCAAATAGGAGAAATATTGCTGAATTCTTTTTCTCAGCAAGGAACATCCCTGAGAAAGAGAATGCACGCCTGGGAGTAGGTCTCTGAACTGGCCCCCCTGGGCGTGGCTGTCTTTTATGGTCTGTAGACTATAGAGGTGAAATAGACCCAGTCTCCTATAGCGCTCCTAGGCTTATTAGGAAGAGGAAATTCCTGCCTAATAAATTTTGGTCAGACCGGTTGCTCTCAAAACCTTGTCTCCTGATAAGATGTTATCAGTGACAACGGTGCCCGAAACTTTATTAGCAATTTTAATTTCGCCCGGTCCTGTGATCCCGCCCTGCCTCCATTTGCCTTGTGATATTCTATTACCTTGTAAAGTACGTGATCTTTGTGACCGACACCCTATTCGTACACTCCCTCCCCTTTTGAAAATCCCTAATAAAAACTTGCTGGTTTTACGGCTTGTGGGGCATCATGGAACCTACCGACATGTGATGTCTCCCCTGGACGCCCAGCTTTAAAATTTCTCTATTTTGTACTCTGTCCCTTTATTTCTCAAACCAGCCGATGCTTAAGGAAAATAGAAAATAACCTATGTGACTATCGGGGCAGGTTCCCTGATAGTTAAGATTATATATTAAGCTAGGAGTAGGTATGCTTAGAAGCAAAGATGAAGCCAGGATGGAGACTCCTTTCTCACTCTCAAAAGGTCTCTCATGTGACCAGGAAAAACAGGTTTCCTGCGCTGAAGAGGGGGAATGTTAGCCTGCTTCCCAGACCTCTGCTTATATCCTCAGACTATAATTGAATGATGCCTTTGGCACAGCAAGTGGGGAAGATCCACTGTTAGAACTAAAAGGGACCACATTGTATGCTAATCTCCTGCTACTTGAAGTGCTGTCAAGTGTTACTTGACCAGCAGCTTGAGCACTGCCTAGAAGCCAGTTAGAAATGCAGACTCCTGTGCACCACCCGAGACCCACTGAATCAGAATCTGCATGTTAACATGTCCCCCAAGTAATTCACATGTACATTAATATTTAAGAAACATCCCAATCCTCTTGTTTTACAAACTAGAAAGCTGTGACTGAGAGGTTATGAAACCACTTGGCAGCAGCGACAGGTTTAGAATGCTGGTCTCCTGACATGGCAGCCAGGGCACTTGTGACCAAGCACTCTGACTTATCTGACTTCCAACCATCAGCCATCCTCATGATGCCTTCCACTGGCTGGGCTGGATTCAGCCCCAGGAGTCCACCTACCTCGGCCTGAGAGCAAAGGAGAAGGGCTAGCTTTCCATCAATGGCTCCCTCTGGAGTCAACGTTCATTCCTGTCCATTAGGGCATGAGGAGAGCTGTACTCCTTCTGCCCACAACATTTCTTCCTGCTGTTGTCTTATGGGGCTGGGAGGAGACCCAGGACAATGTACCCTGAGTCCTATGAACTTTTAGTTCATTCAGTTCCTAGGACCTAATTTCAGAAAAGCAGAATGGGCCAAGAAGTTGATGATATTGTCATCTTAGACACCTGCTACCTCCAGTGCATGAGTTCTCCTGTTTTAATGCCCTTTCTCCTATGGACACCAGTTTCTACACCAAAAAAATGCAAACAAATACATAAAAATGAAAGGCTCTGGGAAATACGACTTTACTTATAGAAATTATGAGATGGATCATTTTAAGTACATAAGTCCTTCTTCACATGTGGATCTGAAACTGAGCTTCTCTTTACTGAACTCTCGCCAAGATCCTAATGGGAGTCTACATTTTAGTACTTTACCATAAAGTTTTGTTTTGTTTTGTGTTGAAAAATAGTACTTCCTTATCTTCTCCAATGAGAGTTTTTGTAACTTGGATAGATTATTGTAAAGATATGACAAGGCCAGGCATGGTGGCTCATGTCTGTAATCTCAGCACTTTGAGAGGCTGAGGTGGGAGGATGGCTTGAGCCCAGGAGTTCAAGGCCAGCCTGGGCAACACAGGGAGACCTGGTTTCTACAAAAAATACAAAAATTAGCTGAGCATGGTGGCGCACGCCTATAGTCCCAGCTTCTTGGGAGGCTGAAATGGCAGGATCGCTTGAGCCCAGGAGGTTAAGGCTGCAATGAGCTGTGATCATGCCACTGTGTTCCAGCCTGGGCAACAGAATGAGACCTGTCTCAAAAAAAAAAAAAAAAAAAAAGATGGAAAAAATTCCCCCCATTCTACCAACATGATACATTCATTGTTCAATTATATCAGTTAGACATACTGGTTTATTACACCCAATAAAGGCAAGAAGAGAGCCTTTAAACATGACATGTGACTGGTGTTTTAAAGTGGGCAAAACGGAGGGGGAGGGGAGAAAGATAATGTATAATTTTTGCGTAAAATATTAATAGGTTCATTTCTTCAGCCGAAGTCTGGAAGTGGCGATGATTTGTCTCTTCAGGTTTCAGAATGCCTCTCTCCCCAAGTACTATGTCTGGGGCTGGGTTCTGTGCATACTTCTTGATTTTAATGTCCATTGAGCAGTGTTTTATTTCGAAAGATTAACATACATAACTGACATGGCAACTAAAAGTCATTGCAAAAGCTCATTGCAGCCTTAACCTCCTGGGCTCAGTTTTGGTATCAGAAAACAATCTATTAGAACTAATGTCCACCAGCTAATAGAATTTCCTCAGATGACTATGGCTTTCTTTTTTAAGAGCAATGCACCACCCAACAGAAGATAGGTATGTTTTAATTGCAATGATTTGAAATACTGTCTTCTGACTAACCTAAATCATGTCCACTGGGTGCCGCTAAGTCCGTGCAAGTAAATTCAGATTGAAAAGGAAACCACAGGGGATCTGAAGTCTTAGGATAAAGAGATGGAAGTACATGGCCAAACCAAATATTATAAGCACACAAGCCACTCTGGCCAATGCACAAAACTTACACATATTCAAGTAAATACTTTTAAATGAAAATAAAATCACAGCACTTACTATGTGGTCTTGCATTAATATTTTTTCTGAAGGCACAATCCGGCCAGTCAGAGATATCTGGCTTCCAAAATGCAGTCCCCAGGTCTCTAGTTCAAAGCGAGCATTGGTATTCCTGTTGATAAAGTTGTTTTAAATCATTAAAGAGAGATATAATTATAACTTACTGAATTCGTCAGGGGCTGATTTTCTGTGTCTTCAGGATTCCTGGCTTCTAATTCTACTCAGCATATTTTTTCCCTGCTTAAAAGAATTACGGGACAACTGTGCTCATTTGGGATGTTCAGGAATGGGAAAAGGATTCCAGTGGGAGTACAGTGGTTAGAAAAATAAGCTTTCGAGCCAGACAGACCTGGGTTTAACTCCTAGCTCTAACATTTAATAATATATGACCTTGAGCAAACTATTCATCTTTAAGGCCTTGGTTTCCTTACTGGCAAAATGTAAGGATAATAAAAGCACCTACTTCGTAGGATTGATATAAAGATGAAATATGATAATGCACAGAAAGTGCTCACCACAGTCCCTGGCACATGGCATGTGCTCAAAACCTATGAGATATTATCATTCCTGATAACACACTCGTTAATAAGGAGATATTTTGGAGCCAGTGGATGTGGAGATGTCTTTTGTGAATATGTGAATTTCTTGGGTTGAGAGTCGAAGAAGGATGATAAAAGAAGGGAACATAAGAATGTAAGCTTCAGAAGATTCAGGATCTTCCTATTACCCTCTCTATCCTATGAGGAGAATATTAATATCAGCAATAATAACACTGCTTTCTATTGTGTAGTACTTTCCATTTATAACTTAATAAGCTTTAATCATAGTTGATGTTTTAGCTCATGGGAGTATATGATAACTTCCACTGAGCCATAAGCTCCTTGAGAGTGACAACCATATATAGGACTCAGCACACAGTAAGCCAGGCATTTGCGGGACATGGAGGAGATCCCCACGCTTTTGTTTCCCTATTAAAGCTCTACCAATTTTTTTAGGGAAGCTCAAACCTCTTCACCACTGTCTCTCTGCAATAGCTCACTATTTCCACCTATTCGGATTATGTCTTCTCTGGTCACACTAATTCCTTTGAGTTAATTATTTTGCTTCAGATACCAACTGCCCAAGATGAGATGAGTGAGGCCATCATTGGTCAGGAAATGGGGTGAGGTGTGTGGTACTACTGAAAGGTGGCAGATAGATGCATCAGGAAGATTAATCCACAGTCACTATAAGGGAAACGAACCAGGAATTCCTTCTCAATTCGGCATAAGTCTGAGGGACGTCCAGGGTAAATGACGTAAAGTATATCCATGAAATTAAAAAACTATGAAAACACTAGCATGATAATAGAGATCATGTTTATCATATGGAAATGTTTGAGAAAAACCCTGAAGTGAAAAGAGCAAGCTACAAAACATGACGTACAGTATTATACCATTTCTCTTTTAAAAAATAGGATTATATGCGTTTGCAGAGTCTGAAAGAATATTACTAATATTAATTGAATTAATTATTAATTCAATTGTGATTCACTCATTTGTTAAATATTTACTGAGTAAACACACATACACACTCTTTTCTCTCTCCTTTCTTTGTGCTACGTAAGTTTCCAAATCCTCCATGAGCTAGTACTACTTTAAAAAAGATTTAAGAAAAAAAAAAAAAGACTGTTGATCAACAATATAGCCCAATAGGAATATAAAGCAAGCTACATACATAATTATAAATTTTCCAGTAAAAATGGAAAATTTTTACTTCCACCTTAAGAAAGTAAAAAAATGACAAGTGTGAAATTACGTTTTAAATATATGTTATTTAACCTATTTAACCCAATAGATTAAAAAACTGTCATTTCTAGATGTGTCACTAGCCACATTTCAAGTGCGCAGCAGCCACCCTAGATAGTCCAGTTTTAGAGGGTCAGAAAGGAAAACCAAGGAGAAGCTCAATTTTCCAATCACATGTTATAGCAAACTGTCATAAATAAGAACGGAAACATAGTCTGATAATCAGATGGGCAGAACCAGATGGCACAAAGGTATATCTCAAATTTAAAAGGCACATAGTGGGGTTTTCCTAAAGTTCAGTCTGCTGAGGCCATTGTAGTAAGAGCTGAGCATTCCTGACCCTTAATACTGGGGGCCTGGTGTTTTTCTGGTTGCTTTGTTTGCTTGAAGGTTGTTGTTATTGTTTAGATTATAACCTTTTTCTTTATTCAACATTTTATCCAGACTTCAATGTATGAAATAGATGAAAGCAGGGCATGGAGGTAAAGCAAGTGTTATTCCTATCAGCATGGCCTCCAACTCCCTTCAACCCCTTAGTCCTGAGACATCTCAGATGAAGGGCTGTGGACAGCACAATTCAAAAGCTCCTTGCTCTGAATCAATATGAATGACACATTTCCTTCAAGGAATATATCAGTGTTACATAGGCCATCTAATACTAAAAACTCAGCCCCAGGAAGGATGCATGCGGTGATCCAGTACCTCTGGATGTTGTCCACAAGCCTGGCCAGGCGCTGCTGCCGGCCTGAAGGACTGAGACGTGTCTTTTCAGCCACAGCCTTCATCAGCTGGAAATCAGATGTTGCCTGGTCAGTCAGCCCTATTAAATGCAAATGAAGACAAAGTGAGAAAATGAACATAAGCAACTCAGCCCATCAAAGGCCCAGTTTAAACCTTTCCACTTGAATGCATTCACCATCTGTATAGCACATCCAATAGAAATGAAAACCACGTATGTCATTTTAAGTTTTCTGGTAGCCACATTAAGAAAAGGCAAAAAAGAAACAGACGAAATTACTTTGAATAGTGTATATTATTTAGCCCAGTATATCCAACATATTATCATTCCAACATGCAATCAACATAAAACATTTATTGTTGAGGTAGTTTCCTTCTTTTTTTTCATACTAAGCCTTTCAAATCTGGGCTGTGTTTTACACCTAAAGCACACCTCCTCTCAGTCTTTTAGTAGAGCTAGTCCCAATTCAAGTGTTCAAAAACTCATGTGCTACTGGCTACTGTATTGGGTCCTGCAGACCTACAATATCAGAACACCATTAAGAATGAGCACCCCTTAGGCCGGGCGCTGTGGCTCATGCCTGTAATCCCAGCGCTTTGGGAGGCCGAGGCGGGTGGATCACCTGAGGTTGGGAGTTTGAGACCAGCCTGACCAACATGGAGAAACCCCGTCTCTACTAAAAATACAAAACTAGCCAGGCGTGGCAGTGCTTGCTTGTAATCCCAGCTACTCGGGAGGCAGAGGCAGGAAAATCGCTTGAACCCGGGAGGCAGAGGTTGCAGTGAGCCAAGATCGCACCATTGCACTCCAGCCTGGGCAACAAGAGTGAAACTCCATCTCAAAAAAAATAAAAAGAATGAACACCCTTCCCTTCAAGGATTATATCCTCATTAATTTTTCTTTCTTTCTTTTCCTTTTTTTTTGGAGACAGAGTCTTGCTCTGTCACTCAGGCTGGAGTGCACTGGCGTGATCGCGGCTCACTGCAACCTCCGCCTCTTGGGTTCAAGTGATTCTTCTGCCTCAGCCTCCTGAGTAGCTGGGGTTACAGACGCGTGCCACCGGGCCCAGCTAGTTTTTTATTTTTAATAGAGATGGGGTTTCACCATGTTGGCCAGGCTGGTCTCGAACTCCTGACTTCAGGTGATCCGCCCGCCTTGGCCTCCCAAAATGCTAGGATGACAGGTGTGAGCCACCACGCCGGCCCTTCTTATTAATTTTTCTAATGGCAAAATAGATATATACACATCATAACTGACTCAAGGAACACACAAATGCAAAACGTAGAAAGTCTTCACTTCCTAGGCCTACCTGTTAGTCAAAAGAACATTGTTAAAAGTACTCGAGGCAGTTATTCAGATTTTACTGTATAATGAGGATTATATTCTGAAAATTCACGCAAAAAGAAAGTATGGATCATTCTGGCACCACTCTACTGATACACCTGAAGAAAATCTGAGTCACATTCCTTCCTATACTAGTAAATTCAAATAATGGCAAAGAGAAACTTGGTTTTAGGATGATATCAGGGGGTCTATTTTACATCAAAGTAATACATGGAATATATGAGATAAAGGGAATCGATTCCCCCAACATGTCTCTATTATTGAATAAATTACTTAAAAGGACCATCCTCCATGGGTTAAATCGATGTCCTGGCATTCATGTAACTTAAAGAGGGTCTGCCCACTGCCAAGCATCAGGGGCCTGTATCCAGGAGCCTGACAGAGGTATAAAACACAAACATTACCTGTTAGAAAGCAGAGCTCAGGTATCAGGTGGGCGAGCTGAGCCTCACTGTTGTCATTTCTCTTCTTCTTTAACAGACTAACAAGCATGGGCTGATTCAGGTCCGATACAGTAATATCATACTGCTATAAAATGCAAGATTAATAAGTAAAAAGTTAACATGGAAGCACCGCCAGGTGAGCATCCTTACATTCAACAAGGTGATCCTAACATTAATATATAAATAAATCTAACCAATCCCATAGTTACCTACTTATTGCTACTTTCTTCCCAGGACCTATCTTTTATATCTGAGGGCCAGTTTTATTATTTTAATTATCTTTTCTAATGCAACACCATTAAAAATATCGTTTCCCTGCTGTCTCTTGGTTTCAGCCAGATTCAGAATAGACTCCAGCTGGTTCTACACATAGTTCAATGACATCACTGGGACTGACTCAGAGCCAGCATTTCTACTACTGATGACTGAGGTAGACTGCCCCATGCTTAACTATCTGGCTCTAAACATCTATATTCATTTTGAAAATATCTATACACAAGCTGGAGGCGAGTTATATTGAGACAATCTCAGATTTCCCAAAACAGCATGACTGTCCTTACCTTCTAGGATAGTAGGATGTTACGGGGAAGCAGCCCTGAAGTCTGACAAATGTGAATCTGATCCCCAGCTCTTCTATTTGCTTGGGCTGTGACACTGGGGAAGTGACTTAACTTTCCTCATCTATGAAATAAGGATAACAGTAGCTCACAGGTATCCTGTGTAAACCACTAGCATGGGGTCTGGTTTATAATGAATCCCCGGCAACTGTTAGTTCATATTCCTCTCCCTTTACCATCCTAAACTTAAGTTTCAGCAGTCTCACCTTGGCAAAAGCTCATTTACCCTCTAATGACAAAGGTTACAATGAACACTCATTTCCATTATAATTTAATCCACATTAGTGACAGAACAACTGGAATTATAATTTACAAAATGCCTGGGTATTGTGACACTGAGATCAATAATCACAATAAAAGAAGTCAAATGTGAGCATTTCTATATTTCAAGAAAAACTTTGTCATTAAAATAAAAACCAAGTCAAGAATCTCATTTGAAAGTAGCAGGTGCAACTGATGCTATGGCTAAAAAGTTTGGAGAAGCCTTTATCAAGTGAGTTTGTATGCATGACTCCATTAATTTAGAACACATGGCGTGCTTACTGTGTTCCAGGAACGGCAGTGGATAAGAAAATAAAAGAGGCACAGTCCCTGCCTTTCTGCATCAATACATTATCTACAAAGCGAGGTCCACAAGAAGCACAAACAATGCTTAACAAAGCACGATAAAGCACAACAAACTGATGAAAGAGATACTATTATTGTCCCCTTTGCAGATGAGAAAACACTGTGAAACATTAAGCAATCTTCCCAAGGCTCCATAACTGGAAATTAGCACAGCTAGGATTGATCTGTTAAGACTCTGCTTATTATACCACTCAGTACTGGATCCCTGGGCTGGAGTGGGAGGGGTGGGGAGGAAAAGGAGATGGTGGTAGTGACACAATTATGGCTGGCAAATCAGGGAAGCCTCCATGCAGGTGGAGACCAAGAGAGGACCTTGAAGAAAACATGGGAGTACGGATAGTCTCAGGTAACAGCTCCAGCAAAACAAAGGCATCTTCCAGGAAGAAGGACTCTAGCTGGAGCATGGTCAAGAACTCTAGCCCCTAACCTGCTCTCACAAGGTAAATGTGACCCTCTCCCTTGCCCCAATTTTCTTAGCATTTGAAAATACTTTGTATGATAAGATAAAATAGAGAAATATAAAGGTCAATATCAGGATGTCTTCCACTTTGAAAACTGACTACATAATAATCAGTCTTTCTTTCCTGGGACAGGGAGGAGGGCATACTAGAAGCTGTCACAGTTTTCTTTCTTTTCCTCCCTAATTACAATATATATGCAGTGAAGCACAACTCATTTCAAAAAAACAGTGACTGGGATTTTTACCATGATTCCCGTTTCAGAATGTCACAGGTCCTAAAATACTTCTGTTTAAATATGAACAAATTTAATCATGCAAGAAAGAAACCCAAATGTTTAACAAACTGTTGGTTTAATAAACACAGAACACATTTTATGCACAAGATGTTTTGCTAGATACTATGCATCAAGGATTAGCCAAACACCATCCTTGCTCTCCAAGGAATACGTGTTCAAGAAACAATGTGATGAATGCACAGGTACTTAGAAAGGAGAACAGCTTGCTCTTCTACGTGTGTGACAGAAAGCAAAGTCAGAGAGGACTTCACACTTGGCCTTGAAGCTAGGATTTGACCTAGGGGTAAAGGAGAAAGGTACAGCGTGGCTTTCTGCAGATGCCTAGTGAACACACACAAAGGCTGAGGAAGGTGTAGGCCAGTGAGTGGATGGGGTGATAAAGGCATGGGGTGCATAGGAGGGATGCTGAGAAATATAAGAAAGAAAGAGGGGGCCAAACTATGCAGTGCTAGAGAGGAAGAAGCAGAGGATAGAAAAGGAGGAGCATGGTCTCCACTGTTCTCCCAGTGCTCACAAAGTGCAGGCACACTTCAGTGCTCTGTGTGCATAATTATCTTACTCGGTTCTTACACTACACCATGAAGGTAGACAGATAAACTTCCTTTACACATGACACTCTGGGTTTAGTGATTTACCCAGGGTTACACAGCTGGAGCCAGGACCATCTTACTCCAGAGCTTATGCTTGTAATCAGATTTCTGGGCAGCACTTCAGAAAGATCTCTCTGATGGCTGTGAGGGTGAGGGATCACAGTGAGGAGAGAGCTAGGGCATAAAGAGTGACGGTAGTGGGAGGGGATCCACGAGATGGCCTGCATTAATGCAGTGGGAACAGGGCTGGCAAAAAGAAAATTCACGGATAAAGGATACAGAACTCGTCTTGGTGACAAGTGAATGAGGAGGTTAAGGTGAAGAAGAGGAAGAAAGCAAAATCATTCCTATCTGAGCTACAGAATTTCCAAGGAGAAACAGGAATGGGAAAGACAATGAATTCAGTCTGAATTATATTAGTTTGAGATGCCTGCAGGGTATTCATGCAAATATGTTCTGGAAATGGAGATGAATATGTAATTTGGGAATGAGGGCTAGGCAAAAGCACTATATTTGAGCCATCTCAAAATACAATGAAAAGGTTCTATATGAGGGAACCATGGTGAATAATGGTTCCTTTGTGAGGAAGGAAGGAGGAAAACGTCAAAGGAGACTAAGATAGAACAACCTGAAAGTAGCAGAGAACCGCAGGGATGTGTCCCAGGAGTCAAGGAAGGAAGAGATCAGTTCCAGCCGGTGGGAGAGGTCACAGGTATCAAATGCACTGAAAGCCCTTTAGGATAAGAACAGTAACTGAACTTGACCTTTCTAGAACTACTTCTAAAGCAGCATAACTGGATACCAGACTGCTGAGGTTTCAGGAAGGAAGAACAGAAAAGGTGCTTGGAGCTAGTGTAAATGACTTTCTAAAGTTAGCTAAGGAGAAAAAGAGCTTTTCCTGAAAGTGTACAATGATCAAGAAAGGGTTTTTGTTTTTGTTTGTTTGTTTTAACCTGAATATTACTATACATTAAAGAGAAGGTGCTTTCAAAAAGAATTGAACATGGAAGATGAGGGGTAAGGATAACTGTTGCAAATGCGGCTAGAGCTTCTAGAGGCAGCAACAGATTCCATCAATAGTTTCTTGAGTATCTAATATGCGCAAAGCACTGAGCTAGTCCTGGGAATCCAAAAACAAGGAGCCCCCTCCCCAGAGCTCAATGTCTAGGATGGGGCTCAGACCATTCGTGTGGTGCCTGTGATGACCTGAGACAGGGAGGGGATTCTGGGAGGAATGCTTTGGGGCTCCCTTGAGACTTGATGGCTGAGCTGAGTATGCAAGGGTGTCTAGTGTTCGTCTGGCTGTGAAGGGGTATCCAGGAAAAAGAAGCAACGTGTGAAAATGCACAGGGGAGAAACTGAGTCATGGAATCACAAGAGGCAATTACATCAGAGCCAGGGAAGGGAGCAGGGGAATGGGAAGAGATGAGGCTTTAAAGGCAGGAATTGGCCACATCATAAGGAGATTTGGAAACTCTGCTAAAGGGCTTACAGGTGGTCCTAAGGCAATAAGGAGACATGGAAATGTATTAGCGTTGCGAGCAGTGTGATCAGATATGCTTTAAAGGGAGATTACTCAGACTACAGGAAGAAGGAAACAGGAGATAGGATGAGGGTCAACAGGAGACTGGGAGGGTGGGGATGAAGGAGAGAGACAAGTCAGAGAATCAGGTCGGAGGCAGACTCAGCCTCCAATCTGGGGGACCTCTGAGACTTGGAATAAGGAGACTTCTCTGAGGTAAAAGAAAAGGAGATAGAGATGCATGAAGAAAAGTCCTACCTGCTTGTAGTAATCCACATAGGTGATCTCGGTGCCATCCCGCTTCTGAAAGGTGTGTGTGGGCTTCACTGACCAGTCAATGTCATCAATGGAGTAGGTTCTGTTATTGTATCTGCCAAATATAAAAAGTCTTTAAATTGTTTTTTAATCATCTAACATAAGCAGCTACTTCACCACACTTTTAATTCAACACATAAGATAGACTCCAGAATGTCAGAAATTATGAAAACAATAAAACAAGAATATTCACTTTTTAAAAAATACTCAGCTCTTATCTGAAAAGGGCATTCCTTAATAATTTCCTATACAGGAAGACTTCTGTCCACATTCCAACAAAACCTGTGGGAAAGTCCTTAGACCACAGTCTAGTTTTCTCACTGATAGATACTCTAACTTCAGGTAAATCATTCTTAAATGTTCAGAGGCTGAAGCATTGCTCAAAACTTTCCCATTATCTTCTGGTGTCACTCAAGAGTTTCTGACCTCCCAGGTAGTTTTTCTGATTTAAAAAAGCACCAAAAGAAGGCCAATCAACCCACAATGCTGGCATCTTGCTTAACCTACCCGCTAGGGCTGGCCCTTGGCAAAACTACAAAACAGGTTAGCTAAGATTACTCTAAGCTCCTTCTCCCCTTCAGCACTGTGTAGCCTGGACTGTCCTCTCAGGATGACCTAGCCTAGGGGCAGAAACTACCACAGCAGGTTTCTCTAGAGCTTTTGATTCTTTCCAAGATGACTTTGAAATGTGATAAGCTAATCCATCAAGATCATGACAGGAGGATAAGAGGGTAGCCTTCTCATACCGAGTAGTGTGGAATCCAGCCAGTCCCACCCCTCTGCTATATATCCCAGAAAAACAAGTTTAAGTGGAAATTCTAAGCCAGAATAGAAAGCTAACAAGTCCCCTAAAAGAAGTATTTTTGCAGCCATAAAAAGGAACAGGATCATGTCCTTTGCAGGGACATGGATGGAGCTGGAAGCCATTATCCTCAGCAAACCAGGGCAGGAACAGAAAACCAAACACCGCATGTTCTCACTTATAAGTGGGAGCTGAACAATGAGAACACATGGACACGAGGAGGGGAAAAACACACGCTGGGGCCTCTCAGGTGATAGGGTCGGGGGGAGGGAGAGCATTCTGAAAAATAGCTAATGCATGCTGGATTTAATACCTAGGTGATGGTTGATAGCTGCAGCAAACCACCATGGCACACTTTTACCTACTTAACAAACCTGCACATCCTGCACATATATCCCAAAACTTAAAATAAAAAATTTTTAAAAAGTGTTCTTGGACTAGCAGCAGTATATGTGAGCTTTTTAGTACTCAGGAAGTCATCTAAATTTTCCGTGTTTAACTCAGCTCAATGTGCAATGAGGGCAAATTTTATATACATAAACCTAGAGGTTGCAAAGAAGTAAAATGTGGTCTCAACTTAAAAGACTCCTGAATCTAATAAAGAAGGTGAGACATGGAACTAACCTTCTGTCCTGTAAAATGAAATAAGATGGCCACAACAAGGTAGCCATAAGCAAAGTGCTATGGGCGCCGCCCAGGGGAAGAAACTGAATAATTCCAACTAAGTAGGCAAATGGAGGTGTCAGAAAAGCCAGGACATTAGAATTGAGCTTTGTGAAAACTGAAGTTTAAAAGGCAGAATTTGGGGAAGGGAATCCAGGCAACTGAAGTGAACTGAATTGAACTGAACTGAAGCATGCAAAGTGCAGACCGCTGGGGGTTAGAATAGAGAGTGGCATTAGGGGAAAGGAGGGTACCGCAAGCGAGAATTTGGAGCTTGTGGACAGTCCAGAATGCCACACAAGGACATGTGAACTCCAGACAGCAAAACAACCAGGTCTTCTAAACAGATGAGTAAATGGATTAGATCTGTGATATTGGGCCAATACTCCAACACTATTCCTATTCCCAAATACCATCAATGATTGATTTCTGAAGAAAAGTTTATTTAGACGCAGGCTTGTACCTTGTAAGGACAATGAGCCCTATTAGCTGCTTCTCACACGTCTGGGTGAAACAGGACAAGCCAGTTCTTTGACAGAGAGCAGTCATGAATTCCAGAACCGTCTCATTCCGGAGGACTTTGTAACTCACATCAGCACTAAACAGGAGCTTCCTTTCAAAATATGACACAGAAATGGCAAACCCAGGCCAAAGGGATAATCTTTAAAAACAAAAAAGAAAAAAAGGAATATTGTCAATGTTATACCGGAAACACAATAAAGATTTTTAAATGGTGATTTTCTGTTCTAATTCTCGAGATCTTAACAAGATAATTTTTTTCTTTAGTCTGATTTCTTCCAGTTGTTGACTGAAAACTTTTTTTCAGCTGCAGTGTCTTTAAGCATACATTTAGGATAAAATACCTTACTGTAAAGCAGTTTCTCAGCTTTGGCACCACTGACATTTTGAACTGGATAATTCTTTGTTAGGGACCGTCCTGTGTACTGTAGGATGTTTAGCAGCATTTCCCTGGCCTCTACCCACTAGACGCCAGTAGCAGCCTCCCAGCTGTGACAACCAGAAACGTCTCCAGACAATACAAAATGTTCCCTGAAGAGGGGGGGGAAATGTCCCTGCCTGAAAACCGTAACTATAGGAATAATACATTTATGGAGTGATCTGTCCCCGCAGGAAAACATCTAGGTTCAGAAAAGCACCCCAATTCAAAGGTGAGGGCAGTGGATAGATTTAATGACGAGATTAAAAAATACAAAAGTGATACCACAAACAGATATACAAGAGAAACCGGAACACAGCCTACAGTTTCTTCCCACATAAACTTAAAAATCTTGAATAAGAAGTTACAGAAATGGCATGAAATAATAGACTACTATTTTAAAAAATAATTCCAGTTTATATTTTGTGGACTATTAAGTAGACACTGTGATACTAAGCCAGCCTCCGGGACAGGCATATGTGCTGAGCACCTAGGGCAGTTTAGTACAATCAGCACCTATGAGATTTTCTAATCCGGGTGGACAGATTAGTGACAAGGACGAATTGGGTGCTTTATAGAGAGCACGCTGACACTCTGAATGAACATATGGAAACTCCGTCATTTTTCCTCCACCAAGCAGAAGGCCAAACACCCTACTCCCATTTTCTATCTTTTATGCACTTCTCCCTTTATGAATCTACGTTTGGGCTACCAGTTGCCTCTCTGTCTATAGTTTGACCACAGTATTTTTGAGAGCTAAGTAACAACCAGTTCAAGACATAGCTGACCACTTTCCCTGAAGCCTCGAATTCCCAGTTTAGGTAGAAATTCTGCAGGTGTTCATAAGGATTCTATCCTTCACCAGAGTTATTTGGTTGGCTTCTCTTTCTGACCCGCGCTGCCCTGCCAATTTCATGTCAACCACTCTGGCTGTGCTAACAACCTTTCAACAACAAAATACAGCTCATCCTGCTTTCATTATTACTTATTACACACAGAAAATTCAGTTTCTGAATTCCTTCTAGGATTTGTGATAATTATCTATCACACTAATATAAGAAAACAAAGCTGCTAGCTTCACGTTCACATGAACCATTTTATTAAAAAAACTTGAAAATTATAAAAAATTCATTACATTTCATATCACAGAGTCTCTCACAGGAGGCATAATGGTATAATATTGCATCATAAATTATGTTGCTCACATTATAATAATTTCGGAGTAACAGAAAATATAAATAAACCTACTTGTGCTGGGGAATTTCCATTGGCTCTGAAGGATTATAGAAGTTCCGTCCAATTTGGTACATGGACAACTTTTTGAGGATCCTGCAAGTATATTTTTTTGAATTTTTGGTAAATATCAGTCAGTAACAGTGTAATTCTAAGTTCAAACCCTTACTGAACATAATGTTAAAAATATATAGGAAATACAGACCTCTCATTCTCACAGGACTGCAAGGTTTAGATACTAAATATACATATGAATGTCTATAAAGAACTATCACTTCTTCATATTTGAGAATACTACAACTGAAATTATTTTTATCTGTCTGGGTTTAGCTGCAGTGACAAATATGTGGTCAATTAGCCATTATGGGTAGTAACATTCTGGTTAGCTTGGATGGGGTGAGATAAGCCATGCCTGCAGGCCTTTTTGACCTCTTCCCTACTTGGGGATGAAGACCTTATTTCTTTTTCTTTTTTTGAAATGGAGTTTCGCTCTTGTTGCCCAGGCTGGAGTGCAATGGCGTGATCTCAGCTCACTGCAACCTCCGCCTCCCGGGTTAAGCGATTCTCTTGCCTCAGCCTCCGCAGTAGCTGGGATTACAGGCAAGAGCGCCACCACGCCCGGCTAATTTTGTATTTTTGGTAGAGACGAGGTTTCTCCATGTTGGTCAGGCTGGTCTCGAACTCCTGACCTCAGGTGATCTGCCCGCCTCTGCCTCCCAAAGTGCTGGGATTACAGGTGTGAGCCACCGGCCCAGCCGAGGATCTTATTTCTAATGAGGCTGCTCAGGCTCCCCAGGTACTGCCAAATGACCAAGACTGTGTCTTCAGCAAGTAATCCTGGTCACCTTAGGAATTTGACCTACATGGGGGTTTCAAGTCAGGAAACGCGTTTCAACTGTGATTTTGGCTGCCAAATGTCACTGAGCCTAAGCCCCTTTCTCTTAAAAATAAGGATTTTAATAGCACTTGCCTCGGGTTGCTCTAGTGAGGGTAAAGTAAGATAAAAGACAAGTGAAAGAACTTTCTCACTGAAAGCATCTTCCAAATGTCAGCATGCAAGACTGGCTTCTGAAGAGCTGATATGCAGTAAGCTGAGGCTCAGATATGACCAAAAGGTGCTGGACAAGACATCTGACTGGAATTAGGAATTAGGACATCTGGGTGGGGGAAGTTCCTGATGTGCTCATACGACTCAGGAAATCCCCAAACTTCCCCATCTTCATGCCTTCCAGAGGTCACTGTTGAACAAAGAACTTGCCTGTAAGGTTTCTAACAGATCATCTTAATGATCCACACTAGCAGCATGTAAAACAGTGGTTCTCAAGCTTCAGTGTATCCTAAAAATGTGAATTTTCAGGCCTATCTGTGAACTTCTGTTTACTAACTAGATTCAGTGAAGGTCCAGGGAATATGCCTTTTATGGAGCTCCATTCCACCCCTAAGAAGACGCTGGAGTATGTGATCCTTAGACCAGTCTGCAGAACACTGAAGAGCTGAGCTACAACCATGTAGGTGTGGGGGAAAGAAATGGGCTGAGGGTGGAGCCAGGGCAGAAAGCAGACAGTGATCTTCTTTCCTAAATCAATCGGCTAGGAGAAAAACAAATTCTTCAGTTTATTAAGCCAAACTTAACTAAGTTTGCTAAATGAACTTTTAAGTCTGGGAAAAGACACAGAAAAAGAAGAAAAGGAAAAGGGTACCCTCCCTGCTACCAGTGAGACAGCAATAATCCCCGTATTATTTGTCTCAACTTAGGACAATACTGGATATTAACAGTCTGTGCCACTGAGTGGCTGTAATGGGCTGCATTGCACATTATTGTTCATGTAGGAGAAGGTGCTTGAGAAATTGCCCTAACGGTGGCATCACTGCTGGCACACTGCCTACAAAATGGTCGATTATTTTAATACCCAGGCTCTATGCTGAAAGGTATCATTAGCCCAAATTAAATTCACATTTCCAGTGCCTTACTTTCTGAAGATGATATTGAAGACCTGGATGCACACGGGAGAACTTGATGGCAGCTCCCTCTTCAGGGTGATAGTCATCTTTATAGTCTCACCTCTTTGAGTTTCACTTGACAACTCTGTGACCTGGGAAAAAGAGGTACTTAATATGCACCCTACAAATTATCCCCAAGTGTGCAGAATGCAGATTATAAAGCCATCACAATGTAATATGCATTAACAAAAACAAAACTGCAGGTGTTAGTATGAGTAATAATCTAATCATCACATTATGTTCAGAGGGCTTTTTTTCTCTGTATCTTGCCAATCCTAAAAAAACAACACATCTCTCTACTCTCTAACTTCTTAAGGGAGAATTAAAGCCAGACTCATGGTTCAAAGTTTGGTCCAAAGAGAGTTCCAGAGCAGTGGTTCTTGATTTTTCTAGGGAGCGGGAGGGAGATGGGTCACAAATTATTTTGAGAGTCTGATAAAAGTTAGATATTTCTCAATAAAATTTCACACACACACACACACACACACACACACATATATATATATACACACACCACAACAGTGTACATAATTGTACCCATTTTCAGGGTATTCACTGATACTCAGAAGCCCACTAGTGGACTGTCCTGCCCATCCCAAGTTCATGGATTCCAGAGGACAGCCTCCCAAAGTCTGTTTATAATGTAGAAGAGCAGAGAACAAGAGAGAAGGAAAGAAAGGAGAGAGGATAAATGAGAGGGAAAGTAAACATGGGGAGAGAGAGGAATAAGTGGTGGAAATTAGAACAGATCAGAAATCTGATTTTATAAATTGCTGAAAGGTCTAGAGAAACCTAGAGTCCTTATAACTTGGAACAATGTTCTAGCAATATAATGAACACATGAATATGATTCTATAACAGCTCCCACTAAATGTAAAGCTTCTTGAACCAGAAAGGACTCAGAATAGGTTCTTGAAATAAAGGAATATACAAATCAGTCAATAAATATCAATCAATGATCATGGATTTTTCAAAGGGATAAGCAATTAGATAAAGTCAGCTAATTAGCAAGCATTTATGTATTCTGCCTCTACTTTCTACAGCTACAGTATGGTTGTAACCACTTTTAGATTGCATCAAGAATGTAAGGCAGGAACCAGTCACTGCATGGAAACAAAGAGAAACTGATCTTTTCACAGGGATGTAAGATTTCATCGAGATAATTTCTTGCTTCAGATAAAATTGTACAGAAATCAGAGGTGGACAGCTATAGAAAGAGCTCATCAACATGGGGAAAACTCTGGCAGACAGAAGGGATGCCCACCTCTCAAACTGCTGCAGGGGCTTTGGAACAAAGGATTAAGACAACAAAGGATGTCTTAATCCTTTGGGATGAGTGGTTGAGGGGAGGTGGCAGCAGATGGTCTCAGGAACTGCATTTTCAACAACCACCTAAGAGCAAACTCTTCAGCCCCGCCTTGTACCTCTCCCACCAAACACCCACTCCTGTTTCACTTCCTACATCTCCTATTGGACCTCAGACCCTCCAGTCCCCAGGCTGCTAACCTCACAGTAAACTTTCATTTCTCCTCCTCAATTCACAATCTAATCAGATGGCAAGTCTTATTGTATCTACACCAGGAATGTCTCTGATCTATCTCAGCTGTTCCAATACCATTATTTACCACAGTGCTTAAGAGCACATGATGTGGAATTGGATGGACCCTGGTCTTCTGCCTCTTACAGCTGGTGTGATGTGGAACACCTTTCTGATACTGAGTCTAACTAAAGTCACAGGGTTGTGACGATTAAATGAGATAATGCATTGATTTTACTTCCATCCATTGCACAGGCACTCAGGAATTCAAATAAATAGCAGCACTTTGTATCTCTTTTCAAGCCCTTTCGACACCCTGCCCACACTATTTCAGTGGCACTTTACTACTCTTCCCACCTCCTTCTGTAAACCATTCAATAGGATGTGATCAGAGTAACTGTAATTTAACACAGCTGCCATGGAAATGCTCTCCAACGTCTTCAGTGATCCATGGAAGAGTCTCTGTTCCTTGGCAGGACATTTAAAGTTCTCTTTACCTTTGAAATCACAACTCCCACACCTTCCTAGCTAAACCTGAATGAGCAAAAGTTTCTAAAATATGGCCCTCACTTCCCATCATTGCATGTTTGCCTCTTCTGCCTAGGAATCCCATATCTCCCATTGTCCACCTCACTGATCAAAATCCTAAACAAGGAACTATCACTCTCGCTCAGGTGTCCTGCTAGAAATATTCTTGCCTTTCATCAAGCTCTCTCTGACAACCTTGGGCAATATATTTAGCCTCACTAGGCCCCAAGGGTGATGACAGGATTAAATGAGATCATGCTATAAAGAGCCTGGCAGGCCGGGCGTGGTGGCTCACACCTGTAATCCCAGCACTTTGGGAGGCTGAGGCGGGTGGATCACCTGAGGTCAGAAGTTTGAGCCCAGCCTGCCCAATGTGGTGAAACCGCGTCTCTACTAAAAATACAAAAATTAGCCGGGTGTGGTGGCAGGTGCCTATAATCCCAGCTACTCAGGAGGCTGAGGCAGGAGAATTGCTTGAAACCCAGGAGGTGGAGGTTGCAGTGAATCAAGATCATGCCATTGCACTCCAGCCTGGGCGACAAGAGCAAAACTCCTTCTCCAAAAAAAAAAAAAAAAAAAAAAAAGCCTGGCAGAGTAAGTGATCAACACATGTAATCTGATAGGTGTAACTGGTAGTAGCAGTGGTGGTAGCAGCTACTTGTGGGACACAAAGTATAGATCTGCTCAAGAGAGAGATGTTGAGGATAACCTGGAGAACAAAGAAGGACAGTACTTAACACCTAGTAAGTGCTCAATAAATGCTAGCATAATAAAGATACTAATTATTATGACACTTATTTCATTCTACCTTACATAGTATTTATTTGTAAAGAACTTTTATTCGAAATTGAAATTTTGGAGAACAAGTACTCTGTTTTATTTATCTTTGTTTGCTCCATGGTCGCAACACCCTGCCAGGTTCAGAGTAGGCTCTTTATAAGTATATGAGAGTGGCAAATAGATGTGGACATGAATAGCAACACCAGTCTGGCTGCAGGTGCACAGATAGGACCTGGACAGTGGAAGGCTAGGAGGCAGCTGAACAGGAATCCTGGAACTCCTAGGAGTTCATTGCGTCAACTAGTGGCTGAGATGTTTCAACTTAAATAAGCATCCTAGGACATGTGTAGGGGATGATGAGGATGCAGAATTAAGCCTCAGTCAATACCAAGATCAGAATAAAAAGGTGAGAGTATCTTCATTAGGACACTTTCTTTTGCACTGTAACTGGGTGACAGGTCATATGTTTATAAGAAATAAGACAACACTATTCTGTTTAAACCTAGTATCCCCTATATCTGGGAAATAAAATAAACAGGCCTGATTTGTCACACCATGTTTTTATGGTCTATTTTCTCACTTGTCCCCTTATTAGGCTCCATTCCCAGCAACAGAAAGGTGTTTGACACATACTACATGCTCATTTTGAATGAGAAATGAGTAGCAGTAACATATTCTTAGCATTTGTAGCGTATACGGTCTTCATTCTGTTTAGGTACAATGGAAGTAAGCTGGACACTTCAAGGGTAGTATTTAATAATTTCAACGTATCTAAATTTCTAAACTAGTGCTAGAAATGTATCTACAAGAACATTTTTAATGGTAACAACAGACTTGAAATATATCATTTAAGTATGAGAAGCCATATTAGCGTGCTATCAACATCTGGTCATAGGACAAAGAATTGAAGGATCAATAAAAAATTATGGTGAATAAAAATGTTTCTTAATTTACAAATCTAGATTTTCTAAGCCATTAAATTTAATCATATGGTATAATTTTAATGTTCCATATCCAATGCAACAATCACTCAAGCAGCTCCTATAGATCCCAGGGTCTCATAAAAGGCAAAAGGCCCAAGAGTGCTAAGAAACACATTTCATGAGGAAATTCACAAACACTTACCTAGAGTCTAAAAATTTAAATCTAAGCTATTGGTACCATACTCTGCAAACAAACAGCTGAACCAAGGGACTAAGATTTCTAAGGGATAGAAGCATAAAATTTTAATCCAATGCTCTGTTTTAATTTTTCACACAGAAATTGGTTCTTTTTTTCTTGTAGTAATTGTAACATTGTTTTAGAACAAAACATATGTTAAAAACATCCATACCATCTTTATTTTAGGACTGAATATGTCAAATGTGTAAAAAGGTGGATAAAGGAATATGAAATACACAATAGCTATTTCCAATGGTTGCATTAAAAAAACTTTAAAAATTGATATAAATAACTCATAATTTCTTATGATCGAGCAAGTAGTTAAATAAACGGCAATTCTAGAATCAAAAATTGATGTAAAATTATTTGGACATACAGGCACAAGGGTGCAGGAGCAAAAAAAGGTAGAATTAATTTAAAGTTCTGAAGCCATAGGCCAAATGGTGTTTCTTAGTCTTGCCTACTTTGGGAATTATTTTTTAAGGTGCCAATTTCAAGGACACTTACAGCTCTTATTTTAAAAATACCAGACCACCAGCTTCATAATTAAGAAATCAATTACTAGTGAAATCTTAATTAGGAAGTCTTTTTTTAGCTCTCAGGCAAGGGAACAGGAAAAAGGAAAGGAGTGATTCACTCATTCCAACTGTCATGAAAATCAACTAATCTCTTAAATATATAAGTATATATGAGGAGACCTCAAAAAGTTCATGGAAAATATGTATTATGAAAAAACTATGCATGGATTTCAAAAATTTTGCACCCAAATAAACTCATACTAACAGGATCCAGTGTGAGACACTAAGAATAAGACCTCAATTTGAACAGAGACCCTGTCAGAGCAATATGAATTCTGCTATGATTGAAGCCAGAACAGACATCAAATTTTGGCGATACTTGGGTAGAAGAATGGCAAAATCATTGATGTATAATGAAAAGTTTATGGGAACAATGCCCCAAAGAAATCAGCAGTTTACGAATGGATAACTCATCTTAAGAAGGGATGAGACAATGTTGAAGATGAAGCCTGCTGCAGACCATCTATACAGATTTGCAAGGAAAAAAAATTCATCTTGTTCATGCCCTAATTGAGAAGACCAAAGATTAATAGCAGAAACAATAGCCAACACCACAGACATCTCAATTTGTTTAGCTTATACAATTCTGACTAAAAAATTAAAGTTGAGCAAACTTTCCATTCAACGCTTGCCAAATTCATTGCATTCAGATCGGCTGCAGATAAGAGCAGAGCCGTCAATAAAAATTTTAAATAAATGGTATTAAGATCCTGAAGCATTTCTTCAAAAAATTGTAAGAGGAGATGAAACCTGGCTTTACCAGTACGATCCTGAAGACAAAGCACAATCAGAGCAATCACTACCGAGAGGTGGAAGTGGTCCAGTCAAAGGAAAAGCCAACCCATCAAGAGCAAAGGTCATGGCAATAGTTTCTTGAGATGCTCCAGGCATTCTGCTTGTTGACTTTCTGGAGGGCCAAAGAATGGTAACATCCGCTTATTATGAAAGTGTTTTGAGAAACTTTGCCAAAGCTTGAGCAGAAAAATGGCCAGGAAAGCTTCCCTGGAAAGCACCACAACAATGCTTCTACTCATTCTTCTCAACAAACAAGGGTAAGTTTGCAAAAGTTTCAATGGGAAATCATTAGGCATACACTTTACTGCTGATTTGGCTCCTTCTGACTTTTTTTGTTTTATAATCTTAAAATATAAAACAATGTAAAGGGCACCCATTTTTCTTTCGTTAATAAGCTAAAAAAGACTGCACTGATGTGGTTAAATTCCCAGGACCCTTAGTTCTCTAGGGATGGACTAAATGGCTGATATAATTGCTTATAAAAGTGTCTTGACCTTGGTAAAACTCTTGGTAAGAAATAAAGGTAGTTTTTTAAATTCTTACCTTTTAATTCTATTTTTCCACAAACCTTTTGGAATCTCCTTGCATATGCATATATATGTGTGTGTGTATACACATATAATAAACACACACCCACATATACAGTAAAAAAACTAATCATACTATACCTTTTCTTCTAGCTTTTGTGACAGAAAAAGGATGGCACCGTCGAATGCTTTTGCTTTGTTGGAAAGTTCACTATGACTATAAAGTAAAGCAATTCTCAGCCTTCTAGATGCTAAATCTGGAATATATGTCACATGGTACTGGTATAGCTGCCAGTCTTGGGGAAAATCTAAGTTAAAGAGGTTTGTAACCAGTTTCACAGGTATTCCACTGGAACCTGAAGAAGACAAACAAAAAACAATTTTTTAATCAGGAAATCACATCATGTTAATATTAATCACACCATTTAAAAATGTATTTGCCTATGCATAGTAGTTGCTTTAAAGCAAGGATTTTTGCACAGTGACACAGGATAAATCCTAAAACTTGCAGCCTAATAACACCTTTGGGAGCTAAAATGGGATCATGCATGAAACAGGCCTCTTAAGAACATACGAGCAGACACTGACATTCCTGTCCTTGTGAGACGAGAAGCATCTGAACTCAACCATTCCAGGACACCTTTCAAAGCTTGCCTTCCCGCTCTCATTCTCTGCAATTCAAATCGGCTCAAGTAATATTTTCAGATGCTGCTCTGAAATTATACTGCTCTCATAAAGAAACAGTCTGGTTCTTACTATGAATATACAACCCCCAACCTCTGGGAAATCCAGATAATCAAAAGTTAATCATATTTCTGAAAATTCTGAAAAAGTTATATCAGTGGTTAGACCAAACAATCTCAGAGAAGACCCTCAGAGATTAAGGGGAAGGCTGCGGAGAGAGGAAGGAACTGTCATTTTTCCGACGTGAAAACAGACAAGGTTTCTGGGCTTCTGTTTTCTGCAGACACATGGAGGCCATGTGTGCTTCCGGGACTTCCAGCCCCTTACAGACATTTTTATTCACATCTTAAAAGTCTATAGGACAAAATCAGAGATGGCCACGATATAGTCAGTTAGTGATCAGGATGGTGTAAGCTCCCCCCAGGGTAGAATCCAGGAGGGTACAAAGGAGGTTCTTCTCACTTCCCCTTACAGAGAATCATCCAGTTTTGGTCTTATAGAAAAGAATGATATAGAGGCTGGGCACGGTGGCTCACACCTGTAATCTCAGCAGTTTGGGAGGCCAAGGCGGGTGGATTGCTTGAGGCCAGGAGTTCGAGACCAGCCTGGCCAACCTGGCAAGACCCTGTCTCTATAAAAAATAAAAAATTAACTGGGCATGGTGGCCCATGCCTGTAATTCCAGCTACTCAGGAGGCTAAGGCACAAGAATCGCTTGAACCTGGAAGGCAGAGGCTGCAGTGAACCAAGATCGCACCATTACACTCCAGCCTGGGCAACAGAGTGAGACGCTGTCTCCAAAAAAAGAAAAGAAAAGAATGATATAGAATAGATGCTATTTTGCTTTTCTCATGGAGGAAAGCAACCCAGAGACTCCAAGGTGGTGAGGAATACAAGGTATCAGCTGTGCTTCAGTATTTCCTCAGCTTCAACCTGGGGTATATATCTGGTAGGAGCAAGAAATCTCCGTGCTATTTTAGTTAAATAACAGATCTCTTTTGTTCTCCCAGATCCTGAGGAAATGGCAAAGCAACATATTTTAGCTGCTCATATAAATAAAGAGTAGTCAACCTAGACTGTCAGAGCCGGAAAGACCCTTCAAGATCGTCTACATATGATAGTTTTCAAACGGCAGCTGGGTCCCATTAGTGCTGCAGTTATGAAATCAGGTGAGGTGAATCGCATGTTTAATGAAAAGTCCAGAATAAAACAGAAAGGAAGAGACGCATTGTTTCATGAAACTTTTGCTTCAGTTGTGTGTGGACAGTGTGTGTATGCTGGATAATAATATATTTCTTATTTTGGTTTAAAAAGTTTGGAAAACACTGATCCGCATCAGTGAGTTTTAACTTTCGTGAGGTGGCCACAAAGACTTTTGAGAATCCAATGAAAACAATAGACCTACTTCCCAGAAGATATATATACTGACAATTTGCATGCAATTTTATGGGTGAGCCTGGAATCTGGGTAAAGAATCCCCCAAATAGGTTATGTCTTTCTTTTTACAGCTGAAGTCCAGAAAGATTTTTACTTCCCATGTTGGGAAAGAGAAGAAACATCTTTTTAACTCCCACCCCAGTATATGAAGAAAATCTTTTCCAAAAGTGAGATGTCATTTGGGGGAAGATATTATTTCTACTAATAAAAGAGAAAATTAAGGCTAGAAAATTAAAGCGTCTAACAGTGCCTTGAACATAGAAGACAATCAGTAAATATCTGTTAAGCAAACATATGAACTTATTTATTTTAGACCTAGAATTTGGAAGTCCTTAAGCAAGATTTGGTAACATTAAAAAAGTAAGTGACATAAAACTGGGTACCTGTTTTACAATTTCTCACATGTGCCAATTTTTCTCTGGTACAGATACTCAAATCCATAAAGTCCTGTTTGTTTTTCACACCTCTTTCCATGAAGGTACTTCCAGCATCACCAGAAGATATCCCATATTTATCTAAAACATGAAGAGAATGTGGTAACAGCTAATATTTCATTCTAGTGATACTGTTTGCAACTACTATGTCAAAAATGCATTGCAATCCAAACTTGTGGTTTTGAATACAGTTTGCCCATATTGCTGAAACCATTCATGACTATTACAGAAGTCTTCAGCCTAAAAACGGAAAATTGTGAAGAAAACACAGAACGTTTTGTTAAAAATAACAGATCTTGGCCAGATGTCGTGACTCATGCCTGTAGTCCCAGCACTTTAGGAGGTCATGGCGGGCGGATCGCTTGAGCTCAGGAGTTAGAGACCAGCCTGGGCAACGTGTTGAAACCCTGTCTCTACCAAAAACACAAAAAATCAGCTGGGCGTGGTGACATGTGCCTGGGCTGAGGTGGGAGGATCACTTAAACCCAGAAGGTGGGGGTAGCAGTGAGCCATGGTCACGCCCGCACTCCAGCCTGGGCGACAGGGCGAGACCCTGTCTCACAAAAACAAAAACAGATCTTGAGTTAGTTCTTGCCCTTGTAATATTGTAGACTTTCACTTCTTGGCTAAGGAGAAAGCCCTCCCTCCCCATTCCCTTCTCCATACCTATTTAGGGAGGGCAGCTCTCCTGCCGTTAGCTCTTGTGTAACACCCTGAAGGATTACAGACTAACTTCTGTCCTCAGCAACTTCTGCCCAGAAAGAAGATGAATCTGACATTTCCCAAAGAAAAGAAGAGAAATTGCCCAGAACATTGCCATCAGTTTTTATTCTAGGTCATTCCCCCTAAGAATAAAAGCCAGTGTTTCACCTCAGGGCATATCACTTACTGACAGCTTCTAGAAAACATGAAATTAAAATCTGTTTCCAAATGAGTATTTTCTGTTTAAATTAGTACGGGGGATGCTGACTTTCTGGCATGTTGAAAATAACTTTATAAAAATACAAAATGTTACTGCAAAGTAATATGAATTTCTAGAATTCTATTACCCTCACTAAATTGTCCATATAAGCCATTGCTCGTGGTTTCAAAAGATGTTAGGTGGTTTCTGAAAATTCAAGCTACCATAGTATGGCAGTTACCAGGAGCTGGAGGGAGGGGGGAATGGGAGTTATTAATTAATGAGTACAGAGTTTCCATTTTGCACAGTGAAAAAAGATCTAAAGTTGGATGGTGGTGATGACTGCACAACAAAATAAATGAAGTTCATCTCCCAAGACTGCACATTTAAAAGTAATTTAAATGGTAAATTTTATGTTATATATATTTTAAGATAAATAAATAAAACTCCAATTTTCCCTCCAAGGATGAAGGATTTTCATCATTCACTGTTCATAACAATGTGCGCATATCAAAAAGCTTATCCACCACGATCAAGTTGGCTTCATTCCTGGGATGCAAGGCTGGTTCAACACACGCAAATCAATAAACGTAATCCATCACATAAACAGAACCAAAGGCAAAAACCACATGATTATCTCAATAGATGCAGAAAAGGCCTTCAACAGAATTCAACAGCCCTTCATGCTAAAAACTCTCAATAAATTAGGTATTGATGGGACATATCTCAAAATAATAAGAGCTATCTATGACAAACCCACAGCCAATATCATACTGAAGGGGCAAAAACTGGAAGCATTCCCTTTGAAAACTGGCATAAGACAGGGATGCCCTCTCTCACCACTCCTATTCAACATAGTGTTGGAAGTTCTGGCCAGGGCAATCAGGCAGGAGAAAGAAATAAAGGGTATTCAATTAGGAAAAGAGGAAGTCAAATTGTCTCCGTTTGCAGATGACATGACTGTATATCTAGAACACCCCATCGTCTCAGCCCAAAATGTCCTTAAGCTGATAAGCAACTTCAGCAAAGTCTCAGGCCACAAAATCAATGTGCAAAAATCACAAGCATTCCTACACACCAATAACAGACAAACAGAGAGCCAAATCATGAGTGAACTCCCATTCACAATTCCTTCAAAGGGAATAAAATACCTAGGAATCCAACTTACAGGGATGTGAATGACCTCTTCAAGGAGAACTACAAACCACTGCTCAACGAAATAAAAGAGGATACAAACAGATGGAAGAACATTCCACGCTCATGGATAGGAAGAATCAATATCGTGAAAACGGCCATACTGCCCAAAGTAATTTATAGATTCAATGCCATCCCCATCAAGCTACCAATGACTTTCTTCACAGAATTGGAAAAAACTACTTTATAGTTCATATGGAACCAAAAAAGAACGCACATTGCCAAGACAATCCTAAGCCAAAAGAACAAAGCTGGCAGCATCACGCTACCTGGCTTCAAATTATACTACAAGGCTACAGTAACCAAAACAGCATGGTACTGGTACCAAAACAGAGATATAGATCAATGGAATAGAACAGAGTCCTCAGAAATAACACCACACATCTACAACCATCTGATCTTTGACAAACCTGACATTAACAAGAAATGGGGAAAGGATTCCCTATTTAATAAGTGGTGCTGGGAAAACTGGCTAGCCATATGTAGAAAGCTGAAACTGGATCCCTTCCCTACGCCTCACACAAAAATTAATTCAAGATGGATTAAAGACTTAAATCTTAGACCTAAAACCATAAAAACCCTAGAAGAAAACCCAGGCAATACCATTCAGGACATAGGCATGGGCAAGGACTTCATGTCTAAAACACCAAAAGCAATGGCAACAAAAGCCAAAATTGACAAATGGGATCTAATGAAACTAAAGAGCTTCTGCACAGCAAAAGAAACTACCATCAGAGTGAACAGGCAACCTACAGAATGGGAGAAAATTTTTGCAATCTACCCATCTGACAAAGGGCTACTATCCAGAATCTACAAAGAACTTAAACAAATTTACAAGAAAAAATCAAACAACCCCATCAAAAAGTGGGCCAAGGATATGAACAGAGACTTCTCAAAAGAAGACATTTATGCAGCCAACAGGCACATGAAAAAATGCTCATCATCACTGGCCATCAGAGAAATGCAAATCAAAACCACAATGAGATGCCATCTCACACCAGTTAGAATGGCGATCATTAAAAAGTCAGGAAACCACAGGTGCTGGAGAGGATGTGGGGAAATATAGGAACACTTTTACACTGTTGGTGGGACTGTACACTAGTTCAACCATTTTGGAAGACAGTGTGGCAATTCCTCAAGGATCTAGAACTAGAAATACCATTTGACCCAGCCATCCCATTACTGGATATATACCCAAAAGATTATAAGTCATGCTACTATAAAGACACATGCACACGTATGTTTATTGTGGCACTATTCACAATAGCAAAGACTTGGAACCAACCCAAATGTCCAACAATGATAGACTGGATTAAGAAAATGTGGCACATATACACCATAGAATACTATGCTGCCATAAAAAAGGATGAGTTCATGTCCTTTGTAGAGACATGGATGAAGCTAGAAACCGTCATTCTGAGCAAACTATCCCAAGGACAGAAAACCAAACACCCCATGTTCTCTCTTATAGGTGGGAATTAAACAATGAGAACACTTGGATGCAGGGTGGGGAACATCACACACCAGGGCCTGTCGTGGGGTGGGTGAAGGGGGCAGGGATAGTATTAGGAGATATACCTAATGTAAATGACGAGTTAATGGGTGCAGCACACCAACATGGCACATGTATACATATGTAACAAACCTGCACGTTGTGCACATGTACCCTTGAACTTAAAGTATAATAAAAAATAAATAAGAATAAAAAATTTTTAAATAAAAAAACCTAATAACAAAAAAAAATGTGTGGCAGATGTGAAAAAACATTTGCAAGGATAGAATAATGTTTGAAAATAATGGAGGGCACTGGGCCTGTCAGAGTAGGGCTTCTGTGCTCAGAGGCTGCACATTCATTTGTGTGTTTGGATCACAGGGGTACATACACAGGACTGGAAAACTCCCAGTGAGGAACAGCAGAGTCAGACATGAGATGGGTGGGGGGACCAGACCCTCAGAGTCTGGGAGAACCTAATGCTTAGAGCTTCCACATTTATTAGAAATCAATTGCTTGTGAAAATAAAAAACACCGGGGTCAGAACAAAAGAGATGACTAAATTGTTTTTTTTGTTTGTTTGTTTTTGTTTTTGTTTTTGAGATGAAATTTCCCTCTTGTTGCCCAAGCTGGAGTGCAAGGGCGCAATCTCGGTTTACTGCAACCGCCACTTCCCGGGTTCAAGCGATTCTTCTGCCTCAGCCTCCCAAGCAGCTGGGATTACAGGTGTGCACCGCCATGCCTGGCTAATTTTTTGTATTTTTAGTAGGAACGGGGTTTCACCATGTTAGCCAGGCTGGTCTCGAACTCCTGACCTCAGGTGATCCGCCCACCTTGGCCTCTCAAAGTGCTGGGATTACAGGCATGAGCCATCACGCCCGGCCTGGCTAACTGGTTTTATTCAGGGTCACAGGCTACACTGTGTTCCCCCAAAATTCATATGCTGATGTCTTAACCCCCAGTGCCTCAGAATGTGATCATATTTGGTGACAGGGTCTTTAAATAGGTGATTAAGTTAAAGTGAGGTCATTATGGTGGTTCCTAATCCAGTATGACTGTTGTCATAAGAAGAGGAATCAGGACATAGAAATGCAAAGGAAAGATCATGTGAACACAAGGAGAAGACGGCCTTGGATAAACCAAGGAGAGGGTCCTCAGAAGAAACCAGCCCTGTCCCCACCTTATCTCAGACTTTAAGCATCCAGATTTGTGAGAAAATAAATTTCTGCTGATTAAGCCTCCTACTTAGTACTACTTTGTCAGGGCAGCCCTAGCAGACTAACACATGGGGCATGCCAACTCACAGTGTGTGATTGTGGTGACTTGGAGTAGCATGTTGACAAGTATCCTGAGACCAAATCTGGCTTTGCTGTGAGGAGAGCTACCATTGAATGGTGATGTTTACCACAGGAGGGGAAGAAAGAGAGCAGTTGGCTACATGCACTGGTAGATACCAGGTTTCTACCATCCTTCCAAGCAATGGCATTGGCATTTATATGCCGTTCAGATTTTTTTTTTCTGCTTTTTTAAAAATGCGTATACATTTAAGGCATAAGAGCATAGTTTTGTTACATGGATATATTGCATAGTGTGAAGTCTGGGCTTTTAGTGTAACCATCATCTGAATAATGTACATTGCAGCCATTAAGCAATTTCTCACTCCCCTCCCACCCTCCCAACCTTCCGAGTCTCCAATGTCTATTATTCCACACTCTATGTCCATGTGTACACATTATTTAGCTTCCACTTATAAGTAAGAACATGCAGGATTTGACTTTCTGTTTCTGAGTTATTTCAGTTAAGATAATGGCCGCCGCCCGGGGGCGGTGGCTCATACCTGTAATCCCAGCACTTTGGGAAGCCAAGGTGGGCAGATCACCTGAGGTCAGGAGTTCAAGACTAGCCTGACCAACATGGAGAAACCCTGTCTCTACTAAAAATACAAAATTAGCTGGGCGTGGTGGCACATGCCTGTAATCCCAGCTACTTGGGAGGTTGAGGCAGGAGAATCACTTGAACCTGGGAGGTGGAGGTTGCGGTGAGCTGAGATTGCGCCATTGCACTCCAGCCTGGACAACAAGAGCAAAACTCCATCTCAAAAACAAACAAACAAACAAAAAAAAAAAACAAAAGATAATGGCCTCCAATTCCATCCATGTTGCTACAAGACATGCTTTCATTCTTTTTATGGCTGAGTAGTATTCTCTTATATATGTTACCACATTTTCTTTATCTAATTATCCATCGATGGATGCTTAAGTTGATTTTATATCTTTGCTATTGTGAATAGTGCTGCAATAAACGTACAAGTGCAGATAAATTTTTGATATAATGATTTATTTTCCTTTGGGTAGATACCCAGCAGTGGGGTTGCTGGATCAAATGGTATTCGTATATAACACCATAAAGATTTTTAAAGCATTTTTTCAAAATCCTTCAGTGAATAGAAAGAGACAGAAACTGGCTTCCTAATATCTATGGAGTCCCGTCTACCAAACACTGTCAGGAAATTCAGCACGTGCTTCTATGTTAAAGAGTCCCAAAGGAACATGACAAAGGGGATCCTTCAAGGAAAGGAAATCAGGATGTGCAAGAGGTGGGCCTACTGCTGTAAGGCCTGGCAGGGCTCCTCTTGCTCCATTCAGGTTGAATGGTACTAAATGAACAGGCTGAGCTGCACTTACCGTTGGTTGAGATCCTGCTTGTTCCCAAGAAGCCATTGCTAGAGGATGCTTCATTGTTACTAAGATCAACAGATCTAGGCTAAAATGGCAAAAAAAAGTTTTGTTCAGATTTACAATGGTAAGTCACAAACCAAAAGATTATCCTAAGAACAGTGTCAGGTCTTTAGATTACCATGAACTAGGCAAAGAAAATGTTAACAGGTAAAACCCTTGAGAGATGAGAAGAGAGTGCCCATTCTAGAAAAGAGGATAAGGACACGCTATAGTTTTCCTCACTCATCAAACTTTGATTTTAGTACCAACTGTCGCCAGATATAGCTGGAGGTGTAAAGAAGCAGAGATGAGATCCTTGTGCCCAGGGAGCTCACCAGAGGGCATGCGGCACAGATGCACATGGACCTCATGCTTCCATAGCCCACGGACATAAAATGAACAGAGGCCCCGGGTCAGCAGCTCAGATCATGACTCTGCATGAATAAACAGGGCCAAAACAGGTTCACAAAATAGGCCAAGGGAACCATTAGCATTTTCTCTTTTCATAGTAACTACTTCTCTTTGTTCAAGAAGTTACTCCATCTTGGCCTGCTAAAAAATGAACAAAGTCCAGAGAAGACCACTTCATGAGAATAAAGGCATAAGGACCACAAACTATTCATTTGGATACTTGCTCCAAATGCTAAGAATATGTAGTTGTATTAATAACATCACCCCAAAGTTGCTTATTGGCAGGTCAATCTAGTTGCCTAAATCCAGCAAGGAGCTTTCTCTATAGTGGTTGCTCAAGAAACAGTAGTTTAATCTAAACCACATGTGTGAGAGTACTTATTTTTATATACTAATTAGCCAGAAAAACTGCATTAGATTATATGCCGTGTAATGTTATGAAAGCACATCACTTTTTACAAGGCAATTTAAAACGAAATCATGAAATTAAAACTCAGAAAGTAGAAGAGAATGACATATTTGTCCCCAATCTTCAGTCCTCTTTACTGGCTAATATACCTACGTTAATATCTTACTCAGACAAGATCCCTAGAAGGAGAAAACTGTTAGAAGAAACCTTGGAAAGACTCAAACTTGAGAGAAAAGATAACGCACTACTTCGTAACAGAGAGGAGGAGATACATGCAGAGGAAGGCATTGTTCAGGCTAGAGACAGAGGTAGGAGAAAACGAAACCATGCGCAATAAGCATTCTACACACCAATGGCGAGGCTTGGATGCGCCCCACTTCTGTGGCACTGGGGCTGCGGGCGATGCCTCTGGCCTTCACTCGGGCTCTTCCACTCATGTTCCCGGTGAGCCCAGAGTGGCCACAAGAGCTGCAAAGTCTCAGTTAGGATATGTTTTGCTTTGGCTACAGATGGCGACGGTGTGACGGCGAAACTGCCTGGAGGCGGTGGATGTCCAGCATCCACAACCAACGCCGGGGCTGGAAATGCGTCCGAGGCCCGTGCGTGGGTGGAGAAGGCGCGCTGGGGCGTAGGGGTTGGCGCGAGCACGTGGGCCTGTGCAGGACTTCCTTTTTCTTCCCATTACTTCCACCCCCACCCCCAAATTTGGCATTATCCAGCTTTTTCATTTTTACCAATCTTATGTGTATTGGGTGGCATCAAACAATAATTTTTTTTTCAGTTTGTATTTTCTGCTCACCAATGAGGGTAAGTACCTCTTCATACATGTGATAGTTTTGGAGTTTTCCATTCTGCAAATTGCCTGTCGTATCCGTTGCCCATTTTTAAAGTTGAGTGTCTCATCTTTGTGATTTGGAAGAAAACTTTTTTTTAAAAAATTGCAAATATGCAAATATCTACTTCCTATCTATCACTTGTTAATTTTTACTATGAAATGCTTTAACCAAAATCCTAAATTTCGATGTTGTCAAATTCAGCCATTTTAAAATTCGTGCTTTTTGGGTCTTTTTAAAAGAAAATTCCACCTGTCCTCAGTTTACAAGGACAAGGACATTATATAATATTTTCTTTTCATTAACTTCGTAAGTGTACTGTTCACAGCAAGTATCTTCAATCCCTCAGGTATTTACACTCACACATATGTAAGTATACATGCAATGTGAGTGAGATAGAAGTCCAACTTTATCTCCATATAGTGAGCCATTCTTCCTTGACATCATCTGTTAAATAGCATATACTTTCTCTAATACTTTGTGAAGCCACCTCCAGCAAATGACAGATTCCCACGTATCAATAGATCTAGTCTGTGCCTTCCATTTCTGCACCAAGACTTCAACACTTTGTATCATTATTTCTTTGTGTTATTCATAGAATCTGGTGGTATAAGTCTTTGCTTTTTGATATTTTTTCCAACTGATTTATTTATTCACAGACTTTATTCTTCCATATAAATTTTAAAATAAGTTCGTCAAGTTTCTTTAAATATCTTGCTTAAATTTCAGTAGCATTGTATCCAATATATAAATCAATTTAGGAAGAACTTACATCTTTACAATGTTAGATTTCTCCATTTATTCAAGTCTTTCTTTTTATCTTTTAATAGAGTTTAATTTTTTTCATAAAAGTCTCATATACTGAGTTAACTTTTGAAAATTTCATAGTTTTTGTTACTATTGTGAACTATATCTTCTTGTCATGTTTCATACTTGGTAATTATTAGTGTAGACACATGATACTGGTTTTTGTAAAGTTGATATTGTTTATCAAGCTTGCTGAATTCCTCAGTTCTTAGAGCTTGTCTTTTGATTTCATTGAATTTGTATGTAGATAATCATATCATCTACAAATAATGATAATTTTGTCTCATCCATTCTTATTCTTTTTCTTTTTATTTGTTTTTCTTGTCTTATGTTGCTCAGATTTTTCAGTACAATGTTGAAGGTTACTATGGTAGTTGGAATTCTTGTTTTCTTTCTGATTTTAAAGACTGAAATGTCTCCATTTTGTTTGATATTTGCTATAAAAATCTATTTTATAGACCTTATCATCTTAAGAAAGCTTTCTTCTATTCCTGCTTTTCAAAGATTATTTTAATTATAAATGTGTGTAGAATTTTATTAAATACTACCCTGGATTTGTTGAAAAGCTTGTGCTGAAGTTATAAGGGCACATGTACAGGCTGTTCATCAGAGTATTATTTGGAGTGGCAGGTAGTTGCAGGCAGCTTATGTGCCCATCAGAAGGGCAACAGGTAGGTAAAATGTGGTAGACACATGGAGTGGATTACTAGGCTAACATTCAGGAATAATGACCTAAAAATATATTTAGCAACATGAATAAATCTTAAACACATTGTATTGAATAAAGGAAAAGCTTAAAAAAAGATTGAGATCTATACAATGGTAAAATATTACATTAATTTTTAAAACATTAAGGACACCTGTATATGGGATATGTACTAATTTTTTAAGTAAATATATATATCCAAGAACAGACACAATAGATTATGTACTTATATAAGGGAATAAAACAGGAATGTGAATGGGGCAGAGAAAGAGAAAGCAAAAGACAGTATAATATAATATAGAACTTGCACAGACCCGTGAGAATCATACAAAATGAATCAAAGAATATGATTAATTCAATTTTCTGTACTTGGGGACTGAAAATTTAATAAATATAATAGCTAATGTTTATTGAATACCTACAGTATGCTAGGCATTATTGCCCCAGTTTTATAGATTAGGAAATTAAAGCTTAGGCAAACTAAGTGACTTGCCCAAGGCCCTACATTATGTGGCATAGCTGGGATCCCAATTCAAGTCTGTCAGCCTGTAAAGCTCACACTGTATCCACTCATCTTCTACTCTCCTCCCTCCAAGAAGGTGATCTGCCTTACTTTTGATGCAGCTCTTACTATAGGAAAAAGCCCAAAGCCTGTGTGTTATGCCCTGCTCTGCCATTCTATTTATTCTCCATTAGAATACCCTTTCATCAGGTTCTCTTGGAACATATTAACCCTGACTGCTGGCAAGTGCAAGAGACAATGATGGCCTTGGGCAGAGATGGCCAGCCTTGGACTTGGTTCAGTGAAGCTACTCTAATGAATAATAATAGATTTCTTTGAAAATGAAAGAGTCTGAAAGTTGTGAGTGATCATAAACTGCTGTGCTACAAAGGAGGGGCAGATGGAAAACACAGTGTGGACAAGGAATCTGCTTCTGAAAATCTGTGCTTTGTTTCTGAATGTAAGAATAGTCTCCAGCCCATGTTTTCCAAATTTACCACCTCCTGATACCACATTCCTTTTCATGTGACCTGCATTGATGTGGTAACATGACAGAGTGACAAGAAAGGCTAAGAATACATGAGACCTTTGAACAGTCAGATCCCTTCGATTTTCCAAATACTAATGTGTTATAAAATCAGAAATATTGATGATTTCTAATTATTATCTGCATTTTTCAACTCTCTTCTATGATTGCTATGATAACCGACATACAAATCAGTCACATTGTGCCTTCCACATAGGGTTTTTTAAATGCACGTGTACTTTCCCTGTGGGAGTGATAGATGCAGGAGGAAGATAAGAGGGGGGTTCCCGGAGAACCTCTGACTGGCCTGCACACTGGGAGAATGGGGTTGGAGCCACAGCAAGTTGGAACCAACCGCTGGCAGTGGGGAGGAGCCTGGGCTCTTCAGTTCCTATATGTGGCCTGGAATGAATCTCTGAGGTGGGGGCCTGTCGCTTTGCTGAAAGTTTTTTTCCTTCTCGCCCAATAAATTCTGCTTCCTCACCCTTCAATGTGTGTGCATGCCTAACTTTTCCTGGTCATGTGACAAGAACTCGGTTTTAGCTGAACTAAGGAGCAAAGTTCTCCATCAGTAGGGAGGCAGTACGGTAAGGTTACAGGTATGCATGGCATAAGGTTAATGTCAGGCAGACCAGAGTTTGTATCCCAACTCCATTGTTTACTAGCTTTCTCACCCAAGGAAATTTATGTAATCTCATTTAGGCTCAGTTTATTTGACTATAAAGTGGGGATAGTGACACTAGGATTTCTCAGCCTTAGCAGTATTCACATTTTGGACTGGAAAATTCTCTGTTGTGGAAGGCTGTCCTATGCCTTGCAGGATGTTTAGCAGTATCTCTCGCCTCTACTCACTAGATGGTAGTAGCATTCCCTCTAATTGTAACAGCCAAAAATATCTCTAGACATGACTCACTGTATCCTGGAGGGCAAGTCACTCCTGGCTGAGAATCGCTGAGATATGTCTACCCCAAGGATTGTTTTGAGGATTAAATGAAATAATAATGATGTTTGTATGGTGTTTGCCACACAATAAAAATTGCATAATTTATTATTATTATTATCGTGTGTGGTGAACAAATTTTATAAAAATGAATTCAGTACATTTTTTGCAGTGTGTCATACTTTTGAACTTGCATCAGGATCACTCCATGTGCATGTATTGGCTCAGGATACTGCTAGTCATAGGTGCCTCTTGTCTCATGCCACCCTTCCTTCACATTTTTCTCAGTCCACCTTTCAACTCCAGCCATTGCTATGGCAATCAACTGCACACAGTGTAACCTGATAGCATCGCACCTCAACTGAATCCTGTATCTCTCAGTTCTGTCTAGGGCTTCTCTGCTACAGCAGGACACCCACTCAGCCATACTGACACAGAAGCAAACCTCAAGTTAACACCTTCATGGGGCAACCTTTCGCCAAAAGGGGTGGGAGAATGTGGATAAATCCTCCCTCTTCCATCCACTGGGCAGACAATTCTACAGTGCATTCTTTAGCCTCACAGAGGGTCCGTAGTGGGGTCAAGTACCAGATGCCACAGAAGTCATGAGCTTGATAATGCATTCTTGAGTTGAATTTCATCCTCCCTTATTTCACTCTTCCCAGGCCCTCTCTCCTGTTCCTTGCTGTCACTAAAATAAACCACCCACTTTCAAGCCCTTATCTCAGGTTTATTTGGGAGGAAACTTAAGCTAACATAGTTCAGTAGGAAAATATAGTATTCATTCTAAAACAGATTCCATGCTTGCTGTGAAATACTGTAAATGGTAATGGTTCCAAGCATTAGTATCTAAATGTCCAAGCATTAGTGTCTAAATTTTATCAATGAGAAGCCACAGTCCGAAGATTTGCCTAAACTCATCCTGCAAGTCAGCTGTAAAAATTAGTTTTTCAGTTATTCAGTCTTGTCTGTGGCTGTAACTTAATTTTTTAAATGATTTTTTATTAGGTAGACCCTGATCATGTACAAGTGTAGGCCTGTTCACATCAGCTAATTTATTTGACAATACCCATGGTTCCTGCTAACACAAAATTAATTCCTCAGGCACAGGTGTAGGTGGTTCAACATCTGTAGAATTAGTGCATCAATATGTTACCTTCATTGGGCCTTCTTTTAATAATACTGGATTAATTTTGAACTGTCTCATTCTTTTAACTTTTTATTTTGCAATATATCACATTTACAGAAAAGTTGCAAGGATAACGCAAAGAATGCCCATAAACCTTTTACCAAGATTCACCAATTAACATTTTGCTATATTTGCCTTATTATTTTTTCTTTGTATGTGTGTGTGTGCATATATATATATCTATATATATATATATATTTTTTTTTTTTCTGGTCCATGTTGCAAAGAAGTTGACATCATGACCTTTGACTCTTAAATAGTTTAGTGTGCACAGCAGATCTTTGAATAATGTCGCTTCATTCAACATCATTTCCTTATAATGTTGATGAGAAAAAAATCTATTTTCAGCCACGGCCCCTGGAGTGGGCATATTCTTCCCATGTCTACCTGAGTTTTATCTGGATACTCCAATTGCCTCCCACATCCCAAAGCTGTGCGTGTTAGGTTCATTGGCATGTCTACAAGGTCCACGTCTAAGTGAATGTTGGTGTGGATGTGAGTGTTCCCTGCAATGGAATGGAGTCCTGTTCAGGAAGGGTTCCTGAGCTGCTGGGATAGGCTCCAGCTACCCATGACCCTAAACTGGAAAATGTGGGTAAATAATTATCTTACTTGTTTTTATTAATCTTTCTTAAATGTATGTATAGCTTACATTTCAATGTTTAATATTAGAAGTGTTTTGAGTCTGTATTTAGAAGTTTGGTGATATCTTTGTCACCAGAAGTAAGCCATAGGAACTTAACTCTTGTTTACATCAATTAGCCGCCTATGGTAAAATTGGTTTCATAATACGTTGTTTGGCTTAAAGTCGAAGTTTCCAAGAATCTACTGACAACGTTGAGGACTTACTATATTTGTTAGGTGTAAGAATATTTTTCATTCCCTTATACAACAACAGTACAATTATCTACATCAGGAGATTTAAAATGGGTAAATACTACTGATTAAACTATAGTCCATAGTTAACTTTGCTAAGTGTCCTCAAAAAAGCAATTTTTTTTCTGGCCTGGAATATGGTTAGGTCAGAATAATGCATTGCATTTAGTTGTCATGCTTTTTTACTCTTCTTGAATCTGTAACATGAACAGTCTTGCTTTCTTTTTTAAAACAAATTGTGAAAAATATATTATTGATATGTTCAGAGAAAGAAAAATTCACATTAAGCATTAGATGTTAAACTGCTTAAACATTGTAATGGAAATCTTTCCAAAATGCATCATCTGCTTCCTTGTCCCATTGTGCTCCAGAAAGGATTTAAGATTATTTCTATATGTACAAGATAAAAGAGGAGGAAATGGTTACAAGAGAGAGCTTTTCTATTCCCTAGTTCTTCCCCTAGTTTCCTCTCCATTAGGTTTGCACTTCCTCACATAAGCACTCTCTTTCCCTAAGAAAATCCATCCACCTCCAACAGGAAGTCCCCCATTCCAATGACCCAGTGATGTCATTTTGACTTTCCTCAGCTGTAAGCACTTTCCTTTGTGAGCTCTTTCTTCCATTACAAGAAAAAATTCTCTCTCTCTCTGTCTCTCTCTCTCTTTTTTTTTTTTTAATAGATGGAGTCTCACTCTTGCCGCCCAGGCTGGAGTGCAGTAGCACGATCTCGGCTCACTGCAACCTCTGCCTCCTGAGTTCAAGCGATTCTCCTGCCTCAGCCTCCCAAGTAGCTGGGACTACAGGCATGTGCCACCATGCCCAGCTAATTTTTGTATCTTTAGTAGAGACGAGGTTTCACCATGTTTGCCAGAATGGTCTCAAACTCCTGACCTCAGGTGATCCGCCCGCCTCGGCATCCCAAAGTGCTGGGATTACAGGCATGAGCCAGCGTGCCCAGCCAAATTTTTTCTCTTTTGATTTTAAAAGAAATTAAAACATTTTCATGGGCCCCCAAAAGCACTGTGGGCCCTATGCACTGTGCTTATGGTGCCCAACAGATAACACTGGTCTTGCTCTCACCCCCATATGCATTCTGCAAACTGAGTGATTAGATGTAGAAGCACACTCAGTGAATGCAGCAATCAGGTCAGGGATGGCCACTGGCTCCCAGGCCCTACAGAAGCGTGCAGAAGGTGGGGTGAGGGAGGATCCCTGGCCCTCTAATGTCAATGGCCAGGGTAGACCTGGGTCCTTTGCAGTAGTCCCTTCTGTGTGAGCTGCAGGCATGTCCACTTACTCTGTTTAATTATGGAATGTGTTAGAGCAGTGCATGCATCTCTCCCAAGGACAGGTAACATATAGAGGAGGGTAGGGAGCAGGACCGCCTCCATTCATACTGGGAAAGGAAATATTTTCTCAATTAGCAAAGCTCTTCCCTGTTTTCCCCAAGTCAGTACTTCCGCCCTTATTGTACGGAGTTGTATTTGGTGTCTTTCCAGCTCCAGCTTGGGGCCTACCAGGATAAACAAGGAAGTTAGATTCCCTCAACATTGGCTGCTTATTTTGTTACCCTAAGAAGGGTCTCCCAATTTATGACTATAGTAAGGACTCAGTTAAAACTTTTGATTTTCTCAGTGCTGGGTGATTGGAATGGAGGGATATCTTTCATTAGCAACTCTGTAAATAAAGGAGCATTACCAAGAGTAACAAACAGGCCTAAGATCTACAAAGTTCAGAGTTGTTGACCTCAGTCTGAAAAATTGGGAACAGTAAGCCTTCTGTTAACCACTGAACTCAGCCCCAGTAATTCCCTTACTGAACTCATGCCTCAAATAACAATGACCCCAATCCACACTATTGTCAGACTTCATGGCTAGTCAAGTCTTCCCACATGGAGTATGAAAGCTGAGATTTCTTGAGGTAATACGATTCAAATTTGGTAACATCCTAATTGGTTCAGACCCTGTTTTGGCTTAATACTATGGTAATATTCACTAGGCAAAGAGAAGGTTGTTGGGACATTGGGGCTTAGTCTTTGAGGGGGAATTTCCTGAGGGGGTGGGTGAGGGGAGTCATGAGTGACTCAGCTCCAACAGGACTGCTCTATTCTAATCTGTTTCATATATTGGGATTCTACATAAACTTTTGTTTGAAAATTAGATTCTGCTCTTTTAAAAACGAAGTTTGAAAGCCACCAATATAGTCTTTTTTTCTTACTTTTATTCCAGAAACTACCTAAGCAATCCTAAACAGAAGCTTAAATATTTAGAATGTTGATCTTTCATCCACCTAATCTCAAGGTGGTTCACAGGGAAAACCAGTAGCCTTGGAGTCCAAGACATGTAGAATCAGCCTTTGCTGTGCAGTGAGGAGCTGTGTGATCCGAAGTGAGTAGCTCCGCTTCTCAGTTATCTGTAACAAGAGGATTATAAAACTTAGCTCAACAGGGGGTGTTGTGAGTGTAAAATGGGATAATGTATGTAGGGAAGTACTCAGCTTAGATAGCCATATTGCAGCTTCAATAGAGTTCACCTTCTCTGAGCTGCCGTCTTCCCACTTAGGTCAACCTCATGTACTCTCCCTGTTAAAGGAACTTCTTCGCTACCCCATGGTACAAAACTCATTTTCTTTTATGTGGGTCTCAGCAAAGATAAAAGATGCTGTTACCAGAAAGGGGTCCCAATCCAGACCCCAAGAGAGGGTTCTTGGATCTCGCACAAGAAAGAATTTGAGGCAAGTCCATAGAGTAAAGTGAAAGCAAGTTTATTAAGAAAGTAAAGGAATAAAAAAAATGGCCACTCCATAGGCAGAGCAGCAGCATGGGCTGCTGGTTGCCCATTTTTGTGGCTTTTTCTTGATTATTTGCTAAAAAGGGGTAGATTATTTCATGCTTCCCCTTTTTAGACCATAAGGGTAACTTCCTGACATTGCCACAGCATTTGTAAACTGTCATACTGCTGATGGGAGTGGAGCAGTGAGGACAACCAGAGGTCACTCTCATCACCATCTTGGTCTTGGTGGGTTTTAGTCTGCTTCTTTACTGCAGCTTGTTTTATCAGCAAGGTCTTTATGACCTGTATCTTGTGCCAACCTCCCATCTTATCCTGTGACTTAGAATACCTAACTTATTGGGAAAGCAGCCCAGCAGGTCTCAGGCTTATTTTACTCAGCCTCTATTCAAGATGTTGTTGCTCTGGTTCAAAGGCCTCTGAAAATGCTGGATATCATTCTGAACAATGAGCCCTCATATGCTATAGAAAATTACTTCTTTAGTTACTTGTTTATTTTCTCTTTCCTCCAGAAGATTCCACCACGAGTACTTGAGCCTTGCCTGAGTGTTCACTGCTTTATCCCCAGCAACTAGAACAGTGCCAAGCAACTTGGCAAAATATTTGTTGAATGATTAAAGATGCTTGAAGACCATGAGAAAATTCCCCCATAGCTTTTTCTTCTCTGGTTTATATTGTCTCATCACTTCACATGCTTCCATAAAGAACCTTTATTCCAACTCCTTAATCATGTTTCTCAAATCACTCAACAACTTTGGCAATTAAGAAAGCAGAATACTAGTTAAAGTAGGATGAAACTGTTTACTCTCACACATTATGATATACAGAAATAAGTTTAATCTTTCTTCCTTAATTCAACTTGCTTACTGTCTAGGGTCTAGGCACCAGACTGTTATACTTAATAAATAAAGTGAGATATTATATTCATAATATCAAGAGAATGCAAGTGGAATTTTAAGCAGAATGGCAGGATTGCCAAAGTTGATGTCTAAATAATTGTGGTTAATGGTATATGCTACATGCTTATAGAATTACTGGTTAATAAAGGACATTAACAAATCTTTAAAGAAGACACCTAGGAGAGTACATCTAATTTTCCAAAATGCTATATAATACTTTAGATTATTTTAGCATGAAACAATGAAAAATAAGTTTAAAACTTTATTAGTCATGCTAGATGAATGCTGGCAAAATAAAGTGCTTTCAAACAGAGCAAGGAAGATGTAATGAGTAAGACATTCATTTCTTTTGGCTTCAAAAGGAATTTGTTAAGATTCATGGGAAGCATAAATATAATGTAGAAAAGTATAAAAAGAAGAAACATTTAAAATGGCATTTGAATTACTAAGAATTTTATGTTTAATTATGTATGGGGCATGATAAATAGATACTCACTTAAAACTTCAGAAAATACTGCCAGCCAAGTGTTTATAGTGCTCTGAAAACTCAGATACATAGCCCAGTGAAATACAGGGGAACTTTGTAGTCAATCTCTCTGATTTGCGTTACAGACTGAGAATCAGAGAGCAAAGCTGTCTGTGCTACTATGAGTTAATCACCTTTACATCACACCAGTCCTTTTCAATAAATGAATAATATTATTTCATGCCAAGATTTCTGCCTGTCATTTGTGTGGGGTAATCTATTCTAACCTTCCTAACCTTCCTAATGTGCTGGCTTGACATCTAGGATAGCGCCACACAAAGCTATTGGCACATTGGCCAGTTCAGTCTCCTGATTCAGAGTATCCCAAACAGGAATAGCATTGAATCTATTCCTATTAAACCAGCAATGACATTCTTCACAGAACTGGAAAAACTACTTTAAAATTCATATGGAACCAAAAAGAGCCCGAATAGCCAAGGCAACCCTAAGCAAAAAGAACAAAGCTGGAGGCATCACACTACACAATTTCAAACTATACTACAGGGCTATAGTAACCAAAAAAAGCATGGTACTGCTACAAAAACAGACACACAGACCAATGGAGCAGAATAGAAAGCCCAGAAATAGGGACACACTCCTGCAACTATCTGATCTTTGACAAAGCCGACAAAAACAAGCAATAGAGAAAGGACTCCCTATTCAATAAATGGTGCTGGAATAACTGCAGGCCATATGCATAAAATTGAAACTGGACCCCTTGTTTATACCCCATGCAAAAATTAACTCAGGATGGATTGAAGACTTAACTGTAAAATCCCAAACTATAAAAACCCTGGAAGACAACCTAGGCAATACCATTCTAGACATAGGAATGGGCAAAGATTTCATGACGAAGATGCCAAAAGCAATTGCAACAAAAAAATTGGTAAATGGAATCTAATTGAACAAAAGAGCTTGCGCACAGCAAAAGAAACGATCAACAGAGTAAACAGTTTACAGAATGGGAGAAAGTATTTGCAAACTATGCATCTGACAAAGGTCTAATATCCACAATCTGTAAGAAACTTAACCACATTTACAAGAAAAAAAAAAACCCATTAAAAAGTGGGCAAAGGACATGAGCAGACTTTCATGAACAGACTTTTCAAAAGAAGACATACATGTGGCCAACAGGCATGTGAAAAAAAAACTCAATATCACCAATCATTAGAGAAATGCAAATCAAAACCACAAAGAGATAACATCTCACACCAGTCACAATGGCTATTATTAAAAAGAACAGGGCTGGGCGCGGTGGCTCACGCCTGTAATCTCAGCACTTTGGGAGGCCGAGGCAGGTGGATCACCTGAGGTCAGGAGTTCAAGACCAGCCTGGCTGACATGGTGAAACGCTGTTTCTACTAAAAATACAAAAAATTAGCTGGGCATGGTGGCACGTGCCTGTAATCCCAGCTTTGTCTCTGTGATCCTTGTGCATTAATAAATCTGATTGACTGACTGATTTTGGATTTCTAGTTATCCCACTACCACTCTGTTTTCAGATATGGAATTTATACAGATTAAGCTAAATTGTAATCGTGGTAGAAGATAATATATGCCAGGTCGTAGGAGACACACATATTTGGACATTGATTGGCCACAGATAACCTTTATGGCAGCATCTTTCTGGAAATACTAGTCTTATCACTTGCACAATATCAAGATGATCAGGCAAATCAGACAAGTCAAAGCTATTACATACTGTTCCAATTACATCAAGAGTCTATAGGTGCAGATTTAATCTCAAGTATAAGTTCAAATAACTGAAATATAACTAGAATTCTGCCCAGTCCACATTGAGGAAAAAGGAGAATTATAGGAGTGGGAAGAGAGGGAGGAGGAGGAGACACATTGATTATTGTTTGGGGACACAGCTACGCTTAGACAAATGAAAAAAAAAATGAATAAATTAAGTAGCTACACATGAAGGAGCAACATGAAAATTAAAAGTACTTTGAACATGTACTTTTGGCATCACAGTGGCTTCTTCTAAGTTTAATAAATTGGTATAGTATATAATCCAAGTAATAAAAATAACTATAAATATGTGCATAATGAGTTATGAAAAGAAAAGCAACGAATTAGTCTGGGTTTTTTTTTTTTTTTTCATTTTTTGAGACAGGGTCTCTCTTGCCCAGCCTGGAGTGCAGTTGTGTGATCTCAGCTCGCTGCAACCTCTGCCAGCTAGGCAGGCTGTTATTATTAAAATAATACCGAAAATCAGAGTAAAAAAATTTGAGCTCTGATAATTGGAATGACTAGTGCCCAAATTTTATTACAGCTTCTAGTTATTTCTGTTTGCCTGCAGCTTAAATTTTAAGTAATATAAACCTATTAATAATAGAAACATAATTCTCAACAAAGATGTCTTACATATGATCATAGTTCCAGCATAATGACATGATAACAAGACAGGACATAGCTGATATTTAAGAGGAGATAGGTACATTCTAGTGTTCCAGTTGTAGAAAAATCCACATAAGGAACAATCCACAAATCCACACTACATCAACAATACTTAGGCCAAAATGTTGCGGACAGCTACCAAATTCCTTTGCCAAGTGTTCTTCAAGTTTTTCAGGTTAAAAATTTGGGGTTCAGAAGTCCCAGTGGACAGCTCAGCAGCATCACCCTGCTCACCCCCATGCCCCCATCCCAGTACACACACACCTCCCCTCCCGCTTCACTCACAGGCAAAAAGATTTTGTTAAGATTGGATCCCATCCACTATAGATGGCCTAAACCTGCAATCACCAATCTGTGAACAGGGAGGCTGTCCTCCAAAATTACAGTACCACATTTCCAAACCCAAACTTGGGAAATATGGAGGAATAGGCACATATTACAAAATATTATAAATTAAAAGTACCTGAGGAAATCCAGGACCTGAAATAAGTCGGGACCTGGAATCAATGGGCTTGACTCTGTATCACTCTAGAGCCAGTACTGTTTCTTTATATTACCAGTGTTCCCTGTCCATCACTGGGAATGCAGAAAATTAGAAAGCTCGTAGAATGATGAGGAACCCAGTACCAGAGCGACCCTGGACCCTGATTCCTGTAATCCTGGCCAGTGATGGTGATTATACTCCAAATCACATGGACTGGATACCTGAAACAGCAAGGCTGCTACCCATGTGGCCCCATGTCATGTCCACCTGGAGAGTATTATACTTATCTCACAAGATCACAACTGCTGTTAACCTGATACTGGCCCTCACCATAAGGTTTGTAGGCTCTTGTAAACACCATAAGAACTGCTGGCAACCACCCAAGGCATTGCCTCTAGTGAGTCAGCCCACCTTGTCCAAGAAGCCCTTCCCAGTCCTGTCTCCTGCTTCATTCCAAATATCCAGAAACTGAGACTCCACAAGCCTCCTGGTAAACCAGTGCTAGAGATGTGCCCCATATATAGATAAGAAAGATATATATATATATAAAAACATATATATTATATATATAAACATATATATTATATATATAATATAAACATATATATATATACACACAAAAAATAAGCCGGGCGCGGTGGCGGGCGCCGTGTAGTCCCAGCTACTCCGGAGGCTGAGGCAGGAGAATGGCGTGAACCTGGGAGGCGGAGCTTGCAGTGAGCTGAGATCGCGCCACCGCACTCCGCCTGAACGACAGAGTGAGACTCCGTCTCAAAACAAAAAACAACAACAAAAAAAACTTAGACTTAATGAAAGAGTACGATAGTGAAAGAACACAGACTTTGGAGTCAAATAGACCTGTTAGAATCCTGGCTCAGTTACTATCTGCATAATTGTCCATGATTAACATGTTGATTCTCAGTTTTCTTATCTCAAAAATTGAGATAATGTCTGCGTTATCTATTGCTGCATAACAAACAAACCCTAAAACAAAAAACATCGAGAATCCTGGTGTGGCCTAGCTGGGGGTCTCTAGCTCAAGGTCTCTCGTAAGATTGCAGTTAGGATGTCAGCCTCATCTGAAGGCTCACCTTGGGGAGAATCATTTCCAAACTCACTTGTGTGGTTGTGGTTGGCAGGACTCAGGTTTTTTTGGTGTTTTATTTTATTTATTTATTTATTTTTGAGACAGAGTCTTGCTCTATCACTCAGGCTGGACTGCTATGGCGTGATCTTGGCTCACTGCAACCTCTGCCTCCCAGGTGCAAGCGATTCTCCTGCCTCAGCCTCCCAAGTAGCTGGGACTACAGGCGCACGCCACCATGCCCAGCTAATTTTTTTGTATTTTTTTAGTAGAGACTGGGTTTCACCATGTTAGCCAGGATGGTCTTGATCTCCTGACCTCGTGGTCTGTCCGCCTCGGCCTCCCAAAGTGCTGGGATTACAGACGTGAGCCACTGTGCCCAGCCTGGACTCAGTTCTTAGCCAGCTGTTGGACCGAGGATCTCAGAGGCCTTTCTCAGTTTCCTACCACAGGGCAGTTCACGCCACATCAGTTGGCTTCTTTCAGAGCAACGAAGGCAGAGGGTGAGAAAGGGCTCCCAAGAAAGCAAGCTGGTCTTTGTATAACCTAATCTCAGAAGCTTCAGCCTTGCATTTCTCCCATATCCTATTCATTCGAAGTGAGTCACTAAATCCAAACCAAACTCAAGGGAAAGAATACAGGAGGGCATGGATACCAGGAGGCAAGGACCAATGTCAGTCATCGTGGCTGTGTACCACAATGCCTTTAACTAAAGAGTTAAAAAACAGAACAATACTTAGGTAAAGCATCCTGTGTATAGTAGGAGCTTAATAATAACAAATATTAGTGAATTAAAACATCTGGCAAAGAATCCTAACTTCAAAGCCACAAATTTGTACCTCCCCAAGAAGGCTTGATAAACCCTAGGTTATCTAAAGTTATCTAAAGGTGTTACTGTTTGATCACCAAGATGGATGTGCTTAATTATATTTCAGAATAAGTTTCAGCTAATGGAACAGAGATTTTTAAAACATGTACTTAACATATGAGAACCAGAAAAATCATAGGGTAAGGGCAGGTGTTCCTAGTTGCTAGGAGAACAAAATCCCTATAGAGATTAATCATTTTGAAGGTGATGCTTAATAATAACACTTATTTTTAACTGCAGTATTAGTGAAAACCATCAGGTGCCTAAAGTGCTGAGACTGGAGCCTGCAGCACTTATATTTCCCAGAAATAACATTAAGATGACTTAGTTTTTGATGAAGGACATTCATTCCTGAAATGCAATCCTCTGACAACTCTGAGGCTCCTACTGACAGTTATTTAAATTATTTGGTTCTACATTTGATCTAACATATATATCATGTGTTGGGATTATTTCTCAACACGACTGTTTCCCTGACAAGGCATACGCTTGTCCAACAGACTATTTTGAGTGCAGGGTCCCTGCTTTAATTTTATTTACATCCCGAAGTCCTAGCACAGTGCCTGCACATAGAAGCCACTCGAAAAATGTTGGTTAAAAGTTGCTGATTTTAGTCCCATTTCTTCCCCTTTTAAAAATAATTCAGATTAAGATGCTTAGCACTCATGGTCTCATAGGGCATTTTTTTTTTAGTATATTAGGTGAGATTCAGTAATTTTTTTTTGGGATAGGATCTCTTTGTCTCCAGGCTGGAGTGCAGTGGCGCGATCTTGGCTCACTGTAGCCTTGACCTTCTAAGTTCAAGCGATCCTCCTGCCTCAGCCCCTTAAGTCATTGGGACTACAGGTGCGCGCTACCATGCCCAGCTAACTTTTGCATTTTCTGTAGTAACAGGGTTTCTCTGTGTTGCCCAGGCTGGTCTTGAACTCTTGAGTTCAAGGGACCCGACCACCTTGGCCTCCCAAAGTGCTGTGATTACAGGCATGAGCCACTGCACTCAGCTTCAGTAAGTTTTTAAAACATTCATTTGAAGATCTGAAAATAAATCCATCATAAAAATCCAATTCTTTAAAACTTACTTGAAATAGCTTTTTTTTTTTTTTTTTTTTTTTTTGAGATGGAGTCTTGCTCTGTCGCCAGGCTGGAGTACTGTGGCATGATCTCAGCTCACTGCAACCTCCAAATCCCTGGTTCAAGCAATTCTCCTGCCTCAGCCTCCCGAGTAGCTGGGACTACAGGAACCCACCACCACGTCCGGCTAATTTTTTGTATTTTTAGTACAGACGGGGTTTCACTGTGTTAGCCAGGATGGTCTCCATCTCCTGACCTCATGATCTGCCCACCTCAGCCTCCCAAAGTGCTGGGATTACAGGCGTGAGCTACCGCACCTGGCCTTCTATTCTTTAAAACAGTAAATTGGTGATTATGACAACATAACAAAATATACTTCTTTAAAAGTGAATATTGAGTACAGATGAAATATGCTGTCTAGAAATGAAAAAGTGGCCATGAATGCGAATTTTCCAAGATGAAGAAAAGGACCATTCATTCAAGTTCAAGAATCTGTTGTCATGAATCAAGGGACAGTTCTATATTTCTGCTAAAATGTTAGGTGATTTCTTGTTAAGTTTCTGACTTTCCCTGTCAGTGAGTTCAGACTTCTTGATTTGACTCCCCATTTGCTGACAGATGCTGCGTTTCAAGCTGGAGCAAAGGTTTCTTTTCAGCATTGTGGCAGAGAATGGTAGATTTTAACCTATTTCCTCATTCTTGCCGCATATGTTCCTCCTTTGTCCTGCCACTCTTGCCGTTTAACACTTATCTTTCCTCTACTTTTCTCATGTTTCCTAGCCTCTGCCTTTCTTCTATCTGATCGTCTCTTCACTTTGTACTTTTATCCCCACCCCCATCTTTCTTTTCCTCTTCACTCCCCATCTATATTCACCACCTGCTCTATTTTACAATGCACTTTTCTTTTTACTCATTCATTATTGAATCCTTTTTTCTTGCCAATCCTGCTCCTATCTTCAGCTGGCCATCATAATTTTTCAAAGTCTGTGCTTAAATGAACATGTCAGAGTGTGTGTGTGTGCATGCATGTGTGTGTGCGTGCGTGCGTGTGTGTGGTGTTGGAGGAGGGCAGGTAGGAAAGAAGAGACAATAGTTAGTGTTTATTACCACTTCGTATTTTCCTATTTCAATAATTTAAGCATCGGCTGTTAAGAAGAAAGCTTGCCTCCCCTTCTCTCTGCCCATCATCATGTTCCCAGTTCTGATCCTACTCTTTTTAAAATGGCATTTAATTTAGTGAACAGGAGCTAGAGACAATACATGGAGGGCATCACATCAGAGCACTCAGGAAAATAAACTGGACTGAGAGAAAGGAGTATACTACTTATGCCCTTGGAGATGATTCCTCAGAATAAAGTGGAAAAGACAGGCAAGAAAGAACAAGAGGACAGGCTGAATTGGACTTTGTGCAACACAGAAGAGGCAAAGCCATCACATTCCAATTACCAATCTAGAACTAGTGAACTTACAGAAACTGCCCCAAGCCAAGAAATATCCCATGGGTGACGACTGAACACATTAGTGCATGGAGGATATACATTATAAACAGAGTCATTTTCCATCTCATTATTTTAATCATTTTGTCAAAAAATCTGAACATGTGTACATAAATACTTGATTTGTTAAAAGAATGTGTAGCATAGAAATCCCTGAGACACATTCAAAAATGACTTGACATCTTGACATGTATTCAATGCAAGTATTCACCAAACTAAATACCAAGGACTTGGCTCCTTTCCCTGATATTTGAGGCATATAAAGCTTTAAAAATATATATAATATACTATATATATAATTTACATCTTTAAAGTTAAATTATATTTTCTTTCTCTGATTCCTGGTTTTCTGCCAGTTTACTGCTCCTGCATATTGTCAGTTCCAGACTGTAAGGAAGCCACATTGGAAAGCAGATAAGCACTTTCAACCTTAGGGTGCCAGTTAGTAGAATGATAGCACGTGGAACTAGGAGGTCCCAACAGATGATTTTGTCTAACCCACTCATTTTGCAGTTCAGGTGACAGAGGCTCAAAGAGGTTGTGATTTGCAGAAGCATGGCTGGTTCTGCCACTGCTATTGTAATGTTATGCAAGTCCTTCAGTGGGCCTGGACCTTGGCTCCTTCCTCGGTAAAATGGACTGATGGTAATCACAGCGAATATTTTCCAGGTGCTTCCTACATGCCAGGCACTATCCTGAGTACTTCAAGTGTCTAATCTATCCTCTCAACACCTCCATAAATTATATATGCAAAGCGTAAAATATTTACTCCCTGGAAAAACGTTTGCCAATCCCTGGTTTAGATCCTTGAAAATTTAGAACATCTTATAATTATATAGCACTTTACAATATACAAAGCACCTTGGCATACATCATCACATTTAATCTTTGTTTTGTAGGGGGATAGGCATTCATGCATTGTAAAGGAGAAAGCTAAAACTCAAGAGTTTAAGTAACTTGCTTCATCAAGGCCACAGAGTCATACCCAGGTTCTGACTCCAAACTGCATGCTCTTTACATGAAACTCCTCTGTCTCCCCTAAATTACTGCTAGGAAAAGACTTGGAAACTGGAAAGAACTTGTGAATACTGAAAGCAAGTCAGACCGTCTTCTGTTACAAATGTCATTCCAGGTGCATTCATGTAATTAGAGTCATCAAGTACTAAAAATACTAAATTTGTAATAAATTTGAGGGAAAAGCCTTAAAGGAGGACATGACAATCATAGGAAAGGCATTTTGAAATACATACAGTGCACCGATATGCATTTTTCTTAAGGTATGTTAGAGCTGAACCTACTCAATTTAATATATGCAAAATAAAATGAGCAATTGCCACATTCATCTCGCTCTCTGATGAGATTAGTGTTAAATTGTTCCACATTAACAATGTGTATGTGAATAAAAATGCAATGGCTGGGCACGGCGGCTCACACCTGTAATCCCAGCTCTCTGAGAGGCCGAGGCAGGTGGATCACAAGGTCAGGAGTTCAAGACCAGCCTGCCCAACATGGTGAAACGCAGTCTCTACTAAAAATACAAAAAATTGGCCAGGCGTGGTGGCAGGCGCCTGTAGTCTCAGCTGCTCGGGAGGCTGAGGCAGGAGAATCGCTTGAACCTGGGAGGCGGAGGTTGCAGTGAGCCAAGATCACGCCACTGCAGTCCAGCTGGGGCTACAGTGCAAGACTCCGTCTCAAAAAAAAAAAAATGCAATTATACCTTCCTCATGCTAATTATTCCATAAATAATATGGTTAGTTCTAAATGGACTTAATACTAAAAAAAAATTGGTAAAATAATAGATACCAATTTATAGAGCTTTACCAAAACGAACCAAAAAAATATTTTCAAAGAAAGCCTAGGTGCTTCTTCCTAGTTTGCAAGTCAAGCTTAATCTAAATGGTGATTTAGATTATCCTTTTAATTTATTCTACAACATACCTTAAGATATAATTTTAGACCTATAAATAGATATGAGGACATCCTGAAATCACTGCAAGCAAAGAAGGAAGATATAAAATCATCAATTGGGTGCCTGCTATTTTAGGTACTTTCACTTACTTCCTAAAGTGCTCAAAATGAGCTTGTGAAGTATTTTCGCCAGTCATTTTATAGATGAGGACGCTGAGGCTCAGGACTACTACTAATTTACCCAATGTCACATAGCTGGAATTCAAATCTAAACTAGGTTACCTTCAAAACCTGAACTCTTTCCCACTGCCCCATGTGGAATCCCGGTAACACCAAGATCACTGACTGTTATCTCATAAAAACTCATTTTAAGAACTGAACTTTTATCTTTATTCGGTGGCTGGCACTTTGTAATTGTAATTCTGCCCACACTTTAATACTTTAATGAGGACATTTTCTCCACAGCTTTTCATTTGTCCTCTCAAGAAAGTGAATTGAAGCACCTAGATTTAAGTGAGCTTTTCAAGTATGTCTGCAAAAACATGTACAGAGAGGTAAAACTTGCTTTATGATTCAGAGAACTGCACTAATCAAATGCAAAATGACTATTTACAGCAGAACTCTGTATAAAACTAGTTAATCTTGACCCTACCCACAATAATTAGTCACTGAGGGTCCTTATTCTAATAAGTGGAGGAGAAAACTCCCATTATTTCAGGCTTTAAGTCAACTAGCTTTCTAATATTGATTTATGGTATCATTAAGACTGTCACAGTAATCAAACAGGTTCTGCCAATTGTTTTATCAGTCACCATTTACTTTTTGGAAGTGATAGATTGTAAGAGCCCTAAAGAGAAGGACTTTGCCTTGTATAATTCTCTATCTTCCCTAGGGCCCCAAGCTCAGTGTCTGGCAGAGTAGGCATGTAGTGGCACCTGCTGAATATGCTGCTTACTCAGTAACTTGTCAAGTCAATGCATGTATGTTCAAGATTGGTTCCATAGCACAGTCTCAAGGGCACTAGAAATGTGAGGATATGCTATACCACTGCATTGACTGTGAGGGGAACCTGCTGGCACCAGGGAGAAGCGCAGATTTAGCCTTTAACAAGAGACAGAGTAAGTTAATAGTAGGCACTAATGTAGTTCTGAGGATCTAAACATTTAACTAAAAACTGTCAGAGATAAACAAAAACTGCCAACAACAGATATCATGAAACTTTTTTTCCTTTTGCATGATTCCATAATGTAGTGCAATACCTTTCACTGTTCTGCAGAGGGTAATGCCAGCACTCCTGCAGGACTGGCATTGCAGTTTAAATTTCAGGTCCAGTAAAGACATGAAATAAATAATTGTGTGGAAGTGACACTATGGCTTCCTTCTCTTCTGTCTGTAAACACAGACTGGTTTTCTGGGAAGAGGGAAAAAGGTTGCTTCTGCTTTATTTTCACATCTGTAATTTTAATATGATTTAAAAAATCCAGGTTATAGAAAAACATAAAGACAGAAGAAACAAATTAGGAGATGACTATTCACATTGTAAAGGGATAAATTCTCCATAGGGTTTCATTAAATACTGAACTCCCCTAAGTCAATGAATTTGGGACTTGATTTAAATGCAGCTTTTCAGGAATACATTTCTTATGTAAAGTGAGGTACACGCATGTATTCATCTTAAGTTTCCTCCAAGGACAATCCAGCACTTTGCTTCCATTCACAGGACAGGGGAACAGATAGTACTTGTGAAAGAAGTCAGCGGCCCCTCTTGGACTGCCCTCCTCACCTTTCTCAGGAGCCAAGGCTGTGAGGAATCCAAACAACAAAGTCCCACCTGCAGCCACAGTCCTTCCACTCTCCACCAACAAGGCTCCTTCTACAACCACAAATTTGCTTCACCTTGGTCCAGAAAAACGTGAATCGGGAACAGTTGTGTATGAGATTTGGAAGCTGCACGGGCCACAAATATGGCCTGTGGCAGATGGGGAAATTCAGGAAACCGCCTCAACGGCTTCTTGCCGCTAAGCTATTTCATTTCTGCACTGGTTACAAGGTGAGGAAGAACCCCCTCCTTCACCCCTAAACAATGATGCCCATCAGCAGCAAAGGGAGCCCAATTGCTAGCTGTGCAAAAAATATGGAAACCGGGCCCCCATCTCTGTGCTGAGTAATATTAATTGGTAAATCGTTTTTTTCCCATAGAGCAAAAATGGGTGTTTGAAGAACTTACTCCCATGATGCGGCAGTCAAGGAGATGCACAGTAGAGGATCAAAAAGCTGACAACTTGGCCTCCCCTGGGTCGCTTCCAGGGGAGCGCGGCTTCACCGCTCGAACCAGCTGGCCAAGTTCCGTATGCTCTTGGGCCGGTCCCCAGCCCTCTGTACAGCCTGGCACACCCGGCACCAAGGCTCGTCCCAGAAGGAGGTGATGTGGACAGCGTAGCTCCGGCGCCAGTGGAAGTAGCGGCGATAGACCGCGGGGTTGCGGTCGAGGAAAAGCAGGTACGAGGCCAGGGAGGAGGCACTTGGGAAGTCGTCCACGTGGATGAAGGCGCCGCGGGGCACAAAGCGCTCGTAGTTGGCACGGTCTGGGCCCAGCACCACCGGCACCGCCCCAGCGAGCAACGCGTTGCGCCAGAGCTTCTCGGTGATATAATCCAGGTGCTGCGAGTTCTCGAAAGCCAGGTAGAACTTGTAGCGGGCCACTGTGTGCAGGAGCCCAATTTCGGGCACCGGCTGCCCCGGCCCGCCCCGGCCGAACACGTCCACGGTCACATGTTGGCTCAGTTGGTGGTAGTAGCGGACCCGGGCCTGGCGCTCGTCCCAGTGGCTCACCACCCATGCCACCAGCCCCTGTTTCCTGGACAGTGGCGGGGCCAGGCCTGAGGGCGGGTCGCCGGGGTGGCTTCTGGGGTAGAGGTAGCCATAAGGCACAAAGACGTCCGAGTCCGCCCGGTAGGAGAGCGTCCAGTTGAAGAGGTTACTTGCCAGGCTTCGCAGCCCCGGGGAGTGCGAGGGCGACTCGAAGTTCATCCAAACCCAGCGCTGGCCCGGGGGCCTGGGGCTGGAGGTCGCCAGGGCTTCTGCCGCCGCCGCTGCCTCCTCGTAGTCCAACACGCGCAGATCCACCTCCTCGGCAGTGTGCGCCTGGATGCCCCAGGGCGGGGGCCAGTCGGGGGGCCCCTTCACGAGGTCGCGGTGGTGGAAAAGCACGGCCTGAGCCTCTCCGTAGGACGCGCGGTCGGTGAGCAGGCGGCAGCCGCTGATGTTGAAGCGCAGCCGGCAGTCAGGGGGCGGCCTCGGGGCGCTATCGCGCCCCCCGAAGGGCTCCCACCACAGCAGCACGCCCACCGGTCGCGACGGGGTTGGCGACGCCCAGGGCAGCGGCGGCAGCTGCCCCCAGCAAGCGTAGGTGATCAGCGCCGTACACGTCAAGCCGGCGGCCGCCAGCACACAGACGGTCCATGGCAGCCCCCGGCCTCGGCGCCACCCGCGCCGCCCGCCCGCCGCCGCCGTCGGCGAGCCCCACGGTGCCCCCATGGCGCGAACAGGCAGCGCTGCCTCCGCTCGCCACGCGTCCGCAGGCGTGGAGGAGCGGCACCGGCTCTCATGCTGTAGCTGCGGCTCCAGCCGTCGCTGCCGCTCGCCGCTGGCCCGGGAATGGAAGGGGGCGGTCCCAGAATGCAAAGGCCGCGGGCCCTGCCCTGCTCCTCCCAAGTGCCGGGCGGGGCGAGCCGCCAGGGCAAGGTGAGCTGGCCAGGACGCCCAACCGGGCACCGCCCGTCCCTTTCTTCCACTGCGCCCGGGGCCCAGCCGGCCCGACCAGGCCCCGGGAGCCTCCTGCGGCGCCTCCGCCCACTCCTTCTCCCAGCCCGCGCCCGAGGGCTTCCGGGCCGCGCCCCACAAGCGCCTCATCCGCTACTCTTGATTCTCTCTCAACTGATCCGGTTTCCCTCTGCGCGCGCCCACCGCCCTGGCCCTCGCTCACTGTGGCCCGAACCCTCGCCTTCCAGAGGGAAGGCCCGGTTCATCCCTGGGAAGGTACAGGAGGCTCGAGACCTTCTAAAGCAGCTGCCGCGCAGGAGCAGGCCCTAGAACAGACGGAAGGCGGACCCGGCGCCGCGGAACGGAGGATAGCGTCGGCTTCCTGCCGTTGGGCCTAGCCACCCGCCAGCGACGCCCGCCGGAGGGAGGGATTGAGGGAGGGAGGGAGTCCAGAGGCCGGGGGAACGTGCGAGCAGAGGCGCGGCCACCGCATCCGTGGCCAGGATCTCGTGGCCCGCCGAGACGGTCGAATTGTGGAGGCAGCCCGCAGCGGCGTGGCCTTCAGAGTCTCTGCATTTGGTGAAGAACTTAAGTTTTCAATGTGAGTGCTCATAAGAACATTTCCTTTGCCTGCCAGCCCAGTAAAGGATAGAGAACAAAATGTTTTCTTAGCAATCAAAACATGTTCTTTCCTTTGGTCCCCTACCAAATAAGTCTGACTTGCCGGCTCATAGTAGTATTGCTTGTACCAAGACGCACAGGACTCATAAACCAAAGATGAAGATGTGACCCCCCCAAGGCCCTTGTCGTCAAGGAATTTATTGCCTGTTCAGTGAGATGAATGAATGAATATCACTATTAATTTTACCAAGCACTTAAAAAACATTTTCTGCACCCATGAAAGTTATGCAAAATAGTTTGGATGATAAAATGATGACGAAGATAAATATTCTAGCACCCAAGTTAAGGGTGTAAAGACAGTATCGCACTGGCCTCTTCTACCTTATTAGGCGACACTGGAGACATCTACGTCTACAGTCACTTGAGAAATTTTTTACCTACGGGTTGAATTTGAATTTCTGGGTGTTCGCTTTGGTTTATGATATTCAACTTTTATTCAGGGGATTTCCAAATAGATCAGGGGCGGGGCTGCTGACCTAAGGAGAGGAGAAAGTTTTGAGAGAAGTTTTAGTAGATCACAGCTGTGCATCAGTGGAGTCCCACTGATACTAGGGGAGAAATAGACAGTGCTGGGAATGGGGCAATCCTGCCAGGTGTTTTTGATGTTATGCCTACAGAAAATAAATTTGCGTTAGCCATATGAATTTAAGAATGTTTTCATTAAAAATCAAGTATAGGCCAGGCGCGGTGGCTCACGCCTATACTCCCAGCACTTTGGGAGGCCGAGGCGGGCGGATCCCGAGGTCAGGAGATCGAGACCATCCTGGCTAACACGGTGAAACTCTGTCTCCACTAAAAATAAAAAAAAATTAGCCAGGCTTGGTGGCGGGCGCCTGTAGTCCCAGCTACTCGGGAAGCTGAGGCAGGAGAATGGCGTCAACCCAGGAGGCGGAGCTTGCAGTGAGCCCAGATCGCGCCACTGCACTCCAGCCTGGGCGACAAAGCGAGACTCCGTCTCGGAAAAAAAAAAAAAAAAATCAAGCATTGTGTGTAAAAGCTTCTATAAAAGTGGCTTCCGGGTGGCGCTCTCTGCAGGGCCACAGCCTCAGTTTGGAGACTAGATGGAGGATGTTAGGTGTTCTGGCTAGGCCCATCAACCTAGTAACATTTCCTCCTGCACAGTAAAACCTTTCATAATGCTTCTGGGGTTTTTTGTTTGTTTGAAAAACAGAAATTAGAAATCAAATATTTTATTTGAAATTAGACATTTCAGTGACTTTTTTCCACTCTTACTTTTAATTAAAAGAAAAAGCTATAAATGCACAAATTACTTGTTTAAACGAAATAAAGGAAAAAGTGTATTGGCTTCTCTTTTTATGCAATTCAAGAATCCAGCCATTTATTCACATTCTTCTCCCTCTTCAGTTAAATAAGACATCACAGATAGAGCCTAACATTGTGTCTGGCACGTGGCCGGTAGGCATTTGGGAAATATTACCCTGCTTGATTGCTTCCTTCCACCACTCCCGATTTTCTCTTAAGCCTCCGAATGTTCCAATTAAGCCATCTTTTTACCTGAAGAATGCCCGAGGTCTCATGCATATCAATTTTCTTTGTGCCCTCTTACCTCGGTAGGGTTGAGACCACAAACTGCCCCTACTATACCCTTATTTGATGTGGGAGGAGGGGATACTAGGTAGTAAGGTGTGTCTGGATGAATGGAAACCAGTCGTGACTTCGCAAATTGCTGGTTGAAGGTCATACGTGATCATTGTGCATCTCATACATGCACAAACATTCACAGGGGACTGGATTGTTCTTATTTTAAAAGAGCCATTGGTAGGGTAGAGGAGAAGGAAAGGGAGGAAAGGAGTTATGGGAAATTAATAAATTTACTCACTTGTTCATTTAACAAATTGGGAAACAAATGCAAAACACGGTTTCTACCTTCAAAAATCTACGAGAGAAACAGATAGTGGGGAGGGAAGGGATCATGGAAGGCTTTGAGGAGGTGGCTCCTGGAATAATTAGGAATCATTACAATGCAGAGGAAGAGGGCTGAGGTGTTAGTTGCCACAGAGGGAGCAGCACTGCAGAGGCCAGGGAGGGAAGACTGGGGCAGTAGGCGAGGAATTACTAGGGTATAGTTTGGCGAAGGAGATGGTGTTTATCCTGCAGGCTGTCGAGAAAGTCCTTGGAAGGCTTTAACAAAGGAAGGAAGCGATATTCATTTTTAAAATGAATTCTTATTTTTATTACGTATAAGGAGGGTGAGTATATGGATGGGGACACGGGGGGGCTGCGGAATGCTGACTGTTAATGTAGGCTCTGGTTAATGGGTGTGTTTGGTTATGGAAGTTCATCAAACTGTATGCTTACATATGTACTTTTATGGGTGGACATTATACTTTAGAAAAAAGTTTCTAAGAAAAAATCATTCTGTCATTAGTAAAGAGTGAGTTGGGTAAAAATAGGGTAAGAGTAGGGGTGTGGTGGTGTGCAGTTGGAAAGTTATTGCTGTAATTCAGATGTGAAATAAAGAGGGCCTGAACTGAGACAGTAGCTGTGAGGATGAGGAAGAAAATTAAAGGAGGATAGATTCAGAGAGATTTAGGAGGCTGGTTTCTTTCTCTGGGAAGCCTTTCTGGATACCCACAAACATATATCCAGGGTAGTTTACATGGCCCTCCTGTGCACTCTCACACATGCTGCACCTTTCAGAACATCATGGGACATCCAGAGATCATGACTGTTTCATTCATAATTCCATCCTGAACACCCACCACGGAACCAGGTTTCTAGTAGTGAATATTTGTTGAATGAATGTATGCCCTTAATGTATCACCGAAATTATCTGTTGGTATCTCTTTCCCCACTACAAAATGAGAAGACATCCGGAGATCTTGGCTATGTGAATGACTTGCTATGACCTTGAAATGTCCCTTAAGCTTTCAGTGGAAAATATTGTACATGTATTAAGCATAGTCCTGGCAACAGGCATCAGAAATGATATCAAATTAGACTGCTGTCATTGGCCAAACCTGGGATGAGTGCTCATTCTTGAAGCAATCACTGTGGTCAGGGAATGGGTACTCTCTTTAGACCCTCCTCTGGAGCTAGAATCAGTCCCATCTGAATAACAGATGTGGAATAATCTGTTATTCTTGAATAACAGTGCGGGGAGAGAAGTTACCCAAAAGAAAAAATGAGGTGGTGTTACCTGAAAAAGAGGGAAAGGATGCTAGGTGGGCAAAAACATGTCTGCTACCCATGTGGAAGGAGATATTACTATTCTTACAATGAAGAGGCTGGACTAAATGAACTCTGAATCATCTTAGATTTCGAACATGGAAGAATAGTCCATGATTCTTTTACATTTGGTAACAAATGATTCTTTGTGCATTTAAAGGCCTCTCAGTTTCCACAAAATATTGCACAGAAAGAACTAGCTTTCAGTTGCCAGCATGAAGATGAGATGGGCATGGAGAAGGGTCTTTGGACCCTGAGGGTTGCAAAAGTAGTGTAGAAGAGAGCTCCATAATTCAAGACTTAATTTATGACACTGAATGAGCAATGAACTCACAACATGCCAAAAGTGACCTATTCGGTTCCAAAATTTTATATTGGACAGAATTCTTTGGGAGCAAGAACCAGGCCAACTGTGGTTCCTAAAATTCGAACTCATTCCTTATTCTTTCTCAAGGATATAGTTCATTTGATAATAAGACCATCCTAGTTCATTTTAAAGGCTCTCCCAGTGTTACTCACCAGAGACAGATTTGATATTTCCTATGGAAGCCCCAGAATAGGTTCTGACTGCCTAGCTTTCTAGGCGGAGCCAAGCTCTGTCAGCATAAACTCCCTGAGATTCAGGCTACCCTCAAATGGGTTGTTACCCTTGGTTGGCTCTGAGATTTCTGTGTCTGAACATTGGCCTGCTAAGTATGTTTTAATTTTTTTTCCTTGAAGAGAGAAAAAGGCAGTTGAGTCCCTTCCTACATTGTGTACTTACCAGGAAATGCTGAGGGCGTCAGTGAGCAGGTGTGGTTGGAATGGCTAATCTGTGTGCAAATAGGTGGAGGCAGTTTCCTTTGTCAGGAACAATTTTTTAACCTTGCATAGTTGGACAGATAAGTATGGAATGGACTGTTGGTTAAAAAATCAAAAATTGTGTACAATCAATGACACCCACAATCTATTGTTCATTGCCCTGCAAAATCTTTTACAGAAAAATAAAACTGCTGGAGCGGTGGCTCACACCTGTAATCTCAGCACTTTGAGAGGCCGAGGTGGGCAGATCACATAAGGTCAGGAGTTCGAAACCAGCGTGGCCAACATGGTGAAAACCTATGTCTTCTAAAAATACAAAAAAAAAAAAAATTAGCTGGGCGTAGTATCGCATGCCTGCAGTTCCAGCTACTCGGGAGGCTGAAGCATGAAAATCACTAAAACCTGGGAGGCGGAGGTTGCAGTGAGCCGAAATCATGTCACTGCACTTAAGCCTGACTTTGTCAAAAAAAAAAAAAAAGAAAGAAAAATAAACCTAACATAAATTTGTAAGTGCTTTTCTTTTTATCTAAGTGTGAAAATGTACTGGCCCTAAAAGAAATTGTTATAGATAGTCAATATGGGAATTTATTATATTTACTTTAGTGTTATACTTTTTATGCACTCAAGTTCTTCCTGTACACTTACTTGACAGAATAGGAAATGCAAGAATTGTGGATGCTCAGAAAAATGGACATAGTGAAGTTTTGGTTAAAATCGGAAATGCAGTCGTCCTTCCATATCCATTTGCACAGAAAGAACTAGCTTTCAGTTGCAAGCATGAAGATGAGATCAGGCATGGGGAAGGGTCTTTAGACACTGAGGGTTGCAAAAGTAGTGTAGAAGAACCCGCATGGATATGAAAATCTATAGATGCTCAAGTCCCTTATATAAAATGGTATAGTATTTGTATATAACCTGCACAATCATCCAGTGTACTTTAAATAATCTCTAGATTACTTTATAATATCTAATACAATGTAAATGCTATGTAAATAATTGTTATACTCTATTGTTTAAGGAATAATGACCAAAAAAAAAAAAAGGTGTGTACACGTTCAGTACAGACAGAACCATCCTTTTTTTTTCCGAGTGTTTTCAATCCGAGTTTGGTTGAAGCCAAGGATACGAAACACACAGATATGGAGGCTGACTGTATTTTCATGATATTTTAAATATTTCAAGGGTTTACCTCTACATTCTCATTAAACTACCTTTTCCTAAAATAGAGTTTATTTTCAGTCATGTGGAAAAAATTATAGCATACAAGGCTTACACAAAATAAAATTATTTTGACATTGAGATAAACATGTTAACATCATACAGTGCAATGCCTGGCACATGCCTGACAAATATTTAATACATATTTATTAAATAAATTAATGAATGAATGAACATCACTATTTATTTTACATTTCTTGAGGCACTAATGAAACAGTTTAATTCCTGCACTTATGAAAATTTATATGAAAGAATTTGGACTATAAAATAATGATTAAGATAAATATTATGGTACCCAAGTATAGGGTAAAAATGGTAACTATCACATTGTCCTCCCCAGATCTAATCCAGATTCACTAACACTGTTCCTTGCCACCATCCCAGGTCTACTTGAATCCTCAAATGAGTTAGCACAAATCCTGTACAGTTTCAGAAAATCAAATATGTGTGGTCTGGGCTTACTGTGGTACCTGCTCTCAGTACTTCTACATGGCTGCACCCTAACTCAAGGTAGCCAGAGTCTAACTCAGAGAGGTAGACCAACTCTCTCCAGATGGAGGAAGGGATCTTGAGTACCCTCTTCCTCCCCTTTTCTGGCCTCATTTCTTACACAGACCCAGGACATGCTTCATGGAAGAAAATAGAGAAATGATGTCTTTTCCCTACAGGTAAGGTAATTCTTCTTTGACCACACCAACAGCCAATTAGCACAGAACAGTGGTTCTAACTGGGCTCAGTCACATTCCTTCCTATGATTCTTCCTCTAAAAGGGCCTGGGGCACTTGCAATATTAAGAAATGCTTGTTGAATTGAAGTGGACAAAATTAGGGACATATAGTAGATTTTTGACAAGTATAGAAAATGAAAGGGTAAATGCATGTTGCTTATGTTACAAGGAAGAACACATTCCTGAAGTCGGACAGCCAATTTTATAGTTCCAGATCATGCTTTCTGTGGCCAAATAAACCACAGCCCAGAAGTCTTGCACAATGTATAAGGGTGAAATCACATTAATAATGCTGGCTATAATAATATTATTTTTAACCACTCCAGAGAAAATGTTTGGTCTGTATTTAATCTTAGTAATGTTTAGTGCAAGTCAATAAACTTTTGGTCTTGGGCTGGGGGAGGGAGGGAGGGGGAGAGGGAGAGAGAGAGACAGAGAGACATAACTGCATTGCAGGAACAACTCTTCTGGCAGCACCATTGGGCACTGCATGAAAAGATAGCCTCTTTCTTGAGTGAGCTCACTGTTCAAACACTTAGTTTCCTGGATCATCCAAGGCAGCAGGGAAATAGCGGCAAGGCTTCAATGAAAAACGTAAATGCATTCTGACCACCCATTCACTAAGCCCACTCTTCATCTTCCACCACTGAATAGCTGTTTAGCTTCCTTGGCTCCTTTGAAGCTCTCCCATTTCCCGATTCACAGTTTGACAAATACTGATGAAGATTGCTAGTAGAGATTTTGATATGATGATCCCAGTATTTGCTGAGTTACTTAAAAAGACAAAACACTTTAGGTTTTATTTACTTTTATATAATATGGCATGACTCCTTTATCATTAGGAGGCTTGTGGTGCTATTTTCAAAGTGTTTCCAAGCAATACAGGGCTGAGAATTGTTCTATATTGATATTTTTAGGGGTACATTAGGGTCAGATCTTATTTGGGCTTACAAATCTGCAAAAGCTATAACTTCCATTCAGTAACATTTATTGAATGCCAATTATGTGCCAGGCATATGATGTGTAACTGAACAAACAAAAAATATCTGCCCTTGTAGGACATGCCAACTATCATACTCAACCCACCCATTTTAATTATAGCTTCAAAGCAATTCCAAACCTGAGTCCAAAGGTTGATGTCAGAAGTTGTGAATGTATTAGACTTTCAGTAACCCTGACCAGATGCCTTTTGAAACCCTATTTCCTTGATTGCCTTATCAATTCATCCTTTATGACTTCTGTATTGATCAAGTGTCATTGTCAGAGTAAAAAATTAGACACTCGTCTTTGCAACTTTCTCATCCCCATGTACCATTTGTTAGGCAAGGCTTTTCAGAATGTCAAAAAAAAATTTCAAGTTAAAAGGAAGCAAGTTTCCTTTGGGGGAAGGAGGTAGACATGAGTCCCTCCACTCAATACTTTCCACTCTCTCTCCTTTAGTTATGGAGATGTGATGTGGAATTATAAATTAGAAGGAAGCTATTTAGCCCACAGACATGTGCTACAAGCAAGAACTGTAATTAAGCCAGATAAAACTAAAGGTAGCTGTATTAATTAGGATTTTTTTGGTTACGAACAGCACATATAGAGAAAACCAGCCATCACAAGCCCTGCTCTCTAGACACAATGTTCAGCAGATCTCTATAACTTATTCACATTGCACAACTGAAATTTATGCTTTTTGACTAGCAATTCCCCCATTCTCCCCAGCAGTCCCCCACCCCCGCCCCTGGCAACTGCTCTTTTCTTCCATGTGTTTGACTGCTGTAGATTCCACGTATAAGTGGAATCGTGTAGTATTTGTCCTTCTGGAACTGACTTATTACATTCAGCGTAATGTTCTCCAGGTTCATCTATGTTAACCTCCAATCCCCCGTCCCGGTGTGTATGTGTTTTGATAGGAGCTGAAACATTCTGGAAACTAAGGAGGCGTAGTTCTTGAAATGGACCATGTTGACTACAAAATTGATCACCCTATTTTCATCCCAAGTCCTACTGATTTCTTCCTTCCAGAGTGTAAACTTGCAGATTTCTGTCAGGATTAGGATTAGGGAGAGAGTAATCTAGGCTATGAAGAACACATAAGGGGTTTTGTATGTGTTGTATGGGAGGAGGTGGAAAAACTCCTTAAAATGCCAAGTGTAGAAAAATTGGATACAGAATGAATGCTCATCAATAAGGCCGAGGTTAAGTAAATTTTGGTACAGCCATATCATGACATATAACCTATAAAATCATAATTTAGTCAAATATTTTACATAGGAAAATGATCATAATGTATGGCTAAGTGAAAAAAATGAGGGCCACAAAATGTATATAATATGATACCACTTTTATTAAAACCAAAAACCTCTTCATTTTATAATTTCTATCTCTATAAATATTTCAGTTGTAAGATAAAGGATGTGTTAATAAGATAAACCATGGGATAGAGCTCTTTAAAAATAAGATTTAAGGCCGGGTGTGGTGGCTCACGCCTGTAATCCCAGCACTTTGAGAGGCCGAGGCAGGCGGATCACGACGTCAGGAGATCGAGACTATCCTGGTTAACACGGTGAAACCCCGTCTCTACTAAAAATACAAAAAATTAGCGGGGCGTGGTAGCGGGCGCTGTAGTCCCAGCTACTCGGGAGGCTGAGGTAGGAGAATGGCGTGAACATGGGAGGCGGAGCTTGCAGTGAGCCGAGATCGCGCCACTGCACTCCAGCCTGGGCAACAGAGCGAGACTCCGTCTCAAAAAAAAAAAAAAAATTAAAAAGTTGTCTAAAAAAAAAAAATCTGTCCCAACAGATGCAGCTGTAAGAAAATAGTTTTCCCAATCAATTTGGTTTTTTATTTTCTACTTTTAATCTGTGTACTTCAAAGATGCTTTTGCCATGACTATTTGGCCAAATTAATTAGTGGGCTGTGGCTGGGCATGGTGGCTCATGCCTGTAATCCCAGTACTTTGGGAGGCCAACACGGATGCATTGCTGAAGCCCAGGAGTTTGAGACCAGCCTGTGCAGCATGGTAAAATCTCATCTCTACTAAAAATACAAAAATTAGCTGGGCATGGTGGTGCATGCCTGTAATCCCAACTACTTGTAGGACTGAGGCAGGAGGATCGCTTGAGCCCAAGAAGCCAAGGCTGCAGTGAGCTGTGATTGCGCCAGTGTACTCCAGCCAAGGCGACAAAGTAAGAGAAACAGAAAAGCAGGCTGTAAGCCCTTATGACACCAAGTTATCCAGTATCTGCAGTGACTATTTCTGGCATGAATTGAGGAAACTCTGAGGAAACAGAAACTGAGGACCCTAAGACAGAAGCAGAAACTGAGACAGAAATAGAAACTAAGGGCCCTGAAACTCAAGGACCCTGGAGCCAGGAGGCAGATAAAATGAAAAGGGAAAGTGAGCAAGTTGCAAACATGTTTGGAAAAAACAGCATTTTTGTTTTATTCCAGATAATAGTAGGAGTGTTTCTAGGGTATTACATCATTAAGTATGAAAATGACTGTTGGCTTAAGATTGCTGTATATTTTTATAATTTTAAAGAAACCTCCTTGTAATCCTGCTTTATTAAGAAAAATACTTATAGAGTTAAAAAGCAAAACAAAACAGTTGCATCATATTATATAGTAACTTTAAAAAATCATCTCCTATCGGGCATTTTAGGTGGCTTCAGTTATTCACTATTATAAATAATGCCTGTACATGAATCTAGTTGGGAAAATACGCAATGGGGCAATGAAGAACAGAATTCAACTACAAAAGGAACCAGGTCCCCAGAGTGGAATAAGAATGAAACTTTAACACAGAAACAGTGCCATGAGAACAACTCTTAGTAGTAGAGGATGGTCAGAAAAGGAGAGACCAATTCAGAGCACCCAGCCCAGGCAGCAAATCTGAAAATAAATGACAAGGAGCTTGTTTATTGGCAGGAATATAGTGGAAGTGAGAAAGGAAATCCCTGAGCACGTTTATAAAGTCATACTGGGAACTCAAGTAAGAACAGGATATAATTTCCAATGGATTAACAAAAGTCTCCCACCCATTGCACTTTCTGTGTGACATCCTAACATACATGCGATGAGGTTGGGTGTAAGAATTTTTAGAAGCTTAAGATTTTAGATTTCTACAAATAGTAAATGCTTTGCCCTAACTAGGCAGTTTTGGGTGTTATATTTCTTAACCAATTTCAGATGTAATCCCTCAGTTTTAGGCATTGCCCTGTAACACTGTTTTGAAGTAGCCAGTGATGAAAAAGTTCCATAAACAAGGTGGTGGCTAGAATTGGCTTACATGTAGGATCTCATCTAGCAGGCAGTAGCTAAATGGAAAATTTTATATTAAATCTGGAAAGGTTTGGATCTTGACTCAAGATTATTGACTGTTTCATAGTGCAAATATTTTTAAGTAGGGAAGGGACATACTCAGTCAAAAAATCTGTTGACTAGATTTGTTACATTAGAAACAATTATGAACTTGGGAACAGGGAACTGAAGTAAGTTTTATGAGCTGAGTCTAGAGAGGAAGGAGAATGAAAAGTGTATAACCAGAATACTAGAAAAAAATAACTTTGTAAGGGGTAGGGGCTGGGAGTGTAAACAAATCACAGCAGTTATGTATAAAATGAAAAATATGAAAAACCCAAATATTAAAAAAATAGAGTAATAAATAAATAAGTTCAGAACAAATATATTAAGAATTTATGTAATTATTTAACATGATATTTTAATGAATGGGACAGTATGTAATTCAATAGTTCTTTCTGGAAATGGAATTACAGATGAGTTTTTTTCCTTTACATATCTTCATTTTCCAATTTTTCTATATTGCACATATATTACTTTGACAAATGGTGGAAAGGGAAGGAGTTTTTTTTTCTTCTTTTTAACTTGGCAGTATTATTTAAATACTTTTTTTTTTCTTTTCGAGACAGTGTCTCACTCTTTCACTCAGGCTGGAGTGCAGTGGTGTGATCTTGGCTCACTGCAACCTCCGCCTGCTGGGTTCAAGCGATTCTCCTGCCTCAGCCTCCCAAGTAGCTGGGATTACAAGAGTGTGCCACCATGCCTGGCTAAGTTTTGTATTTTTAGTAGAGATAGGGTTTCACCATTTTGGCCAGGCTGGTCTTGAACTCCTGACCTCAAGTGATCGGCCCGCCTTGGCATTCCAAAGTGCTGGGATTACAGGTGTGAGCCACTGTGCCCAGCCTAAATACTTTCTTTTTTAAGATCTTACCATAAATTTCCTGGCTCCTTACTATTTAGTGAACAAGTTCTAGAGAAATGATTAGCTCTACCAAGGTTACCATAAAAATGTTTGTCTCTGAGTCAAAGACTTTTCTTCTGTCATTCATTTACTCACCATTATCTGTATCTGGATTTAGTTCTGTTTTTTAAAAATGGGCTAACACATTATGCTGTAGTAAAGGGTTAAGGTTTATAATGTTTGCCTTGAAGTAAATACTCGGTAAACGTGCCTTTGCTTCATCATTGTTTCACATATTTAATAAAATAACCTGAATTAGAAGCCAAATGAATTATAACTGTGACAACTAAAAATAAGTATATTTTCCTTTATTGTTTTCAGGTACTTACTGAACATTACCAATAGTCTTTCATTACTTTGGATTAATTTATAGATAGGTATTAATACCAATAATAGTAATTACAGGCTATCATTTTTTTGCACACATCTTAAATCCTGAAACAAGCTTGAGTTTCTTCTCCGTTCTTCAGACATCAGCAGAAAGAGGTTCCTTCTTAATGGAAAATCTAATTCATCTTATCCTAGAGTTAAAAAAAAAAGTGAAAAAATAAGTGTTTTACTTCGGGGAGATGCTCTTTAATCTCACCCATTTTAATCTAAATTTGACTTAATGTTCCCATTTGATTGAGCAGAATGTAAGAGCCACACCCATGTCATCCCAGTAACCAGAAAAGCCACTACTTAGTCTTCCAAACCCTCACGACTGAAGCATAGTTTCCGGACAAGCAGCATCAGCATCACCTGGGAGCTGGATGGAAATACAGAATCTCAGACCCCACCCCAGACCTATGGTATCAGAGTCTGAATTTTATTGAGATACCATGTGAATTGTAGGCACATTCAAGCTTAGCACCAGACTAGACAATGCTTTTTTTTTTTTTTTTTTTTTTGGCTTGTTTTGTGGCACAGAATAAGAAGGAAACGATAAAAGGTTTTTTGTCATCAACCATTACCGTTTGTTTGTTTGTTTGTTTGTTTGAAACACAGTCTTGCTCTGTCACCCAGGCTGGAGTGAAGTGGCCCAATCTTGGGTCGCTGCAACCCCTGCCACCCAGGTTCAAGCGATTCTGGTTCTTCAGCCTCCTGAGTAGCTGGGACTAGAAGCGTGCGTCACCCCGCCTGCTAATTTTTGTATTTTTAGTAGAGACGGGGTTTCGCCATGTTGACCAGGCTGGTCTTGAACTCCTGGCCTCAAGTGATCTGCCCGCCTTGGCCTCCCAGAGTGCTGGGATTGATAAAAGTAAATGAATAAAACCTCTTAGTGTGATGAAAGCAGTAGATGCTTCACAGTCTCTAATGGAAACATGCTTTAGAACTACAGTTGGATGATCATAATTCTAAATTTAAACTTTAAATGATGTGTATTATATGTTGGAAGAGTCCCAACTACCATGATCACATTGTTCATGAGAAAGAGAGAAGAAAAGCACAAGTGAATTGTTTAAATTGACAGTGGGATTTGACTGAAGTATCTAACTGAAGCATATTTTATGGGAGAAGTTCCTGGAAAACTCATTGTAAGCCACAGAAGACCTCTCTTTGAAAGTGTTAGTTCCAAGATGTATTTAAAATATATGCAACGTTTCAAGATTCACACAGTGAAGAAAGTAGGTTGCATTGCTTTTCCCTCTATTGTTTGCATTTGGTTTAGTGGTCTCAAGTAGAGAAAACGATATACTTTTGAGGGAGCAGGGGATGTATGTGAGTTAGCAGCAAGAAGATTCTAAACATAAAGAGGCATTTAACATATACTTACTGGTTCATTCATTCATTGGTCATTCTCATGACTAATAGCAATTGAGCACCTACTGTGCCAGGCACTGTGCTAAGTGCCAGATACACAGTGGTGAGTAAAACACAGTCTCTGCCTCCATGGAGTTTGTGATAGTGTATTAATTACTACTGACAATTTTTGAAAATTATCTATGGATTTTGTTCTTCTATGATATTTCTGTGCCTAGCATCTTCCTTTTTCATTGATAATGAGAAAGGTTTAATTCTTGGTTACCAGTCTGACATATAGATTGATCAATTGTGATTGTACAGCAGATAGTAGCAGCTCATATGATATGACAAAAATGCAGCTGGCAACCTAAAGAGATGAAGCTAAGCTATGTGTCAATAACAGTTACATATTGTAACATGACCACTGTAAGGGCTTGGCACCAGCTGGAAATAAATGGAGGGCCGAGGGCTACTAGGAATGTAGTGTGGATGAGTACAAATGAGCGGGAGCCATGAAATGTCTCTTAAATTGTATGGATGAAAGGAATGCAATTATGATCAAAATGAAACATGCATTTTTTATCATATGTCCCCAATCAATAAATTGGATAATTTATTGGACTTGTATGTCTTTAAATAAAGGAAATTTGTTATTCAATCAGTCTCATAATATGCACGCAGAAAACCATTCATCTTTAAAACAAATTACTTAGTGAGTTTTCTTGGAATGATGGAATTACCTACAATAAGTGGAACCTAAGAAATTGAGTGGAAAGTTGAGATAAATAGCTTCCAATAGGCAAGTGGCCCAGACTTTGGTTGAATCAACCATTAATTCAGGACACTAATATCTTTGTGAATTATGAAGGTAGCTGCCTCCCAGATTCCTAAAACCCTGTGTTTCCATATCCCTGGCATTTGTACCTATTTAACCGCAACACAACAACTGTTGCTTGTTGCACAGTGACTAGATTCTCTGCCATGATGGCCCAGTAGTGTTGGGCCATAGTCTTGGAACTGAGGGCATAGTCTTGGAAGCCAGATGGACATGGGTTTGTAGTTCTGGCTCCACTACCTGCTAGACATGGGATTGTAGGTAGTAAAGTGTCTCTATGCCTCAGTTTTCTTACCCAGAAAATGGAGATTATAATCCTCAACTCATATGATCATGTGGATTACATAACTGTATAAAACACTTGCTGCCATGCCTGGCTCCTGATAAATGGTGGCTACTACTACTTTATTATCATTAAACTGAAGTCTTCCTAACTGGCTCCTGTTTGCTACATGAATCCCCTTTAGTAACAAGTTTTGTGTTTGTTTTTTTAACCTCTTGTTTCAGTTTCTTAGTGGCTGTATTTTTTCCCTTACTGAGTCCATATCCCAGAGGCTGCATCCCTGGCCCCCTGGGGACCCTACTCCTATGTGACACTTTTATTGAACTCTCATCTCACTTCAGGTCCAATAGACATCCTAGCTCGTGGGCACTTGGCTCAGAGATGCAGTAGTGTCTAGTGGTTGAAAGCATGGACTTTGGAGACAGGCTGCTTTGGTTCAAATCCCAGCATTTCTACTCTTCTACTTGTTAGCTGAGCGAACCGGGGTAAATTATTTCACCTCTCTGTGCCTGAGTTTCTGCCTACCTTGGCCTCCTAAAGTACTGGGATTACAGGTGTGAGCCACTGTGCCCAGCCTATTATTGTATATATTAAGAATCTAGAATAAGCAATGCTATATAGCATTGCTATTATGATTCATATCTTGGTTGAGTACCCAAGCTTGAATTTTATCTACTTCTCCCTTTTTACCCAGGGTAATCTCCCAATTGTAGGTCTATTTTGAGGACTTATATACACAGCTGCATGTCCCTAGATTATCTGGACACTGTGCTTCCATATGAAGACCTCTGTCTTCCCCACATCCTGCTACAAATGTTCCTGGCAGACACTGGCTATGACAGTGAGGAATGAGTAATATTTTGTTCCAAAGTTTATGTCTGCTAAGGAACAATGGTATCCTGGGCCCAGTCTGGTGGCCTCATTCCTGGAATAGGGTGAAACTAAGAGAGCCAAGCAAAGTGGCTGCCATGTTCTTCCTTCATTCCCTCATTTCCCTTTCCTCATTTCCACTGGGAAACAAAGATCCTCTATCGAGAAGAAAAGACAGTACAGGATTCCTCTTCACAGAGGCTGACTGTGTGCTAGAAAGTCTTGTGTAGATAGAAAGTAAAGAAAAAAGTCATGAGTGTAACTCAGAGGATGAACTTCTGTTGTATCCATGGGGGTAAATTGGTTAGGTGAATTGTTACGGTTTGAGTTCCATAATCACATAATATGGCCAAACTAAAAGCAACCCAAGAGAAACAAGTCAAAGGAAGGTTGAGTTTTGATTGAGATCTTTAAACAGAGCATATACCACTGGTTTGTAAACTGTAAAGTCCCCTCAGGGGCTTCAGTGGAAGTCAAGGGCATCAGGGTCTTACTTCTGAGTCCTCCGTGCCTGGAGTAGTACTTGGCTTGTGGCAATAAACTGTTTCTGCTCGGCAGTCCTGGCTTCAAGCCTCCCACAGGCAGATTCCTTTTAATGCTCCAAATCCCTTCCAGGGCCACTGTCAATATTTTTTAAGGCAAGAAAATAATTATTAGCGTATTCTCTTTTTAGCACAGAGTTTTTAAAGTATTTAATTGGTGATTTTTTTATTTATTTGGGTGGGGGTTTATTTGGTTTGACTAATCAAACCACTCAAATCTTTATCATATGTTTAATCTTTTATTCCATTTCATTTATTCAACTATTCTCTATGCAATTAAACCTCTACAGTGCTCTTAGATAATTTAACTTGCCCCTAAATAAATAGATGAATAGAAACATACATAACAAAACAGAGAAGGATCAGAAATAACAGTTAATAAATGGAATTCATTTAGTCAACTTTATCTGATTCTGATTTAATTCCTACAGTAAGAGAAAATATTTCCAAAGATAATAGGACCAAAAATCACTACATTAATTCATCCAATAGTTAATTCATCCAATAGATCCAAGAATCCTCTAAAAGCCACAAACTAGATGCTGTTTAATCTCCCTCTGAAAAAGAGCAACAATAAACTCACTGGATCCTACATTTTAAAAATCATTGCAAAATACCTGGAAAGTGATGTTTGCCCATTGATAATTATAGGTCTTGGGTCCTGATACCTTTCAATAAGGTTTAGCAAAGATTTGCACTTGGTTATCCTCCATATCCTAAAATCACCTGGTTAGGTTTTGAGACTCAGCAAACAAGCATGTGGTGAATGTCTACTGTGTAGAAAACTGCAACTCAAGTCTAGTAAGTTGGTGAATTTGGGTGAGTTGCCATAAGTTGTTTTTCCCATTTCTAACGCTGCAAATATTAATGCCAAATATTCTCCACAGATCCAAGGCTGCCCACTGGCATCCTCACTGATATTTGATCCCTCTCTAAAGGATTCCATAGCAAGTAATTACTAGCAGCATAGTCTCTGGGTTCAGAGGAGATCTGGGTTTTGATCTTAGTTCTACCATATATCAGTTACATGATTTTGACCAAGTTATTTAACCCACTATGTCTTAATTTCCTCATTTTCGAAATAGGGATAATAATATCTACTTGAAGGATTATTGTACGATTTAGATGAGATGGCTGTAAAGTGCTTTGTACTCAATAAATGATAGCTATTTTTGTACAGGGAGAATGATTTTACTATCCAAGCATGGACTAAGATTCCGTGACTGGAGGTACAGTCATTGAGCTGACTTGCCAAGCTGAATGTCAATACTTGCCTCTCCTTTCCCACTCCTGAGTGGAGTAGCTGAAGCTATCTGTCAAGATTAGTTTCTCTCTTCTTCAAAGACCTTCAAGGAAGATTGCACAATCTCCTTCTGTTTAAGACCTTACAAAGTTTAAGCTGTTCCTTCTATCTAACCTAAATCTTCCCCTGCCATTCAAGCCAGTTTCCTCTTCTATCCTGTTCAGAGATAGAAAAGGGCTGCTCCCCAGCCTCTGGATAATAAACTCTCAAATTTAGGAGCCTATGACATTTATTCAATACCCCCAGTGCATGATACCCTGTGGGAGACCAGGGAAATAGATTTGAACTTGTGGTTGACACTTTGTGAAGATCCAGTACGTGGAAAGCAGTATAAAATCAGGAAGCAGAACCGTGCAGACAAATCACATCAAATTAGATGGAAGAATTGTACTAAATGAAGTGTGCTCTTTCAGATGCAATCACAAGAATGTCACAGAGAAAAACACCTGAAATATAAATGCAGATGCCCAGAAATGCATCTGAAACTCTCAAAGCAAAATATGGTTATGCATAAATATTTACTATATTCAGGGATAATGGTTGCAGGAAAAAAAATAGCCCTCCATACATGTGAAGTGATGTTTGGGTGAAGAAGTTACAGAAGGTGATATATTTGACTGGATAAAAGGGGGTCTAGAAAACAGCATGGGTGCTCTCTGAGGCAGCTGCTTCTTTTAAGAGAAACTTTACTCCCTCAGCTCAGGGCATGTGCATTCCAGAAGGAGGAAGGCAGACAAAGCGGGCACGGAGCCAGAAAGACTTCAAGTGTCGACTCCTCTCAACTGAAAAAGAAAAGGGCAGCAGGCACAAGGGGAGAAGCTAGAAGAAAAGAATCAAATCTGTTCTTGAGGCTCAGAATCTTCTAGAGATTCCTCTTCTCTCTTCCCTTCTCATGCCTCCAACACCTTCTACTCAGAAACCTTTATACGTGTATTTTTATACTGAATTTTAAAATGACTAAACCATGCCTTTATGCCCAAAATTTTAGCCAGTAGGACCTGGCCTGGTCTTATAGGGAAGGTAAGCTCACACCTTAAAAATATTTTAGTTCCTTTCAGCTCTCTTTGGATTGTAAATAATGAACATTGGAGCTTGAAAATCCAGTTTAGAGCCATATCGTCTGTACTTCTCTTGTGCAAGCAAGGTCAGAGTTTGACTACAGAAAGAAAAATATAAGTAATTTTAATTTATGTCTGGTGACTCCTAGGCTCTATAATTGTCTTGGCAAGCCTTTGGTGTCTAGTAAATTCCTCCTATATTTTGGGTGCAGAAGACATTTTAATTGAATGAAATAATGAATAACTGGTGTCTAGTAAATTCCTCCTATATTGTAGGTACAAAAAACATTTTAATTGAATGAAATAATGAAATATATCCACATTTGCTTGGCAACATTTTGCACTTTCTAAGCTTGTACTTAAGTAGTAAATAAACTGGATTCAAAATTAAGTTTACATGTATTAACGCACATGTAGACACTCATTAATGTATCTGGCAATACATTTCTGAAATTCTTTGGAAAAGGAAGTGTTGTGTAAGGGGAAGATTAATAAGTTCAGTAATCAAATTTTTCATGACTACTATAACCTCTGTAGGTTTTAGCCAGAAAAATACAAAAGACCTTGCAACTTGAAAACATTAAATTAATACATCACTTTATTTCTGCAAAGTCCTTTATAGAATAGAAATGCAGAAATAGTTTTAAAATAAACAATACAATAAATGCACTATTTCCATAATGAATGTCTCATAAGCCTACATTTTTCTTTTCTTTCTTTTTTTTTTTTTTCTTTTTTTCTTGAGATGGAGTCTTGCTCCATCATCCAAGCTGAAGTGCAGTGGTGAGATCTCGGCCCACTGCAACATTCGCCTCCTGGGTTCAAGCAATTCTCCTGCCTCAGCCTCAAGAGTAGCTGGGACTATAGGTGCACACTACCATGCCTGGCTAATTTTTGTATTTTTAATAGAGACGAGGTTTCACCATGTTGCCTGGGCTGGTTTTGAACTCCTGACCTCATGTGATCGGCCTGCCTTGTCCTCCCAAAGTGTTGGGATTACAGGCATGAGCTACTGAGCTCAGCCAATTCTACATTTTTCTTTTTGAAAAGTTGTAAAGAAAGGAAAATCTTCAGGAAATCACTGAGAATACATGAATGATGGACATTAGCTAAATTCTTCCTTATCCAGAAAGTTCTATAAGTTGCCCAAATTCCATTCTATCTGATTAAAAGATCTGATGAGAAAACTACACTCCCTTTTTTTTTTTTTTTTTCAGGATGAGGTTAACCTTTTCAAGTAGACACAGGTTCTTTGCCCTTATCTGATAGGAATGCAGAAAGCCTCTGAAACCTGTTTTTACCTCAAATTTGAACCTGGAGGCTAAACTGAAACTGAACCTACAGAAAACTAGTAACATTTCTTTTTTTTAACTGAATAGAACACTACTTGCTACTAAATCAATTTCAAATCTCTGTTCCTCTCCGAAGGCATAATCTTATGTTTTAAAGAGAGATAGAAGAACCCAATGGCTAATAGCAACAACATCAGCTTCTGACAAACCTGCATCCAAGTATCAGTGTGACATTGGACAAGTCACTGCATCCCCCTGAGCCTCAGCTTCAAGTTCTTCAAAATGTGAATTAAAAGAGCATATATCTCACTGGGTTATTGCAAGAATTAAAAGAGATTATTTGCAAAAAATTTATCACGTGCAGAAGAAACTCTGCAAATGATAACCATTATTACTATTATTATCACCATAATTCCCAACATCAACATCATCATATAAAAAGACATCCCTACCTCTCAACCCAGCATCCAGTGCTTCTAACTCAGCCCATGTATCAACACATCAGGAGCCTACAAGGAATCAAAAGTCCACAGAAGGGAGGACAAGAGGCCTGTTAGCCCATTATTTCTATTGTCACTGATGGCATTCCCTAGACCCAAGTATAGAGTGCAAAGTAACAACCACGTGAGACACCTTGTCCATTTCAGTGTCTTCACAGCCCTTATTAACTATAGTCACAATATGACCACAAGAACAAGTAGCACAGTTCATTCAGATAAGAGCCCCAGTCTGAACAACTATTTCTCCTGTGTCCCGCTAGCTATGCAACCAACGGTATCCCAAAAGAAATATAATGTTCATTCTATTCAACATCCATAAAACTCAATTTCTGAATCTTTTGATTTTTTACCAATTTCATTCAGCCAAAGGAGAAGAGAAAAAGCACAGAAATGACCCCACAGCTTCAGGGTACTTCCATAATTGTCACTGTCAACTCATTCAAAAATAAAACGTGCTATAATTTAAGTTGTTTACTTCCAGGACAGATCGCCCTCTTAATAGACTCTTCAATAAGTTCAATAAATAGCCCAGTATTGCAGTATTTTATCTATGGTTAAGGAAAATCCAATCTGGACTCTTACTGAAATCTCACCTTCAACAATCAATTACTTTGTTGTCAGAGTATGTGGAGTTGATTGTCTTAAAATTCAAACAAACCCAGCTAATTCATACATAGCTACAAATATGCTTAGATCCATGCATATATGTTGGGGTCCCTAGAATTTAGACAGGCTTGGGAATATCTACAAAACAGTATGTAGCGTTTATCCAAAGTCACAAATTCAAATATACATAGGAAGAGGCCAGGCAGGTAATATGAGTAAAGCTGGCTAGGGGTAAGAAATAATTGGTTCTCCCAGTCTTTCTCTTTTTTACTACTTTTGATGGAGGCATCATACAAGAGAAACAATTTTTTGTATTTCACGATGAGAAGAAAAAACCTGCAGCGGGCACGTGAACATACATAGCTTGTGATGTTTCCCACTGGAGTGGGGAACTTGGTGTAGGATGCTGAACAGTGGAGTGGGCAGGTCAGCACGGGGCATTGTAACCCAACCCCAGCCACTGTTGTTAATACAAATGGTGCCTTGATGGTGTCAAATCAACCTTTATCCTCCGTGCTCCATCCCTGCTCAAGAAAACCTAGACATCTAGATTTGTATATAAAATTTCTAATTTTAAAATATTGACAACTGGTTCAGATATTTAAAAAATATACTGCGGGGCAAATAAATATGTCTGCAAGGTGAACCTGGCATATGGGTCAACATTTTGGGATCTTGAGCCAAACTAAGGTACCCCTCACAGTCTAATTCGATGTGGAACATGGTGGTCTGGTGTGGAGATAGAGGATGGCTCTCTGGATTTGCATTTGGACCATAGGCTATGCCATTCATTGAGATGGGTGGTATAGGGGAAGCAGCAAGTCGGGGAGAGGTGTCAATTGTTTTGTTTGTTTGTTTGTTTGTTTTGAGACGGAGTCTCACTCTGTTGCCCAGGCCGGAGTGCAATGGCGGATCTCGGCTCACTGCAAGCTCCACCTCCCGGGTTCACGCCATTCTCCTGCCTCAGTCTCCCGAGTAGCTGGCACTACAGGCACCCGCCACCACGCCCGGCTAATTTTTTTTGTATGTTTAGTAGAGACGAGGTTTCACCATGTTAGCCAGGATGGTCTCGATCTCCTGACCTCGTGATACGCCCGTCTCAGCCTCCTAAAGTGCTGGGATTACAGGCGTGAGCCACCATGCCCAGCCCAGAGGTGTGAGTTTTGTTTTGGACATGTTGGGCCTGAGTTATCTTATGACTTATGGGACATCCAGGAAAAGAAGTTTAGCCTGCAGAGACACATTTCAGAGGCATCCTAGAGAGGCCGTAGTGAAAAGTATGAGAAAATCCCAGGAAAGCTAATGGAACAAGATTACAAGACTGTGGGAAACACTCCGATAAACATCAAGATTCGGAGAATGTAGTGAATAAAAAGAGTGCTTAACAGAGGATGAGAAAGAAGTAGAGCGAGAACCAGGACAGTTAAGTATCATGGAATTTGAGAAAGGAACAAGGTTGAAGGAGAGAGCCATCGACTATGTGAAATGTTGCAGAAAGCTCAAGCCACCTAGAGGCAGAACAGTATCCACTGCATTTAGCCATAACGTGTCACCAGAGACACCATAGTGAGTAGAAAGCCAATGGGATTGGGGGTCAGATCTGAATTTGGATCTGGTTCTGCTACTTAATGCATAACCTTGGGCAAGTTAAACACCTCTCAGAATCTTAGTTTACTCATCCTAAGATGGGGATCAGAATATCAATATCATACAGCTTTGTGAGGATTTGGGGTAAGCAAAATTAAGCCCCTATCCTCAGATAGCTTGTGTTCTAGTGGGAGAGATAGCCAATAAAGAAGTATGTAAAGAAATATGGATCCTCCTCGACTTACGACGGAGTTACATCCTGAAAAACCTATCATAAGTTGAAAAAAAATTGTAAGTAGTAAATGCATTTCATACACCTAACCTGCCAAACATCATAGCTTCGCCTAGCCTACCTTAAATGTGCTCAGAACACTTACATTAGAATGGCTAACTAGAAGCTGCGGCTCATGGCCACTGCCCAGCATTGCAAAGGAGAATCATAAGGCAGATCGCTAGCCCAGGAAAAGAGCAGCATTCAAAATTTGAAGTAGGGTTCCTACTGACATGTATCACTTTCACACCATCACATTGAAAAATCATAAGTTGAACCACAATAAGTTGGGGACTGTCTGCATAAAATTTCAGGTAGCAATAGAAAACAGGAGAAAGAAGAAAGCAGTATAGGGATTAGAAGGTGACCTGGAGGACAATTTCTGTTTTGACCTGGTGGAGTGGAAAGGCCTCTCTGAGAAGATGGCATATGCAGTTGAAGCCTGAATGAAGAGAGAGGAAGATATCTGAATGTCTGGGTGACCTTTAAATGTCCTGAGGGGTGAAAATGGATTTGGCACATTCCAGAATGTCAAGAAAGCCTGTGTGGTTAAAGTGGAGTGGAAAAGTATAGGAGATGAGATCAGAGAGGTGAGCTGGCCATAGGAGCATGAAATCTAGTCTCAGAATAATAAAAAGCCATCAGACAACTTTAAGCATGGAGGTGACATGTAACGATTTATGTTTGTAAAAGATCCCTCCGGTTTCAGTGCAGAGAATTAACAGTAGCAGGGGCAGTAGCAGAGGCTGTTATAGGATGCTATTGCCAGGCCTGCAAAAGGTGGCAGGGGCTTGGCAACGGTGCTGGTGGGGGATTTAGGATATACACTGAATTCAAAAGGATTGGCTGATAGACTGGATACGGAGTTTGAGGACTTGACTTCTAGGTGTTTGGTGGTACCATCTCATGATATGGGAAAGACCTATGGGTTTTTTAAAAGCCTGGGAATAGAGAATAAGATTTTGGTTCTGGACATCTTAAGGTTGAGAGGCCTATTGGACATCCAAGTGGAGAATCAAGTAGGTTTTGGGATTTAAGGGGAAAAGTATAGGGTAGAAATAAAAAATGCTGGAGTCATTAGCCCAATAGGGCTAGATATCCCACGGTGTGAGGGTAGGTAGAGAAAAGAGCCCATGACTGAGACCTCTAAATTATACAGGCTAGGTGGAGGGAGAGCCAGCAAAGAAGATGGAGAAAGAATAGCTAAAGAGGTAGGAGCAAAACCAGGAAATTGGAGCATTGTGACCTACAGGCCAAGCTAAGAAAGTGTTTTTAGAGAGAAGGAGGAAACAACTACATCAGATGTTACAGAGAGGTTGAGTATGTTGGAGGGATCATTGGATTTGACCTTCAAAAAGAAGGCTATTTGCAATCTTGGAAAGAACAGTTTCCCTGGACTCATGGGAACAAATGCCTAATTAGAATAGGTGAAGTAGCAAAGGAGAAGTAAAGGGGAGGAGAAAATGGTTAACATGTACTTATCTTTAAAAATAGCAGCTATAGGAACCACACAATTCTCTAAAAGTTTTATGCAGAATTCTGCACGTATGTGACAAACTGTGTCTTCCAGGAAAAGAAGCCATGGCTGTCATCAGATATATAAAGGAGGGGTCACTGCAAACCGAATTAGAAGCAAATGTCCAATGGCTGGCCTCTAGGCTCTGAGGCTGGGCTGGAAGAGTGTGGCACCCTCTCTAGATGCTAATTCTCTGTTCTGGCCAATGGTATGTGGCTTCTAGCCATGATATATATTTTAAAAACAGCGGGATTTCCCATAAGTAGATCATTTTAAAACCCAAATTTATAGAATCTATTCTCCGCATTGAAAGATTTTTCTAGGCTAAAATAGTACCTCTGTGCGACCTCTAGTGGATGTTATTTTAAAAAGCAGCCCAGACAGTCTTCATTTTATATAAAGGATATTTGAAAAGATTGCTTAGGAAAATGAATTTTTATAAACCAAAAGATACATCCTATTCACTCAGACTGTCTCACAATCTAGTGTATCCAATAAGAATAATACAACATACAGCTAGTGTATAAACTAGCTTTTATGTAGATTTTTAAAACAATGAAGATAAATCCAGAATATAACAGTATAGACTTAGAAAAAAATGTTAAACACCAGGAAAATAGTACATGTAGGCGGGGCTTCCCAGCTGAAATGCAGTAGGTCATTCTGCATCCATTCATTAAGTTCAAAATAGACTTTAAAACTTTCCTTGAAGATATTATGGGAGCAAATTTCACCATTTTATTGGTCTCTCCTTTTATAAGAATGGGTCATACGAGAAGACCCAAAGGAGTTTCTATGTCTGCTTTAGAAATGTAAAGTGGGGCCGGGCGTGGTGGCTCATGCCTGTAATGCCAGCACATTGGGAGGCCGAGGTGGGCAGATCACGAGGTCAGGAGTTCAAGACCAACCTGACCAACATGGTGAAACCCCATCTCTACTAAAAATACAAAAATTAGCTGGGCCGTGGTGGTGTGTGCCTGTAATCCCAGCTACTCAGGAGGCTGAGGCAGAAGAATCGCTTGAACCCAGGAGGCAGAGGTTGCAGTGAGCAGAGATCGTGTCACTGCACTCCAGCCTGGGTGACAGAGTGAGACTCCATCCAAAAAAAAAAAAAATGTAAAGTGGGCACAACATACATCATGTAATCTGAAATGATGGACTTCTGGGCCTGCAGCCTCTCTCTTAGGAATCCTTAGTGAATTTGGACCTCACTTGCAGGTTGACCAACAATTCTCCACAAATGAAGGAGTCTATGTAATAGTTTTGTTATTTCTTCTAGCAACTGCTGATACCCAAGAGTGTCACAATAAAAATCTGATGATTTGAGAGCATGAAATATGCATCTAGTAATCGTTGAGAAGGAACCATGAAAATGAAGGACGCCAGCAGTTTCAAACTAACATCTGGGATTCTGGGGCTCCTAGAGCATCTCTTTCACACATGAACCATCAATAAGAGCTATCAATGCTCAGATCCTCTACGGGATGAAATCCTTGGATGATCTGACCATGTAAATGACTTAGGTTCTGCTGAGTCAGTGATTTGCAAAGTCGGGTACTGGACCAGCAGCATCAATATCACCTGGGAAATTTGTAAAAATCCAAATTCTTGGGCTCCACTGCAGACATACTGTGCCAAATATGCTAGGGGTAGGGCTCAGCAATCTGCTTTTAACAAGCTCCCAGGTAATTCTGATAAAAATCTAAAGTTTGGAAACCACTGTTACTTGTCATACCTATATTGATAAAGATTGAAGTTATTATTGTGTTTTTCAGGCACTTGGAAAAAATGGTACATGTCATTAAATAGAAATAACTCCACCAAGAAAGTGGGACAGCAAAGTACATATTGATATCTAGATCTTTTTTTTTTTTTTTTTCTGATATGGAGTCTTGCTCTGTCACCCAGGCTGGGGTACAGTGGCGCGATCTTGGCTTACTGCAAGCTCTGCCTCCCGGTTCACGCCATTCTTCTGCCTCAGCCTCCCGAGTAGCTGGGACTACAGGTGCCCGCCACCATACCCGGCTAATTTTTTGTGTTTTTAGTAGAGACGGGTTTTCACCGTGTTAGCCAGGATAGTCTCAATCTCCTGACCTCGTGATCCATCCACCTCGGCCTCCCAAAGTGCTGGGATTACAGGCGTGAGCCACCGTGCCCAGCCCATTTTTTTTTCTAGACATGAAGGTTTATTTGGACATAAGCAAATTAATTATAAACTAGTTCAAGAACTTTCCAAAAACTTTTTATTTCAATAGTATGGTTTTATAATAAAATACTCTGTCATCAAGTAGGCAATTTCATATTCATTTCACAAACATACTTCATTTGTCACTGAGATTACCTGCAGCTGGATTTTTAATGTGGCATTCATCTCTCTTAATATGACGTTCTTCTTCCAGTACTTCCTTAATTCTCTTATGTGGCTCACAATATAAAAATTTCTTCCCTATAAAGGCATTAACAAAATCAATTACTTAGTATAAATACTGCCCAATCTTCTAGCCATTATATCTACATGATAACAATTTTTTTAAAAGAAGACATGTTATTCCATACAAATATCAGACAATTTGCCCTGAAGGCTCTATCTTGGAAAGATCTCTTCCATGGAAACTTTAGGTTCTTTTGGGACTTCACGTTTTCATGTAATTCCTGAACTTGCAGGGTAAGTTTCAGGTACCTCTTTTAGGTGTTATGAAGAAATAGATAAAGTTTCCTCCTTAGCTTCAAGAAAACTTGCACTCGTTTGTTGAATGAACTCTTATTAAAGACCTACTCTGTGATAGGCATTTGGCTAGGGGCTGAAGACAGAGCAATGAGTAAGACAGATGTGTGTATAGAGCTTGCAATCCAGGTACAGAAGAGAGAACAAAATCTCAGCATTTTAAAATCGACATTTTAAAAGATTGAAACTGAATTGTAGTAGTGAACCACTTATGGACATAGCACTTTTCCCTGGCCTTTAAATCTGGACCTATAGGACATGACTACTACAGTCAAGGACTGAATTGTTTGTTTTAAACACTGTAGCTACATTTCTTCTCAGAAATGTAGCTCAGCCCAGATGTCAGAACTCCAGAGAAACAAAAGAGCTCTGTGCTATTGGGCCTACCCATATCCCTAATCTCTCCGGTCAGCCTCTCTCTCTTGCTCTCTGAGCTCCAGACACATGGCCCTTCTGTTCATTCCTACCTTTGCACATGCTGTTTTTGCTACCTGAGCTGCCTTTCTCCTGGTTTTGCCTATATAACTTCTACTCAAATTTTAGGTCTTGGCTTAAACATTAGTTCTTTAGGAAAACTTTCCCTTACTCCACAATCTGGAAATGACTTTTTATCATGGCACCCTCCTTTATTCTTTCATTTTACTTATTGCAATTTGGATACAGCTTCATTTTTTTATACACAATTATTTGTGTAGCTATTTATTTAATATATAACTTCTTTACCAGATCACAAACCCCATGAGGGCAGGGATGTTGTCTCTTCAGTTCATCAGAGTCTTAGAACAGAGCTTGGCATGATAATAAATGCTCAACAAATGTGTGTTCAGTTAGAACTAAGCACTGATAAATTGGAGCTCTAACTAAAGACTGTGTGCATGTCTGTCAATGCAGTTATACGGTCACTGTGAATGTCAGTGAACCGATAGTTCTAATCTCAGTATCCAAAAGCTCAATTCAAGGAACCAATGAAAACCTAAACAACCAAATACTTTAGTTGTTTATGATTTGATTTTAAACTCACATATATATGGGCAGGTATCTCATCTTTTCCAGACTAATCAATAAACAACACAAGTGAGTCAATTTGACGGGGATGCAGACTGGCAAAAATGGGGCAAGAGACCTGCTGCTTCCGGCAGTGATCCCAGGTCATTCCTGGTCATGAAGACCCAGACACACCCTCAGACATGAAAAAGTTAGAATTACATACTTTCAGGGTCTCATTCTTGTTTCCCCAAAGTTGGAAGTCATATGAATAAAATATGGGATCAGCATTACTGAAGCCTAACTTTGGTTTAATCTGTTAAATCATGATCTTCAGGCAGAAAAAGGGTTCACAAACTTGGCTAGGAAGAAAACTAAGCCTATAACAGAACAACAGAAAGGAAAAGACCACCTGCTCTCAGTTCAGATCTCCTGACAAATTTCAGCCCTGGTGCTAGGAAAATGCACAGAAGAAATCATTAAAGGTGATTTGAAGAATTGTGGTAATTGGGAGAGTACTAAGGAGCTAGTACGGGTAAATATCTCCTGCTCAGGAGAAGAAAGGAAAGGAGGGGAGAGGGGGCAGAACTTTCAGGCAGAAAAAGGTTTCACAAACTTGGCCAGGAAGGAAAGGAGAGGAGAGGAAAGGAAAAAGGGAAGGAAAGGAGAAAGGACAAAAGAAAGGAAAGGAGAAAGGAAAGAGGAAAGGAAAAGGAAAAAAAAGGAGAAAGGGAAAGGAAAGGAAGGAAAAGGAAAGGAAGGGAAAGCAAATTTAAAAAAGAAAGAAGGAAGGAAGGGAAAGAGAGAGAGAAAGAAAATTCTACAAACTCTACCATAGCAGTTTGATGTTGACCTTTACCAGCATTTTAAGTGGATTGGTCGATAGATGTCTTGTGTGTATAGAGGATGAGAAGCTGTGATCACTGAGAAGTATGACTAAGAACAGTATTATTCCAGAATTTCTTTTGAAACAATTATTATTCCACGTTTTTTGGATTTTTTTTTGTTGTTTTTTGTTTTTTTTCCTGAGAGCTAATAACAATTGCATCTTATATATATTATTATTTCTCTTTCTCACAATGACCTATGGGCAAGTATAATTATTCCTGTTTTATAGTTGAGAAAGTAGCTTCCTTGAGTCATAAAACTAAAATAATGAAAATGAGAAGCCACACCTACCTGAGTCTCCCAAGCTCCTACGGTTATTACAAATTATTCATAGTTTATTACAACGCACAGTTATAGATCCACCACACTCTACTAATCAGTTCATACCTAGAATACAGGTTTCAGTGATATGATACACTGGAGATTGTTGGAAGAAGTGGCCAGCCAGCCAGGTTAGAGCACTACAAGTGATCCTAAAGGTGACATTGGCCAGGCGCGGTGGCTCATGCCTGTAATCCCAACATTTTGGGAGGCTGAGGTGGGCAGATTACTTGAGGTCAGGAGTCCAAGACCAGCCTGGCCAACATGGTGAAACCCCATCTCTACTAAAAATACAAAAATTAGCCAGGCGTGATGGTGCATGCCTGTGGTCCCAGCTACCTGGAAGGCTGAGGCCAAAGAATTGCTTGAACCCAGGAAGGGGAAGTTGCGGTGAGCCGAGATCGCGCCACTGTACTCCAGCCTGGGCAACAGAGTAAGACTCTGTCTAAAAAAAAAAAAAAAAAAAAAAAGGCAAAAATAAATAAAAAATAAAGGTGACATTAAGTCTATGAAAGATTTGGTTGGTGCTCAAGGAGCTGCCTTTATATAATTCAAGGATGTTTACAAGCAAACAACCACACTTCGTGTTTGAGAGCAGGACTGTGATTAGGGAATATAGGGAATAGAAGCTGTAAAGAGACTGAAGACTTTTCCAATAATTACAGACATTTGAAAAATTGACTGAGTACTTTGTGCTTGTGCGAACAGCCTGTCTCTACTTAGGCTGAGTCCCTAAAAGGAGGTTCTGAGGGAGGCTGAGGCAGGAACTCTTTCATTTTCCCACCCCAACTTTGTGAGCTTGTGAAAGTTTGGACACCTGCCTTAAGTCATTAGTTCTTTCCCTGAAACTTGTGGAATGCCTAGCATGTAATAAAGACTCAATATGTTAAATTGATGAGTGAATGTTAATCCCACCTTTTACTCCTAGAGCCACAGGACTAAAGAAACTTAGAAACTAGCATCTTTAATGGGGAAATTTCCTGATAGAATTTGAAGTAGGAGGCTGGGCGTGGTGGCTCATGCCTGTAATCCCAGCACTTTGGGAGGCTGAGGCGAGCGGATCACTCGAGGCCAGGAGTTGAAGACCAGCCTGACCAACATGGCGATACCCTGTCTCTACTAAAAATGCGAAAACATTAGCCGGGCATGGTGGTGTGTGCCTGTAATCTCAGCTACTCAGGAGGCTGATGCATGAGAATTGCTTGAACCCAGGAGGCTGAGTTGCAGTGAGCCCAGATCATGCCACTGCACTCCAGCCTGGCAACAGAGTTGTCTAAAAATAATAATAATCATAATAATTTTAAGTAGGAGTAAAGAATCTCCATTACCCAAGTATACTGAATTTATGTGCTCTAAGCAAGGCCTCTGCATGCTGCTGATAATAATAACAAAAGGAATGACATTTCATAGTCATACTGGAGCTGATGCCCAGGGAAGAGGCCCCTTTCACCAGGAGGCAGTAGTTCTGTAACTTCTTGATGAGGTCTCTGGGGAGGAGAGTGTGTGGTCCACCAAGCACAAGTATGGAGGTGCTTCAGCCCAACCCTCCCTCCTGGGGCCTCCCGGTGCAGAGGAACCTTGGAGAAACCCAGTCTGCTCTCCAGAGATGCAGTCAAGAAGGTGCTGCAGGAAGGCTGGAAACTACTCTGTTCCTCTGGCTTATTCTTCTCACCATCATTCCTTAGCACCTACTGAAGACCTGGGGGTGCAAGAGGCTGTGAAATATCTGTTAATTCATGAAACAGTATGGGTGAATAACAACCTGGCTAGGACTCAAATTACAACCACTTCCATTATGGCTGTGGGCCAGAACTGTCTTTACCTATTTGAATATTGTGTGTTTGTCAGGGCAGAGAGCAAAGAACAGTGCGTTAAAATGTAGCCCATAATTATGAGATTCTAAAAGGATTGGGTAATTGTAGACTGAGAGTCCAAGAGATGGAAGTTAAAAGTGATTTTAGTATTTCGCCTGCACTGACTGGCTGTGGCAAGTCTCTTTCCTCTGGTCTAGATCTCAATTTCCTCATCTGTAAAATGAAATAACTGGCAAAATGAGCTGCGTGTTTCTAAGGGTGTATACGCATACATACATACATACACATATACATATACAAATGTGTATATAAAATGGTATACATATAAATGTGTGTGTGTGTGTGTGTGTGTTAATTCCTTTCAGAATAACGCCACTATGATTAAATTGGAGCTGATGCCCAGACCCTGAATTCAGGCAGGCTATCGGGAAGGAGGGCTTGGAAAGATGGACCTATGCTTTCTGCCACAGTGCCATCATCTCTGGTTCTGCCAAAAGCAGCAGCTCCACCTCCCCTGCCCCAAACCTTCTCAGCCAGTCCCACTGCGGTTTCCCCCAATTGCCCTGTCACTCGTTCTCCACGCCCCTCCTCCCAGTAGCGTCCGCGGCTGGAGCTGAACTCACACTGCTGGCCGTGCTCTAGGGGGCCGCGGCCGGGTTCCCCGCGCGCCCCGCACCCCAGCCCTGCTGGCGGAGGAGGCTGCTCCTCTTCGCGACCCGCCTTGGGCGCCACCACTGCGGTCACCACCACCGCCTCCTCGCCTGTCATGCCGCAGCGGTCTTCCGAGAGCCCTGGGCACGGTTTCCTTCTCAGCTCAGTCGCAGGCAGCCCAGCATGCGAGGCGTCTCGGGTTGCCATAGTGACTGCCGATTCTCCCCGCCCCCAGCCGGCCTTCCGAGGCCCTAGGTATTCCGCGCACCAAAGAAGGTGCTGAAGTTATGGGGCTGGGGTTATTATTATCATTGACCAAAGCAAAGGACTTTCCATTAATTTCTCGTTAATTTATTGTTAATTTCTCACACGAGCTCGGCAAGAGAGGCTTTACTATTCCCAGAGAATCCGAGATTCAGAAAAAGCGAAGGAAACTGCATAAGGCCTCATAGCTAGGAAGCGGCACCGTTGGAATGTGGACTCAGAAGTCTGGTCCCAAGCCGACAGAACAGATCACTGCCCAGAACAGAAAAGTTAGAAGTGGAACCGGTGTGCAGGTGAGTGCAAGGCACCGTCGCTGGTTTCACGCAGCCTTGTGCCTGTCGCGTCCTGCTCCCTGCTACACACACGCAACGTGATTGAATAAGTAAATACTGAGGATTCCCAACTTTCACGTTGTGAATTATTATATTAAGCACATTGTAGTTTCCAAGCTCTTTTGTATTCACAAAATAACAAACTAATAACTAACTTTACAGATGAAATCAAATTCAGCAAATTTTAATTTGAAGAGCAAGTAGAAAAATTCAGGGTTTTATTTGGAGCATAAGGTTGCTTTTGTCTTGGTTTGGTTTTGCAGGCCTTAAAAATGGATTACGTTGTGGTGTTAATTTTATGGAAGTTGAATGTGCATTGTTTTATAGTATTAAATCGTTCTACAAGGCTTGCAACCAAATATAGGAGACCTCTTCTGTCTCCACTGTACCCCAGAGCCAAACACTTTTAATACCAAATCCTTATATTGCTGCTTTTTATGTTTTTCAATTTTAGATATCATGTTGATTTCCTACGATGAAAGACGAGATTTCTCTCTCTTTCATACTCCCTGTGTCACATATACTTATTGCTCCTTTATACTCCCATTATAGATAAATTGAAATTTTGGCTAGAGTAATATTTGTTTACATTACTATGACAATTGTATTAGGCTAGTCTTGCATTGCTATATACCTGAAACTGGGTAATTTATAAAGAAAAAAGGTTTAGTTGGCTCACAGTTCTTCAGGCTTTACAGGAAGCATGATGCTGGCATCTGCTTGGCTTCTGGTGAAGCCTCCGGAAACTTACAATCATGGTGGAAGGCAAAGGAGGAACAGGCAGCTCACATAGCAAAAGCAGGAGATCGCTCTCTCTTTCTTTCTCTCTGTAGAGAGATATCTATCTATATCTATCTATATATATAGAGAGAGAGCGAGAGGCAATTAAAAGGTTGTGTGGAAAGGTTGCGTTCCTTTTTTATATCTCTGTATTTTTGCACTATTTTCTGAGAGATTTTTCTTAACATGAGTTTGAATTTCAAACTGCTCTCCAGTACCCACAGTGTTTCTCCAGGCAGTTCAGGCACTCCTCATTCATTTAATACATATTCATTGAATGACTGCTTTGTGTCAGGAGCTATTATATGTGCTAAGGATGCAGCCATGAACAAAACATACAAAAATCCCTGCCCTTATGTAGTTGAGCTCACATTCTGCCTAAGATTTGATTTGAACAGAGTTGTTGACATGTTTGTACGTGTGTGTATAACTTTTACCTAACATGTTTGGAGTGAATTCATCGCCATTCTCACCCAGCTATGTTACTGCCAACATGCCTTGGCTTTTGCTAAGCCCTTCGGCTATCAGAAGTCCATATGGCTGAAATAATTTGATGGGTGAGTTATGGCAACTCACCATGAGTTCTGATAGGTGAATTATGGCAACTCACCTATCAGAAGTCCAAATGGCAGAAATAATTTCCAAAAAGTTATTCTAAATGACTTATATTCACTATATCCTTACCTAATATGGGTTTATATAATTTGAAAGCAAAAACACCTAGATTTCATTTGATTGACTCATGATGCTATTTTAACATTATGTTCTTAGTTTTTATCAAGAAGCAGTGGGAAAAAAGTCAAATAAGAAATATTTCAGAATTTTAAGTGAAACTATTTTTAAAGATGCTGTTCATTCTGTCAACTGTCATTTGTTAGTTCTCACAGAATAAACTTCTTTAAGATTAGTTTCACCAATATCAGAAATGGTAAATCTATACCTAAAGATCTTACAGGCATTAAAAAGATAGGAAGATATTTTGAATAATTTGATGCTAGTAAATTTGACAACTTAGATAAAATAGAGAAATTACTTAAAAGCTTTCCAAAATAGACACAAGAAGAAATATAGCTTTAATAGAAGTAGTTATAAAAATATAACTACTAAAAATATGGAATTTAAAATTAAAACACATACCACAAAGAAAAAGCCTCACTGGTATCTTCCAAACATTTAAGAATGAAATAACACCAGTTCTGTCTAACCTCTTGCAGGAATTAAAAAAAAATGTTAACACTTCCCAACTCATCTTTATACCAAAATCTGAAAGAACATTACTAAAAAGGAAAATTATAGGTCAATATCTCTCAAGAAGATCAATTCAGATATTAAATAAAATATTAGCAAATATAACCCAAATGTAGCGTGTTAAAAAATGGATAATACATACATCACGATCAAGTTTTGATCATTGCAGGAATGCAAGGTTGTTTAAAATCAATACTGTATAACTTACCACATTAAAAAAATAAAAAAGGAAGAAATTAAACTGTTATTGGCTGTCAACATGGCTGTATACATAGAAAATTCAGGCCAGGCAAGGTGGGTCACGCCTGTAATCCAGCACTTTGGGAGGCTGAGGCGAGTGGATCATGAGGTCAAGGGATCGAGACCATCTGGCCAACATGGTGAAAACCCGTCTCTACTAAAAATACAAAAATTAGCTGGGCGTGGTGGTACGTGCCTGTAGTCCCAGCTACTCCGGAGGCTGAGGCAGGAGAATCACTTGAACCCGGGAGGTAGAGGTTGCAGTGAGCTGAGATCGCATCACTGCACTCCAGCCTGGCAACAGAGCAAGACTCCATCTCAAAAAGAAAAAAAAGAAAATTCAAATGAATGTACAGGTAAGCTATTGGAATTAATAAATTTATCAAGGGCAGTGGACACATGGTCAATAGAGAAAAATAAATGTTACTTTTATATAGTAAAAAAAATTAAAAATGGAATGTAAAAGACAATAACATTTATAACAGCATTGAGAGCCAAAAAAATACATTAAGGATAAATCTTTAAAAAGAGAGAACTCCAACTGAATACTCTAAAACGTTATCAAGAAAAAGTAATACCTAAATAAATGCAGAAATGTATTACAGTATATTCAAGAATTATAACACTGAATATTACAATGATGTTAATTTTCCTCAACTAGATCTAGAAATTTCATGTAATCTCAATATGAATCTCAGCAGGGTTGTTTAAAATAGATGTTGGCAAGGGGATTCTAAAATTAGAAAGTAAATGTAGCACTTTGGCAGGCTGAGGAGGGCGGATCACGAGGTCAAGAGTTTGAGACCAACCTGGCCAACATGGTGAAACCCCGTCTCTACTAAAAATACAAAAATTAACTGGGTGTGGTGGTGCGTGCCTGTAATCCCAGCTACTGGGGAGGCTGAGGCAGGAGAATGGCTTGAATCCAGGAGGCAGAGGTTGCAGTGAGCCGAGATCGTGCCACTGCACTCCAGCCTGGGTGAAAGAGCAAGACTCTGTCTCGAAAAAAAAAAAAAAAGGTAAATGTAGTGGGCCAAGACTGGTCAAAACAACTTTGAAAAATAAGAAAGAAGTTGGAATATCTACACTACCACATAATAAGACTTATGATAAAGCCAAAATATTAAAACTGTGGTATTGGGGCAAAGATAGCTCAATGAAATAAAATAGAATCTAGAAACAGACCCAACTAAATATGATCACCAGATAAATGATAAAAGTGTCACTGCAATGTAGTGTGTGTGTGTTTGTGTGAGGGGCTGTTCCTTTTAATAAGTGGCATTGATAAATTGGATATTAATATAGGAAAATGAACTTTGACTCCTACCGCATGTCAAATGCAAATATCAACTCAAAATAGCACTAAAGGTAAAACACAAAAGCTTCTAGAGTATAACAATGAAAAAAACCTTCATGATGTCTTCCTCATGTCTACCCTTTGGAGTAGACAACTACTTTTTAAACAGGAAACCAAAAGCACTAATCAAAAGAAGGCAATAGATATAGTAGAGGTCGTTAAAATTAAGATATTCTCAGGCCAGATGCTGTAGCTCATGCCTGTAATACCAGCACTTTAGGAGGCTGAGGCGGGAGGATGGCTTGAGCCCAGGAGTCTGAGAACAGCCTGGGGCAATATAGCAAGATTCTCTACAAAAACAAATACATGAATTAGTAGTCCTAGCTACTTGGGAGGCTGAGGCAGGAGAATTGCTTGAGCCGCAGAATTTGAGGCTGCACTGAGCTACGATCACACCAGTGCACTCCAGCCTGGGCAACAGCACAAGACCCTGTCTCTATAAAGTAAATAAATAAATAAAATTAAGATATTCTCTTCATTAAAATCACCAGTAAGAGTGTGAAAAGGCAAGCCACAGACCGAGAGAGCATATATCCAAAAAATAACTAGGATCCAGAATATATAAAGAACTTCTAAAAATAGGAAACGTGCACACATCCCAGAAAGAAAATGGAGAAAGATGAAGCACTTCATGAAAGAGAAGATCCAAGTGGTCAGTCATCACACATAAAAACATTGCTTCACATCATTAGTCACCAGGAATATGCAAATTAAAACTACAATGAGCTATTACTACATGCCCACTAGGAAGGCTATTAAAAAAAAATGAAATGAAAATCAACAAACCTGGCAGTAACAAGAGCCATGGGCGTGTGGAGCAATCGGAACGTTCACTTCTGCTGCTAAGAGTGTAAACTGGTAGAACTACTTTGGAGAACTGTTTTGGCAGTTTTTACTAAAGTGGAATATAAGTATATCCTGTGGCTCAGCAGGCTTTACTAGATATGCACTGAAATGTATAGTATGTACACCAAAACCATGTACTAGAATGTTTATGGCAGCGTTATTCATAAAATCCCCAAAGTGGAAACAATGCAAAATCCCCCCAAAAGTTAACAATATCATGTATATATAAATTATTACATATTCATATAACGGAATACATCAATAAAAAGAACAAAACCCTGCTACATGCAGAAATGGAGAAATCTCATAGATGTAATGTTGAGTGAAATAAACCAAATGCAAAAATATACACAATAAGTTATTACATTTATGTAGGCAAAACTAAATGATGGAAATAAAAGTTAGATTATAGTTACCTTTGAGGGAACACTGAGTGGAAGCACAAAGTAGCTGTTGGAGGTGCTGATTATGTTCTAGATCTTGAGCTGGGTGATAGTTACATAACCCTATTCACTTTGAAGAACTCACCAAGATTTCTGAATTTTACTTTGTGTATGCTATAGTTCTATAAAATTATACAAAAATTAAGAATATTTTATTTAGAAAAAAATGTCTAAAAATATTTTTACTCATAAAAATGTGGTTTATTTGATCAAATTAAAAAATATGCACAAAACAAACATAAAAAAAGGCTGGCACCGTGGCTCACACCTATAATCCCAGCACTTTTGGAGGCCAAGGCAGGAGGATCGCTTGAGGCCAGGAGTTTAAAACCAGCCTGGTCAACATAGCAAGACTCTCTCAATAAAAGAAAAATTAAAAAATTAGCTCGGCGTGGTGGCTTGCACTGTAGTCTTAGCTACACAGGAGGCAGTGGCTGGAGGATCAGTTGAGTCCAGGAGTTCAAGGCTGCAGTGAGTCATGATCGCACCACTGCACTCTAGCCTTGATGACAGAGCAAGACCCTGTCTCAAAAAAAAAAAAACAAAAAAAGCAATTACTGTCTTCCTCTTTTTTCTTCATTACCAAAAACCTTAAAGATAATCTTATCAATTTTAATAACTATATTGACTTAGGTGGTTTATTTCCTTCTTTCTCTTTCTAAATGGCTTTTGATTTTTTTTGTTTCCAATTGTTACATGTGTGTCTTCAATTATATACCAATGCATATTCTCTTGAAAGAAGTTACTGACACAAATAAGTATAAAAGGTACTGTTTTAGGTATGCACTGTGGTTTCCATTTTTCTCTTTTTAACTTTTTTTTAGGTTCAGGGGTACATTTGCTATATAGGAAAATTACATGTTGCAGGAGTTTGCTGTACAAATTATTTCATCACCCAGGTAATAAGCATACTACTTAAAAGTTTTTCAATCCTTACCCAAAAAAAAAACTGAAAATGAACAACAAAAACAGAATGAAAAAAAATCCAGGATGGTTGGGTTATCCTTTTAAAATTTCAATTACAGTCATGTGTCGCTTAATGGTGGGAGTGTGTTTTGAGAAATGTGTTGTTAGGCAATTTCATCGTTGTTCAAATATCAGAATGCACTTACACAAACCTAGGTGGCTAGGTGGCACAGCCTACTACACACTTAGGCTACTTGGTATAGCCTATTGCTCCTAGGCTACAAACCTGTAGAACATGTTACTATACTGTATACTGTAGGCAATTGTAACACAAGGGAAATATTTGTGTATCTTAAGAAATTTAAACATAGAGACGGTACGGTAAAAATATGGTATAGTTGACTTTAAAAGGTACACCTGTAGAGTGTGTACTTCATGAATGGAGCTTGAAGGACTTGGTGTTGCTCTGAGTGAGTCAGTGAGTGAGTGGTGGGCAAATGTGATGGCCTAAGACATTACCAAACGCTACTATAGACTTTATCAACACTGTTCACTTAGGCTGCACTAAATTTATGCAAACATATTTTTCTTTCTTCAATAATAAATTACCTTTAGCTTACTGTCCTTTTTTTACTTTATAAACTTAATTTTTAAAAACATTTTAAATCTTGTAATAACACTTAGTTTAAAATGCAAACACCTTGTACAGCTATGCAAAAGTATTTTTATAGCCTCATTCTATGAGCTTTTTTTGTATTTTCAATATGCATTATTTATATATTTTTAAATTTTAAACTTTTTTGTTAAAAACAAAGACATAAACACATACTTAGTCAAGGCCAAAATAGGGTCATCACGATCACTGTCTTCCCCCTCCACATCTTGTCCTGCTGGGAGGTGTTCAGGGGCAATAACATTATGGAGTTATTCCTATGTCATCTCCTATGATAATGCCTTCTTCTGGAATACTCCCTGAAGGACCTGCCTGAAACTGTTATACAGTTCACTTTTTTTAATAAGTAGAAGAACACCCTAAAATAATGACAGGAAGTATATTATAGTAAATACATAAACCAGTAACATAGTTGTTTATTATCATTATCCAGTGTTGTGTACTGTACGTAGTTGTATGTAAACATGACTGGCAGTGCAGTAGGTTTGTTTACATTTAGCATCACCTTGAACATGTGAGTAATGTGTTGTGCTATGACATTATGTCAGCTACCACATCACTGGGTGATAGGAAATTTTAGCTCCATTATAATCTTATGAGATCACTGTCAGTATAGGCGATACATCATTTACCCAAGCCTGACTGTAAATGGAAAAGACCAACATGACCACTAGATGGAGACAAAACCCAAGACTAAAGTTTTCTTATAAAAAGTTACACATTCGTGTAAAAAATGAAGTCTTTATCAAAGAAATAAAAAGTTTTAATATATTACCAGAGTAAATAAGTTACTTCATATTACTTGTGTTTAATTCTATAGATCTAAAACAGGTCTCAAGAAATCATCTCAGTTTGTCTTATAGCAAAACTGAATGAACAATGGGATGTTGAATGCTATCGTTTTTCTTCGGAAAAGTAGATGCTAAAACCACTTTGGTATCCTCTTGTAGGTTCTAACAGTCCTGATTTAAATTAAAAGCCAACCAAATCCTTCTTATATAGTAACTAACCATCTTTTCAAATTTCTTGAATCCTGCCAAATGGACTAATTATTTTAAAGCAATTATTTTGTTTCCCATTCTGTCATTTAATGGAGAAATTGGTCCTTCTGATTATAAAGGTTGTGTTACTTGGAATTTTAAAATTCCAGTGAATTGGTGAAACATATTTTTTTAAATAACAGGCCCCCCTGAAGATATATCCCTAGAATTTGAGGATGAGGTCATCTTATGCTTGCCATGGAAAATAATAAAAGAATAAAATTAGTCATATCTGGATATCTATTTTTAAAAATCGACTTCATAAAAATATAACTTATGTACAAAAACCCTGCATTACTCTTTAAAACCCAGTGACTTTTGACAGTTGTGTACACCTGCAAAATCATTACCACGATCAAGCTACGGCATATTTCCATCACCTCCAAAAGGTTCTCCCTGCCCTTTTGTAGTCCAACCTCTGTCCCCGTGACCAAGAAACCACTGAACTGCTTTCTGCCTATAAATGAGTTCATGTTTTTTCCAAGAAGATATTCAGTTGTTCCAGCACCATTTGTTTAAGAGAATGTCCCACTGAATTCCTTGGCACCTTTGTCAAAAATTAATTATCTATATCTGGATTTATTTCTAGACTCTGTTCTGTTCTATGGATCCACATGTCCATCCACCAATACTACACTGTCTCAATACTGTTGTTTTATAGCTAGTCTTTTTTTTTTTTTTTTTTTTTTTGAGACGGAGTCTCGCTCTGTCGCCCAGGCTGGAGTGCAGTGGCGGGATCTCGGCTCACTGCAAGTATAGCTAGTCTTAAAATTAGGTTATAAAAATCCCGATTTTAACGTTTTCTTTCTTTTTTTTTTTTTGACACGGAGTCTCACTCTGTTGCCTAGGCTGGAGTGCAGTGGCGCGATCTTGGCTCACTGCAGCCTCCGCCTCCTGGTTTCAAGCAAAAGCAATTCTCCTGCCTCAGCCTCCCGAGTAGCTAGGACTACAGGGGTGTGCCACCATGCCCAGCTAATTTTTTTGTATTTTTAGTAGAGACAGGGTTTCACCATGTTGGCCAGGATGGTCTTGATCTCTTGATCTTGTGATCTGCCCACCTTGGCCTCCCAAAATGTTGGATGGTGTGAGCCACCGTGTTTTCTTTTTAAATATTGCTTTGGCTCTTATGATTTTCAACTACTAGGATTTTTGCTTATCTATGTTCGTGTGCCATAAAATGCAATTCTCTCCTTATTGCATGAGTTCTCTTACATGAGGTGTCTAAAATAGTCATGCTCCTAGAAACAGAGAGTAGAATGGTGGCTGCCAGGATCTGGGGCAAGGGTAAACGGGAAGTAGTTATTCAATGAGTATAAAGTTTTAGTTATACGAGATGAATAATTTCTAGAGATCTGCTGTACAATCTAGAATCTCTGCAGTTCTAGAGATCTACAAGCGTTGTGCCTATAGATAAAAAAAATACTATGAACTAAAGTTTTAACAGGGCAGATCTCATGTTAAGTGTTCTTCACACAATAACAAGAAATTTGCACATAAGTATGGAATCTTACATGGAAGGGGAATATAATTAATAGATTTAGTGGCCAAGCATGGTGGCTCAAGTCTGTAATCCCAGCACTTTGGGAGGTCGAGACCAGCAGATTACTTGAGGCCAGGAGTTTGAGACCAGCCTGGCCAACATAGTGAAACCCAGTCTCTACTAAAAACATAAAAAATTAGCTGGGCATGGTAGCGCACGCCTGTAATCCCAACTACTTGGGAGGCTGAGGCATGAGAATCACTGGAACCTGGGAGGCAGAGGTTGCAGTGAGCTGAGATCATGCCAGTGCACTCTAGCCTGGACAACAGTGAGAGTCTGTCTCAAAAAGAAAAAAAACAAAAATTGAAAAATAAATAAATAAATTTAGTTATAGCCTATGTACAACATATACTTCATATGTGGATAAATGGCAAGCATATTTAAAAGTAGATACAAGTAACCAAATTCAAAAAATATAAACTGCAGCTTTAAAAGCAAATGCAGTTGCTTGTGCTCCTGATAGTAATTGTTATGTCCTCAAACCCTACTATAAATAAACTACATAAAAATAATATTAAAGAAAATGGAATTTTGGTTATTATGATAGACAAACTGGTGGTATACAGATAATATTCAAAAACACCACAGGTAAAAAGCTGTGACATTTGAACATGAGCTTTCTGGGAACTTAAGAAGATACACTAAACATGCACCAAATGATGCATTCTTTAATCAACTTTACAAATACATATCAAATACTAGTGTATGGTGAAGAGGAAAGGTGGTAGAATCAGATAGACAAACCTCCATCATGCGCACATGGCATGACAATGGGCAATCCGTGTAAGTTCTATAAACCTGATTTCCTTTTATACAATGATTATCTCAGAGAGTTGTTGTGAGGCTCACATGGTATCACACACGTGAAGCACATACAGCATAGTTGGCCCACAGTGAGCACTCAGTTGTTAGCTATTAATATTGTCACAGAGGTTTGGTGTACCACATCTTATATATATATAAGAACTTTCATGAAGATCAGATGAGACTATTTCATTCATAAAAGATGACTGGAGGACATTGATAAACACATAGCTTTTTAAAAAAACAATATGATTTCGATGTATTTCATATTGATATTTATTTTTAAAGTATTAAAGAAATTGACAAAATAAATAACACCATATGATTTTTACATTTAAATAACAAACTAGCCTACAACAAGATAGATATTATCCCTGATTTACCTATGAGAAAACCGAGGGGTTTTTTTTTTTGCCCAAAGTGACCCACAGGTGGCACTGAGGATTTGAACTCAGTTTGTCTCACTCAGAGTTTAATGCTCTGTGTAACCATCCTTCTGTGCCTCCAGGGAATGATTTCAGGCATGTAGATCTGTGCTTTCAATGGAGTAGCCATTAGACAAACATAGCTGAGAACTTGAAATGTGACTAAATCCAGATGTGCTGTAAAATACACCCTGTATTTTGAAGACTTACTGCAAAAAAAAGTAAAACATCTCAAAAAATTTTAAATATATATCTCATATTTTGGATGTATTGTCATATATATATAAAATTAATTTCACCTGTTTTTAATATGGCTCTTACGATTTTCAACTGCTAGGATTTTTGCTTATCTATGTTTGTGTGCCATAAAATGCAATTCTGTCCTTATTGCATGAGTCCTCTTATATGAGGTATCTAAAATAGTCATGCTAAAAACATAAAATTACATGAGGCCCATGTTTCTATGTGTTGGCACTGATTTAGATCATTTCCACTTAGGTTCTGAGAAGTAAAATTTTGGAGTTTCCAAGGGAAATTTCCAGGAATTTAAAACATCAATCAGCTACACTTAATCCTTCTTGGTTTACTCTCTTCTGAACTTAATAAAGATAGACCTTAAATATCCTTTAGAGAAAGCATTTCATATTGAACAAATTGAGTGGTCATCTAGTAATCCTACAGATGGACTGGAGCATCTTATGATAAACTAATTATAGCAAAGACATAATGATTTGGTGATATTATTTTGTAGGCAGTTGCATAAATTCCTAGAGCCATTGCAGGTAGGGTGAAGATGGTGTATGTGTTGATCAGGAATCAAGAGTTGATCCAGAGATTTCATTTTGGTATGGGACATAAATCTCAGTATAGTCTCTGGGCTTCTTCTGATCATGATTTTCCAGCATAGTGTTAGATAACATAATAGATGTCAAATAATACAAATAAATGTCTTCAGATTGTAGTATAAAGACTCTAAATCCCACCACTGTGGTAGGCTGTGGGTTGGAAGGCTCCCTGGAAAAGCATATTTAAGATTCATAAAAGCAAAGGCAACTAGTTCCACTTTAGGCCTAAGAATGACGCTATGAATCTTGAACAGTCACAAAAATTACCTCTTCCTCAAGCATATGTTAATCAAAATTAAACCCTTAGTTATGAAAAACTCAGATTTTATTTTTTAATAAGTCTTTGTATAGACTTTCCAAGATTAGAGAAAATTCTGTTTGTAAACTGAGCTATTTAGCCGGCCTAAACTGGAAAGTAGAAGTAATCCTTTCAAAGCACGATTAGTGACTGCCTTCTGTGCACAGAGCAGTCTAGTGAATGCTCTGGAAAGTATAAAGGAAGCAGACAATACAAATTCTGCCCTCAGGGGTGGGATTTGTCTTATGTGTAGAGTTTGCTCTCTAGCATCAGTGAGTGAGTGTTGAGGTCTGAAAACAAGGGAATAGACACATCTTAGGTCCTTATTGGAAACAAGACTTCTTTGGCTCCATACTTTAATGGAAAGTTTACATGGAATCATGGGTACAATCCATTCTCAAGTGAGAAAGGAGCCATCAGCTCTGTGACTTTCAGGCTAAGCAACCTCATTCAGCAGTCTGCTTGGATAAATAAGGTCTTATTCTATCATCACTGCCTGTCAGCTGTATCTGTCATTTGGTGCCACTAACTTAGGCCAGATTAAACAGAAAGCAACCTCTGCCACAAAGCATCTCCCTAGGAAGAGATCACAACATAAACTAAAGCACTAACTCTCAAGATCCTGTTGTCACGATGATTCAGTTCATATATTATCTCTGACTTTTCTGAGATGATCTAATAAGTTCTAAGCAAAAATAAATATTTAATCTTTGATTAAATAACATTATTACTTAGTCTAGGGTGACTGGGTTACGTAGGATGGCTTGAAAGAGATAAGCCTTGGTGGACATCTTAAAAATTTAACTGAAGTAAAGAGCAACTGGTTTAGTTCCCTTCCCCTGGAGTGTTGTGGTGTTGAGAAGACAAAACTTTGGGAACAATCACAGGGGGGCTAGATAGACAATGCAAAATTGCTGCTGGAGAGACTGAGTGAGTAGATGTTAAATAACTAAGTGCGTGCTGGATGAATAATGTTCTGGATCCAAGAAAGACATACACAGGTAAAAAATGAATTCATGCCTTTTGTGTTGTTCAAAACTTGTACTTTATTTTTCTCAAATATTTTTACTTATGCTTTTTGTCATTATCCACAGTGTTTTTTTTTTAAAGCCTGAGCCACTTTGTGGTTTTAGCCTCAATATAATAATCATCCCCTTACTCTTAGACTAATTCCTTTTCCCCTGTCACTTTGCCTGTATACTCTGTAAAAATGAGGACCTTAGAAAATCAACATTTCCTGTGAACTTGAGAGACTATACAAGCAGTGCCCAAATCAGTAGGATTAGGCAGGTAAAACCAGTTGGATAGCAGATATATTATGATCTGTTGGACAAAGGTATAGTTGTGTGCATGTCTACAAGGTCATCGTGATTCGCCATTAGCTTAAGGATCATGTAGGTTGACCAGGGTGAGGTAGGACTATCCACAGGATTGTGTAAATTGTGGTAGGGGATGCAGTATACAATATTCATGAATTAAACACTTAGCTAACTGCTTTCCTGAAAATGGTCTGTGTTCTAAAAGACAAAGATCTAGGTTTTTTGCTGTTTTTTACTTTAACTTATGAAGATTCAAGTCACTAATATGTTACTTGCTCTGGTTTAAAATGAAAGCAACTGGCTATGGTAAGGTAGAGAAGACAGCTGAATTGTATCAGAATATTTAAGACTTTTAAATTAAGTTCTGAGTTACCTCACCTTATAAAAATATATGTCAATATACTAAATACCCAACAAAGATCCAGGATGTGGGATATTTAAAAATACATTTCTCTTGTATCAGCACCAAAAATACCAGTTTCTGTACAACCCGTGTCAAGTTTTTAAGTATACACACATTAAAATTATTTCTGATAAAAAAATCACAAACTCCACAGAAATAATTAAAGATATATGCAAATTACTTTCAAATACATTTTGACATCAAAGTCAGGCAATTCACTTGGAAGAATGTTATAATGAATGTCACTGAATTTTTGTAGTAAGATGTTTGACGTCAACTTTGATTATGGGAATACATCTCACACACAGGAGGCACTGGTATTTAGAAACTTAGGAAAATTACTAGAATTGTTAAGACTGAGGTGAAGAATTTGTACAGCCTTCCACAATTTCAAAGAGGTAGTGATAGATACTTGTCCTCCTGGCAATATCAAATGCAGTTTCTTCCAAGTTGTTTTTCAGCCCTGGTTTGACGTAACGGTTCATCAGGAGGAGTTCTAGGGTATCCTTGCTGTCTCTGTTCCCAGCAGCAAGATGCAAGGGGGTCAAGAGGCCTTTTGTTTGGGCATTGATATCTGCATCATGCTGCAGTAAGAAAGAAGCCACTCTGGTATTATTCCACTTACAAGCACTGTGCAGGGGCGTCCAGCCATCCACAGTCACTGCATGAACATCGGCCCCCTGTGCAATGAGCTCCTGAACAATATCTAAGTGTCCACTGTAGGCTGCTCGATGAAGAGGGGTATACTCATCTTCATCCCTAGTGTTCACGTGAGTGGCCTTTTCAGAAAGGAGTCTCCGCACTGTGGTAAGCTGAGAAGAAAAAAAAGAAATCTTTCAACTCAACTCAAACCAAAACAATAACTAAAACAAAATTGTCTTGTGGTGTTAGATTTAATTAAGTTGAATAAAAACTTACTTGTTAGTAGATGACTTTAAAATGAAAATAATTTAAGATCTCTTTTTGGGGAGGAGAGGACTACTGATTTAAGAATGAACAAGTTAGTGTTAACTACACTTTGTTGCTTCTAAGAATGAGATTCTCTGAATATCAAACCATACATTTACTCCTGGTCCAACTAAGGTTTATTGCATAAAAGCTTCAGTCCAATGAATAACATAGGCTTTCTGTTTAATATTTTATGTGTTATCTGTGAAGAAAACATAACTGCTTGATTTTTCTGTAGGATTATCACACCAATATACACACTGTATGAAACTTTTAAAAATAAAACTTTTAACAGAAGAATAAAGTATTAATAAGGAATTCTAGGGATTCAAGAGCTCAATTCCTTCTCAATACAACCTTAGAAACAACCTTTTAGGTTGTAATTTTCAGTTTGTTCTATGGGCCTCTGGTTAAATGTGGCATGCTCTTGGGTTAAAAAGCTATTTAAAATGCGAGACCCTTTTAGTTATTAGTTTACTAACACAGACATGGGGAAACTTAGTAAAATGAGGTGGAAGTGGCCAAGCAGAGGGAATAGGCTTTTGATGTTCATTCCACTTCGATGATCCTGGGCAAATTAATATTCCTGAATCTCAATTTCTTACTCTATAAAAGAGAAGAATATTACTTATAGGGATACATGATGATTAAATAAAATAATGTAATAAGGTACCTGGTATAGTTAGTTTTTAATAAATGTTAGTTTCCATCCTCTCTTTCCTAAATGATCCTAATGACTTTATATAAATGATTTTAAAATATAGATGATTGCTTGCTATCTTTATAGATAATTATCCTTAAACCCCCAAATAATACCTAGCATGACACTTTGCAGCTTAATATGTGCTTTCATGTACATTGTCTCATTTGGTCCTCACAATCAAGAGATAGGTATGATGGCCATAACAGTAAAGGCAGGTCTTCTGGCTTGAACCCAGTGCTTTTCCTACTGTCACACTTCCCTCTGTAATTTTTTTTTTTACCCGATTTTTTTCAGCAGCCCAAAGAAGCAATCTGCTTGGGTCTTTTTCCATTTTTTTTTCTTGCAATCGATACCACTCTTCATTTTTGTCATCTTGCTCCTCATCTTCATCAGAATTGCCTACCCAAAGACTTTGAGTACCAGTAGGAATAAGGTGTCCATGTGTTTCCAACAATTCAAGTTGGTTAAAGTGTTCAGAAAAATCCAAGGAATTCTCTTGGTCTGGTATTCCATCATCATTTCCTTTTTCTTTTTCCATTTTTTACTACTATTCTAAATAAAAAGCATTTCAAATGCCAGGATATAAATCTTTCTAGAGATGAATTATGACTGCTTTGTTCATCAAGATCTGAAAACACAAATACAAAAGTTATTAGTAAAACAATAATTCAGGCTTTATCAACTGCATAGATAAGTCTTGCAAACATATACAATTAAACCCTGTCTAAACTCTTGTTTTTCTCATGATATCCCTTACATACACTAAATACTGATGCTGACAGAAAACAACAAACTATGATCTAATAGTGGTCTAATGCTTCTTACTTTTGTTGTTTTCTTCTAAGTCAATTATATTATTATAACTATTATTTTTAATCTACTGGTTTAGGTATGATGGTGTTATGCTAACAGTGATGAATGCTTAAAGGTTTTGAAGTATAACTAATACAATGAAGACAGGTGCATTCAAGATTTTTATAAACTAGACACACAGATAATATAGAGCAGAAATAAAAACTTCTAATTCCTAAAAATACTATTTCGAAGAATCAGGGATTCTTGAAGATGGAATAGCCCCCAAAAGGACATCTGTTCCAATCTGTCATCGGTACATATATCTTTATCACAGCATCTACACTAATTATCCTATTTCTACTTTGATAATTTCAGGCCTAGGAAAATTCACTGCTTTAAAAAGTAGTCCTGTTTATTGATAGGCAACTATAGTTCTTAGTTGGGTCCTTGTTTTCAACTGAATTTTGGCTGTCATTCATTCCTTCATTCAACTAATATGAATAGAATGTCTGGTATGTGCCAACTTCTGGGTACTGGGATTCAATAATGAGCAAGATCCATGTCTTCACCTCAGGAAGCTTACTCTAGTGTAGGTGACTGGCAAAGACATCATGTGTCTGGCAAAGACAACATGATAAGTACTACTACAAGACCTTGTCTAGAAACCATGAGTATACAGGAGGTTCATAATTCCCCTAGTCCTAAGGGATTAAAGAAGGCTTCCTGAAGGAACTGATGTTTATTCTGCTAAGCTGCCATATTAATTTTTAAACCAATATCAGCTTAAAGGGTTACACAACATATAAACCTTAATCAATTAAAGAAAAGGAGAATAACCAATAGATAATTTACAAATACGAATTCCCAGCCTCTCAACTCTATTTGTTGAAATATAATCAGTCTTTCAAGGCTCTTCTCTGATGTTATCTCTTTCATTCTTTCTTGATCCTCTCATTTAGATCGCTTTCTGCTTTCTACTTTTTTTGGTGCTACATTTCACCTCTAACTTTGTTCTTGTTTTAGCCCCTTAAAAGATTATAAGCTGAAAGATAAGGACCACATTTAACTTATATTTATCTCCTACTTGTCTATAGAAGGCATTAAGAAGTATGTGTAGCATTACATTTAATTAAAGTCTTGTCACTTGATTTTGCCTGGAATGGATTCTGAGAAGTTCCAGAGTTAGGCATAACCCCAAGATACTGATTTCTTGATACCTAATCTCACAAGTTTAACAGTATACAATCTTAATGTGGTATTAAACTTTATTACTAGTGGCAATAGCACTAAACTCAAGTTTAAATGTATTACTCATGTCCAGTAACTTTTCTGGTCCTGTTACTTTATTGTAAAATGTAAGAATTTTACTAAAGTATTCCTAAGGCCAATCCGGCTTTTCAGTCACCCAATCAGAGACACCCTTGGAATCAGAGATATCCAATCAGAATTGCTCTGTGTTTTATTAATTCTCCTGGAGCTTCCACTTTTTCTTTGATTCTCAAACTAATTCCTGAACCTTGCAACACAAAAATGACCATACATCAATTCATTAAACACTTAACAGATGCTAATAAATAAAAGTTCACTTGTAATTATATCAAATATAGTAACCTTATACCACAGATCTTACCCTCTCCCCCAACATGCTTTTCCTTTCAATAAAAACTCCCTTTATATAAATTTTGAGTTTACAGATCCAGATACAAAAAATTATGTACAAAATTTTACTGGTATATTTAGTTTAAAAAGCCAAGCCTAGGCGCATCTACCCGACTTACAGTTAAGAAACAAAACTGATGACTTGATGATGATATTCCTGATATTCCATCAGGAATGTCAGGGTATGTTTCCTAACTTAAAGGGCATATCCTATTTTGAGAGAGATCCGAACTATGTCAACTCCTTACAAACAACTCAGTGATAGGCGGGGCTATAAACCTTACTGGTGAAGGAGGTTCAGATAGATTAAAACAACTTGCCCTAGATCAAGGACCCTTCAATGGAACTGAAAGGGCAGACGTTCTAATTCAAAAGTTCTACATTATTTTTCGCTGCACTATACATCTTACTGCTCTCAGCACAAAGCAGTGCAGATGTGCTGAACTCAAGGACCTAGGGGCGACACCTGTAGAGGGTCTGGCGACTGGGAGGGAGGGAGAGGGGATCCAGCTCCGGCACTCTGCCACCAGCCGGGAGCTCACAGGCCCGTGAGCTCCGCCTGCGGCCTTCCAAACAGCCAAGAGCGGAGAAGCGGCTTCGGTCCTACCTGGGGACCACGAAGCGGCCTGACCTGCAGGGCTCGGCCTGTGTCCACAGGCTACCCACCCCCACGGGCTCAGGAGTTCTTAGATGGCGCCGGTCCATCAAAAAGCGAGGTCCGGGACAGGGAATAACAACCCACCTGACAGAAGGGAAAATCGCCGCCTTGCATCTCACTTCCGGGTTCGTCTCCTAGCCTGCTCAGGATTGGCTCCTGCGTGAGGGCGGGGCCTCGCCGCTACTTTCCCCGCCCCCTCACTGCGTGCGGTAGCCAATGAGAGCCGAACTGGACTTGAAGCATCTACGTTATCCATGAAGTGTCGCGAGAGAAACGGACGCCGTTCTCTCCCGCGGAATTCAGGTTTACGGCCCTGCGGGTTCTCAGAGGCAAGTTCAGACCGTGTTGTTTTCTTTTCACGGATCCTGCCCTTTCTTCCCGAAAAGAAGACAGCCTTGGGTCGCGATTGTGGGGCTTCGAAGAGTCCAGCAGTGGGGTAATTTAGGAATCGCATTCGTCTCCTGTTTCTGCAGGTTCCCAGGCGGAAGCCCAGAGTTAACTGGAACCTCGGGAAGAGCGGGCCGAGTGGGCAGGGGAGGGGTCCTGGCGGGCTCAGCGTTCTGATTCCGAGGTTCCCTGCGGTGAGGGCGTGTTGAGGCTTGGAATCCCGACGGAATCTGGAGCTCCAGATGTGGTGGGGGTTGTCTCGCGGTGGCAGCCACTCTTCCCCAAACCTGGCTATTTTCAGTCATCCTGCTGGTGCTTAAAGGTGTTCCTCCGCAGACCACGTGTTTGTTTATTTACACTCGCTTTAAACGCGGGCCCGTTCCCTTTTCCAAACTAGCCAGGTCCTTTAAAAAAAATCGTGGGGTTTGAATAGGAAATACAGGATTGCCTCTGTTCTCCAGAGTAACCTATGCGTGCAACTTAAAAATATCTGCACATCTAGAGTTGTTTGTGTGTTGAACCAGAACCGTATGTGACCCTTTCTGCCCATTTATTTAGCATACATTAATTTCCCATAAGAGCACGGGAAAGGAAAATAGGAGTTTAATCATCTTGGTGAAACTAGGAAACAGGATGTACACTGGAGATATATTATTTTCTATGCTCAGTTCATTAAAAAAAAGTATAGTGGGTGCTTAGATGAAAATGAGACTTCTAAATTTGCCAGTCTAATTAAGACGTCTGTACCTTGTGCAGCGTAAATCATGTTGGTTAAATACGTGCAGGCTTTTAAAAAATGTGTTTTATGATGTAATTTTGTTTTTAGAATTTCTAGAATTTGGAATCGAGTGCATTTTCTGACATTTGAGTACAGTACCCAGGGGTTCTTGGAGAAGAACCTGGTCCCAGAGGAGCTTGACTGACCATAAAAATGAGTACTGCAGATGCACTGTAAGCACCTGACTTCTGGAATCCCTTGTTATTTGGGGTTTCTAAAGCTCGTCAACTGTGATCACAGTAAAAGAAAACTTATTTAATAAGCAGTAAATAAGGAACCTGTTTATGAACAGAAATATTAGTCATCAAAAAGGGTATTTGGAATGTTTTAAATATTTATCTGTTTGTTAACTGGAAGCTAATATGCAGCTATAGATTGGAGTCTTGCAGTAATTTGATATATTGATATAGTATTGTTTATGTTCTTAGGCTTCATCTTAAATTATTGAAGTGATAAATATTCTTGAATTTTCCTGACAAATTCTTATTAGTCAATGCAGTTCTGTTTAAGATTTTTAGAGTAAATTCCTCTAGTATTAAATAAGCTGGAAATGAATTTGAATGGAATGGGAATAAATAAAAGGACTGTAAAAGTTATGTGCACTTTGGGAGGCCGAGGCTAGCGGGATCATCTGAGGTCAGGATTTGGAGACCAGCCTGACCAACATGGTGAAACCCCGTCTCTACTAAAAATACAAAATTAGCCAGGCGTGGTGGCGCATGCCTGTAATCCCAGCTACTCAGGAGGCTGAGGCAGGAGTATCATTTGAACCCGAGAGGCGGAGGTTGCAGTGAGCCGAGATCGTAAAAAAAAAAAGTTATGTGGGAAAGACTTTAGACTTGGAGTCTTTTACCCTAGTTTCAAGTCCTTGGACCCTACTAGCTGTGTGACCTTGGGCAAGTCAGCAGTTCTCTGAGCCTTGCCTCAATTTTGCCATTGGTATAATTGGAATAATTATACCTTTTTCAGATTAATTTTGAGGCTTAAATGAGAGAATTCATGAGAAAATACTTCATAAATTGCTACAGAAACATGTAGTATTATGATTTGAAAAGTATCTGACCTACCTTCTTGGATATATCAGTGAGAACTGTGTGCATATCATTTTTGAAGTTTTTGAAGAGAAATCGTTTGTGGAAATATCTTTTGTTTGTAAAGATTTGAATTTTGGAGATATATACAGAGATTTTTTAAAAATTCATTGTGGTTTATTGAAAATAGCCTGAGTTTTCATCATGGGTTTTAGTCCTGTTTCTGTCACTAGTTATGTGATAAAGCAGTTAATTTCTCTGGGTTTAGCCTTCTCATTTGTCAGAGATAATAATGCCTGACTCTTTATCTGTGAGGGTTGAGATGAGATCATAAAAATAAAAGTATTTCATACAATTAAATTTAGTGTAAGAGTATTAATAACTATTACATTGCTACTTCACATTAAAGTACCTTTGAATATTACCAAATTCAAATTGAAACAATTCTGTGTTGGCCAACTTTATTAATGAAATCTAACTCTGTAGAGAGTAGAGTCATGCAAGTGTCTTCAAGGCCCTGAATGTAAATTATTGCATATTAGTATAAAATTGACTCATAAACTTAGAGGAAGGCTTTTTAAATTAACTTCGATTTTCCTGGAAGAGTACGAAGTCAGATAAATAACAAGTTTATTTATCTGAGGAAAACAAGCAAACTTTTGGGCCTGGGTTACATGAGTTTGTAAAACTGGTTATAACAAGGTTATAAATTTTTGAAGCAGTTATAGAACCTTGTAAAGATTTATGTACATTTGTTCTGTATTGAACTAGTGGTTAGGAAAACTGTAATGTTAATGATAACGTTGAATACTTCAGATTTTCAGATGAACTCTAAGGCTAAAAAAAATGATTTTACTCTATAACTGTTATTATTTATTTTATAAGTTTGTCTCAATTTGTTTGAATATCCTTTAATGAATTATTAATATATTGAAATGTTTCTTCTTTCTTAATATAGTGATGATGAAAACACATTTAAAATATTAGTTGCAACAGATATTCATCTTGGATTTATGGAGAAAGATGCAGTCAGAGGAAATGATACGTTTGTAACACTCGATGAAATTTTAAGACTTGCCCAGGAAAATGAAGTGAGTGTGGTTTGTATTTGTGCACTATCTACCATATTCCCTTGGTTAACAAGTTATTTTTCCTTCTAAAGTTAGAGATTTGTTTTATAAGCTCAGGTGCTTACCTTGCCTGCTTGAATATCAATATACTGAAAGCTCAAAGCTGATTTTGTATGCTTTGTGTCTTAAATTCAAGTAGGAGCTACTTTTGTAAATAGTCTGTTAAAATTTACAAATGTTTTTGGGGTGTTTACTGAATGCAGGATCCTGTGGCAGTGTCTATTCGAAATGTAAGGTGACTGTCAAAGCTTCTGCTTTCAGATAACGTAGAAGAAAACTGGTGTGAAAGACAAATATCCACAATCCACAGATGCAAGGTTGTATGTGATAGGAGCCCTAAGAAAATTCTAAATAACATTTCCTTTGAGTTTAGAGGCAGAAAAAATCACGTTTAGATTATAGCAAGATGAGTTTAATGAAGAAGGTTGTGTTTAACTTGGGCTTTGGAGGAAGGGTAGACTTTTGGCCAGTGGGGAGCATAGAGAATGTACATCCATGTGAAGCAGGAGTGAGGAAACCCGTGAGACAGTATAAGGTATGTTAGGGGCCCTGTAGTCAATTTGGCTCACCAGCAGGTCATAGTTAGCAAGCATGCTGAGAGACTAGAAGGAAGGATTTGAGCTGCATTAATGAGGACTTCAAATATCAGATTGAGAAATTTGTATCCAGTTCAAGAGAAAGTCTTTTGGCAGCGGAGTATAATACCATGAATTGGAGACCAGTTAGAGGCTTTTTTTGAAGTATTGACCTTAGGGATGGAAAAGAGGAAATGAATGCAAGGGATACTGCAAAAAGAGGATTTGTGTACTTTGGTTAGTTGTAGCGGGGTGGGGATGAGGGCAAAGGGATGACAGTGACTCTGAAGTGTGTGGAGTTTGGGTGAATAGTTGTACCAAAAATAGAAATAGGTAGATAAGGAAGAGGTACTGCTTCATGTGGGAAGGTGACAAATTCTTTGTTTGATTTCGACAAACTTAGAGTTGGAGACTGCAATGGGACATTCAGGGAAAAATTTCAGCAGGCAGTTAACACGCCAGCCCAGGAGAGAGTTGGAGAATAAATGTAAAAATTGACTTGCAAATTAACACCGCCAGCCTTGACTTTTCTGGAGAGTTCTCTTAAGTTTATCTGCTAGGTCCTTAGTTCTTCCTCCCAAATATATATGGTTCCTCTCTACTACTCTTTTCACACTAATAAACTTAGTCCAAAACGATCACATTTCACATGGCCTGCAGGAGGTCCCCTTCCATCTTTCTGCTTCTATTCTTTTCTGCTACATCTACTCAGCATAGCAGCCAAAGTGAACTTTTAAAATAATAAATCAGATCATGGCACTCTGTTGCCTAAAATTTTCCAAGTGTCCTTCCATTGAATCTAGTATAAAATTCAAACTACAAGGTTCGACTTGATCTTGACCCCTGCCATGAAACTTCATCTCCTACTACTCTCTGCCTGATTTACAGTGCTACATCCACACCGGCATGTTCTACTCTGAGGCCCTTGCACATCTAGTTCTTTCTGCTTGGAGCACATTGATCTTGGTGGGGCCGACTTCTGAGAGTTCAAGTCTTACCTTTTTGGAGACGTCTTCCCTGATACTTCCAAGCACTGTTTTATCACATTACTCTGCTTTTTTTCATAGCATATTTTTAATAGCACTATCTGAAATAATTTATTGAATTATTTACTTGTTTATTGTCTGTTGTCTTCACTAGAAGGAAAACTCCATGAGAGTGGAAATCTTTTGTTTGTTCATGCTGTATCTTAGTGCTTAGAAAGAATCAGAAAGCAGTGGGTATACATATTTTAAATTTCTTAATTAAGTGAGGCAATGGCTGGATTCTTTCTTTTATTTTAGGTTCAGGGGTACATGTGCAGGTTTGTTACATAGGTAAACTCATATGACAGGGATTGTTGTACAGATTATTTTGGCACCCAGGTATTAATCCTAGTACCCATTCATTATTTTTCCTGATCCTCTCCCTCCTCCTATCATCTGCTCTCTGGTAGGTCCCAGTGTCTGTTGTTCCCCTCTTTGTGTCCATGTCTTCTCATCATTTAGCTCCCACTTACAAGTATTTGATTTTTCTGTTCCTCCATTAGTTTGCTAAGGATGATGGCCTCCAGCTCCATCCGTGTCCCTGCAAAGGACATTATCTGGTTCTTTTTAATAGCTGCATAGTATTCCATGGTTTATATGTACCACATTTTCTTTATCCAGTCTACCATTGATGGGCATTTAGGTTGATTCCATGTCTTTGCTATTGTGAATAGTACTGCAGTGAACATATGTGTGCTGTGTCTTTGTGGTAGAATGATTTATATTCCTTTGGGTATATACCAAGTAATGGAATTGCTGGGTCAAATGGTAGTTCCATTTTTAGCTCTTTGAAGAATCGTCACACTGCTTTCCACAATGGTTGAACCAGTTTACACCCCCATCAACAGTGTATAAGTGTTCCCTTTTCTCCGTAATTTCACCAGCATCTGTTCTTTTTTGACTTTTCAATAATAGAATGTAAGGTGCATTTTTCCTTCCTTGAAGGCAAAAAAACTTGTGGCCAAAGGAGGTCTGTTTCCTGCCAGAGAATCCTGTATGTGCTCTTTCTTTTTTAACTCTTGAGCCCTAAAACAGAATCTTCTCCTGAGTGTAAGCTACTTAATTCTACTTTGCCCTTTCCTTCACTTCTGCTTCTACTGTTTCTCTTCCCTGCGTCCCTTAATTGTAACTGTTCCACCCCCCATAACCCCAGGTAGGGACTTCTAGATGTGTATTATATTTACTCATTCTCTTGATTTGTATTTAGTATTTCTTATTATTGAATCTAAAGTCTTCCTGACTTTTAAGTCCCTTATTATGTGGGCCCATGCCCACTAACCAGTCTTAGTTCTGTTCCCTAGTTTCTTGGAGTCTTTTTTTAAAAAAACTTTTTATTTTGAAACAACATCAGTCTCACAGAAAAGTTGGCAAGAATAGCGCATAGAATTCCTTACCCGTCACCCAGGTTTTCTAACATTTTGTCACATTTGCTTTATCTTCTCTTTACAAATACACACGATTTTTTTCCTGAACCATTTGAGAGTAAACCGCATGTATAATCATAGAAAACCAGAAAATTAGTATTGATTCAGTGCTATTATATAATGTTAAGATGTTGCCAATTGTCCCTGTAATGTCTGTTACAGCACTTTGGAGGCTGGTTGGTGGTGTCCAGGATCCAGTCCAGGTTTACATATTGCATTTAGTTGCCATGTCTCTTTGTCTCCTTTAATCTGGTACATTTTCCTGCATCTGCCTTGCCTTTGTTTTTCATGACCCTAATATTTTGAAGAGTACACAGGCCAGTTATTTTATAGAATCTTCCTCAAATTGGCTATAAGTGGTATTTCCTCATGATTAGGTTCAGATTCTGCACTTTCGGCAAGAATACCACAGAAGTGAGTCGTGTTCTTTTCAATATTTCCTGGAGTCACTGCCAGCCAGTTTAAAAAATTTTTTTAAATGTTTGAATGATGGCAAAATATATTAAATACATAACATAAAATTTCCCTTGTTAACCATTTTTAAGTGTATAGTACAGTAGTGTTAAATATGTTCATATTGCTGTGCAACCAATCTCCAGAATTACTCTCATCTTGCAAAAATGACACCCATTAAGCAACAACTTCTTTTCGCCCCAGTATGTTTTTCATTTGGTTTGTTGTTTTTGTTTTGTTTCTTCCATGCCTTTGATTGAGATCATTTTCTTCCTTTTACTCAAATAGTGTTCATTCTGGAAGGCCTAGCTTAAACCTCACATTTTTATTAAAGTTATCCTAACTACCATACGCACAGTGATCTATACCTTGTATTCTTTTGTGTGATTAAGAACTTAAGTTTCTTTAGGTGCATCGTATACGTCTTGAAAGCCTGTGTTAGACTTTTTCTGTATGATTTCCCTCCTTCACTGAAGTTATTCCTAGAATTCTCTTCCTCACAATCATTTATCTTTCCTAGTGCAACTAACATGCCACCATGTTAGTTCATTCCTTCTAGACTTTCTGTCCTCAGGCGAATTGTCCTCCCTTGAGTTCAAATTCATCGTAGTGTCATCTCTGCTGCTGGTTGCTTACGTGTCCATTCTAGTGCACCCCAGAGTTTGACTTATGTTTAAATGTATAACAGTTTGCCTCTTCCATTAGAGTTTGAACATATTTAGGATAGGGATCATATTTTATTCATCATTGTATCCTCAGGACTCAGTAGAGGGTCTTGCATAGAGTCAGTATTTAATGAGGGCAGGGATATAATCTATTTTGTAGATTGCTATTTTTTGAGCTTCTAGAACCTGTAGGAATTCTGTAAATAAATGCTGAATGAATTAAATGAATGATTTGGATTGAATTTGGTATCTCTTCCCATACGTTCTGTTAAAGTGCTAAGTTTATGTTTGATTCAAATAATAGAAAAAATATGATCACCTTGTGTGGCCTGAATCAGAGACTTGGTGTAATTGGAAGATGGCTTTTTTGAAGATAGCTTAGTCAGCTAAATTAGAACCAGATTAATTACCAGATTGAAAGTCCCTTTGAATAAATAAAATGTAAATTTTTAAGTTGCCATATATAATAGTGTCTTTTGTGAGTTTTTTTTTATCTCTTTCATCTGTAGTTTACAAAAATTTTACCTGTAAAACATACTAATTTTAACACCTTTTTCTGTTGATCAGGTGGATTTTATTTTGTTAGGTGGTGATCTTTTTCATGAAAATAAGCCCTCAAGGAAAACATTACATACCTGCCTCGAGTTATTAAGAAAATATTGTATGGGTGATCGGCCTGTCCAGTTTGAAATTCTCAGTGATCAGTCAGTCAACTTTGGTTTTAGTAAGTAAGTATATTTATTTACTTGAGTGAGTGATTACTTGTGTATGGTATTTGCTGTATAAGACACGTAAACACACAACTGTTTTGCCTTCCATATAAGCTATTTTCTTAGTAAATATCATTCTTTGAATTTTTTTGTACATCATTGTATTAATTTATATTTTCCTAATTAATAGTGGAACTGACCCAGCTACTCGGGAAGCTGAGGTGGGAGGATTACTTGAGCCCCAGAAGCAGAGGTTGCAGTGAGCCAAAATTGTGCCATTGCACTCCAGCCTAGGTGATAGAGCAAGACTCCATCTCAAAAAAAAAAAAAAAATACATGGTGGGACTGAATATCTTCTCAGGTTTATATTGTACATTTTGGTATCCTCTCCTGTTCGTATCCTCTGCCTATTTTAAAAATTGAGATTTTTTTGTTTGTTTTTCTACCTGAATTGCAGAAGTTACTTATATATTCTAATTAGTAAACCTTTGTGATACATATATTTTTTCCCAATCAATGGCTTGTCTTTTGACTTTGTTTATGGACTCTTGTTGACAGAAATATTTAATTTTTATGTAGTTAAATCTATTGGTTTTTCTTTTTTTCCATTTGTGCCTTTGGGACTATTTATGATATTTGTCAATCCCTATATTATAAAAATATCATCATGTGTTTTTTCTTTTTTTTTTTGATGGAGTCTTGCTCTGTTGCCCAGGCTGGAGTACAGTGGCATGAGCTTGGCTCACTGCAACCTCTGCCTCCTGGGTTCAAGCAATTCTCCCTGCCTTAGCCTCCTGAGTAGCTGGGATTACAGGCGAGTAGTTGGGATTACAGGTGAGTAGCTGGGATTACAGGCGCCCATCACCACGCCCGGCAAATTTTTTGTATTTTTAGTAGAGACAGGGTTTTGCCATGTTGGCCAGGCTGGTCTTGAACTCCAGACCTCAGGTAATCCACCTGCCTTGGCCTCCCAAAGTGCTGGGATTATAGACGCAAGCTACCGCTTCTGGCCCATCATGTCTTAAACATTGTACAGGATCTCACATTGCATTTAGTAGAAACGTTTCCTTAATTTCTTCAGCCCATGTCAGGTTTTCTGTCTTTCCTTGTCTTTCATGACCCTGATACTTATAAAGAGGTCAGGTATTTTGTAGAACGTCCCTCAATTTGGTATTTTCTCCTGCTTTCTATGATTAGATTGGGATTACAGGTTTTGGGGGAGAATATTCAAGAAGTGAAGTACCCTTTCAGTCGCATCATATCAGGAGGTGCGTGACATCAACCTGATTTATCACTGGTGATTTTAACCTTGATCACTTGGTTAAGCTGGTCTCTGCCAGGTTTCTCCAGTGTAAAGTCATTATTTTTTCCTTTCCATATGCTGTTGGTTAGAATTGAGTCTCTGAGTCCAGCTTACTCTCAAAGGGCAGGGAGTTAAGTTTCCACTTCTGATGGACATAAGTTAAAACCACCAAAGTAATTAATAAATATTTTAGGGTAGATATTTTGAGGCTGTGCGACTTTTCTGTTCCTCCTTAAATTTGTTCATTAATTTTAGATTCATCAGTGGATCTTACCTACAACAGTTATAACTGTGATATTCTAATTGTGATTTTCCATTTCCTATATTCTTTCTACATGTATTAATTGGGATTCTTTTGTAAGGAAGATTTGTCCCTTGTCCCACATTTGTTTATTCAATTGTCTATATCAGTAGAAACCCATTTTTTTTTCCTTTGGGTTATAATTTATTACTATCATAATTTACTTGTGGCTTAAATTGTTCCAGCTTTAGCCATTGGGCTCCTTTTGAGATTGGCTCCTGTATCCTTTTGATATATCCCACCTTTTCTTCTGATTTTTTACTTTGTCTTTCTTGTCTTCAGACTCAGCCATTTCTTCAAGGAACCCTGGTTCCTTTTGGAGAATGGTATTTGGAAACCAAGATCTGGATGTTACATGTGCACATTACTATTGTATTGTTGCTTCTAGGCTCTCACTGGACAGAGCTAAGAAAAATATGTGTACATACTAACCCATGAGAATAGACATACTCATGTTTATTTATTTATTTATTTATTTATTTAATTTTTGCTTTTGAGACAGGGTCTGGCTCTCTTTCCTATGCTGTAGTGCAGTGGCATGATCATAGCTCACTGCAGCCTCAACCTCCTGGGTTCAAGCCATCTTCCTGCCTCAGCCTCCCAAGTAGCTGGGACTATATGCATGTGCCACTGTATTAGTCCGTTTTCATGCTGCTGATAAAGACATACCCGCCAAGACTGGGCAGTTCACAAAAGAAAGAGGTTTAATGGACTTTCAGTTCCACCTGGCTGGGGCGGCTTCACAATCGTGGCTGAAGGCAAGAGGAGCAAGTCACGTCTTACATGGATGATGGCAGGCAAAGAGAGAGGTTGTGCTGGGAAACTCCCATTTTTAAAACCATCAGATCTCTTTAGACTTATTCACTATCACCAGAACAGCACAGGAAAGGCCTGCCCCCATGATTCAATTATCTCCCACGAGGCCCCTCCCATAACACGTGGGAATTATGGGAGCTACAAGATGAAATTTGGGTGGGGACACAGAGTCAAAGCATATCAGCCACCACACCCAGCTAATTTTTAAGAAATTATTTTTGGTAGAGATGGGGTCTCACTGTGTTGCCCAGCTGGTCCTGGGCCCAAGCAATCCTCCTGCCTTAGCTTCTCAAAGTGCTGTGATTACACTTGTGAGCCACCATGCCCAGCCCATATTTATTTCTTATTTAGTTTTTAAAGTGTGACTTTATATTGGGAGGTAAATTTTTTTTTGAGATTTTGTCCACATGAAAATGTTTATGTTCACTTTCCCCTTGATTGATAGTTTGGCTGCATATATAATTGAGTTTTAAAAGATTTGTATAATACTTTGTCCTTGTTTTTCAAAATTGTGATCAATGTCTTTACCCTCCTTCTATTCAAATCTAAAACTTGGGACATTTTTTATTTTTTATTTTTTATTTTTGAGAAGGAGTCTTACTGTCACCCAAGCTGGAGTGCAGAGGCACGATCTTGGCTCACTGCAACCTCCACCTCCCAGGTTCAAGCAGTTCTTCTGCCTCAGCCTCCTGAGTAGCTGGGACTACAAGTGTGCACCACCATGCCCAGCTAATTTTTTTATGCGTTTTTAGTAGAGACGGGGTTTCACCAGGTTGGTGAGGCTGGTCTTGAACTCCTGACCTCAAGTGATCCTCCCGACTTGGCCTCCGAAAGTGTTGAGATTATAGGCGTGAGCCACCACACCCAGCCGGGACATTTTTTAACTTCAGTATTTTCTTTCTTTCATCTTATTTTTAAATTGCATTCTGTTTTGAAAACTGTTTCCCCACCCTATATACATGTTTACCTATTTCTTTGCTCACTGTTGTTCCTTGTATTTCATTTCTTTTGTGTAGATTCAGTTTCCTTCTTTCTGAAGCACAGTTTTCAGTAGTTTTTTCATGGAGTGTCAGTGAGTGGTAAACTCTTATTTTTTGTTGCTGTTGAGGAGTCTACTGTTAGGTGAGTTGCTAGAAAGTTTAGCATAGTGATTAAGAGCATGGGTTCCGGTATAAAACAGCTGGAGTTCAAATCCTGGTTCTGTCATTTAGTAGTTGTAAAATTATGTTAGTCACTTAACTACTCTACCTTAGTTCTGTCCTTCATAACATGGGAAAGAAATGTGCCAATCTTACAGAGTTGAGAAGATTGAGATGATAAGAAAAATGGCTAGAGTAGTGACCAGCATAAAGACAATACTTGGGTAACTTAAGATTTTCTCATTGTTCTTAACATGTTGCAGTCTTATTTAGCTGTGGATTTAATTCTGTTTGTTCCGCGTGGGCTTTATCATATATTCTAATGTAATATTGTTTTTCAGCAACTTGGGGAAATTCCCATTCTATTCATTATGTTTTCAAATATTGTTTCCTTTCTCTTTCTGAATATCATTTATATAGCATACTATTAAAAAAAATATTGCCCATAACTTTACCTCTTTGTGTTTCATTTTGGATAATTTAATCTTCCAGTTCACAGTTCATGTAGAAAATAGGCAAAGATAGGGAAATCCCAAAAAAGAAGACTACTAAGGAGTTAGTAGCCAATTAGATTTGAAGTATAACAATGCTACAATAATTGAAAATGTGGTATGGCTCATGAATTAGTAGATAGGTAAGTGAAAGAGAATAGAAACTCTAGAAATAGCCTCAAATACATGTAGGAATTGAGTATTTGATGAAGGTCACCATCTCACAATGTAGGGGAAATAATGGATTCAGTAAAACTGCTAGGAGAAACTGTTACACATATTTTAAAAATCTAGGTGTGGGGAAGGCTTCTAAGTATGACACAAGACCCAGAAGTCATAAAAGATTCATACATTTGTCTTTGCAAAAATAAATTTCTGCATGCCAAAAACTGCCTGAAGCAAAGCCAGAAGTCACAGTTCAATCAGGAAGAATATTTGCAACCAATTGCAAATTAAGGTTGAATTCCCCAATAAGCAGTTCTTTCAAGACAATAAAATTCATGAGTTAGTAATAAATAAAGAATATGGACATACTTCACAGAAAAGGAAATAACATGACATTTAACTTTTATTTTTTTTTTTCGAGACAGAGTCTTGCTTTGTCGCCCAGGTTGGAGAGCAGTGGCGCGATCTCGGCTTACTGCAACCTCTGCCTCCCAGATTCAAGCACTTGTCCTGCCTCAGTCTCCCAAGTAGCTGGGACTACAGGCATGTGCCACCATGCACGGCTAATTTTTGTGTTTTTAGTAGAGACAGGGTTTCACCATGTTGGCCAGGCTCATCTCGAACTCCTGACCTCAGGTGATCTGCCCACCTCGGCCTCCCAAAGTGCTGGGATTACAGATGTGAGCCACCGCATCCGGCCTAAACCTATTTTTAAAAGTTTGATTTCACTCATAAGAAAAAGACAGAGCTATACTGAAATATTTTTCTCCTATAAGGTTGGCATAGGTCTGTGACTCTCAATCCTGAGTGCACAGTACAGTTACCTAAGAACCTTTGAAAATATGGATGGCCCCCTCTCCAGGCCAACTAACTTAGAGTCTCTCCAAGTATGTCATGGGCATTGGCATTTCTTGAAAGATCCCCAAGATAATTCCAACATGCTGCTAGCATTAAGAACTGCTAGCATAGATTTAAGAGCTGGATGACCTACTGTGTTAGTGAGGTAGGGGAAAACTGTCCCTCTTGTGCACTGCCATTGCATTATGTGTAAATCTCTATGGTGGGAAATTGGCAGCACCTATCAAAATTACAAATACATGTACTCTTTGACCTAACAATTCCCTTCCAGGTATTCCTTTACAGGTCGACTCACCAGGGCAACAAGATTACTCGCTGTAGAAGATTACTTTGTACAAGATTACTGACTGTAGCATTGTTTGTAAAACAAGACTGCCAAGAATCTAAATGTCCATTGGTAGGGAACTGCTCAAACACATTGTGGTGATCCATGCAATGGAGTACTGTGTGGCTGACAGAGCAGAAGAAAGGTCTTCATGTACTGATGTGGAATGATTTCTAAAATATGTTGAGTGATAAAAGCAGGATGCAGAAATGTATATTTTTCTATCATTTATGTAAGGAGAAAGAAAAATCTGTTTATTTGTGTGGATAGGTATAGGATCCTTTTGAAAGATGCACTAGAAATTGCTAACATTATTTGCCTCTGAGAAGAGGAGCTGGATGGCTGGGGGCAGGGGCTGACAGGAGACTTTAATTTGAACAGGCAATAAGTGATAGAGCTGGGAGTTTTAATCTACCTCTTTGGGATTCTAAAGTATATGGATTTTCTTCCCTCCCCCCACTACGAATAAAAACCATATGCTAAGTTTTTAAAATTTTGAAGGCTTATTAACTTTTCATTAATTAGATATACTACTCATACATACCACAAGCACTGTTTATTATAGTTGGGGTTTCTTTAAAATGTAGTGCTTTGAGATATTTTCAAACTAATTGAAATGAATTGTCGCCTATGATTTTATTTTTTAAAGCTCTAAACTAGTGGTCATATGCCAATGTAGATTATGCAGTTTGCCTATGATTGCATTAATATTTTGGAGGAGAATCTTAGGGAAAACAGCTTTTGTCCCGTATGGAAATTTTAAGTAACTTTTTTTTTTTAAGGTTTCCATGGGTGAACTATCAAGATGGCAACCTCAACATTTCAATTCCAGTGTTTAGTATTCATGGCAATCATGACGATCCCACAGGGGTAATTATTGTTTTCTTAGAGTTTGTTGGAATTTTGGAAATGATCAGTTTAGTTTGTCTGTGGAAAGCATGCCTTCCCTTTTTCTCATTGTGTAGTCAAATTGAGTCAAAAGTCAAGTTGACTTTTCACATTCATACAAGCTTTTATACTGCTTTTTAGATTTTTTAAAAATCTGAAATAAGAATTGGTGTATGAGCTATGCTTTTATTTCATTAATACTGATGTTAACAATAAGAAGCCAGGAGTAGGAGTGAACACCTAACATCTGTATAGTGGTTTACAGTTTGTCAGTGTTTTTATAACTATCTTATAAAATCTCACTTTTAGGAAATGATTGTTCAAGACCATCTTTAAATCTAAATTAGATTATCTTATTACCTGTTTGATATGGAAGTAAGACTAGAGATCCTACAAGTATTTTTTCATTTTATCTGGTCATTAATATTATGAATCACTGATTATCTATGGTCTTTTTTCCCCAGGCTTTAAGACGGTTGCTTAATATTACAAAGCATTTATCTCATGGCTAATTTTTATTTTTTTGTGGCCAAGACATCATAAGTTTTGATGAGATATTAACCTTGCCTTTGGCATGTGATTCCAGTTGCTGTAGGTGATTTGTAGTACAAAAATGTAGCAAATACTTTTACTATTGTAATTTTGTTTTGAGAAGACACTATCCTCATCTATGTTTTTGTAAGTAGAATATGGAGTATGCTTTTAACAGGTGATACGATATTCATGCAGATACCTACTTTTACATACACACTAACATTCTTTGAAATTATTTTGCATAGGCAGATGCACTTTGTGCCTTGGACATTTTAAGTTGTGCTGGATTTGTAAATCACTTTGGACGTTCAATGTCTGTGGAGAAGATAGACATTAGTCCGGTTTTGCTTCAAAAAGGAAGCACAAAGATTGCGCTATATGGTTTAGGTAAGACAGTTTTATTTTACTGTTTATGTCCATGTGTGATTCTTTAAACAATTGAGAAATTTGGAGATAAGTTTGTATCTGTTTGGAAAAAATGGGGCAAACCTTATTCTTTATTGGTGACTATAAAAAATGATGGATGGTTTTGGTAAAAATTTTTGGTGAAAAAATGTCTTTTCGTTACTATTTATTATTTTGGGTTTTTTTTAGACTCAGGTGTAGAATCCTGAATGTTAGAATTATAGAATAATTAGCAAAACTGCACTTTGATATCTTGGAAGTCTTTGAAAGGTCTAATGCTTCACTGTACAATACCGCTAGCTTATAATTTTGTGCAGCTTTCATAATACCTCTGGCAAGTAGAAAAGCATCATGGTTATTTATATTTTAGAGATAAGGAAAATGAAATCTGGATGTTATATCTGATTCTGCAAGTGAAAGAGCAGGAAGTGAAATATACTTTTCTTAAAAAAGCTATTAACAGTTGTTTTAATCACTGCAGTGTTATTAGGGATCATATCTCCAGAAAATTGCCTTTCCTCCTCCATTCAGACTAAGGACAGATTCCATTATGCCTCAGTCACCACCAGAAGCACATCTCTCCAGTCATCCATTTTCTCCCAAACTCTTATCTTATCCTGTTCTATTATACCTTCCTTAACTGGACTCTGTCTCCACCCTGCACCCCTCCCTGTCCCCCAGCTCTTCATTATAAACTCTAGAACTCTTTTTATAATTATCAGATTCCTCATTATTATCAGTCTCTTCTCTGAATGTTACCTCCACTTTCTAACCTTCAGTGAAGCCCAGCTGTCCCCTGAGGTTCCTGTGTCCCATGCAGTTCTCTTACCCCTGGGCTTTTGGAAAGAAGCGGGGATCACTGTTCTCCTTGCTCCACCCACTGCTTCCTTTTCTGCCTGCAAACACACTGTTCCCTTTAAGCTTCTGCCATCTGGCTAAACCGCATTGCTTTTTCTCTCAGACTTTTTACCTACTTACCTACCTTCAATTTTGCCAGTGTTTTTAGTGTTTCAACACTCAAGTAGATTAATCTTCTAATGCCTTGGGCTTTGTGTGCCTTGACTTTTTTGTCTCCAGTTACATGTTCTACATTCCACCTCAGCCATGTATTCCATTGGCCACTCCTGTAGCATTCTCCTTGGGAGCTAGGCCACTTCTAACTTCTAGACTTCTACATTGTTGGCTTTTCTTCTGAGACCCTCTCTAATCCGTATATAAAGTAGCAGTGTTGTCCACCCTTTTAATTCCATAGTGTTAATTCGCCATCTTAGCATCCTGGCTTTTTCTCCTTTTATAATATTTAATATTTGTAACTATTTTGTTGACTTGTTTTTGTTAGTTTCTTTCACTAGATCAAGGTGAACCTGTGGAGTATGAGAATTGTTTGAAAGTCATTGAGTTATTTAAAAAGCACAATATATTAAAACAATGTAAGAATATTGTTTTTAAATACACTTTTATCATCCCTTTTAATATTTATTTCTGCACATGTTATAATGTATATATTAGATCAAAAGTATATATAATTTATAACAAAGGGATGGTGAAAAATAGTATTACTAGAAGTTTTAATAAGAATTTTACCATAGAAAACTCACATTTTTATTCTACATTTTGCTGGTTTTGAACATGTATATGTCTGAAATGGAAAATGTTTTTCAAATGCAACTAACTACTGTTATCAAGAACCTGGAACAGGCCAGGCGTGCTGGCACACGCCTGTAATTTCAGCACTTTGGGAGGCCAAGGCAGGTAGATCACTTGAGGTCCGGAGTTCAAGACCAGCCTGTCCAACGTGGCAAAACCCCATCTCTACTAAAAGTGCAAAAATTAGCCAGACGTGGTGGTGCATGCTGTAATCCCAGCAACTCAGGAGGCTGAGGCACAAGAATCCCTTGAACCCAGGAGGTGAAGGTTGCAGTGAGCTGAGATCACACCACTGCACTCCAGCCTGGGCAATGGAGCAAGACTGTGTTTAGAAAAGAAAAGAAAAGAAAAAAAACCCTGAAACAGCTAGGCATGGTGGCTTATGCTTGTAATCCCAGCACTTTGGGAGGCTGAGGCGAGAGGATTGCTTGAGCCCAGGAGTTTGAGACCAGCCTGGACAACATAGCAAGACCCTGTCTCAGTTAAAAAAAAAAGATAAAAAAAGAACCTGCAACATACCCACTTATAAATTATTCCAGAATTCAAATATATCTCCCAACAGTAAAGTGAAATACTTTGAGAAGGACATAATTTAGAAGCAAAATAGATTCATTTTTTAAGCCGAAGTAAGAAAACAATTTAAAAATAATGTAATGTCCATTTCAGGATCCATTCCAGATGAAAGGCTCTATCGAATGTTTGTCAATAAAAAAGTAACAATGTTGAGACCAAAGGAAGATGAGAACTCTTGGTTTAACTTATTTGTGATTCATCAGAACAGGTAAAACTTTTCTCTGAAAAAGTTTGAGCCAAGTGCTGAGGCTTCCCAAATCTGTTTCTGAGCTTACCTATTTTAGTGAAATGCCCTTAATCTTTCAAGGTTGTCAATGCAAGATCAGACAAAACATAGATTTGCTTTGTGTGATTTCATTTTGAAATTGTTTTTAGTATATATTAATACCTACAAGAATATTTGTAACATAAGGATAAGGCATACACATGAATACTCCTCAATTCAACAAAAAGGTAGAATCTTTTTGTTGGATTATCCATTCCTTTATCCCATTCCTTTTCCCTGATCCCACCTGCTTCCCCCTATCCCAAAGGGAAGCATTATTAATTTTGAATTAATTATTTCATTGCTTTTCTTTGCTGTTTAATCACATGTATACTCATATTATGCTATATTTACAGCCAACTTATGTTCAGCATTACATTACTGAGATCCATTTTGATGCTTGGATGTGTAATTTATTTTTACTGATGTGTACAGTTATGCTTTGCCTCCTGTCAGTGAACAGGAGTTTTTTGCTTTTATAAACCTTGCTGTTATGAACATTCTTAGACATGTTTCCTGCTACATATATGCAAGTGTTCTTCCAGGATATACAAATATAGCTAGATTACCTTTCTTTTGTTAGTAGTTTTAAGAAATTTAATCTGTTGGCAGGGTATAGGATTGATTGAAAAGAAGACAGACTTGAAGAAGCAAGATTTATTATCTGATCACTGCAGTAAAAATGTGAGGTGGTGACAGTGATGGCAATGAAACAGAAATGGGAGGGACACACCGGAGAAGTTGTCAGGGAAGAACTCAAAGGATTTGGGGCCTGATTATATAATTTATTACAGTTGTCCCTTGGTATCCACGGGGGGTGTTCGGTCCAGGACCTAAAATCCTGGGATGCTGAAATCCCTTGAATAAAATGGTATAGCATTTGCATATAACCTACATATATCCTCCTATGTACTTTAAATCATCTCTAGATTACTTGTAATACCTGATACAATGTAAATACTGTTTAAATAGTTGTTATACTGTATTGCTTTAAAAATTTATATTTTTCGTTGTTATTTTTTATTGTTTTTTTCCTGAATATTTCGATCTTTAGTTGGTTGAATCCACGAATCTGCCAATACAGAGGGCCAGCTATATTTATTGAACACATTTATTGAATGCAGACTACTCTGTGCATTCAGTGAATGCAGACTTAGGTTAAATACTCGGTAAAAGAAAGGGTTTAAGAGGCTGACTTGTGTTACCTTATGTGTGAGTTCTTGAATAAACTGTGAGTTTCAAAGGAGGGGCAGGCCAGAGTTTAGATATGTGTGTGGTCTTCATATAACTTTGCACCACTGGGATTTGTTCCTTCTCTTCCATAGAGCTTCCCAGGTCTACCATTTTTTTGTACTATGCCAAAGTAGGGATGATGAGTTGAAAGGAAAACTCATAAGTAATTCTAAGAATTTAAGCCAAATGAAAGGTAGAATAGCAGCATTGGTAAGGGGAATGGGTAGTCACCATATGATGTTGATTTTTCTCATTGCCCCCCTCATCATTTGATTAAGGGAATGTGTAACAGCTTTCTCTGCTGTAAAGTTCCCATTTTCTACTTTTCAATTAATAAATATTTTTGGGAAAATACTTTGAGACTATGCAAATATCCTGTTTCACCTTAAACTTTTACTCGCTAATTTTAGCATCCATGGGTGATCTTATTTCCAGTAATTAATACTGTGGTATTTTAATTGTAAGTTTTGATTTCCTTCATTCTTTCTATATTTATTAATGGAATTCTTCTGTAAGGAAAATTTGTCCCTTCTTCTCTATTTACTTACTTATTTATGTCATTATGGACTTGAAGATCCAGTACTATCAGTTTTTTGGTTGCTACTGTTCCTCTGATTGTTGCAGCTTTGACCATTGCATTCTCTTTTATGTTGGCCTCTGTGTCCTTTCAATGTCTTCCCATCTGTTTTGAGGTCATGACCTTAGTTAGCTTTTTGGCACCTCAAGATGGTCTAGGCTCTTGGCTCTTGTAATGGCAAAAATCACAATTACTTTTGCACCAACCTGATATTTTCCTACCTAGCCCTGGAATCAACCATTTCTCCAAGGTGCTCTGATTCTTTTTATTGGAGAGTGGTATTCAGAAATCCACAAATGCGTACTAGGTGTGCTTACTGCTACCAGGGCTTGCTCAGCACTCTGAATGAACAGAGTTATGGGAATAGATATATGTGTATATAGTAACCCATGCATACATACATGTCTATATATGTGCTTAAAAAACCAATGATAAGTTCAGACTGATTCTAATCCAGCCCTACAAGGTCCATTTTTGTCTTCTCCCTTTCCTTACTTGTGACTTCTTTGTCTAACAGAAGCCTGGATCATATTATAAATATATATGTTTACTTATTTTTTCAATCTTGGTTTAATTATATTTCCAATCCTGGTATAATTTGAAATTATAAAGTAATTTCAAAATTGCTAACTCATACCCCTGTGCAAAACAACTTTCCCAACTAGGTTACAATGTTTGTGTAAGTTATTTTAGTCTTTAGCCTTTCTGTATCTAGTTGAAACCTAATTTTTCAAACTTACTTAGCTCATTTTCTCCCCACCCCCTTCACTGTGGTTATGTGGTTCTTTGGTAATGCTGTTAGATTCATTTGTCACCCTGTGCATTCTCAAGATACTTCTGCTTTCATATTTAAAACAAAGAAGGTTTTCACAGATTGGGTGAGAATCTTGAGCCTTCTGCATTTTGCCTTATTTCCCATTTGTTTCTCTACATCAACTGTTTTTTTCTCTTGTTTCAAAGAAGAAAGAATCTGAATTTGGAGATGACTTGGTCATGCAAAATCTTTCAACAAGGATATTGTGATCACTTCTAGGTCACAAATTACAGTCAGCCTACCAGCATCATCCTCCCTTCTTCTTCCGGGAAAGAACCAGCACTCAATGAAGGCACAATGGCATCATGTTGTATTTGGGAATTATTCTGCTTTTCTTTAGTAGTTGTGATAATCTCATACCTTAGATGTATGTTTTTTACATAAAAACATTCCTGGATACACAAGCCTGTATATTCTGTCTTCCCTGCATTTATTCTGCTTAGCCCTTCTGTTCTCCTTGCTGTTCCTTGAATTCACTGAACACATTCCCACTTTAGCACCATCTGCTCTTCTACTGCTTAGGACTTTCTCTCTCCGCGTACTGATGCTTCATCTCAGTTCTCTGCTCATTTGATGCTAGTCAGAGAGGTCTTCCTGACTACCCTGTGTATGTAGAGAGGAGTATGGCACTTCTATGTCACTTTTCCCTTTATTTTTCTTTACAGCACCTATCACTAACTGACAAGTTATACATGTGCATACTTACACACATGCATATACATCTTGTATTAGAGATTGAGTATCCCTTATCTGAAATGCTTGGGACCAGAAGTGTTTAAGATTTTGGATTTTTTGGATTTTGGAATATTTGCACATATGTTGGGGATGGAACCCAAGTCTAAACATGAAATTTGTTTACATTTTATATATACCTTATACACATGGCCTTAAGTTAATTTTATACATGTTTTAAAATAATTTTGTGCATGAAACAAAGTTTGTGTTAAGTATTTATGTGTGGAATTTACCACTTGTGGTGCCATGTTGGCACTTAAAATATTTTGGATTTTGGATTTTCAGATTAGGGACTCAACCTGCATTGCTTGTTTCCCACACTAGAACAAGGACTTTGTTCACTGCTGTGTCTTCCATATCTAGAAGAAGCCTGGGACATCTGACATAAAGTAGACAGTGTTTGGGTAACAGTATTTGTTGGGTGAATGGAAGAATATTGGTTTGGATTAAATGAATGCTTGGTTAAACTATGTGAACACTTTTACTTGAATCTCCAATGATGTAAGTTAATATTAGGGAAAACTATTCCTTCTTGTCTTCTATCACCTTGCATTTCATGTATCTTTAAATAATAACTGATATAGGTATAATACCATAGTTTGCATATCACTTGTTTATTTAATATTTGATATTGAAAACTCTTAGCACTTATGTGAGATTGATGTTTTTACTCCCATTATATTTATTAGTAAAAAGATAATGTTAAGAAATTACTGGACATATTTATACTTACTTGCATTTTCTGTGTGTTTTCTCTAGTATATAGTTAGACTGATTTATAGATTTCTACTATTGATAGAATTCATGCTTTTCTGATTGACCAAAGGGGAAATCCTTCCTATGTAAAACCTTTCATGATCTTCCTCCAAATATAGAATTGACTGCTTTCTCTTTTCGGGTTTCCACTTGTCTGTGTCCAATAAGTTTGTAAAGCTCTCAAGGTCAGGAGTTAGCATTGATGATCTTTACATTCCCAATCCTGTGCACACTTTCTGGTACATAGAAGGATGCAATAAAATCTTTAGTGAATGGAGAAAGAAAGATCTGTATAGACTTCAATAATATGAAATTTTTCTAATCACCGAATTTATATTTTTCAAAATCTTGATACAGGAGTAAACATGGAAGTACTAACTTCATTCCAGAACAATTTTTGGATGACTTCATTGATCTTGTTATCTGGGGCCATGAACATGAGTGTAAAATAGCTCCAACCAAAAATGAACAACAGCTGTTTTATATCTCACAACCTGGAAGCTCAGTGGTTACTTCTCTTTCCCCAGGAGAAGCTGTAAAGAAGTGAGTGTTATATATTTTGAGCCAATTTTTAAGAAATCTTTGCTATAATAACTAATCATCTCATAGGTTTAAGGCCTATGTTAAGGTTACCGCTAACTGGCAGTATTGTCATTTATATGATAGCTTTATTTTTGAAAATTGATCATTCTGTGTAGTCTTATTGTTTTTCCAGATTTTAAGCCATTTTCAAAAAGAGAGCATCCAATTGGTGTTATTTTGCTGCTCATTAGGCAAATTCAAGATGCACATTTTTATTATATTTCAAGGTAGATGTTTTAGGTTGATGATTACTAATTTCACAAAGTTCATTATAAAAAATTATCCTAAAACCATTTAATTGAAAATTTTCTGATTATAAGTGCAGTATAATAGATCTCATTTTTAAAACATTTTTGGGGGAATGATATGATTGTAAGAAGTAGTTAACAGTGATTAAACTCAATTTTTATTATGGGTTTTATCTTTTGAATCACTTGAGTTCTGATTGTTACAATGATAATAGGGTTAAAGAATATGGTAGTAGAATCTATGTTGGTTGGTTTTTTTTCTTCATGAGTCCACTGCAAAATCATTTTGTCTATATGTGTACATGTATGTACATATACATAGGTATATAGATGTAATACTATAGTCTACATATGCTACCATCATAGTCCTGTTAACATTTTTTTATGCTTATTATGTCTATCTTACAAGACTGATCAGACAGGGATAATAATGGATGAGTTGATTTTACTCTGGGGAAGGAAAATGTCTACCATCTTTTCCTGTGATGATAACATTAAGGTTAAATTAGCAGAAACATTTATTTTTAAGAGTATGATTTTATAAAGAAGCATTTTTAGAAACTAAGAAATATGAAAGCTTTCGTTTGCACATCACCCTGAGGAAATTTACACTGTGACTCGGTGTTCATTTCTCTCCACTTCAGACATGTTGGTTTGCTGCGTATTAAAGGGAGGAAGATGAATATGCATAAAATTCCTCTTCACACAGTGCGGCAGTTTTTCATGGAGGATATTGTTCTAGCTAATCATCCAGACATTTTTAACCCAGATAATCCTAAAGTAACCCAAGCCATACAAAGCTTCTGTTTGGAGAAGGTAATTCTTTTTGATAAAGTCAATGAGATCTACTTTAGTTGAAGAATTATTCACCTTCAATTAAGTAATTTAATAGAGTAGAGGGAAGCCTTTATGTTGATTACATTCTCATGAAGCCTGTAAGGACACTGTTCTTCAGTGAATGTGTTTAATTGTGTCCAAGATTTTTTTTTTTAAGTCATTGAGAGAGAGGAATACTGGATGTTAAAAAAAATTAAATCTCTCTCCTAGTTTCTTTCTTCCTTTTCAAAAACATAATACATAATCTTTTCTCCTTTTTAATCCTGATTTGATGATTTGTTCATTTTATTTATGAAAGCAGGCAGTAACTTTGATTGAGGAATGGGAGACTATCGTGTGTGAGAAAAGCCTTAGCTTCTAATAATCTGTATTAGGCGTCCCTTTCACCCTGAAAGCTACCCCAAATGAAATGTGAAAAATGTGTTTGCTATCCACCCTATTGCTGCAATGTAAGTCCCAAACCTCCCTCTCTATGCACATTGCCACCCCTAAATCTCTAGAAAATTTCAGCCACTACTAAGGTTGGGTGGATTAATGCATTTAATAATATGTGGTTTGACAGCTTAATTAGCATCACTTGCTGACGCTCAGTTCTTAACTCTGTGTCAGCTGTCCTACTATGTTTTCTTTTCATGAAAAATCAGGTAACATAGTAACAATGATAATAATTATGACCAGTGATACTTACTGATTTACTGTATGTGATGTGCACTGTTGACAGCATTTAATCTAGCCAACAATACTATATGTGAGTAGTTTCTACCATCTATAGTTTAGAGGAACTGAACCTTAGATAAGGTGACTCATTCAGTGTCACAGCTTTTTGAGCAGTGTGTAGCTCACGTAACCAAAAGTGTACGCTTGTTTCAAGATGATTGACTCTAGAAACTCAAACATAGATTAAGATTCTGGCATCCCTAAATCCAATCTCTCAAGCCAAAGAGATAGAAAATGCATTAATTGCTTTTGCATTGATTGATCCAGGCCTGAGTCATGTGCCCTTCCCTGGAGTCAGACCTGGGTTTTTCAACTTTGGCTTAGTTGACATTTTGTACTAATAATTCTTTGTTGTGGGAGGCAGTTCTGTGCACTCTGGGATGTTTAGCAGTATTCTCCCTGGTTTGTACCCACTAGATGCCAGTAGTACCCCTTCTAACTGGTCGTGATGATCAAAAATGTTTACAGACCTTGCCAAATGTCCTTAGAGAAGCAAAGTCACCTCTGGTTGAGGTCTACTGTATGAACTTCACCTAAATCCTGTGGGCTTTGGTGACATGAATCCAGAGAGGAAAGTAGACGCTGGTGACACAAAGTAATAGAGGTTCATTTTAAACACCAGGTGTGCACATAACTTTCTGTTATCTCTGTATTTTATGTACATTTCTGTTATTGTACTTAGTTAAGTTATATTATTTTTTATAAGCATGTGAGTGTCTTCTGAACTCTTTGAGGACAGGACCCATATCTTACTTTTCTGTCTCAGCACTTGACCTAGTACCTGGCAAAATGATGCTCTATAAATGCTTGTTGGATTGAAATAATTGACCTAGGAGATCATATTCTTATAGATTTTCTCTGTGCTGTCTGATATGTATTCACTAGCACATGTGGCGTTTACATTTAATTATTTACATTTAAATTTAAAATTCAGTTTCTCACTTGTACTAGCCACATTTCAAGTACTCTATATCCACATATGGTTTTGGCAACCATATTGAATATGCACATAGAAAAAATTATTGCAGAAAACTCTTTTGGACTTCATTGTTACAGACAGTTTAAAGGACAAGATTATAAAGTCTTAGATGTGAAAGAAATCTGAGGACAAAAACACTTGTTCTGTATTGTTCTTGAGATCAGGACCAAGTTATAGGAAGGCAGTTTTTGTTCCAATACAAGAACTTTCTAAGAACTAGAATTGTTCAGCTATGAAGTTGGCCATCTGGAGATATCTAATCACTGTGCACACAGCCATTTATGAAAATAATCTAGTGCTGTCTCCTTGTAACTTGGTTTTACCCTTAAGAACAATATAGAACAAGTGCTTTTGTCTTCAGAACTCTTTCAAGTCTAAGATGTTATAATCTTATCCTCTCAGAGTATGAGACAACTCCACATATTTGAAAACATCAGTCTTATTTTCTTTTACCTTGAACTCTTCCAAGATAAATAATCTAAAGTCCTTGCTTATTGATCCCTAAATCTTCTGGTGAGTCTCCCATGGATCATATGACTGCAAAAACTAGACTTACTTGGTTTTAAGTTGGTAAGCTGAGGAAAGCCTTATTGAAACATGAGTAGTAATATTTTAAGTTTTATTCTAAAAGAATTATTTTAGAGATTGAAAAATTATGAAGAACTTTCATGAAAGGAAAACATTAAGGAATAGTATTAAAGGAGCATTACAAGAAGGTATATTTGAAAAGGTGTCATAAATGACCTAGGAAATAAAGATGATTATGTAGTTCAGGAAAATTCCTGTGGTAATAAGCTGCTATTCAGCCAAGTTAAACTCAGTTTACTACGTTGTTTTTTAATCTTTTTAAAAATTTTGAGATTGAAGAAATGCTTGAAAATGCTGAACGGGAACGTCTGGGTAATTCTCACCAGCCAGAGAAGCCTCTTGTACGACTGCGAGTAAGTCCTATTTATATAGATTGAATATTATTAATTTTCAAAGCATAGTAATGTACAGTTTACATGGTTTCTTTGAAAAGTAGTGAGGAGAGTGCTCATAGTAATAAGAAGAGCAATCACCATCGGAGGCAAAAACAAAGATATAAGGATTTGAGTTAATCACAGTTTAAGTGATAGGTTTGGTAACTTATTTTTCTCATTTTCTAAATAATTTGTTGTTATATTTAATAGATTGGCTGAGCTCTCTGGCTTCATCTTTAACTACCTCCTCTACTCACTTCATTCCAGGCATCTTGGCCTTCTCGCAGTTTCTTGGGCATGTGGGATGTGCTCTTATCTCCCTTTAGTCTGCTCCCGTGTCACCTCACTGCAGCCCTATCATCAAGATTGCAGCCCCTACCTTCTCTCCAGTGCCCTGATTTCACTTACCTTCTTCTGCTTCCTCTTTTCTTCTTATTTTTTTCCCCGTAACACATCCTTCTAATCTATGTACGGTTTATTTGTTTTGGTTATTATTAGGATTGTTTCCTGTGCCTATAAATCTGCTTATCCTTTCTATCGTGTTATAAACAAAGAAACAACAACAGACTTCTTCTTTACCACTATGCTTTTCCCTTTTCCAAACTCCTACCCCATGTTGCTTACTCTCTTTAAAAGCCCCTAAAAGTATATAACCTATATCTCTCTTAACTTTCTCTTCTTCAGTTCACTATAACCAAGGCTCTGACTTCACCATAACCAGTGGAAAAGATGACCTTTAATTGTTCAATCCAATAGATCGTGTCTCATCTTGCTGAATTACTCTTGGGCATTCTCTGAGTTATTTGTATCCGTCCCGTCTCATAGTTAGCCCTCTTTTCAGTGTAGGCATACAGCTTTAATGACCACCAATAGAGTGATGACTTCAAAATCTTTACGTAGACCTCCTTCTTGTTCTGTATCTCCAGGAGTCCCCTGAGGCCTGGTACTGAGGAGTGTAGTCTTTAAACCAGCAGTGTTGTTGTTGCCTGGGAAATTGTTAAAAATGCAGAGCCTCAGACCCTGCATCAGAACCCACTGTATTTTAACAAAAATCTCCAAGAAATGTATATGTTCATGAAAATTTGAGAAGTACTGGGATGTAGACTGTGGAGGTAAAGAGTACAGTGTAGAGCCAGACTTCCTGAGCTTCATTCTGGCCCAACCACTAGTTGTATGACCTTGAGCAACCGCATCCCTTATCCCTTGGTTTGTATTAGGTTGGTGCAAAAGTATTTGCGGGTTTTGTCGTAGAAAGTAATGGCAAAAACTGCAGTTACTTGTGCACCAACCAAATGCTTCGTAGATTTATGAGATCTAAATGGATTAAATAGTGTCTGTTGCACAGTAGGTAATCTGTTCCCGTTTCTTTATCCCACTGTCGCTGGCATAGTGAAGCCCTTATTAATACTTCCTGGCCTATTGCTGCAGCCTCCTACCAGGACTCTGCCTCCAGTTTCCTTCTCTCTCCACACTAATGCCAAAATGATCTTTGTAAAACACAGTTTTGCATGTCTTTTCTGCTAAAAATAACTTAATTATTCCCCAGCACTAACAGGAAAAAGTCTAAACTTTTTTAGGTTAGCATTCAGGGGTCTACATGATGTGGTCTAAACCAAAAAAGCTGCCGTCCCCTGGGTGCAGTGGAGTTTATTTCACTGGAACCTTTGTCCATGTTGATCCTGTTGCGTGGGACATACTTCTCTCCTCCTTTCTCTATACCTTCTTCAGCACCCACCTAAAGCCTCTGTCTTCAAAGAAGCCTTTCTTGACCTGCCCACAGAGAACATGCTTCTTCCTTTGTGTCCTCATCCAACTTTGTACATACCTCTTATAGCACCACTCACAGTCTGCTTCCAGTGATCTGTTTACATGTTTTTCTTCCCAGTCAGTTTGTGAATTTCTTGACAGCCAAGATTGTATTTATTTATGGTTGTATCCCTGGCCCTGAACAGCATACTTAGAACATTGAGGACATCCAATAAAATTTGTTATGACCAAACATTTATAAATGAGAAGTTTGAAGGAGAGACCTAATAGCTTTAGCATTTAGTATTTTGTCTTTTATAACATGGTAGCTGTAGAGATGATCTGGGTAAGGCTGGGCATGGTGGCTCACGCCTGTAATCCCAGCACTTTGGGAGGCCGAAGTGGCTGAATCATCTGACGTCAGGAGTTCGAGACCAGCCTGGGCAACATGGCAAAACCCTGTCTCTACTAAAAATAAAAAAATTAGCCAGGTATGGTGGTGCATGCCTGTAATCCCAACTACTTGGGAGGCTGAAGCGTGAGAATCGCTTGAACCCGGGAGGCAGAGGTTGCAGTGAGCTGAGATTGTGCCTCTGCATTCCAGCCTGGGTGACAGTGAGACGCCATCTCAAAAAAAAAAAAAAAAAAAAGAGAGAGAGAGAGATGGTCTGGGTAATACAAAAATAATTACTTTAAGGGAATCACATAGTTCTCTTCATTATGGCAAAAGATCCCAATTTTCTCATCTGTGTCTGCCTCACAGCATTAAAACTAACCAGACTTTAATAGAAAATTGGCATTTCTTTTCCTAAGCACAGTAAATTACGAATTCATTCATAAAACAGCACATATTGTCATATAAGTAATATTACAAAACTACATTGTACTGACTAAAAGACATTCATTAATTCATTGACTAAATCTTACTGAGTACCTGCTATTATGGATGCTGCAGGATATAGGGATGATAAAACAGATGAGGTTTTGAATTCGTCGAGCTTACAGGAGGTGGAGGTGCAAAGAGAGACATGATACACAAATATCAAATAAATGAACAAAAAACCTTAGCAGATAGTGATGATGAGTGAAAGTGGGAGCACTTTAGTTAGGGAGCATTCTGGATAAGCTGTGAGGTGGTGCAGTGCTGGTCCCCATAGCGTACTTTGGGAACAGCTAGTTGAGAAGAACATATCTCTGAGAAAGAAAGGTGGTATTTGTCTTTGTAAAGGTCTGTTTACCACTACAGACTTCTGTAGAAAGAGTCTACCTTGAGAGAAGTTCTCAGTTTCAGTGAGATACCATGTTTTGGAGGTAATCATTTCTCAAGGCTCACAGATTTGATTCTTTATTACCTGGATGTTCCTAGCATTCATCTTTCTCTTGAGGCACATCTCTAAGATGATAGACCAATTTACTAATGCATTTAAGGCTAGTATTTTATTTTGGTGTGTGTTTGTTTGTTTGTTTGTTTTGAAAGTTCAGAAAATTGTTTTCAGATGGTTTGCTTGGTAGGTACCTAGACTATTAGTGTTATCAGGGGGAGATGTAATCATTCTGCATTGTGGAAATTATTGCAATACCTTGATTCCATCGAACAAAGTATTTTGCTTATGCTTATAAACTTTTCAAACATTAGTTTCTCAGTAGGATAAATGATATAGCTCCATCATGATCTACTGTAGAAAATTAATTCATAAATTTCAAAGTATCAAGCATAAACACTGTGAATACTGAAGGATTAGTGTGTGTTTTAAAAATTGGCAAATTGTTGTTTCCTAGCGTTCATAGATTATTCTGTGTTTTCAGGTGGACTATAGTGGAGGTTTTGAACCTTTCAGTGTTCTTCGCTTTAGCCAGAAATTTGTGGATCGGGTAGCTAATCCAAAAGACATTATCCATTTTTTCAGGCATAGAGAACAAAAGGAAAAAACAGGTAAGCTAGTTATTTTTATGAGGTAAAAAAATGTTCTTATAGGATTTGTGAAGGAATCTTTATTAAAAACTGTAACATAATAATGGAAGATGTTTTAATATGATTGTAATGTCTTAAACAAATTGACAGTGGGAATAATTCTCTTGTCTTCTAAAAATTAGATAGCAATCTTTTTTATTATTATTATACCTTAAGTTCTAGGGTACATGTGCACAACGTGCAGGTTTGTTGCATATGTATACATGTGCCATGTTGGTGTGCTGCACCCATTAACTCGTCATTTACATTAGGTATTGCTCTTAATGCTATCCCTCCCCCCTCCCCCAACCCCATGACAGGCCCCGGTGTGTGATGTTCCCTGCCCTGTGTCCAAGTGTTCTCATTGTTCAATTCCCACCTATGAGTGAGAATATGCGGGGTTCGGTTTTCTGTCCTTGCGGTAGTTTGCTCAGAATGATGGTTTCCACCTTCATCCATGTCCCTACAAAGGACATGAACTCATCATTTTTTATGGCTGCATAGTATTCCATAGTGTATATGTGCCACATTTTCTTAATCCAGTCTATCATTGATGGAAATTTGGGTTGGTTCCAAGTCTTTGCTATTGTGAATAGTGCCACAATAAACACATGTGTGCATGTGTCTTTATAGCAGCATGATTTATAATCCTTTGGGTATATACCCAGTAATGGGATGGCTGGGTCAAATGGTATTTCTAGTTCTAGGTCCTTGAGGAATCACCACACTGTCTTCCACAATGGTTGAACTAGTGTACAGTCCCACCAACAGTGTAAAAGTGCTCCTATTTCTCCACATCCTCTCCAGCACCTGTTGTTTCCTGACTTTTTAATGATCGCCATTCTAACTGGTATGAGATGGTATTTCATTGTGGTTTTGAATTGTATTTCTCTGACGGGCAGTGATGATGAGCATTTTTTCATGTGTCTGTTGGCTGCATAAATGTCTTCTTTTGAGAAGTGTCTGTTCATATCCTTCACCCACTTTTTGAAGGGGTTGTTTGATTTTTTCTTATAAATTTGTTTAAGTTCTTTATAGATTCTGGATATTAGCCCTTTGTCAGAAGGGTAGATTGCAAAAATGTTCTCCCATTCTGTAGGTTGCCTGTCCACTCTGATGGTAGTTTCTTTTGCTTTGCAGAAGCTCTTTAGTTTACTTAGATCCCATTTGTCAATTTTGGCTTTTGTTGTCATTGCTTTTGGTGTTTTAGTCATGAAGTCCTTGCTCATGCCTCTGTCCTGAATGGTATTGCCTAGGTTTTCTTCTAGGGTTTTTGTGGTTTTAGGTGTAACATTTAAGTCTTTAATCCATCTTGAATTAATTTTTGTGTGAGGTGTAAGGAAGGGATCCAGTTTCAGCTTTCTACATATGGCTAGCCAGTTTTCCCAGCACCATTTACTAAATAGGGAATCCTTTCCCCATTGCTTGTTTTTGTCAGGTTTGTCAAAGATCAGATGGTTGTAGATGTGCATTGTTATTTCTGAGGCCTCTGTTCTGTTCCGTTGGTCTATATCTCTTATTTTGGAACCAGCACCATGCTGTTTTGGTTACTGTAGCCTTGTTGTGCAGTTTGAAGTCAGGTAGGGTGATGCCTCGAGCTTTGATCTTTTTGCTTAGGATTGTCTTGGCAATGTGGGCTCTGTTTTGGTTCCATATGAACTTTAAAGTAGTTTTTTCCAATTCTGTGAAGAAAGTCATTGGTAGCTTGATGGGGATGGCATTGAATCTATAAATTACCTTGGGCAGTATGGCCATTTTCACGATATTGATTCTTCCTATCCATGAGCATGGAACGTTCTGCCATTTGTTTGTGTCCTCTTTTATTTCGTTGAGCAGTGGTTTGTAGTTCTCCTTGAAGAGGACCTTCATATCCTTGTAAATTGGATTCCTAGGTATTTTATTCTCTTTGAAGCAATTGTGAATGGGAGTTCACTCATGATTTGGCTCTCTGTTTGTCTGTTATTGGTGTAGGAATGCTGTGATTTTTGCACATTGATTTTGTTTTTATTTTCATTTTTTTGAGACAGAGTCATGATCTGTTACCCAGGCTGGAGTGCAGTGGCGTGATCTCAGCTCACTGTAAGCTCCGCCTCCCAGGTTCACGCCATTCTCCTGCCTCAGCCTCCCGAGTCGCTGGGACTACAGGCACCTGTCACCACGCCCCTGCTAATTTTTGTATTTTTAGTAGAGACGGGGTTTCACCGTATTATCCAGGTTGGTCTCGATCTCCTGACCTTGTGATCCGCCCACCTCGGCCTCTCAAAGTGCTGGGATTACAGGCGTGAGCCACCGCGCCTGGTCTGCACATTGATTTTGTATCCTGAGACTTTGCTGAAGTTGCTTATCAGCTTAAGGAGATTTTGGGCTGAGACGATGGGGTTTTCTAAATATACAATCATGTCATCTGCAAACAGGGACAATTTGACTTCCTCTTTTCCTAATTGAATACCCTTTATTTCTCCTGCCTGATTGCCCTGGCCGGAACTTCCAACACTGTGTTGAATAGGAGTGATGAGAGAGGGCATCCCTGTCTTGTGCCAGTTTTCAAAGGGAATGCTTCCAGTTTTTGTCCATTCAGTATGATATTGGTTGTGGGTTTGTCATAAATAGCTCTTATTATTTTGAGATATGTTCCATCAATACCGAACTACCTTGACGTCACAAGGCACCAGCAGTACCCATGATTGCTTTTGCATCGTCAGTGTAGCAATGATGGCAGATGGCAAAATGGCAAATAACATCTTAGGATTATTATGAAAGTATTTTTGACGTTATTACTCCCTGAATGGGTCTTGAGGACCTCCAGAAGTCTGTGCTTCACCCAGTGAGAACAGCTACAAGACACCTATCCTGGAGGTATGAACGAGAAATACTGACTGTGGGGAAAAGACCGTGGCTATTAACAAAAATGGCTTGTTTTGCCTCAAAATTTACCATGTTGAGCAAGCTGGCAGTTGCTAAAGTTTGGCCTTACCTTCTCCACTGACAACTTGCAATGAGTATGCACATTTTAACATTATGATAGAAGCTATTTTTTGATATACTTCTTTTTTTCTAGGAGAAGAGATCAACTTTGGGAAACTTATCACAAAGCCTTCAGAAGGAACAACTTTAAGGGTAGAAGATCTTGTAAAACAGTACTTTCAAACCGCAGAGAAGGTAATTTCTTACAGTTCACATTTTGAATAATGGCTACCTTATAGTAACAGATTTTAATTTAGGATATGTTTAGTTGATAGTTTAAACAAAATGAATCCTCAAAATGTTTCTATGAAGTAAGTAGGGTGACAATTAATTACATTCATTTGCAGTTGCTGCACAGCAGGGAAAATTAGTGTTTAATTAATGTTAGTTATTAGTACTGTTATTAATATAGCTGTTATTGTTGATGTTGTTATTCTCTTTCTTTGTATCTCTGTTGCAATTATTAAACTGAATAATTTTAACTTAAATCAGGGACATTCTTAAGTGAAACTTAGAAGTAACTAGGGTGACATTTACATTCATTTGTAGTTGCTGCACATCAAAGAAAATTAGTGTTTAATTAATGTTAATTGTGAATACCATTATTAACATAACTGTTATTGTTGTTGTTATTTTCTTACTTTATTTGTATCTCTGTTACAAAGATCTCAATCCAGATTTAGTTTTCTCACATTTGGATGTAATTTCAGAATTATTCTACAAACAAAGACAGCCAAATGATGGTGAAGCCACTGAAACTTACGTCATAAGTATATGCCACTCTAAGATCCTCCGGTTGTATTAGTTTCCTATGGGTGCTGAAACAAATTTCCACAAACTTAGTGGTTTAAAACAACACAAATTTATTATCTTACAGTCGTGTAGGTCAGAAATCGTACACAGGACTGGAATCAAGGTTTTGGCATGGCTGTCTTCCTTTTTGGAGGCTCTAAGGGAGAATCCATTTTCTTACCTTTTCCAGCTTCTAGAGGTGCCTACTATGTTCCTTGGCTCTTGCTCTCCTTTTATCTTCAAATCCTGCAATGTTGTATCTCTCTAACCATTTCCCCAGAGTTATTTTTCCTTCCAGCTCCCATCTGCCTCCCTCTTGTGCTTTTCAGGACCCTTATGATTACACTGGGCCCACCTGGATAGTCTCTGATACTCTCCCTATTTTACAGACAGCTGATTAGCAACCTTTGTTCCTCTTTGCCATGTATTCACAGGTCCCAGAGTTTAAGACGTGGACATCTTTAGGGGGCTCTTATTTTGCCTATGACACTGGTTAATTTCATCTCTATTAATCATAGCTGCCATTTTTGGACTCCATATCCTAGCCATCAGGCCTCTACATTTCACGTGTCCTGTACTCCTCCCCCATTTCTGGTTTTGACTTTGCTTTTTCTGGTTCCTGATATTAGTAGGCTTAACTACAGCTGTTCACTATATTTTTTCTCTGGTAACATATTTGGTAATTTTCCTTGCTCATCTATAATTATTTTGTAAGGAATAAAAACTATTTCTGCATCCAGTGATTTGTATCTTACAGAATGTGCAGCTCTCACTGCTAACAGAAAGAGGGATGGGTGAAGCAGTACAAGAATTTGTGGACAAGGAGGAGAAAGATGCCATTGAGGAATTAGTGAAATACCAGTTGGAAAAAACACAGCGATTTCTTAAAGAACGTCATATTGATGCCCTCGAAGACAAAATCGATGAGGAGGTAAGTAACTAATTTGAGTGTCTAGGTCTATTTAAATAGTCTGTCTTTAAGAGTAGCTCTGAGATTTTTTTCTGGTAAATCACTATTTAACCTCTCTGATTTGTTTAGTTTTTCTCATCTATAAAATTGAAATGATAAAATGAAGGTTAAATTAGAAAATGTAGAAAATGCCTAGAACAGAGTCTTGCATATGGTTGGTACTAAAGTGTTTTGTTCCCCATGGATAGTATCTTCTCTTAAAGATCCTTTGAAAGGGCTTTAAAGTGAACCTTGTAGGATGGTAATTTTTGTTCATTTTAATTTTTTTAGTAAGTTTTGATTGAGATCTTGAATTTCATTTAGAAAATTTCTGCTAAGCAAGAAGCAGTGGAAAAATTACAGGAAAAGCTGTCTAGACTTGACTACATAGAAATTATAAATGTTTGCATATCACATTGTCAAAAAACAAAATTAAAAGATATTGACATGAAAATATTTGTATGTGGGCAGAAAAAAGTTTAATATTCTTAATATTAATGAGCTCTTAGAAATCTTAAAAATAATTAAACATTTGATAGAATAATGAACAAAGGACATGAATAGGTGGTTCATAAAAGAAATATAAATAGCTAATAAGCATATGAAAATGGTGTTTAGCCTAGGATAATCAAAGAAACTCAAATACATCTTTTGTTTGTCAAATTGGCAGCAATTTGAGAAAAATAGTATCTAGCACACTGCTGGTAGTAGTATTACGTTTGAATAGCTTTACTGAAAAGCAGTTTGGCAGAGTATATTAAGAGGCTTAAGATTTACCCTTTAACTCAGCCTGGGAAATTTCCCTATGAAAATAGTGAGGTAGAGATTTGTGTATGGAGTGATTCATCTTAGTGTTGTTCATAGTGGGGAATAATTGGAAATGTTTTGATACAATAAATGTTGGTACATATACCATATAAAATTTTACACAGCTTAAAAATGACATTTTGGAAGAAGAACATGAGAAGATATTTCTAATCTAATGTTAATTGGGAAAGATTTCAAAGATAAAAAACTGCGTAGTATAATCTCAATTATTTTTATTTTATATGTAATTGTGTATGTTTATGTAAATAAAGAAAATATCCCAGATATATTATCAACAGTTATGTCAAGGTAGTTATATTACAGGGGATCACTTTCTCTATTTCCCAGATTCTCCCTAAGCAGAAGAACAAAACAATGTTATTTAAAAAAAAAAAAAAAACTCATTCCCTTATTTTAGTGCTTTTGGTTAACATGGTTCTCTTAAAGCCTTATGGTGTCAATGTGTAACTAATATTATTTAATACCAAGTACTTCCAGAGGTAGGACAGGCAGTTCACCCTCTAAAACCATTCACTCTATGACTCTGGATGTGTTGGGTTTGCTAATTTATAGCATAAATAGATTTCTCAGGTACATACCAGAAATAAAACATAACCATCCCCACCTGGAGTGACATCATGACTCCTGAGCAGCAAAGTCTGTGTGGGGTGTGTGTGTGTGTGTGTGTGTGTGTGAGAGAGAGAGAGAGGGAGAGAGAGAAAGAGAAAGAGTGTGTGTGAGTCATGGTGGCTCTGACCAGACACCCGTGTTCAAAATCAAAACCCTTATTAGCTGTGTACCCATCATTGAGTTATCTAAACCCACCTATCCCTCAGTATCCTCATCTGAGGATAAAATGGTGATGATAATAGGCCCTCCTTCAAGGTTGTTGTAAGGATTAGAAGAATTAATCCATGTAAAATCCTTAGAATACTGTCTGACACATAGTGCCTGTTCAGTGTTCCCACTCTGACTCTCATTTCTCTTCTGTGAATGGCTTAGCACCTTTGGTATGCTACTTATCACCTAGGGCACGATTACATACTGTCTCATCTTTTAAAATATTGTTATTCTTGTATTTTTCCTCTACTGAATCATAACAAACATGCTGTTATTTCTTTCAGCTTAAGAAACAAACAAAACTCTCGATCCCATTTTCCTTTAGCTACTGCTCTCTGTTCCTCTTCTAGAGCAGAATCGCTTCAAAGAGTTTTCTGTATTTGCTGACTCATTCTTCTCTCTCCATTTTCTATTAAATCTATCCACTCAGGCTCCTGATCCCATCATTCTAGTGAAGCTGCACTTGTCAAGATCACCAGTGACTGCCATTGCTAAATCCACTGTCAGTTTTCTATCTTACATCTCACTTGACCTTCTTTGAAACATGTTTTTTATTGGATTTCAGGATACCAGACTCTTGTTATCTTCCTGCCTCACTGGCTGCATATTTTCAGTGTCTTTTGTTGATTCCTCTAATTGCTCCAGCCTCTTACATTGGAGTCTTATTTGCTGTTCCCTCTCCCATATCATCAATTGATTATAGATTCCATGAGAGCAGCTTTTTGTCTGTTTTGTTAATAACTGTATTCTCAGTTTCTACGATAATATATGGCACATTGAAGGTGCTCAGTAAATATGTGCTGAGTAGATTATTAAATAAATGGGCTTAAAGAACATATACATAGCTGTATAATAAGAGCCTTGTGAGCAGGAACCATTAAAAAAGAAACCTGTAGTCTCCTTCTTGATACCAGGACCATGCTCAGCAAACCTTCATGAGTTGACTCTTAATAAAAATGGATCTTCAGGGGCCACCCACTTCAGATCCCATTTCACAGAGCCTCCTGGATGTCTTGCAGCAAGGTGCACAAGAGTGATTTGCAATGTAATAAATATTTCAAGCCTTGTCAAGGAGATATTTTTGTTTTTAACTAGTTTACTGAAGTGTAATACCCATAGGGTATTAGAATTTTTCCTGTACAGTCTGAAAGACTTTTTCAGTGATGTGAAACATTTTGGCAGCAGGTAATATAATTTTGCTTCGGGTCAATATGAGTTTTTTTTTTTAAGAGTACATTGTGCAATTTTAACGTTAATAATTGGAAAAATATGATTTACTTTTGTGAGACATTGTTAAATTTGCAAGTTTTATAACATAAAGCATTTCTTAATTGTAGCCCCTTGTTTTATATTTACATAACTGGAATAGGCAACATGTTTGTGATTTACTCTGTTATGATCTAGGTACGTCGTTTCAGAGAAACCAGACAAAAAAATACTAATGAAGAAGATGATGAAGTCCGTGAGGTAATTATTCTGCTGCAAATTCTTGTGTTTATATATCACTTTCTTAAACTAGAATAACCAGTAGGTTTAGTTAGAATAGTCAGTCCATAGGTCTAGGGGATAGGAGTGAGCTGGGGTTGGCTTAGGATGGCTGCTTTTGGTTGATTTCAGTTCAGCCTACAAATATTCTGCTCATTGCTCTTTTTTTCCATTTTGTTCTTGTCTAAAACCTGTTTAGCAAGTGCAGTGACTCACACCTGTAGTCTTGGCTACTTGAGAGGCTAAGGTTGGAGGGGATTGCGTGAGCCCAGGAGTTCAAGGCTGCAGTGAACTATGGCTGCACCACCACACTCTAGCCTGGGCAACAGAGTGAGACCCTGTCTCTAAAATAAATAAATAAAAATAAATAAAACCCATTTAATTGTATGTGTGTGGGGATATATACAACAAAAGCCCCTATTACTCAAAATAATATCTCTTTGTTAGCAGAGCATCTTATAGATAAAATCTTATCTTACTGAGCTGATATTATTTTGGGCAAAAAAGAAACTTAAAGTGTTTTGGTTAGCAATGTTAACCATAAGTAAGCAAGCATGGGCAAATAGACAATTTCTATTATCTATTCTAAAATATTAAAATTAGCTTAAGCACCATCATCACTGTCTTCTCAGTCTCATTGCAGGTTTGAATCTACAAGTTAGCAACCATTTACTTAAATTTGGGGCCTCTACCTGGTACTTGTTGAATTTATGATTGAAATGTATTTTCTTATTTTCTGATTGCCCTTAGTGTTTTATGATTGCTATCTAGTATTTAAAAGTTATAAACTATGTACTGTTAGTTTTGTCTTGATTGCTTTCATTCAGCAAACATTTTATATTGTCCCTGTTATGGGTTAGATATTCTGCTTTATATTAGGACTGTACATATAAAAAAGCTGAGGTCTGTAGCCACAAGATTTTCTCAATTTAGTAGATAAGAGACATTTGTGTAAGGAAGATATTTATTGAATTATTTTTCCTAGGTGCCCATTTTATAAATGAGGAGACAGACCAGACTCAAGGTCATGGAGTGGCGCTAGAATTTGAACATATTTCTGACTCCAAGTGTAGACTTTTCTATCATCCTGTGTCCTATCAAAATTTTAGATTATTATAATATTAATTCGGTGCATTGCAAATGGATGGTTTTCTAAAAATGAAAAACTTCTAAAAGTGTCATGCAACACATCAGAATCACTGTTGAAATACACATAGTTGCAACCACTGTATCTTTTACAGGTTGTTTTTTGGAAGCTAAGGAAAAGAAGCTATAGATTAGAAATGGCTTAACACGTTTATTATATTTCTATTTATCTTATAAGGTGCATTTAAAATAGAAATAGTTTGCCAAATTGCAAGAATAATGCTAGGAAGAAATGATTCCTGATTCTTAAATATCTAGCTTAAAATTGATTAACCCTTTCAATTTAACAGGGTACAGAAATATTTCTTTACGTTTGAGTGAGTTCTTCATGTTTGAAGCGACAAACCTCAATTTTTCATTAAGCTTTTAAAAGAGTTAAGAGTGAACGTCTTATACAAGGAAGGTGGGAGAGGCTGTGACAAATTTCATATGGGAGTTTTACAGAAGAAATAACTTACAAGTTCAGATATTCAGCTATATTTTAAGACTAAAATGTAATTGGGGCTTCCTAGGTAATTTTTCAGCATATCATAAGATATTATATATTTTTTCATTTTCAGCATACTATTTAGAACTTAGGTAATGGAGTCTGAAACTCTGCCAAGCTGTAATTCACAGCTTTGCAGAATCATTTGGCTTAGAATATGAATCCCAGCGCCATGCTTAAATTACTTATACTGACAAACAAGACTATTAGCTCTTCTATTTGGAGAAAAAACAGTATGCTTTAAAGTCTTTCAGGCTGGGCATTGTGACTTACCTGTAATTTCAGCACTTTGGGAGGCCGAGGCAGGTGGATCTCTTGAGCTCAGGAGTTTGAGACCAGCCTGGGCAACATGGCAAAACCCCATCTCTACAAAAAATACAAAAATTAGCCAGGCATGGTAGCTCCCACCTGTAGTCCCAGCTACTCAGGAGACTTAACTGGGAGGATCGCTTGAGCCCAGGAGGCAGAGGTTGCAATGAGCCGAGATGACGCCACTGCACTCCAACCTGGATGACAGAGCAAGACCCTGTCTCAAAAAAAAAAAAAAAAAATCTTTTGTTCACATAGAAAAACTCTCAAATCTTTTCTTTAATGATAAATTCATATTTGAATAAAAGAGCAAACAGTAACCATTAGGCTTTGCGGGACATGTGTGGTCTCTATCACATATTCTTGTGTTTTTTTGTTTGTTTGTTTTTTTATTAATGGCCCTTTAAAAATATAAAAACTATTCTTAGTCTTACCCACAGTCGTTAGTTTACCTGGCCTCTGATTTCTTATGTTCTACCTCAATTTGAGGTGGGTTGATACCCTCTTTCAAAATATAATACCAGGCACTATCAATAGTGAAGAAGTGACCCACAGAATGAGAGAAAATATTTGCAAATCATACATCTGATAAGGGATTAATAAGCAGAATATATTTTTAAAACTTCTAAAGCTCAACAGTAACAATAACAAAAAAACCCAATTTTTACAATGGGCAAAGGACTTGAATAGACATTTCTCCAAAGAAGCTTTACAAATTATAGCACATGAAAAGACACTCAAGATCACCAGACATTAGAGAAATGCAAATCAAAACCACAGTGAGATACCACTTCACACCCATTAGGATGGCTGTTATTAAAACACCATAAAATAACAAGTTTCGGCAAGAATGTGGAGAAATTAGAACCATATACATTGGTGGTGGGGATGAAAAATGGGTCAGCTACTGAGGAAAACGATAGCAGTTCCTAAAGTAGTTAAACATAGAATTATCATGTAATATAGCAATTTCACTTCTAGGTACATAACCAAAAGAATTGAAAGCAGGAACTTATTTGTACATCAGTGTTCGTAGCAGCATGATTCACAATAGCCGAAAAGTGGAAACAACCCAGTTGGTCATCAACAGATAGATGGATAAACAAAATGTGGTATGTGCATGTAATGGAATATTATTCAGTCTTGAAAAGGAATGACATTCTGATACATGCTACAATATGGATGAAACTCTGAAAACATTATGAGTGAAAAAAAAACAGTTGCAAAAGGACAAATATTATATGACTCTACTTATATGAGGTACCTAGAGTAATCAGATTCATAGAAACAGAAGGTAGAATAGTGGTTACTGGGGAGAGGGAGGAATGTGAAGTTACTGTTGAATAGGTATGGAGTTTCAGTTTGGGATGATGAGAAAGTTCTATAGATGGATGGGGGGATGATTGCATAACCATGTGAATGTACATAATGTCACTCTACTATACCTAAAAGTGGTAAAAAGAGTAAGTTTATGTTATGTATATTTCACCACAAAAAAAAAGTGTTTAACAGTAGGATAGTATGTTTTCAAATCTCACAAAATGTATATGGAAACATTTTTGCCATTGGCTCTAGACCTGCACTCATGAGTTAAGCTCTTAGAAGTAATACATTCCAAAGATAACAGTAAACTCTGTTTTTCATAGGAAAGGTAGAGTTAAAATACAATTTGAATATACAATTTGAGATGATAAAAATGAAGATACAGTATTTAGACAAAGGGAAAATACAAAGTTTAGAAATGATGGTTAGTAATTGATTCCAAGAAGTAATCATAATAGGGCATATTTATTTTAAATTTTGCTACATACTGCCACATTAGTCCAAAGATGTCTTAACTAGTTTATATTCTCACCATTAGTATTTGGGAGTGCTTGTTTCCTCACATCTTTACCATCGTGATGTATTACTGTATCTTTTGATCTTTACAAGTCTAAGGGGTAAGAAATTATTTCCTACTGTTGTTTTCAGTTCATACTACTTTTTTTTACTAATGAGTCTGCCTAATTTTTATGTTTATAAATCATTTGTATTTATATGAAACACATGGTCATTTTGTTTGGCCACATTTTCTCTTTCGAGTAGGGTATTGGTCTTTCTCTTTTTTTTTTTTTTTTTTGAGGCAAAGTCTCACTCTGTCACCCAGGCTGGAGTGCAGTGGTGTGATCTCAGCTCACTGCAACCTCTGCCTCCTGGGTTCAGGTGATTCTCGTGCTTCAGCCTCCCGAGTAGCTAGCGCGCGCTACCATGCCCAGCTAATTTTTGTATTTTTAGTAGAGACAGGGTTTCACCATGGTGGTCAGGCTGGTCTCAAACTCCTTACCTTAGGTGATCCACCCGCCTCGGCCTCCCAAAGTGCTGGGATGACAGGCATGAGCAACCGCGCCTGGCCGGGTATTGGTCTTTCTCTAATTGATTTGTAAGAGCACTCACTTGAACACATTTGTGTGTGTGTGCCCTCTCTTTCTCTCTCTGGATATATACACATAGTAATATAGCATATTTAGGGTTTTTTGACACATAAAGTATCCACTTATTCATCAGCTTATTTGTTTAAATCAGGAATGATTGGTGATTACATGGTTCTGATTTTATGAAGATATACATTTGGGTTTTTTCTTTCTTTGTTCCATTAATATAGTGAGTTATATTATTATGTACATAGCTTATTGACCCATCCTGGTAATATATCCATTACCCCCTGGTAATGGATATATTGGTCTTTCCATAAGCTTCTGGAGTCTCTATTTGCTTTCATAATTATAAATAAGATTCTGTAATTTTCTTTTTGTGCACGCAGTTCTTTGTCAGTACTGTGTCATACTGGCATTGTGAAAACAGTTTGGAAGCTGTCTTTCTGTATGCTCTGGCACTATTGAAATAGCAGTGGGCTTATCTGTTTTTTGAAAGTTTGGTAGAATTTACCTACGAAACTTTCTGATTGTGGTCCTTTTTTGGGAGTATTTTTCTTTTAATAATTTTCTCAAAATTTTCTTTGATAATTGGTTTGTTGAACCTGTTTTTTTCCCACCTTGGATCAGATTAAGTTATTCATTTTCCAGATTATTTAGAATTGAGCATTCTCTCATAAGTCTTGGGTCTTCCCTCCCATTCTTCCTTCTTTCTTTTTTTCGAGACAGGGTCTTGCTCTGTAGTGTGCTACCACTCCCAGCTAATTTTTAATTTTTTTTTTTATATAGACGGAGTCTCGTTATGTTGCCCAGGCTGGTCTCTAACTCCAGGGCTCAAGTGATCTTCCTGACTTGGCCTCCCAAAGTATAGATGTGAGCTTCTACACCTGTAGTGCTAGTATTAGAGATGTGAGCCTCTACGCCCGTCCCTCTTATTTCTAATGATGTATATTTGTGTTTTCTTCCTTTCTTTAAAGCTTTGTGATTTTTATTAATGTTATTGTTTTGTCCCAAAGGACCAGTGCTTATATTTATTCATTCTAATGTGTTTTTGTTTAAAATCTATTAATATATGGTTTCATCTTCATTCTAATACTTGGATAGGCTTTATTTTGTTTCTCCTAGCTTTTTGGATACAGAATTAACTTATTTACATTTATTCTTAGCAGGCTATAGGCTTTCTTATAAGCATTGCTTTAGCTCTCTCATATGTTGTGATGTTCAGTATTCTTGTTATGATTTTCTAGATGTTCTGCAACTTTCGTTTTGTTTTATAGTTTTGACTCTGGTTTGTTTTCAGGAGGCAGGTTTTTGCTTTATTATTAATTTTTTATTTTATTGCATGATGATTAGACAGTGTGATAAATTTATTTCTCCTATCAAAAATGTATTGAGATTTTTGTTTGCACCCTGTTATGTATCAGCTAAAAAGTTTCATGGGGTCTTGAAGTATATTATTAATTTTCAGTGTATAGAATTCAACATTTATCAATTAGATCTATCTTATTAATTATGTGATTTAGATCATCTTTTTTCTCTTAAGTCTGCTTTCTAAAAGCATACAGCTGGTTCCTTTTATTTGTGGTAGTTATGTCGTATAAAATCACTTCCAGCACAGAATTAGCAAATGGTGAATCATTGCTCCTAGGGGAAATACAAAATTAGCTTTCTATGAGCCACTGATAACGTTTTTGTCAGCTGATCAATACGTAATCTTTTTAATGTGTTTCTGTTTAAAGATACTGTATTTAACATTTGATTCATTAGCATTGAACTCATAGCCAGTAGCACTTTAACTTATACTTGAATTAAGTTTATCTAATATACATTTTTTCTCCAAAAGTCATATTGCAGCCTTTTTGCATGTAGGAATGAACACTAAACATGTTGAGGGGGTCATTTGAAAACACCACATTACCAAAGCAAAAGTACAAAAATGCAGAAAATGCAATAAATATGTAGTCATGTGCCACATACAACATTTTGATCGATGTCAGACTGCATATCCAGTGGTGGTCCCATGAGATTATAATACCATATTTTTACTATATCTTTTCTATTAAGATATGCTTAGATACCCAAATACATAGCTATGGTGTTATAATTGCCTGCAGTATTCAGTACAGTAACATGTTGTACAGGTTTGTAGCCAAGGAGCAATAGGCTATCTCCTATAGTCTGGGTTTGTAGTAGACTGTACCATTTAGCTTTGTGTAAGTACACACTATGATGTTTGCACAATAATGAAATCACCTGATGACACATTTCTCATGAGGCATCCATCATTAAGCAATGCATGACTATCACAGAAAGGACACTTTAAAGTACACAAGTGGAAACAAGAAGGCAGAGTGGCTCATTGTTCAGCCTCAGCTGGGAATATGTGTGTCAGGCAATTCAAAATATTTACCACTCTGCGTCTCCATAAATGATGCCAAAAGTATCGTGAGTGTTGATTTTTAGGGTTACAGAGAAATTTTGGCAAGTCGGTGAATTTGCAAATATAGGATTAATGAATAATGAGGATTAACTGTATTTCATGTGGGACAGGAAAGATGAATTGAAATCACTGTTGTTTCTTATATTTTTTGTTGTATTTCCTGAAGTGTTTTCTTTTTGCATTGTAATGCTGTATTGAACCCTGCATGCAGTGAGTTAGCTGTGATTTCACCTCAGCTGAGATCATCTCATCATGAAGTTGCCACTTCAGTCCCACTTTATGCTGCCTGCCTTGTTCACATCTCCTCATTTAGCCCTGGGTCTCCTTACTTTATGGTATCACAGAGCTTAGAAATGTTCTGGTCAGCTATTCTTAGACCCAGAACTGCCATTCCAAGCAAGAGAGACTGTTATCATGTCTTCTTGGGATTTATACATCAGTTTTGGAGAGCTGTATAATACCTGAAACTCTTCTCACCTTTCTCCCTTAGCTAGGTCAAATATTTATCATATTCATTAACTCTTCTTTATAGTTTGTGTGTTTGGGGGTTTGGAACTATTTTTTAATTTTATGGAAAATGTATTTTGTTTTTGTTCTCTTACTACCTTTTGATTGGTTTAAGGGAAGATCAAGGCAAAATTGCTTTTATTTATATTTTATTTTATTTTTTGGTGACAGGGTCTCGCTCTGTTGCCAGGCTGGAGTGCAGTGGCACGATGTCTTTTCTAAATGGATTCTTACCAAATTAAAAATGCGTGGCATGTTCTTGGTCCTAAGGTGTTTATTCCTTCTTAGGCTTAGGCTTTCAGTTGATATATTCTCCTTAATTCTTCCGTTTCTTTTCATTTTTTTTTTAGGCAAGGTCTCACTGTGTCACCTAGGCTGAAGTGCAGTGGTGCAATCTCAGCTCACTGCAACAACTCCCCTCCCCACTGCTTCCCCCAGGCTTGAGCGATCCTCCTACCTCAGCCTCTCAAGTAGCTGGGACTACAGGTGCATGCCATCACACCTGGCTAATTTTGTTCTTTTGTGTTTTTTTTTTGTATTTTTGGTGGAGGCAGGGTCTCGCCATGTTGCCCAGGCTGGTCCCTAACTCCTGATCTCAAGCAGTCCATCCACCTAGGCCTCCCAAAGTGCTGGGATTACAGGTGTGAGCCACTGCGCCCAGCCCTTAATTCTCTTTACCATATATTTGTGAGAGATTGTTACTCATGTTTTTTTCTGATTATAAAACTAATTTTTTAGAAAAAGTGTAATATAGAAAATATGTAATATTCAAGAACAAAAAACAAAAGCACCCTAAAATATTAGTGCCCAGAGATAACGGCTATTTTTTGTAAGTTTTTTTCTTATTATTTCCTAGGAGCCGATTCTAAAAAGTAGCTCAAATGATGACAGTCTGTTACTGTCAAATGTGGCATTGAATTAGGGATGATTGCCAGTATTCCTTCTAGTTCTGAAAATTTTGATTCTGTAAAATTTTATTTTTCTTGGTAAACCTTTTCAAAGGGTCTCATTTTATAGGTAGTATGGTAGATTGGTCTGACAGATAATAAGTATTAAATTTGATTGGTGGGGAGGTTCTCCTTTACACATATATAAATATTTTTTGTTTTTATTTTTATTTTTGAGACAGGGTCTCTCTTTGTCACCCAGGCTGGAGTGCAGTGGTGTGATCATAGCTCACTGCAGCCTGTATCTCCTAGGCTCAAGTGATCCTCCTGCCTCAGCCTCCTGTGTAGCTCGGGACTACAGGTGCATGCCACCATGCCTAATTTTTTTTTTTTTTTTTTTTTTTTGTAGAGACGGGGTTTCGCTGTGTTGCCCAGGCTTGTCTCAAACTCTTGGGTGCAAGTGATCCTCCCGCCTCGGCCTCCCAAAGTGCTGAGATTACAGGCGTGAGCCACTGTGTCAGCCTCCTTTATGTTTTTATAGTATGATTAGTTCATGTCAATGCCTAAATTAATGATTTTTAGGATGGTACGTTATCTCATTGTGTGTACTTTCTCCTTCTTCTCCCTCTTAGGCTATGACCAGGGCCAGAGCACTCAGATCTCAGTCAGAGGAGTCTGCTTCTGCCTTTAGTGCTGATGACCTTATGAGTATAGATTTAGCAGAACAGATGGCTAATGACTCTGATGATAGCATCTCAGCAGCAACCAACAAAGGAAGAGGCCGAGGAAGAGGTCGAAGAGGTGGAAGAGGGCAGAATTCAGCATCGAGAGGAGGGTCTCAAAGAGGAAGAGGTGAGCACTGAGTTCAGTCCTGTGCACATTCACACTTGGCAGTTGAGTGGAAAATACAGAATTAGATCTTGTCAGAGTTGAATTATAAGTTTTATTTCTAAAACACGGTTCTTTAAAAATCTATTTTTATAATATATAAAGACAGTCTTTAAGGCAGTTCTGACATGTGCCTTTTACTTAAATAAATTTTGAATGGCCACATGCACTTAGGGTTTTAATTGTTCTTAGCACATACCTTATAAAAGCTTCACTGTGTTTGTCACGTAGTACCTTTTGGATACATTTAATGTCATATGTATTTTCACATGTGCAAAGTAATAGGCAAATATGAGTTGTTAAAGAAAATAGCTAAAAGCCTTTGGCAACAGGAGGAAAACTCCAGATCATACAATTATTATTTTTGTTACTGTCATAAGATACAAATACACATATGCTTATCAAGTAGTCTTTATAAAGTCAGTTTAAGAAAGAAAACTGCCCCCCAATTTGATTCCTAAAACTAGTCATTAACATAGTCAACATTGTATTTACTGTGAGACTATTGTCATTGAATAGTTCACGCCAATAGAAATTGGTCACTCAGTGACTTTCTCACACATTATGTCAGTTCATCTCTAAAGATTTTTTAAAATTGTTTTTATTAAATATGCATCCATAGGAATTTTAAGCTGGTGAAATGAATATTAATTTGGTTTAAAATCTCCAGGGAGAGAAATCCTCATCTTTTAATGATGATTATTTTCACTATTCTTACATTTACAAAATTTTTCCTTAAAAATTTTTATTTTTGTTTTTTAATTTTTCTTGAGATGGAGTCTTGTCTTTGCTCTGTTGCCCAGGCTGGAGTGCAATGGTGCGATTTCAGCTCACTGCAACTTCCGCCTCCCAGGTTCAAGCAATTCTCCTGCCTCAGCCTCCCAGGTAGCTGGGATTACAGGGGCCCATCATCATGCCAGTTAATTTTTGTATTTTTAGTAGAGGTGGGGTTTCACCATGTTGGCCAGGCTAGTCTTGAACTCTTGACCTCAAGTGATCCTCCCGCCTCTGTCTCCCAAAGTGCTGGGATTACAGGCGTGAGCTACCACGTCCAGCCTATTTCCTTACATTTTAATTGGATAAATTAAATTGGATAAACTGAAGTGTGGCCTAAAAGAATAGTCTCTGAAAATTGGTCAGACTCTAGATGTTTGTTCTTATATATATGTCTGGCTTTTTACAGACAAACTATTTGACATAAGTTTATTTAGCTTTCATTTTTTAGTGTTGTATGAAATAAACCTTAGCTGCTGATAGGCTTGTACATTGACTGTTCATTTTTCTAACAGCAGACACTGGTCTGGAGACTTCTACCCGTAGCAGGAACTCAAAGACTGCTGTGTCAGCATCTAGAAATATGTCTATTATAGATGGTGAGTATAGACTGCAAGTGATTATTTATAAATTCCAACATTAGAAAGACCAAGGTAATCACCATTGGTAGCCCTTATTTGTGTTGCAATCATTGGGAAGTTATAAGGGCAATTAGGATCACAGGATAAATTATTTTTTAAAAGATCTTTGCTATGCATTAGAGTTACTGAAGAGGGTAAGCTTTTAAAATCATGTTTTATAGGCCAGGCACAGTGGATCACACCTGTAATCCCAGCACTTTGGGAGGCCGAGACAGGCAGATCACGAGGTCAGGAGATCGAGACCAGCCTGGCCAACATGGTGAAACCCGGTCTCTACTAAAAATACAAAAATCAGCCAGGCGTGGTGGCACATGCCTGTAGTCCCAGCTACTTGGGAGGCTGAGGCAGGAGAATCACTTGAACCCAGGAACTGGAGGTTGCAGTGAGCCAAGATCATGCCATTGGACTCTACCCTAGCAACAGAGAGAGACTCCGTCTCAAAAACAAAACAAAACAAAACAAAAATTATGTTTTATAATTTCTTACTTTCAGACAAATGCTGTTTCTGTTTGGCAGAGAGACCCTGGAAACAGGAAAGTGAAGTAGTTGGTCACTATATGGACAGTGGTCGAAAGAGAGAGGAACTGTCTCTACTGTTTCCTTGCTTCCCCCATACTGCCCTGTCAGTCTCTGCTTTCCATATAGAGAAGTCATGTGACCTATATTTAAGAGAAATTATGGCTAGGCCCTTGGAATTAATTTGTGTATATCCTATGGTCTAAAAATTGGCCTCAAGGGGATCTGTTTAACTATTTTTAATATTATAGATGATGAGATCAGCCTAAAATGTTAGTCATATTTACAAAAAGTATGCATTAAGATAGGTGGTGATACTTTTTTCTACCTAGCATTTAGAATATATTCATATGTATATTATTTATATTATCAGTTATTTGAGGTTATTGTTTCACTTTTATAATTATAAATATTTTTTAAATATTATAATTGTAATATTTATAATCTTATAGCTAGGATTAATTGTTGACACACTGGGGAGCTGAACTAATTCTCAGAAGATGAAGTTTATCAAGGGTAATATAAACCACATTTATGTCCAAAAGGACAGCTGCACAAGTAGAGTTGTGAGAGGTATGTGAGTTTAACAGCAACCCAGGTGAAAAAGACTTAGGTCAGTAAGAGTTATGCAGGCATACCCAACTGTCCAAATCTATTGATATTTTAAACAGCATTTAATGAGTCTTGCAGAGGTGTCCAAGGGAGAGAATACAGTCATGGATTCTTAGTTTCTGTTTCTGGTTGGGCCAGTAAAGCCCTTTTCTCATCCTTCTTTTCCTCATATCACTAGCGACAGAAACTAAAAACCATGGCTTCAGCTGCTAAAAGCCTAAAACAAAAGAAAACAGAACGAAAACAGAACAAAAACAATAACAAAATGAGGTGGGTTGGACAAGCTTGCACAGCAAGGAAGTTCTCTCTGTGTACTAAATTGGCCATAACATGCCAAGGATACTGTACTCCTCTTTGGAATTATATTTCAAGGAGACTGTCAACTATATATGATCATTCAGAAGAGATACCAAATAATATAAAAAATGGTTGGCCAGGCGCAGTGGCTCATGCCTATAATCCTACCACTTTGGGAGGCTGAGGCGGGCGGATTGCCTGAGCTCAGGAGATCGAAACCAGTCTGGGCAACAAGGTGAAACCCTGTCCCCTACTGAAAATACAAAAAATTATCCAGGCAGGGCGGCGTGCACCTGTAGTCCCAGCTACTTGGGAGGCTGAGGCAGGAGAATACTTGAACCGAGAAGGTGGAGGTTGCAGTGAGCCGAGATCATGCCACTGAACTGGGTGACGGAGCGTCTCCAAAAAAAAAAAAAAAAAAAAATTGGTTGAAGGAACTTAGGATTTAGGATATCTAACCTGGGAAACATTCAGATCTTTATGTAGATTATGTTCTATCGTGTAAAATGTGGAATGAATAGATTTGATCTGTTTAGTCCCAAAGGCAATGCTTTTTAATCTATTTTGGCTTATGGATTCTCTAAAAATCTGATGAAAGCTATGTCTTCTCTCCTTAAATAAGTACTCACATGCAATTGCACCCAATTTCAAAGGGTTCAGCCACTCCCATGAGGCGCATTCGTGTTTTCCAGCTTAAGAACTCCTGGCCCAATGGGGATGGATGGGAATAGCTAGAAACATACTGATTTAAGTTTCTCATCTGATAGAATGGACCTGGAAGATTTAAGAACAACTTTGTTCCCCTGTTTTATATGTGAGGGAACTAAGCCAAGCAGTTTTGCCCTGAGTTGATAAAACCACTAATAGTAGCAATAATAGCTAATATTTATGAAACTGCATGCCTCTTAACAGGTCTGTGGGGTAGGTACTTACTATATTATTTCTGTTTTACAGAAAAGGAAACAGGCTTTAAAAAGATAGGTAGCTTATCCTAGATCTCATAACTTGTCAGTACCAGATCTGGGAATGATCTCACATTCTCTGCACTCTACAACCAGTAGTTGACCACTGTACTAGTTTCCAGAGCAAGGTAAGATTAGAGACCTAGCTACTAGTTCTCCATAGAATAATTTTTGCATTATGCAGAATAACCTATGTAATTAATATAAAGATGGACTAATTTGCCTTGGAAGTAAGTATCACTCCATTAAAGGAATTTTCAACATTTATCAAATGACAGCTGACATTGAAGAAAAGATACAAAATCAGGTTGATTAAATGACTCTTAAACCTTACAAAAAATTCCATTGCTATATTTTTACTCAAGTATTATTTAGTACTTCAGAAGAGCTAGCTAAGATCCTTAGCTTTTTGCTTCACAAACATGTTGTCTTTATTGCCATTTAGGGAGTGGTATCTGGAAAGATGCTGTTCCATTCTTGGTAGGTTTAATATAAAAGCAGAGAGGAAGAAAGAGAGAAAAGGCAGCCTGGAAAATTGTAAAGGATTCATGCTGAGTTCAACCTTGCATTCAACAAATGACAGCTTTGTGACTTGAGACAAATCAGTCACTCTCCTAGTTTGTTTAGATATGATTGGAAATAATAATCTCTATTGTATTGGGTTATTCTGAAGATTAAATGATCAAAAAGCCTGGCACAGTAGGCATTTATCAAGTGTTCTTTTAAAAATGAGAAAACAGGAACATAGAAAAAGAGTGAATAAAATAATGAACACTTCCATGTTAAACCACCAAAATTGGTTAGCATGCAATCGACAGAGTCATAGATGTAGATTACCCACCTTTACCTTAGCCCAAATCGTCTTTTTTTGTCCTGTCTTGTTTTATTTTTCTTTTTTGTTTTTGTGTTTTTGTGTCCTGTGGAATCCAGTGTCCTGGCTTGTTTTATGTTAAGCTTTCCTTGACTCCAGTGGGTAGAATTCATCACTTAAAATGAGTCGTCTTTGAGTTTCCACTGTAATTAAGAAATCAGATATCAGTTAAGCTTGTTGGTTTTTGTTTTTTAAAAAATAACCTGTTTTTCTCTCAGCTTGCTGTTTTTGGTGTTCTGCAGTTTCACTGTGATGAATCTAAAGATGGTACTCTTGTTTAGCCTGCTTAGCAATTATTGGGCTTCATGAATCTCTGAACTGCTATCTTCCGTCACTTCTAGAAAATCCTTAGCTATTATCCCTTCAGATGTTACCTCTATGCTATTCTTATTCTCCTTCTGAGTCTTCAGTTAAATAATGATAAGACCTCTTTACTCTCTCCTCACATGACTCTTGTATTTTCTGTTTTCTCTTTCTGTGCTACATTCTGAATAATTATTTCTGATCACTTTTTTTTTTTTTTTTTTTTTTTGAGACAGAGTCTCTCTCTGTCGCCTAGGCTGGAATGCAGTGGCATCATCTTGGCTCACTGCAACCTCTGCCTCCCGGGGTTCAAACAATTTTCCTGTCTTAGCCTCCCGAGTCGCTGGGATTACAGATGTGCACTACCACACCTGGCTAATTTTTGTATTTTTAGTAGAGACACGGTTTTACTGTGTTGGCTAGTCTGGTCTTAAACTCCTGGCTTCATGTGATCCTCCTGCCTCGGCCTCCCAAAGTGCTGGGATTACAGGCATGAGCCACCTTGCCCAGCCTATTTGCTTCCTTTAAAATATGCTCTGTCACTTTTAATAGTTTTTAGAAGTTTTCTGAAGATATTTTTAGGCCTGTTTTAATTTTTCGTGTGTACACAGTAAGGACTTCTTTTATTTTGTATCTAATAACCTAGTGTCTGAATGTCTTTGGCCTCTTTCTGTTGTCTGTTTCTGTGGGTTCTTATTTATGGTGACTTATTTCCTTCCATGCTTTGTTACTTACTGTCCCTAGAAAATTATCAACAGGAATAATTTGAGACCTTGGATGAAGCCATCTTCCTTCAGAGAAGATTCACGTTTGTTTCTCTAGGTTTGTAGGGCACCACAAGTCATAGACCACTTTAAGCTAAATTTGAGGGTTTCTTGGACCAGTCATTTGATACGTACTTGTAACTAAAATGCAGGTTCAGTCACTTGCTGCTTGCAAAGTCCAATTAACAAGAGCAAGGTGTGGTATAAAGAAAGTGACTTTTTATTCCAAAGCGAACTTAGGGGAAGAAATACAGGCTTCCTACCTTAAGGGTACTGCTTCCCCCTTTGCAGCAGAAAGTGGACTCTTTTAAAGGGGACCTATCAGGAGTGGCATGCAGGGGAGGAAGCGAGCAAGTGGGGGGTTTGCATTCTAGTTTGGTGTCTTATCTACCAGGCAGTTGAATTGGCATCTTCATGGGTAGAAATAGGCTATAAAGGTGGCCGAATACTCTCTAGGTTGGCGAGAGTTTCATAGCAGGACTTTGGATTGTGAATTGACTGTTATCTCTAGAGGCAACCCCCTGGTGGGTGATAGTTCAACTCTGGAGCTTCCAAGCACATAGTTAGATGAACTCCCCTTTTAGGGAGTCTCTGATGAAGAGGAAGTAAAAGACTATAGTTGCATTTCTAAAGAACTAAGTAGAAAGTGGGGGAAAGGAGAAAAGAAGAGAGAGAAAAAGTAATGAACTACCTCTTAGAAAAATGAGGGTACTCAGTTACATGCTTATGAAATCCTGTTTACCTCTGCTTCTCTCTTCAACCACTGGGGCTCCACCTTAGGAAGGGAAATGCATCGGGGTTTTCACTTTGGGCAGCCGTGGGCTGTGGTAGCCCTCTCTATTTTTCTTCAGGATTCTCAAAACCAATGTTAACATTTTCCCAATTGAAAAGTGAACTCAGGGAAAGGACTCTGCTTACCTCTCTGAGTTCTAGCTTTTCTTCAGTTTTGGCCTGGTAATTCCTTGGTATGTGATCAGCTCTTCAATGCCATTGAGAATTTTTTTTTTTTTTTAAATGTTTGAGGTACTAATTTGGATTGTTGTCAGCAGAAGTGAGTTTGAAGACAATGAGAGGTCATTTTGTCTGAATAACCTAGCCTGCAATGACTGTTACCCATTGACAACATAGAATAAAGCTTCTATTTGTGTAGAAAGACTGGAGACCAGTTATGATGCCTTAAAAGTTTTACAGAATGGCTTGACTAATTTTTTTAAGGAAACAGTATTCATCTATGAAAAGAGGCTATGTAAATAAACTAAATACGAAACGTCAGATTTCCTGAATTATGTTGTAAGCAAAAATCTTATTATGGTACCTTTTGCAGCAGAGCATGATGGTTAAGAATGCAGGCTCTGGAGTCAGGTCCATTGGGTCAGTCACAGCCAGCTCTTTACTGCTGGCTTAGCACCCTTGCACTGTAAGTGCTGTGAGAAAGGGGTCTGCATCATTCCTCCTCATCACTGTATCCACTATATTTGGCACATAACATAGTAGATGCTTGTTAAATACTTGACAATGACTGAGTAAAAATTACTTGGAGATTGTGTAGCGTAAGGGTGAAGACCATGGTTCTAAAGTGAGGAAGATCTTGGTTTGGATCCTGACTTCTCAATTTTACTAGTTGTGTGTCCTCCAGCAAATATGTTAAGTTTTTCATCTTTAGGAATGAGTGTTCTCATCTGTAGGATGGGACAATGATTGCGTCCACCTCATTGCGTTATTTTGAGGATTAATGAGAAAATGCATGTGAAGTATCAGGCAGTGTCTATGCATATTAAGCCCTCAGTAAGTGCAAACTGGTGTTATTCTACAAGCATCAGATCCCTTAGCTATAAAATTTGACAATGTTGTACTGACTTCAGAGTAATTTTATTAAATGAGCTTAAGTATTTACAGTACTGATCACAGCACCTGGTAAAAATGCGACAGATGATAGCTGTTATTAATATTAGTGGTAGTGTTTTGCAATAAGATTATGAAGATGAATATTATGTGAATCATTGGTCTAAATTTGTCTTTTATCTAATTGATTTGATATAATGGTTTCGCTAACTTAACTGATTACCTCCAGTACTAGGCCTTTTTTTGAAAAATGAACTGATTTTTTAAGTATAAATTTGTGAAACATTTTTATCAGGTTGGATTTGGTGGGTTTTTTTTTAAGTCTCTGACAGAATACCTGTGAAGTAGTAACTATACTTGTCATCACTTTGGGACAGAAGCAACAAATTAAGACTGTAACTTCTAGATCTCTGTTTTAAATGGAGGAGTGAAGAGATAAATAAAGGTCAAATTCTCTTATAACAAGGTCCATGGAGTATGGAAATTTATTATTGTGCTGCAATTTTATTGGAAAAGATAAAAATTACACTTGTAGCCACGGGAGTTGTAAATAGGAGTTGACAGCCCAGATTTTTCCATTGAAGTTAGTCAGCAGAGGATAGTGGCTAGGTGAATAAAAGTACCTCTGAAGTCACGGCCTTTACATTTCATTTATACCACTATGGGTACCACTGCTGCTACTATGTTTGCTACCCAAACAGCTACATGTATTTGAATGCTTTCTATCTGCTAGACACTTCCTCTTACCCTCTCAGCAGTTTTCTGCATGAAGTATTAACACTGTTTTACAGGCGAGGAAATTGAGTTTTAAAGAAGCCAAGGAGCTTGGCCATAGTCAAGCTAGTAAGTCAAAATGAGTCTAACTCCAAAACCAGAGCTTTTAACCACCACACTTTATTGTCTTCCTAACAGAACATATTGCTTAGTTTTCTGATAAAATTATTTCACAACATCACTCATCTTTTGCCTTCCAGTGGGATAAAAAGAAAGGTATCTTGTTTTCTAGGATCTCAGAGTTAAAGGAGTCAGTGAATAAATACTGAACAGAAATATTCTTTGAAATCATCATGATCACTGGATTTTTTATTCAGTTGCTCTGTCTAGCCTTTTGAGTAGAGTAGGATGTGAAAAAAGTAACTGAGTAAAGCAGATAAGAACACTGTTTCTGCCTCTCGTTTCTCCTCTTAGATATTACAAGTTTGGGGACAGAACCTAGAATAGGAAACATGTGCAAACACAATAAATTTAGGTTAGATAGAAAGATTCGTTAGTTTTCTGACTAGGAGAATTTTGGACTTTGCAGGATTTTTTGAGTATTTGTTTGTTTTTCTGTGCCCTATTTAGTTTGTGAGTTATCTTGGGGAAGATATTTTTGATATTAGCAAACTGGTAAGGCATAGGAGAAAATAAACCTAAATTAGACGTTTGAAATTTATTGTAGGTTTTGTTTTGTTTTGTTTTGTTTTGTTTTTTGAGACGGAGTTTCGCTCTGTTGCCCAGGCTGGAGCACAGTGGCACGATCTCGGCTCACTGCAACCTCTGCCTCCTGGGTTCAAGCGATTCTCCTGCCTCAGCCTCCCAAGTAGCTGGGATTACAGGCACCTGCCACCATGCCTGGCTAATTTTTATATATTTTTTAGTAGAGTTGGGGTTTCACCATGTTGGCCAGGCTTGTCTTGAACTCTGGACCTTAAGTGATCCGCCCGCCTCAGCCTCCCAAAGCACTGGGATTACAGGCGTGAGCCACTGCGCCTGGCCTTATTGTAGGTTTCGATGTCAAGGAAAAAGAAAGGGAAAGATAAAGAGCTAGCTAAACTTCAAGTATCTAACCAAGTTTAAAAGGAAAAAAGGTATGGATACAAAGGAATTTTTATCATAGAATGCTGTTTTCTAGAATTCTCCTCTGGAATATTTCTTAGATATTGAATATGGCTACTAAGGTAGAGGAAAATGAGAAACTACTGGAACCCCATGGCTCCTAATGTAGCAACAGGGATAAAGGTATCGTCAACAACAAAGAAGGGATTAGGAGGCTTTCCTTCAATACATTTGTAGTTCATTTGGTTAGGTGATTAGATTTTATCCTTCAGGTGTTTTTCTATGAAATATTTTTAGTGTGTGTATTTATAAACACTACAGTATCTCAATAAGCTGGGAAATAATGAGACTGACAGTTGGGCATTGAGTTATGCGTACCTATAATTCTATCTCCCTTTAGATTTTTAAAAATATCAAATAGTTTTATAATTAGGCATCATTCAGTTTTGCAGATAGGACTCAGAAAATCTTTAGCTAAAGAAGTATGCAAGTTTTTCTAAGTTATTTTAAGAATAACATAATGCACATTTCATCTTTTTCATTCTAGCCTTTAAATCTACAAGACAGCAGCCTTCCCGAAATGTCACTACTAAGAATTATTCAGAGGTAAGAAAAAAAGTTTTATGGTTGTGTATTAATAATTTATGTTTTCTGCATTATGAATTGTCAACTCTCTGATTTACAAAGTAAATAAAAGAAGAAAAATTATGGAACATTAAAGCTGGAAGGAGCTTTACCAATTATCTCTAGGGCTTCTAGGATTTGATTTTTTTTTTCTTGGTTGCTCTCTTTTTTTAAATAATGGTTATTATAGAAATCCATAAATGTTATGTATACAGTAATGTTTTCAAGGATAACAGTGTTGAACCAAAAGAGCTCATACATGGAATACTAATATTGAAGGTGAGTTCAATGGTTATAGAGGTTTTTTCTATGCTGGATTTCCTTTTGTTACTTATCTTCCCAAAATACTAGCTGTGCCTTAACAGCTGTTGCTAGACTTAAGATGAATGAAAAGGCTGGAGTCCAGCGATCCATGTGGTTTGCCCTAGGTTTAGCCTGGGCCTTCTGCTCTTCCTTTCGATTCCAAGAAGAGTCCAATATGGGCTTGATTCTCTTATTACTTCACTTTCAAAACTGTGTGTCTTAACTCCCGAGCCAATACTCTTCCCTTTACATCAGGGTTTCTCCATAGTAGCACTGTTGACATTTTGGACTAGATAATTCTTTGTTGTGAAGGGTTGTCCTATGCATTGTAGGATATTTAACAGCATCCTTAGCCTCAGGGGCTGTTCGTTCAGTATTTGGTCTTTGGCTTCATCCTCATCTGTACTTAAGTTAGATGAAGATATGGCAAATGTATGTATCAAATGTCAAGATAACAAAATGTAGAGAAATAGTATTTTGGGTGGTAGAATCAACAGTCAGAAATATCTTTATTGGGTCTTAACACTAACAAATGGTATTTAAGAGGGACAGATTTAACAGAAAGATATCTAGTATTTCCCACATGGTCTGATACCTCATTTAAAGTTGGAGATGGAACACTGATGGTCTCACCTCTCATAAGAAACTAAGAGGAAAGTCATAAGGTCTGCATATGAGCCTATGCAAGTCATTCACCAGTGTAACTGTGTTCCCTTAGGTGCTCAGGCTCCTGGGATGGCCAGGAGAGAGGTGAGCAAAAAGTAACATTTGTGAATGAAGAGGGACATTGGAGGGAGGTCAGACTGAGTGTTAGTTTTAATGGTTATGGCTTTCTGTCTCCTTTTTTGTGGCTCATATATAACTTAAGATTTAATCGTGTAATTCATTTCTTCATTTTCATTTTTATTCAGAGTCTATTCTCACAAAAACTGTTTGTTGCTTTGTTTCCTTGCCAGGTGATTGAGGTAGATGAATCAGATGTGGAAGAAGACATTTTTCCTACCACTTCAAAGACAGATCAAAGGTAGGTGCAGTGATTTTCTGCAAAAGAAACATCTGAAAAAAATTAAAAATTATCCAGAATTCCAAAGTTACACATTTTTCTATGCCATGTAAGTTTAACAGACTTATTTTCAACTAGTAAAGTATGTAGAGGAATGAAAACAGACCAAGGGCTAGTTTATAGAGTTGATGCAGCATTAGTACAAGGATTTTCAGTGAAAATTGAAATAGCCTGTAATTTTTTTCCTTTTGACTTTATTAGTGCTTTTCTTTCTTTTTATTTATTTATTTATTTTTTGAGACAGTGCCTCATTCTGTCGCCTAGACTGGAGTGCAGTAGTGCGATCTTGGCTCACTGCAACCTCCACTTTCTGGGCTCAAGCAATTCTCCCACCTCAGCCTCCTGAATAGTTGGGATTACAGACGTGCACCACCACACGTGGCTAATTTTTTGTATTTTTGGTAGACACAGGGTTTTGCCATGTTGCCCAAGCTGGTCTTGAACTCCTGAGCTCAGGCGATCCACCCACCTCGACCTCCCAAAGTGCCTGGATTACAGATGTGAGCCAGTGCGCTTGGCCTCAGTGCTTTTCTTAATGGAAGACTGTGTTCTCTCCAAATAACAGAAAATAATTTTGTATTTTGCTATCATTTGATTTCAGCTTTTTGTCATTGTCTTATTTTTATATTCTTAACTACACATGGTACTGTACTAAACACTTAAAAGGGGATCACGTAGACTCAGTCTGCCTTCAGAGGACTTGCATGCTCTTCCTGTGTGTTTTGGGATTTTTTGCCTATTGCTGTTAAGCTTGACTTGATTCACTATTACCATTTGCTTTTATACGTTAACATTTTGGTTGAATACTGCTTAACTAAAGCTCGAATAATGAGAATTTCTACTTAATAAAGTAATCAACTGCCTTATTTTGTACTTATTTTCTGTTTGAGCATTATATTAGGTCTGATGAGGGAGGGGCATAACGAATGTTTTAATATGGCCTCTGCCTTCAGGTAACTTCAATTATAGTGGAAAAGAGAAATGAACATATTTGAATTCATCAAAGAATGAATTAGTACATAATTAGGTGTAGAATTTTATATTACAGACCCATAAGTGTGAGTGCTTATGGGCTGGTGAAAAAAGGAACAAGGAATGTGGGCTAGAAGAAGCAGCTTCATGGAGGGAATAAAATTGACCTGAGGTTTCAAAGATAAGATTTGGCTTAGTAGGGTGGAAAACGGTGGTCCCAGCTGAGAATAAGGGCATGAGCAGGAACTCCAGAAAGAAGGGTGATTGAGGAAAAAGCCTTATATCAGTGTTTCTCAAGCTTTTTTTCCATTATCTCAGCCATTTCTTGATTATCCAAGGAGAAGAATTAAGTAACTTAGATGTAAGTCAATTTCTCCCTAACGTTAGAAATTAAATACTTAAAGAATGAAATTTTTTTGGGTATGGTTGAGTCTGAGAGGGCCAAAAACCGTAGCTTTTTCATCCCACTCTATCCCCTGGAGCCAATTTTTGTTCTTTATGATACTGACCCCACTGAGAATATAAGCTGTATGTGACTTAAAGGTTAATGTTAGAGCAAGTGTAAGTATAGTTCCACGTTCACTTATTAGATCCTTCAAACATCATGCTAGGTTCTGGGGATAGAAAGATAAATGTTTCTTCCTTCAAGGAATTTACACTTTAGTGGTATGCTAATTACAGGGCACTGCTAATCCACCAAGATAAATGTTTTCTTCAGGTGTAATGAAACCTAAGGGACGTGCCAGTATCTTCCTGGGAAAGGTCATTGAAGGTTTTACAAAGAAGATAGGTGACATTTGAGCTGGTGATCAGCCGATCAGTTAGCATGCATTAAAGGAAATGATCTGGTGTAGAGAGAAGAAACAGTGGCACAGGACGGGCATCTACTTTGAAGGATGGTCATGGAAAGCCTCTGAGGAAGCTACATTTAAGCGGAAATTTTAATAAGGGAAATGTGGCCTTGCAAAAAGCAGAGGGACAAGTGCATGCAGCCTGTATTAGTCCATTTTCTCACTGCTGATAAACACATACCCGAGACTGGGCAATTACAAAACAAAGAGGTTTAATGGACTCAAATTTCTACATAGCTGGGGAGGCCTCATAATCATGGCAGAAGGTGAAAGGCATGTCTCACATGGCAGCAGACAAAAGAAGAGAAAAAGAGCCAAGTGAAAGATCTTGTGAGACCTATTCACTACCACGAGATTAGTATGGGGGAACTGCCCCCGTGATTCAATTATCTCCCACCAGGTCCCTCCCAGAATACTTAGGAGTTACGAGAGCTACAATTCAAGATGAGATTTGGTAGGGACACAGCCAAACCATATCACAGTCTATTGAAGAAGCAAGTTTAATAATGTTATTTAGGAGCCAATGACTAATGTGTGGTGGAAAAGGAGGTTGTTTGAGATGAGAATAGAAAAGAGACACAGGGTAAATCATGCTGCAGGAACAGGTGAGCACTACAAAGGTATTGGATGTTGTTATAAATGCAGTGGGAATCCACAGAAAGATTTTAAGAGAGGAGTGGCACCTTGTGATTTACATTTACAAAGGATCACTGTGGTTGCAGAACAAGTGTAAACAAGCTTATCTGAAAGGAGGGTGCTGCAGGTAGTCTGAGCTAAGAGAGACGATGGAGGCTTGCACAGGCTGGTGGTAGGTGAAATGGAGGAAACAGATGGTTTCAGGATATATTTTGAAGATAGACATGACAAAACTTGAAGATGGATTAAACATTTGGAGTAAGGGAGAATAAGGAATCAAGACTGATTTTCTGGTTTCTTGCTGGAGCATTTACATTGTGCCATATATTGAGAAGGGGACAAAAGAAAGGACAGATGTGTTGTAGGGAATGATAGGCATATAATTAAAAGTTCCACTTTAGATGTGAAAAGTTTGAGATGCCTAGAAACTTACATGAAGGGAAGTTATAGGCAATTGAATGTGTGAATTCAGAACTCAGATAAGGGTTTTTGTTTTGTTTTGTTTCGTTTTGTTTTGTTTTGTTTTTTGAGACGGAGTCTCGCTCTGTCTCCCAGGCTGGAGTGCAGTGGCGCGATCTCGGCTCACTGCAAGCTCCGCCTCCTGGGTTCACGCCATTCTCCTGCCTCAGCCTCCCGAATAGCTGGGACTACAGGCCCTGCCACCATGCCCGGCTAATTTTTTGTATTTTTAGTAGAGATGGGGTTTCACCGTGTTAGCCAGGATGGTCTGGATCTCCTGACCTCGTGATCCGCCCGCCTCGGCCTCCCAAGTGCTGGGATTACAGGCATGAGCCACCGTGCTCGTCCCAGATAAGGGGTTTGAAATGGTACTTACATTTACCTCTGGACAGCGTGCAGATGGTACTTAAAACCATTGGGATGGATAGGATCACCTCAAAAAAGAAGGCAGAGCAGAAGAGTGTTTGTTTTCCTAGCCTGCAGTTTTAACCTTACTCAGCCTTTGGGTAGAGTAGAAAAAAACAATAAAGACATGAGAAAAATCCGGGAGAGTATAGAGTTGCAGAAGGCCGTACTGGCCTTTATAGGAGTAAAAAATACCAAGATGGGCGCAGATGCAAATCAGTTTATATGTCTATGGTAAGTAGTGGAGGGACTTATTTTAGCTCACGAAGGTTTACTTGAATTTCTCAGGCTCATTTATGTGTATTTAACAGGACTCCTTTGGTTCCAGCTGATAGAAACCTAACTCAGATTCTCTTACAGAAAAGGAGATTTATTGGAAGATTATCGGGATACCTCAGGTTTTGGAAGGAAGTAAGGGCCCCTTTCTGAGTCCTTGTTTGGTTGTTCTTGTCTTTGTAAATTGAAGCACACACAAATCAGATCTAGCTTTCTAAGTTTTTTTTTTTCCAGAAATGGATCAAAATGCTATTCTGATATTTTTGATATATGCTTAAGGATATTAAAGAAAAAATAGTTTGCTTTTGATATCACAGTAGATTGTTTACTTTTCAGCTGTATAAATGTCTGCCGATTTCTTTAGACATGAAATAGTAATATAACTCACAGTTGTTTGGTACTTCCTATGTGCCAGGCACTTCTCTGAGCATTTTACATGTGAATTAGCTTGCGTGGTGCTCACAACTTCCCCAGGAGATAGATTATAGTTATAACTTTATCATCCCCATTTTACAGATGAAGTGTGAAGCACAGTGGCTAAGTAACTTACCTAAGGTCACCCAACTAGTCATACAGTCCAGGCATTCTGACCCCAAACTCATCTCTGTTGTTGCTTCTTGGTATGGTAACTAACTTCTCTGACCATTGTGCAAGCAATAAGAATCATTTAAGTTTTGAGAGGCTGTTTAACATTTTAGAGGCAATTTCCAAAATTGACATTTTGGAAACACATCAGAAATCAGCTTTGGCAGATTGGTGTTTCTAATTACAGCATCTAAATGATAATTTAGACTGTTTTTGCAGAATGTTTTAGTAATTGCAGGTTATGCATGGTGTTTTATTTATAATTTAAACTATTTAAGCTCTGCCACTTACCAGAGTGGACCTTGATAATTGTGCTAATCTGCTACCTCTGAACCTTAGTTGCTCTTCAAGTTTGCCTGATAAATCCTTCTGTCCTTTCCTTTAGTGCAAAGGACCTGTGAATTTTTCTATTTACTTCTGACATAAGATCTCGTGATTCTCATTCTTTTTTCCAGATAAAACCTTTGGACATATTTCTTTTGCTATAATGACATCCCAAAGCATGTTAATAAAATTGTAGACTAAGAATTTATAAACACTACTTTTATTGAAGACGGGAATCAGCAGACTTTTTCTTAACAGGCCAGATAAGGAGTATTTTAGGCTCGGCAGGTCAAGAGGCAAAACCGGGGATATTATGTAGGTAGACACTTGTATAACCATTTAAAATGTAACCATTTCAAAATGTGAAAACCATTCTTAGCTTATAGGCCATAAAAAAAACAAAACCTGGTGGTGGGCTAGATTTGCTTACTGGCCCCGATCTAAAGTGACTTAAATTTCTTATTAATTAAAAGACATAGGAATTTACTGCAAGTTAAGCTTTGTAAGAGTAGGAATCGGCTGGGCGTGGTGGCTCACGCCTGTAATCCTAGCATTTGGGAGGCCGAGGTGGGCGGATCACGAGGTCAAGAGATAGAGGAGATAGAGACCATCCTGGCCAACCTGGTGAAACCCCGTCTCTACTAAAAATACAAAAATTAGCTGGGCATGGTGGCATGCTGAGGGGGCTGATGCAGGAGAATCGCTTGAACTGGGAGGTGGAGGTTGCAGTGAGCCGAGATGGTGCTACTGCATTCCAGCCTGGTGACAGAGCGAGACTCCATCTCAAAAAAAAAAAAAAGAGTAAAAAGAGTAGGAATTATGATTTTCTTATTAACTGAGATTTGAATAGAAAATATTTCAATGTTCCCATGGTTTTCAGAAGTGGAAGATGGTAATGTATACATTTTGGTACATGATAAGTACTATAATAATATAAGTAAGTATTGTTGTAGTACTTAATATGTGTCAGGCACTGTTCTAAGTGTTTAAGCATATTAACACATTTAGTCTTTATAAAACCATTATCCCCGTTTTACAGATGAGGAAATTGAAGCACAGAGAGGTTAAGTAACTTGCTCAAAGCCACATAGGTAGTAAAGGGCAAAACCAGAGTTCAAACCTCGGCCCCAGAGTCCTTTTCCTTACAGTTAAGTTTTATTGCCGCTAATGTAGATTTTAAGGGAATTGTGTGTTATTTATATTCGTGGCAGCTGCTGGATTGAAAAACTTAGCCAGAAAGGCACACTTGATGAATTATGTAGTTCATTGTGTTTGTTTTTGTTTTTGTTTTGCCTCAGGTGGTCCAGCACATCATCCAGCAAAATCATGTCCCAGAGTCAAGTATCGAAAGGGGTTGATTTTGAATCAAGTGAGGTAAATAAGTAATATTGTTAAATTTTAATTAATTTTTAACTTTATAAAATTTAAATAGAGACTGCCAGCTAGTTGCTGAACTTTTTTTTCTTTGATAAATAACTTCATCTTTTATGTTCAGGGAGTACATGTGCAGGTTTGTTACATGGGAATTGCGTGATGCTGAGGTTTGGTACAGATCCCATCACCCAGGTAGTGAGCAGTAGGCAGTTTTCCAACACACATCCTACTCTCAGCCTCCACTCTCTAGTAGTCCACAGTGTCTGTTGTTCCCATCTTCATGTCCATGTGAACTCAGTGTTTAGCTCCCACTTGTAAGTGAGGACATGTGGTATTTGGTTTTCTGTTCCTGTTAATTTGCTTAGGATAGTGGCCTCCAGCTGCAAAGGACATAATTTTGTTCTTTTTATGGCTGCATAGTGTTCCATGTTACATATGTACCACCATTTTCTTTATCCAATCCGTATTGATGGGCACTTAAGTTGATTCCATGTCTTTGCTACTGTGAGTAAGTGCTGCAGTAAACATGAGTGTATGTGTCTTTTTGGTAGAATGATTTCTTTTCCTTTGGTTATATAGCCAGTAATGGGATTGCTGGGTCAAATCGTAGCTCTGTTTTAAGTTCTTTGAGAAATTTCCAAATGGCTTATAATGGCTGAATGAATTTACATTCCAACAATGTATAAGCATTCCCTTTTCTGACAACCTCACTAGCATCTGTTGTCTTTTGACTTTTTAGTAATAGCCATTCTGACTGGTATGAAATGGTATCATTGTGGTTTTGATTTACATTTCTCCGATGATTAGTGATGATAAGCACTTTTTGTTTGTTGGCTGCTTTGTGTGTCTTCTTCTTTGTAATGTGCCTGTTCATGTCCTTTGCCCATTTTCTGATGCAGTTATTTGATTTTTCCTTACTGATTTATTTACATTCCTTTTAGAGTCTTGATATTAGACCTTTGTTGGATACGTATTTTGTGAATATTTTCTCCCATTCTGTAGGCTTTTTGTTTACTCTGTTGATAGTTTCTTTTCTCTTTTTTTTTTGACATGGAGTTTCGCTCTTGTTGCCTGGGCTGGAGTGCAATGGTGTGACCTCAGCTCACTGCAATCTCCGCCTCCCGGGTTCAAGCGATTCTCCTGCCTCAGCCTCCCGAGTAGCTGGGATTACAGGTGCGCATCACCACGCCTAGCTAATTTTTTGAATCTTTAGTACAGACAGGGTTTCACCATGTTGGCCAGGCTGGTCTCAAACTCCTGACCTTATGATCCACCTGCCTCGGCCTCCCAAAGTGCTGGGATTACAGGTGTGAGCCACTGTGCCCAGCCTGATAGTTTTACTGTGCAGAAGCTCTTTAGTTTAATGAGGTCCTACTTGTCCATTTGTATTTTTCTTGCAGTTGCTTTTGGGGACTTAGCCAAAAATTATTTGCCAAGGCCAGTGTTGAGAAGGGTATTTTCTTGGTTTTCTTCTAGGATTATTATAGTATGAGGTCTTACTATTAAATCTTTAATTCATCTTGAGTTAATTTTTGTATATGGTGAAAGGTAGGGATCCATTTTCTTCTGCACATTGCTAGCCGGTTATCCTAGCACCATTTATTGAATAGGGAGTCCTTTCTCCATTGCTTGTTTTTGTCAGCATTGTCAAAGATCAGATGGCTGTAGATGTGCAGCTTTATTTCTGAGTTCTCTGTTCTGTTCCATTGGTCTGTGTGTCTGTCCTTGTACCAGTACCATATTGTTTTGGTTACTGTAGCCTTATAATATAGTTCAAAGTTGGGTAGTGTTATACTTCTGGCTTTGTTCTTTTTGCTTAGGGTTGCTTTGTCTATTTGGGTTCTTCTTTGGTTCCATGTGAATTTTAGAATAGTTTTCTTCTAATTTCTGTGAAAAATGACGTTGGTAGTTTGATAGGGATAGCGTTGAATCTGTAGGTAGCACTGGGCAGTATGGTCATTTTAATGATACTGATTCTTCCAGTTCCTAAGCATGGAATGTTTTTGCGTTTGTGTTATCTGTGATTTCTTTCAGCAGTGTTTCATAGTTCTCCTTGTAGAGATCTTTCACCTCCTTGGTTAGCTATATAGCTATGTATTTAATTTTCTTTGTAGCTATTGTAAATGGGATTGTGTTGTTCTTGATTTGACTCTCAGCTTGAACGTTATTGGTGTATAGAAATGCTACTGACTTTTGTACACTTTTTTTTTTTATTCTGAAACTTTGCTGAAGTCGTTTATCAGTTCTAGGAGCCTTTTGGCAGGGTCTTTAGGGTTTTCCAGGTACAGAATCATATCGTCAGCAAAGAGAGAGTTTGACTTCTTTTCCTGTTTGGATGTCTTTTCTTTCTTTCTCTTGCCTGATTGCTCTGGCTAGGACTTCCAGTACTATGTTGAATAGGAGTGGTGAGAGTGGGCATTCTTATCTTTTTCCAGTTCTCAGGGAGAATGGTTCTAGCTTTTGCTTGTTCAGCATGATGTTGGTTGTGGATTTTCATAGCTGGCTCTTATTATTTTGAGGTATATTCCTTCAGTGCCTAGTCTGTTGAGGGTTTTTATCATGAAGGGATGTTGGATTTTATCAAAAGCTTTCTCTGTGTCTGTTGAAGTGATCATATCGTTTTTGTTTTTAATTCTGCTTTTGTGGTGAGTCACATTTATGGATTTGCATATGTTGAATCAACCTTGTATCCCAAGAATAAAGCATACTTGATCATGGTATATTAACTTTTTGATGTGCTGCTAGATTTGGTTTGCTAGTTTCTTGAGGATTTTTACATCTGTGTTCATCAGGGATATTGGACTGAAGTTTTCTTTGTTTTGTTGTGTCTCTGCCAGATTTTGGTATCAGGCTGATGCTGGCTTCGTAGAATGAGTTAGGGAGGAGCCTCCCTTGATTTTTTTGGAATAATTTCTGTAGGATTGGTACCAGTTCTTTGTATGTCTGATAGAATATGGCTGTGAATCCATGTAGTCTAGGGCTTTTTTGGTTGGTCAGTTTTTTATTACTGATTAATTTCAGAATTTATTATTGGTCTGTTCAGGTTTTCACTTTCTTCCTGGTTCAATCTTGGGAGGTTGTGTGTTTAGAGGGATTTATCCATTTCCTCTAGATTTTCTAATGTGTGTGAATAGTTATTCATAGTAGTCTCTAAAGATCTTTTGTATTTCTGTGGGGTCAATTGTAATGTCATCTTTGTCATTTCTGATTGTACTTAGTTGGATCTTCTCTTTTTCCTTTGTTAATCTAGCTAGCAGCCTATCAATTTTGTTTATTATTTTAAAGAACCAATTCTTGATTTCATTGATCTTTGGTATGGATTTTTGCATCTCAGTTTTGTTCAGTTCTTCTCTAATTTATTTCTTTTCTTCTGCTAATTTGGGGGCTGGTTTGTTCTTTTATTTCTAGTTCCTCCAGGTACAATGTTAAATTGTTAATTTGATTTAAATTAACAAATTGTTAATTTGATTTAAATTAACAAATTGTTAATTTGATTCTCTTAATGAAGACATTTAGTTCTGTAAGCTTTCCTTTTAACAGTTTTAGCTGCATCCCTAAGATTTTGTAAGTTGTGATTCTATTTTTATTTTCATTAATGAAATTAATTTCATTAATTAATGAATGAATTTTTATTAATTTCAAAGAATTTTTTTATTTCTGCCTTAATTTCATTATTGACCCAGGAGTTATCCAGGAATAAATTGTTTAAGTTCCATGTATTTGTGTAGTTTTGAGAGATCTTCTTAATATTGATATCTCTTTTTATTGCACTGTAGTCCAAGAGTATACTTGGTATGATTTTGATTTTTTTGAATTTATTTAGACTTACTTTGACTGAACACGTGATCTATCTTAGAATATGTTCTGTGTGTAGATGGGAAGAATTTGTATCCTGCAGTTACTGGATGAAGTATTTTGTAGCTTTCAATTAGGTCTGATTGGTCAAGTGTCAAGTTTAAGTCCTGAATTTGTTAGTTTTCTGCCTGGATGTTCTTTCTAACACTGTCAGTGGGGTGTTGAAGCCTCCCACTATTACTCTGTTGCTGTCTGAGTCTTTTTTTAGGTTAAGCAGAACTTGATTTATGAATCTGGGCATGTATATATTTGGCATAGTTAGGTCTTCCTGTTGAATCAAACCGTTTATCATTATATAATACCTTTCTTTGTCCCTTTTTACTGTTGGTTGGTTTAAAATCGGCTATATCTGATAAAAGAATTGTGACTCCTGCCCTTTTTTGTTTTTCATTTGCATGTTAGATCTTTCTCCATCCCTTTACTTTGAGCCTGTGTGTGTCATTACATGTGAAATGGGTCTCTTGATGACAGCAGTCAGGTCTTGTCCTTTTATCCAACTTGCCACTGTATTCCTTTTAAGTAGTGACATTTAGACAATTTATATTCAGAGTTAGTATTGATATATGAGATTTCGATCCTGCCATCGTATTGTTAGCTGGTTGTTTTGTAGACTTGATTATGTAGTTGCTTTATAGTGTCTCTAAGCTATGTCCTTAAGTGTGTTTTTGTGGTAGTAGGTGGTGGTTTTTTGTTTCCATGTTTAGCACTCTATTAAGGACCTCTTGTAAGGCTGATCTAGTTGTAATGAATTCCTCAGCATTTGCTTGCCTGAGAAGGATTTTATTTCTCCTTTGCTTATGAAGCTTAGTTTGGTGGGATATGAAATTCTTGGTTAGAATTTCTTTTTTCTTTAAGGATGCAGAAAATAGGTCCCCAGTCTCTTCTGGCTTGTAAGGTTTCTGCCGAGATGTCCGCTGGTAGCCTGATGGGGTTCCCTTTGTAAGTGACCTGACCCTTCTGTCTAGCTGCCTTTAAGATCTTTTCTTTCATGTTGACCTTGGTGAATCTCATGACTGTGCCTTGGGGATGGTCATCTTATATAATGTCTGATAGGAATTCTCTGTATTTCTTAATTTGCATGTCAACCTTTCTAGCACGATTGGAGAAATTTTTCTGGACTGTATCCTCGAATATGTTTTCCATATTGCTTATTCTCTCTTCTCTCTCAGGAATGCCAATGAGTCATAGGTTTTGCCTCTTTACATAATCTCATATTTCTCAGAGGTTTTTTTTTTCCATTCTTCTTCATTCTTTTTCCTTTATTTTTCTCTGACCAAGTAGATTTGAAGAACTGGTTTTGAAGCTCTGAGATTCTTTCCTCAGTTTGGTCTGTTATGTTGTTAATACTTTCAGTTGTATTATGAAATCCTTGTAGTGAAATTTTCAATTCCAGAAGTTCAGTATGGTTCTTTCTTAAAATGGCTATTTTACCTTTGTAAAATTGTTTTACTGGATTCATTGGATTGGGTTTTAACTTTCTCCTGAATCTTGATGAGCTTCCCTGCCATCCAGATTCTAAATTGTATGTCTGTCTTTCAGTAACTTCAATCTGGTTAAGAACTATTGTTGGTGAGCTAGCAGGCTCATTTGGAGGTAAGGGGACATTCTGGCTTTTTGAATTGCCAGAATTCTTGCACTGATTCTTTCTCATGTTAGAGGGCTATTGTTCCTTTAACTGCAGTGTAAGTCGAGTATAGTCAACTGGCCTTGTTTCTGGGTGCTTTCAGAGGGCCACAGCTCTATATAGATCTTTACTGTGCCTAGATTCTTGCCCTGGGTGTCACAGAGATGTATATTGGCAGAATTATTTTGGTGTTGTAATTTTGGCTGTGATCCAGTAGCTGGCATTTAACATTAGTGTCCAGTGGATAGGCTCTTACTCAGCTGCATAGTTCTTTTGTATTTCTGTGTGTTCACAGCCGTGCTCTGTGGTGGGGTTGGGGAGAGAGATGACCACTCATAAGGGCCACTCCTGGACCATGGGTGAGGTCCCTCCTATCACTGGCACTGTACCTGCATTACTGTTGTTTGGTGTCTTGGGTTGCAGGGCTCCCTTAGACAGAGGCCATGGCTGCCAGACAGGCCACACCCTTCCCAGACCAGCACTGTGGAGGAAGGCATGTCCCATTCCTGCACTGGCCCACGAACCCACGTGTCTCACTCCTTTCAGTGTTCTGAAAGTGGGATTTCTCCCCTACTTGAGTGCCAGCCCCAGCTCTTAGCTCGACAGCCCCAGCTGTGTGCTGTAGCCCTGTAGCACTGGGACCAGCCTGTGGCTCCATCGTCTGGACCCTCAGGGTCAGGCACCAGCTGTGCTGGGGAATCTGAAATGCTCCCAGGCTGCCAGGAAGGTACTCAGGTGGAACCACCAGCAAAAAACAAGGCTAGGCAGCAGAGGCTGCCCTGTGCACACATTCCTGCAGGGCAGCTTGGCAGGGGCCCTGGAAGGGGCTGTAGGGGAGGAGGGCCTGCAGAACAGATGTTCCTCTGTCCCACAGGGAAGCTGGCCCCAGGCTGGCCTGCCCCAGCATTCAGGTGGGGCTAGTCCTACTCCAGGGGAAATAAGAAGTCTTAGGGGATGGGCGCCTATGGCCACCTTCTGCTGCAGCTGCCTTAGATATGAAAACCCCTGGGCTCCATGTATTCTGGAGCTCTGTCTCTGCCTACTGTTTGGGCCAATCCCCCTGCCAGTTGAAACGTCTCCAGGGGGCATGGAATCTTGTAGCTAGGATCTCTGAGGTCCATAGTGAGAGTGTGCTGCCCCATCATCCATTCACTCACCCCTTTCTAGGAGCCTTTCAAGGCCAAGAACCAGCCCTGGCATTGGGCAACCCCCACAAGGTTACCAGCTTCCTCCCTCTTCAGCTTCCAGTTTGTATCACCTCTCTATCAGCTCTTGGTGCTTTTTCTCCAAAGATCTGCTCAAAATATGTTGGCTTACTCGATATTTTGGTCTTTATTAGTGGCAGTGGTGCTTCTTGGCCCTGTCTAGTTGGCCATCTTGTCCTTCTTCCACTAAAAATTATTTTTAAAAATAGTTTCAGGCTGGGCGCGGTAGCTCATGCCTGTAATCCCAGCACTTTGGAAGGCTGAGGCAGGCGGATCACCTGAGGTCGGGAGTTCATGACCAGCCTGACCAACATGGAGAAACCCCGTCTCTACTGAAAATACAAAATTAGCCGGACATGGTGGCACATGCCTGTAATCCCACCTACTCAGGAGGCTGAGGCAGGAGAATCGCTTGAACCTGGGAAGTGGAGGTTGCAGTGAGCCAAGATTGCACCATTGCACTCCAGCCTGGGCAACACGAGCGAAACTCCATCTCAAAAAAAAAAAATAGTTTCATTGATAACCTTCCTTTGAACTATAGTTAATGTTAAGAGTTAACAAGTAACATATGTTGAGTGCCCATCAGTGTAATACCTCAGATATAAAAGTCCTGTAGATTTTTAAAATATGATATTCACTCAGTTCTTATTTGCCCAGTTAACAGTGGGATCGGAATTTTTTTTAGCTTCTACCATTTACTTATATTTGGAGAAATGATGATGATGATGATGATATCCCAAGAGCTTTTAATATTACTTTAATGAATATTTATTAAGTACTCACTATATGCTCTACATGTGTCATGTAGAGGGTGGCGCATGGTGGTGATTTCATGACATACAGGTATTCAGGCATTGTCCGAAATGTTCTCTGGGAGGATGTCTGGAAAAAACTCCAGTTCCAGATCGCGTCTGCAACCATGAAATCTCCCCACCATGAATGAGGAGGAGGAGGAAGAGGAAGAGTTATAAGTCAGGACTTACCTCTTGCCTTTATTAATTTGCTGTTTCAATTAAGTTTAAATAAAACTACATGACTGAAGGATACTGCCCTTCCCCTTTCCTTCAAGGCTGCCATTTGAAGGGCCTTTGCTAGTTTTTGTTGATTTGCTTGAAAGTGTTTCTCTTAGGCCCATGACCCCTTTCATTTATTTTTTTATTTAAAAAATTGTTAATTGTAGCAAAAGCATAACATAAAACTAACCATTATTAAGTGTACAGTTCAGTAGTGTTAAATAGATCCATATTAAACAGATCTTCAGCACTTTTTCATTTTGCAAAACTGAAAATCTATATCCCTGAAATAACAAGTCTCTGTTTCCCCTTCTTCATCCCCTGGTAACTACCATTCCACTTTCTCTTTCTATGAATTCAACTACTCTAGGTACTTCATAGAAGTAGAATCATATAGTATTTGCCTTTTTGTGACTGGCTTATTTCACATAGCGTAAGTACCTGAAGGTTTATCTACGTTGTAGCCTGTGACTTACACCTTTCATTTTTAGCTTTGGCTGCTGCTGCCATGTTCCCTGTATTTAAGCTGTGGTTTAAAACAGCTTGAGAGGACTCAACTCAGGCTGCCAAGAAAAATGGCAGCAAGAGCTCATTCTACCTATTAAATACTAACATGTTGCTTCCAGGAGGGAAGTGAGCAATTATTGTTTATTCCAAAACATCTGGATATATATGCGGTTATATGTTACAGTTAAAAATTTGTATACTAGTTCATGTTAACTGCAAAGACAAACTATTAGCAAATTATCTATTAGACTTCATTTGGATTTGTCTCTGGTTTATTTAAGTTTTGTCTTTGATAGCAGCAGAAAATGAATCAATAAATGAAAATGAATTTATATTTCTTAAGGCATCCATTACTCATCAGAGATAGTTAATTTAGCTAACATTTGGAAGTGCTGATACCACCAACAAAGCCTAGCATCAAATAATTTCTTTTAATTTCTTTTAATGTCTTAAACACAAATAAAAAACTTATAAACAAATTTGCTTTATTTTCTGAATATTTATAGAATACGTAAGAATTGGTTTTATCTTCATAAAATTATATAATTGGGCTTATCTGAGGTTTGTTTTCATTCTCTTTAATTAAATTATTAGTTAATATCTGATATTCCTATTTATTCTTACCATGCATACAATCTATAGCCCAATAGCATGGGAACTCTTTTTTTTTTTTGAGATGGAGTCTCTCGCTCTGTCGCCGAGGCTGGAGTGCAGTGGCACGATCTCAGCTCACTGTAAGCTCTGCCTCCCAGTTTCACGCCATTCTCCTGCCTCAGCCTCCCGAGTAGCTGGGACTACAGGCGCCCGCCACCACACCCGGCCAATTTTTTGTATTTCTAGTAGAGACGGGGTTTCACCGTGCTAGCCAGGATGGTCTCGATCTCCTGACCTCGTGATCCACCCGCCTCGGCCTTCCAAAGTGCTGGGATTACAGGCGTGAGCCACCGCGCCCGGCCAGCATGGGAACTCTTGAAATAACTGCATGTATTTCTTTTTTTATCCAAAAAACTATTTGAAAGCTTGCTTTGCTAGGTTGTTTTTTGCATAAGTGTGAGAGTAGCTAGCTATTTCTAGTATTAAATGGTAATGGGAAATAAAATTACAGCTGTTTCTGAGTTGGATCTCCATGTGGCTTCATTATTTTTTCGCTGTGAATTTCCAGAAGAGTAGATACAACTGTAATAAAATGTAAATGAGAAAATATATTCAAAAACCAAATATAAAATGACTTGAATTATTTTTCTGGCTTACCTATACTTCATTTATCTTTATTAAGGTTAGTAAGGGAAATGTGTGTGGTTTATATTGTAGATACATGCACACACAGCAGGATAAATTTTCATTTTAATGCTCATTAAGAATTTAATTGTACTTAATATATTTTGCAGTTATAAAGGAAATAGAAAAATAAAGTCTATCCCATGTGAAATGACTCTCACTGGTATTGTTTTGCCCATAAGAACTTCTGTCTTGTTTCAGTGAAGCAGGGAACAATCACTAATACAACATTTGTATCTCATTTCAGGATGATGATGATGATCCTTTTATGAACACTAGTTCTTTAAGAAGAAATAGAAGATAATATATTTAATGGCACTGAGAAACATGCAAGATACAGGAAAAATGAAAATGTTACAAGCTAAGAGTTTACAGTTTAAGATTTTAAGTATTGTTTCCTGAGCATAACTCCATAAGTAAGAAATTTCTAGTTCACAGACATACAATAGCATTGATTCACCTTGTTTTTTTAACCTGGTTGTTGTAGTAAGAGCTTTGTTTCAATATCACTCTTGAGTAAAGATTAAAATAAAGCTACCATTTTACATTTCTATTTCATAATGAAAAACTATGTCAGTATTTTAATATGGTTACATTTAGCCAAAGTTGAGGGAAAGAGCTTATAAAATTTAACTTCTTCATAATTTTAGTAATTTCCTAGAGGTTCTGGGTTTTCTGAAAGTAAAACAATTTATGCGAACCTATGTCTAAATTCACTGTTTGTTACTATGTATGTTTTTTTCCAATGCTTCTTATAAGACTAAATGATTAGAAGTACCTAATAGTTTGAACAGATATGTTTTTATTTAAAAGAGTAGAATAACCTTTCAGAATTACTGAGTTTTTTATTCCAGTTGTAGCAAAGATTTCAAAAGATTGTGTTCCCATTAAGTGGTAGTAATTTCCTTTATTATTCTGTATCCTTAATGGTGTTCTCTCTCTCTCTCTCTCTCTCTCTCTCTCCCTCTCCCCCCCGTTCCCCACTCTTCCTTTCTCCTTTGCTTTTTCTTCTCTTTCATACATATATGCGTGCCTAGTTCTAGGAGGAAACGGGTTAAAAATTGTTTTAAACTACATCTTGAAAATATTGAAGAATTTGTTTTAGGTAGAGTGGTCAGTTGAACCTTACAGTAAAGTATAGAAATATATTTAATGTGGAATGTCAATGCCAGGATTTCTCATTAACAATATTTTATCTCAACTTTGGTTCCTGTGATACATTTCTGAATGGGCAATTCCAGAAATCTTAGTAGCCCATGTTAAGCTTCTATTTTTTACTTGTTTTCGGGGAGAAATAAGAATTAGACATCTTCAGATTTAAGTTAAATAATCCCATTCTTTATAATCCTCTGTAAAAAGATCCCTGAGATTATTCCTTCTTCTAGTTTTATGCGACAGCTTTACTTTAAAATTCAAGTTATACATCTTGGGAGTACAATGGCCCGACATTTCTTCATAGGTAGAAACAAATACTTGACTCAGTGATACTCATGACCATTAGAATAGTCATACCTGGAATGTGTCAAATTATAAGAGACAGACACTTGGTTAGTGGCTGCCTCATATAGCACTTTTGAAGAGGCCTAAGTCAAAACTTGCAATATAACATTCTATTGACTTTCTTAAAAATATTTTTTCTGTACCTAACTTGAGCATAAGGGTTATTTGAGCAAGTAACATTAACTCAGTGGAAGGCATTGTCCTGTGAAATATTCTTAGGCAGATCTGCCCACATCTTTATTGAACTTGAAATCTAATATTTCTAGTATTTGAACAAAGCAGAAGGTTAAGTCAGGGAAGAGCAGTGCTGTCCATGATGTAATGGAAGCTACCAGGGGAGGCAGTGTCTGGATGATGCTGTGCTACCTACCCCTGCACAAGCCATGCTGGCTCAGTCTGAGCTGTGGGCCACATCAGCTAGTGGCTCTTCTCATGCATCAGTTAGGTGGGTCTGGGTGAGAGTTATAGTGAGGGAATGGTCACTAAAGTATCCTGACAAGTTCCTAGGAAAAAAGGAATAAAGTTTTTTTCCTTAAAAAAAAAAAAATTGCTCTTGGCTGTGAAAAGAGGTACTAAATGCGATTCAGTTCACCGCTAAGGAAAGTGATGACATAGCAGTTACAGAGGGTGATAAATCTCTCCAGCTAATTCAGGTCATTTTGTGAATACTATGTATCAAGCCCTGAAAATATGGTAAATAAAACGTGACAGGGAAACCTTTTTTTGATTGAATATTGTTACATAGTTAAATGTGCTATATATCCTTAATATTTTATATTGATCCTGCAAAATCTGTTGGTTTTAGGGGAGTTTTGTTTTTTGTTTCTAACAATTTTCAGACCTGTTGGTATAGGAATGTAGAAGTCTTTCAGATGATTTGAAAGCAGCTGCATTTGCTCTTGGAGGCTTTGGGAGAGCAGGAATGAAAACATTCAGAGGAAGACATCTGTAGGGAATTCTTCTGTTACTTACCAAAGAATAAGTGTCTTTCTGGTGTTTTATTTCCTATCATAAAAATACAACAGTGCATTTACAAGGTTAAAGATTCCTCGAAGTTCTAGGAAATTCTTGAAAATATAAGTGGTGCTTAGAAAATTCAAGCATTTAGGAATGTGACCTTTAATTCAGGTATGTAAAAGACTTTTTTCCCAAACTTTTAAAAGTAGGAAATACAATAAATACAGAAAAGTCATATGGTTGAATAAATAATTATAAATTGAGCACTGATGGAATCCCTCTACAGGTCAAGAAATAGCGCAGTGTCCTGGATGCCCATTATATTGTTTTCTCCTTTCTGGGTAACAAGCCCTAACTTCTGTAATTTAAAAGCTCCTACTTTTGCCACAAGGTGGTGCTTCTGCCATTAGACGCAGTTAGGAGGATGCAACTGCAAATCTAAAATTACGAAGTTAGTGTAGTTGCAATAAACTTAGAACATATGCATTAATACTAAACCTATGCAGTAATACCATAATTAGCCTTCTAATCATGTAATTTGCTTTACTTAGGTATTTCATTTGGTTCAGCCTGTTATGGAATTTACCAGCTTGATAAATTTGCCTATAAAGTTTTATAAAGAAAAGGAATATTTTGTTTTCATAAAGAGGAAAATCCATTCTTAGAAAAAAACTGAGTAAAAAAGTATCTCAATGGGCTGGGTGCAGTGGCTCATGCCTTTAATCCCAGCACTTTGGGAGGCCGAGGAGGGGGTTCACCTGAGGTCAGGAGTTTGAGACCAGCCTGGCCAACATGGTGAAACCTCGTCTCTACTAAAAATACAAAAGATTAGCTGGGCATGGTGGTGTGTGCCTGTAATCTTAGCTACTCAGGAGGCTGAGGCAGGAGAATCGCTTGAACCCAGGAGGCAGAGGTTGCAGTGAGCCGAGATTGTGCCATTGCACTGCAGCCTGGGCAACAAGAGTGAAACTCAATCTCAAAAAAAAAAAAAGTATCTAAATGTAAAATATCTTTTTTGGAAATATAGAATTTAAAAGCGACTTTCCCCCAAAGAAATCTGATGTCCTTTTTGTATCTGTCATAAATTTAATTCATAGTATTTTGGGTTTTTTTTGTTTTTTTTTTTTGAGACGGAGTCTCGCACTCTTGCCCAGGCTGGAGGGCAGGGGCACCATTTCGGCTCACTGCAAGCTCCACGCCATTCTCCTGCCTCAGCCTCCCAAGTAGCTGGGACTACAGGCGCCCACCACCACGCCTGGCTAATTTTTTTTTTTTTTTTTTTGTATTTTTAGTAGAGACAGGGTTTTTCTGTGTTAGCCAGGATGGTCTCGATCTCCTGACCTTGTGATCCACCCACCTCAGCCTCCCAAAGTGCTGGGATTACAGGCCTGAGCCACCACGCCCAGCCTATTTTGTGTTTTTTTAAAGCTAACTACCATTAAGATCATTATAGAAGTTTGGTATAATGAAGATTTGGGTTTTTCAGTCCAATGAGTTTCCATATTCTTGAATGAAAAAGATCCACATTTCATCATTTGCCTGTTTCATTTTCTTTTAGTACTTTTGAACTTAGTTTGGTCAGAAAATACTAGAATTTTAGTTTGATCTAAAGAACCAGCTTATATAACTTGCTGTTGCCATGTACATTTGTATGTCTTTGCTGTGTCAAATAACTGGATCTGATTTTAGCTCTTTTTAAGTGGTGAAAGCAATGCATTTTTATTCTTCAAATTCAGACATTGAATGTGTATTAAAATGTGTGTGCTTACCTTTAATCCTCTCCCCACCGACAATTAGGAACACGTTTCTCCAATTACTGTTGGCAAGACTACCAAGAAAAATTGTTGAATTAGAATCCCAGCACCGGGCACGGTGGCTCACGCCTGTGATCCTAGCACTTTGGGAGGCCAAAGCAGGCGGATCACCTGAGGTCAGGAGTTCGAGACCAGCAGGGCCAACATGGCGAAACCCCGACTCTACTAAAAATACAAAAATTAGCCAGGCATGGTGGTGGGCGCCTGTAATCCCAACTACTCAGGAGGCTGAGGCAGGAGAATTGCTTGAACCTGGGAGTTGGAGGTCACGGTGAGCTGATATCACGCCATTGCACTCCAGCCTGGGCAACAGAGCAAGACTCTGTCTCAATCAATCTATCCATCAATCGATAAGAACCCCAGATTGTATAGCTACATGTTTTAGCCCCCTTTTCAAAGTATATGTTCTCCTTGGTACTTATTTTGACATTCTGACTTTTCTACATATGCTTTATCAACCTCTTAATTAAACCATCATTGTCTATTTTGAGAGATAACTGCGCTGCTTCCCGTTGTGTGTTTTAAATGTTATTGTTCAGTTTGAGTCAAATAAAAGGATATTTAATCTGTGGTGCCTTGACATTAAAAGTGGTAAAGTGATTTTTAAAGGGCTCTTGGCTGGCTTTTGCACATTATGGCTGATTAACAAAAGAGGTTTAATGGATATTAGGCTGGTTGGCCCATGCAAACTTTGTTCTGCCTCTGAGCCACTGTGTAGTCAAGATGGTTCATGTACAAATACCCAAAACTAGTGCATAAGTACCCTTGATCACAGTGCCTGTTCAATATCAGTACCAAGTGTTTCGTGTTTATATTTTATGTAAAAATCAGAATTTTCTACATAGAAGCTTATAACTGCAGTCTACCTGTTAGTGCATTTGAACTGATGGGATGGTATATCTGACTTTGAGTACATTTTGCTAGAGGCAAAAGGCCATTGCTTAATAGGCTGAGAGGCCCAACTGCATTTCCGTTGGTTCTTGGGTAGTCTGGAAATGAAGGCATCCATTTTACACTCATTAAAGTGTTTTACCATAAACGATGAGATAAATAAATAAACCCATCATAGGTATCCTGAAAGTTTCTAGTGGTTTGTCATTCCAGTACTGATTTCTGAGGTTTTTAGTAGTTTTAAGTCCAGATCATATTTTTAAAACTTGAAAGAGTATCAACTTTACAGAAAGTTGCAAGAATAATGGATAACTTTTTATAGTTTATTCAGATTAACCAATTTTTGACATTTTGTCATTAAAAAAATTCTATATGTGCATATATGTATATGTTATATACATATATTTTCATGTCAAATGTGAACACACACATAAAATTTCTCAATCTTTTGACACTAGGTTGGAATGTCATGTTCCTTTACTCTTTAATACTTCATTGTATGTTCCCTAGGAACAAGAATATCCTTTTATAACCACCATACTGTTAATCTACAGTCCATTTTCCAATTTTTTTATTTGTTCCAATACTTTCCTTATATAGCATGTTTTTCCCTCTAGTCTAGGTTTAGTTTTATTCTGTGAATATGTAGAGTATCAACGTGCTTCCTGAAGTCTAAATCATTCAAATGCACACTCAAGTCTTACTCCCTTCCCTATTCCTTTCATCCCTTTTTGCCCCACCCATTGTAGGTAACCAATTTCATTTTTGTTTATTCTTTTCACCAAAATATGCAAATTTGTACATTTTTTCATGTCCCCTATTTTCTTACATAAAAGGTTTTATGCTATATATACTCTTTTTGTCTGAACAAATGGAGTTTTTTGTCCTACAAACTACTCCATGTCATTTTATGGAGATCTTCCTTTTTTATAGCCTCATGGTACTCCATTGAGTTTAAATGCCATAGTGGATTCTGTCCTCCTATATTTGTGCCTTTTGGTAGTTCTGATATTTACAATTACAAATAATACTGCAATGCTAATACTAGTATTTTTAATACTGCAATACTAATACTAGTATTTTAAAATTTTTAGAAGTGTTATCTTCAGAGTAAATTCCTGGAAATGTGATTATTCGGTAAAAGAGTAAATGTACATGTAGTTTTGTTAGGTGTTGCCAAGTTCCTTTTTATAAAAGTGGTATTCCCACCAACAATATGTGGACTACCTATTTCTCTATAGCCTCACCATCAGAAGAATGTATTGTCGTCAGATTTTTGATTGTTTGCCAAACTGATGGACAAGAAATGGCATCTTAGTGTAATTATAATTTGCATTTCTCTTATGAATTAAGTTGAATTTGCAAAAATATGCTTAAGGCACATTTTTACACCCATTTTCGGTGAATTGCTTGTTCGTGTATCTTACTCATTTTTCTAGAATGTCTAGTCCCCTTTTTCTTCACTCGATATAAAAAGTATTTTTTAAATATTAGATATTAACCCTTTGTCTATAATATATTGTAAAATTTTTTCCCAACTTCTTGTTTGTATTTTTATTTTGCTTATGGTGACTTTTTTTGCAGTGCAACAGTTTGTTTTTAATGTAGTCAAATTTATCTGGTTTTGCATCTGGAGTTGGTTTTTGTTGTATAAATGGTGTCTAATTGAACAGAGGGTCTTTTAAGGAACATAACTTTTTTATTTTTATAATTGCATAATTGGACTTTATGAAGTCCAACTTACATTGATTAAGGTGTAATGTTTTTGTGTTCTGTTCAAGAAAAACATTGCTTACCTTAAGCTCATGTAACTTCTGTGTTATCTTCAGAACTTTATGTTTTGCCTTTCCAATTCAACTCCACAGTCCAGCTGGGAATTGATTTCTATGCTCTTAATTGCTATTGGGCTATTTTTTTCTATTTTGTTTCTGCTATGTGCTTTGTTTCAAATCAGATCCTCAGAACATGAAAGAAAATAATTATCTGTTAATTTAAGCTATTGATTAATATTGCATCTTACAGATGGGGAAATAATGATTAAAGTGGATTGTTTTTGTTTTAACAACAATACCATGTAAAAATATCTTTAAGGATATTTCTAGAAAACATGGCCAGATCAGCAACTCATTTTCACAGGATGTAAGCAATAGCTATCATTGATCTTACATGCTTTTAAAAAATGCTTCTAATAAGATTTTTTTAATTGCCATTTGAGGCCATTATTTTTGAGCACCAGAGAAAGAAAAGTTGTATTTTTTCATACTGGCTCTAACTGCCTTGTGTTTCATAAAGTTCATGCTATGATAAAGACAAATTCTAGCAATTACAGTTGAAGATGCAGCTTGCAGGCAGTGGAACAGGGAAGGTTGTGATGATCATATATCTCAGGGGAAAAGTCTGTACACAGTGAAGGAAACATGTAGGATCTGAAGGTGAAAGTCCGTTCTTGACCCACCAGTTAGACTATTCGACAAAATCATACGATATTATAAAAGGCTGAAATTAAGGGTAGAGTGATAAAAATCGAAATTGTGTGAAGAAAATGACCATGTCTTTTTTTTTTTTTTTTTTAAGTTCGAGAGAGTTTTGCTTTGTCGTCCAGGCTGAAGTGCAGTGATGTGATCTTGGCTCACTGCAACCTCCATCTCTCCCAGATTCAAGTGATTCTCCTGCCTCAGCCTCCTGAGTAGCTGGGATTACAGGCACGAGCCATCACACCCAGCTAATTTTTTTCTATTTTTAGTAGAGACGAGACGGGTTTTCACTGTGTTGGCCAGGCTGGTCTCGAACTCCTAACCTCAGGTGATCCGCCCACCTCGGCCTCTCAAAGTGCTGCGATTACAGGCATGAGCCACCATGCTCGGACCATGCCATTTATGCTGTACTTACAAGTTTAATTCCTAAATAACAATTCTTAACAGCAAGTGCCTTCTGGCAGGCTGTGGACTCCCAGCCTGGGTTCATCCTGAATTCACCTCTTCCACAACCTTTTATTATGTGATGCCATAACTCTCGACACTGCCTTTCCCATTAAATTGAGTTTCCTTAAGGGAATGCCCCTTGCTGTTTTTGTCTCTGAACCAAGCCTAGCATGGTGCCTGGCATAGAGCAGGCTCTTAGTAAATACTTAATGCATGACTATGTGAAGACATAATAGATTTTGTTAAAAGAAAAAAATTCCAAAGCACTCACAGAAATAAAGCAGAGCTGTTAATTTCCCCCTCACTCCTTGACAATGGAAATAACTCTCGTAAACACAAATGACTGTGCTATGCAGTAGAGGCATTAGAGTCTTAAGTTATGAAGTCAATGACTTGATTTCCAAACACCTTCTTACCCAAAATTGCCACCCTAGTCAGATTGGTTCAGTTGGCTGATCAGACCAGTGACTCATCTGTGACAGTGGCAATAATTAGGAACCTGTTACAGATAAAGATGGACTGTTGTCCTCTGTAAACTACTGAGTTTTTTCCGAGTATAAATAGTATTTGTGAAAAATGCAAAAGAATATGAAGAAAAAGGATATCAAAATCCTGCTATTAACATTTCACTGTGCGCCCTTTAACGCTTCACATAATTGAAGTGAAATTGTATCAGTTTGTGTCCTGCTTGTGTTATTCTGAAAGCATTTTCTGTGTTACTAAATTTTTCTCAAAAACATTTCTTTTAATGGTTGCATAGTGTTTTGGGTCATGGAATACCACAGCATAATATATTTTTCACTATAATAAATAATGCTTGATGGAGTCATCTTTTTACATAATATTTTTATACTTTTTATGTGGAGATAGGGTGTGAGAAACCTACATATATCCATCATCCTGCTTCAATCCATTTCTCTTCCCCAGGTCCAGATGATTTTGAAGCAAATTCCAGACATTGTGTTATTTAATCTGCATGTATATATGCACATGCGTATATATAATAAACAACAAGGACTCTTTTTAAATAAAATATGCTGTCAGTTGTACATAAATCTTTGACCACATTTTAAAAATTATATCCGTAGGCTAGGATAGAGTAAAAAATAGAATTTCAGGTAAAGGAGATGAAAATATTTTAAGGCTTATGACAGTTTTACCAGATTCCTTTGCAGAAAGGATATATCCATTTATACTCCCACCAGCAACATGAGAGCACCTCCTTCACTGCACCCTACCCAATACCTAGTCATTTATTTGATTTTGTGAACTTCACAGTAAAAGGTTTCTTCCATTTGGTTTTAGGCTTTAACAGTACTCTTCACCCAGAAGCTAATGATAAGATTGTTGATCAGTCAGACCTGGGCTTCAATCTTTCAGTCCTTTTAGCTGTGTGACTTATACAAGTCAGTCTCAGAACATCTGCTTCCCCATTCAGTAGATAAAAATGCCTACCTTGTATGTTTTGTGATTAGATGCAATGATGCTTATGAAGTGATTAGCACAGTCCCGGCATATAAAACCTTCGATGATTCCATTGGCTGCTAGCTGCATCTTCAACTGTAATTGCTAGAATTTCTTTTATCATAGCATGAACTTTATGAAATAGAAGTCAGTGTAAAATTAATATGAAAAAAGACTTCTTTTTCTGATGCTCAAAATTAATGACCTCAAGTGGTAATTCAAAGAAATAAAAAAAATCCTATTAAAGCATTTTCAAAAGAGCCTAAGATCAATGATAGCTGTTGCTTACATCCTGTGAAAATGAGTTACTGGTCCTGTGATGCTTTCTAGAAATATCCTTAACAATTTTTTTACTTGGTATTGCTATTTTTTAAAAAAACACTTTAATCATCATTCTCCCTCTGTAAGATGCAATATCAATCAAATAGCTTAAATATGGCTAATTATCCTCTTTCTCGTTCTGAGGATCGGATTCAAAACAAAGCACACAACAGAAATGAAAAAGAAGTAGAAAAAAATAGCCCAATAGCAATTAAGAGCATAGAATGAGAGCTGATGTTAAGAAATGTGACTCAACCTATAGAATTGTAGAAAATCCCCTTGAAACATTTAATTGCACGGCTCTACTCTTTAGAGGAACTGTATCTTCCTTTTGTCCCCTCTGAGAGCTAATGAAGAAATTCTCATTTTATGAGAACACTTGGACACAGGGCGGGGAACATCACACCCCGAGGCCTGTCGTGGGGTGGTGGGGAAGGGATAGCATTAGGAGAAATACCTAATGTAAATGACGAGTTGATGGGTGCAGCAAACCAACATGGTACACGTATACCTATGTAACGAACCTGCACGTTGTGCGCTAGAACTTAAAGTATAATTAAAAAAAAAACCTCATTTTAAGTGGTTATCCAGCAACAGAACCAGAAAATTGTTACTTTTACAGAAGGTAGGTTTTATTGCATATACAAAATGGATATTGTTATTTTAAATTAGATATGTCCAAGGTAAACGATCGTATCAGCAAACAAGAACAGTTTGACTTCCTCTTTACTGATTTGGATGCTCTTTCTCTTTTGTCTGATTGCTCTGGCTAGGACTTCTGGCACTATGTTGAAGAGGAGTGTTGAGAGTGGGCATCCCTTTCTTGTTCTCATTCTCAGAATGCTTTCAACTTTTCCCCATTCAGTATTATGTTGGCTGTGGGTTTGTCATAGATGGCTTTTATTACATTAACGTATGTCCCTTGTATGCTGATTTTGCTGAGGGTTTTAATCATAAAGGGAAGCTGGATTTTGTCGAATGCTTTTTCCGCATGTATTGAGATGGTCATGTGATTTTTGTTTTTAATTCTGTTTATCTGGTATATCACATTTATTGACTTGCGTGTGTTAAACCACCCCTGCATCCCTGGTATGAAACCCACTTGATCATGGTGGATTATCTTTTTGATATGTTGTTGGATTCACTTAGCTAGTGTTTTGTTAAGGATTTTAGCATCTATGTTCATCAAGGATATTTGTCTGTAGCTTTCTTTTTTGGTTGTATCCTTTCCTGATTTTGGTATTAGGATGATGCTGGCTTCATAGGATGGATTAGGGAAGGTTCCTTTTTTCTCTATCTTGTGGAATAGTGTCAAAAGAATTGGTACCAATTCTTCTTTGAATGCCTGGTAGAATTCTGCTGTGAATCTGTCTGGTTCTGGACTTTTTTGCGTTGGTGATTTTTAAATTACTATTTCAGTCTCGCTCCTTGTTATTGGTCTGTTCAGGGTATCTAATTCTTCCTGATTTAAGCTAGGAGGGTTGTATTTTTCCAGGAATTTATCCATCTCTTCTAGGTTTTCTAGTTTATATGCATAAAGGTGTTCATTGTAGCCTTGAGTGATCTTTTGTATTTTGGTGGTTTCAGCTGTATTATCTCCTGTTTTGTTTCTTAGTGAGGTTATTTGGATTTTCTCTCTTCTTTTCTTGGTTAATCTTGCTAGTGGTCTATCAATTTTATTTATCTTTTGAAAGAACCAGCTTTTTGTTTCATTTATCTTTTGTATTTTTTGTTTGTTTCAATTTCATTTAGTTCTGCTCTGATCTTGGTTATTTCCTTTCTTCTGCTGGGTTTGGGTTTGGTTTGTTCTAGTTCCCTAGTTCCTTGAGTTGTGACCTTAGATTGTCTGTTTGTGCTCTTTCAGAATTTTTGATGTAGGCATTTAGGGCAATGAACTATCCTCTTAGCACCACCTTAGCTGTATCCCAGAGGTTTTGATAGGTTGGGTCATTATTGTCTTTCAGTTCAAGAATTTTTTAATTTCCATCTTGATTTTGTTTTTGACCCATAGCTCATTCAGGAGCAGGTTATTTAATTTCCAAACCCTAAGTGTTCCCCCAGAAAACTGCTAGAACTGATTATATAATTCAGCAAAGTTTCAAGATACTGGATGAATGTACACAGATCAGTAGCTCTTCTATGCATCTACAGTGACCAAGCAGAGAATCAAATCAAGAACTCAACCACTTTTACAACAGCTGCAAAAAAAATAAAGTAAAATACTCAGGAATATACCTAACAAAGGAGTTGAAAGTCCTCTACCAGGAAAACTACAAAACACTGCTGAAAGAAATCATAGATGACACAAACAAATGGAAACACATCCTATGCTCATGGATGGGTGGAATCAATATTGTGAAAATGACCATACTGCCAAAAGCAACCTACAAATTCAATGCAGTCACCTTCAAAATACCACCATTATTCTTCACAGTTAGAAAAAAAAATTCTAAAATTCATATAGAACCAAAAAAGAGCCCACATAGCCAAAGCAAAACTAAGCAAAAAAAAACAAATCTGGAGGCATCACACCACCTCACTTCAAACTATACTATAAGGCCATAGTCACTAAAACAGCATGTACCACTATAAAAATAGGCACATAGACCAGTGGAACAGAATAGAGAACCCAGAAATAAACCCAAATACTTAAACAGCCAATTGATCTTCGACAAAGCAAACAAAAACATAAAGTGGGGAAAGGACTAATTATAGAAGATAACATTGGAAAAACCCTTCTAGACATTGGCTTAGGCAAGGATTTCATGACCAAGAACCCAAAAACAAATGCAATAAAAACAAAGATAAATAGCTGGGACCTAATTAAACTAAAGAGCTTTTGCATGGCAAAAGGAACAGTCAGCAGAGTAAACAGACAACCCACAGAGTGGGAGAAAATCTTCACAATCTATACATCTGACAAAAGGACTAATATCCAGAATCTGCAGCCAACTCATGTCAGTAAGAAAAAAAACAATCCCGTCAAAAAGTGAGCTAAGGACGTGAATGGGCAGTTATCAAAAGAGGATACATAAATGGCCAACAAACATATGAAAAAAATGTTCACCATCACTAATCATCAGGGAAATGCATCAAAACCGCAATGCGATACCACGTTACTCCTGCGAGAATGGCCATAATAAAAAAATCAAAAAACAGTAGATGTTGGCATGGATGCGGTGATCAGGGAACACTTCTACACTGTTGGTGGGAATGTAAACTAACACAGCCACTATGGAAAACAGTGTGGAGATTCCTTAAAGAACTAAAAATAGAACTACCGTTTGATCCAGCAATCCCACTACTGGGTATCTACCCAGAGGAAAAGAAGTCATTATTCGAAAAAGATACTTGCACATGCATGTTTATAGTAGCACAATTCACAATTGCAAAATCGTGGAACCAACCCAAATGCCCATCAGTCAACAAGTGGATAAAGAAGCTGTGGTGTATATATATATATATACAATGGAATACCACTCAGCCATAAAAAGGAATGAATTAACAGCATTTGCAGTGACCTGGATGAGATTGGAGAAATTATTCTAAGTGAAGTAACTTAGGAATGGAAAACCAAACATTCTGTGTTCTCACTGGTATGTGAGAGCTAAGCTATGAGGACGCAAAGGCATAAGAATGATACGATGGACTTTGGGAACTTGGGGGAAGAGTGGGGGGGGTGAGGGATAAAAGACTACAAATATGGTGCAGTGTATACTGTTCGGGTGATGGGTGCACCAAAATCTCACATATCACCACTAAAGAACTTACTCATGTAACCAAACAGCACCTGTACCCCAATAGCTTATGGAAAAATAAAATAAAATAATAATTAGATATGTCCCAGGAACTTACTAGAGAGATAAAAGAGTATTTAGAGAGATAAAGACCTGCATCCTGGGTTGTCTGATTCCAGAGACAGTATCTCAACCTTAGTACTACCTGTTTTCCCTGTCTTAGTACTAGGCTGTAGGAGACAACATTAGGAAGACAGTAGTTCCTGGCCTGGTAATGCTGACAGTTTCATAGGAAATAGACGTGTAGCAAATCATGAGACCCCAACAAGGAAAGTATAGTATCAGAGAATGAATCATATGTTATGGGAGCACTTTTAAAAGAGCAGATTTGGGAACACTGACTTTGCTTGTTCTGGGGTTGTGGCAGTCAAGGGGGTCAGACAGTCTTCAGAGGGGAGATAACATTTGAGCTGGGTCTTGAAGAATAGAGTTTTTCTGGCTCTAAGGTGGTGGAGTGGATGACTGTAGGCAGAGAAACAGCATCCTCAAATACACAGTGTCATGTAATTGGTAATGTGTGAGATGACCACAAGATTCTAACCATGGTGGACAAGTGAATAGGAAAAGGAGCAAGTACAAGAAAGTGAGGGAAGAGCAGGACATAATGAATTGAGTTTGGAGCTTGTTGAAGTGGGTGGGTATTCCAGGTCATAATGTCCGATCAACAGTGAAATGTTACATAATACGGGTTTGGAGCTTTTAACAGGTGGTAAGTGAGGTACAGATCTTGGAGTCATTGGTGAGTAATGGATGGTTAAACCAGTGAAGGTGGCTGCGATCACCCAGGGGGACATTTAATTCAAGAGGAGCAGATAATGGAGCATAACATCTTGGAGCCCTGAACTTTAGCTAGCAATGCTACGATAAATGCTACCATTTATCCGTATATGGGTTAAATGGGTTGTTGGAGTTGGCTTAAGACCCTAGCCACCATTTAGAAAAATTTCTATGTAGAACTGCAGAGTAAGTTCAAGCAACTTAGAATTTAATTTGGGGCCACAAACTGAAGTTGGAGCTTGGTTGTACTTCTTTTTGCATATCCTAAATATACCTTTTTACTCTATGGCTCAGTGTGCTGGAACTTGGAAAGCAATTCCTAGCTTAGCCTGCCTACACACTTTGCATTTTTATTGCATTTGAGCATATCTTCAGCTGTACTTGGTATTTCAGGCTTACTTGGTTCATTTGTAATTCAAGTATGATGACATACAACTGGTACAATTAAACTAGGATTGACTGTCATGTGCCTGGCATTGTGTTGAACTGCTGTTTGTTCCCTTCTGCCACTGTGATTAGTACCATAAGGAAATGTGAGTGTGGTGAGTTTTTAACTCAAGTAGGGCCTTTTCAGAGAATAATATTGGTGATAAAAAGGCATTGTTTGCAGCGTCAGGAATACTGATGTGGTGAGACTCTCAAAACCTCTTTCGTAGGCCTCTATGTGATGTTACAGTAGTCTCACTTTATCCAAGGTTTCGTTTTCTGCAGTTTCTGATGAAATCTTGCACCACCCTACTCTGTCCACTCAGGATGTGAATCCTCCCTTTGTTCAGCATATCCATGCAGTACCTCCTCCTCAGTCACTCAGTAGCCACCTCAGTTGTCAGAGCTCCCGTCAAGGTATTGCAGTGCTTGTGTTCAACTAACCTTTATTTTACTTATAGTAGCCCCAAAGCTGCAAGAGTAGCAATGCTGGCAATTAGCATATGCCAGCTAGAAGCTATAAAATACTTCCTTTATGTGAAAAGGTGAAAGTTCTTGATTTAATAAGGAAGGAGGGAAAAATCGTAAGCTGAGGCTGCTAAGATCTGTAATAAGAACGAATCTTCTATCCATGAAATTGTGAAGACGGAAAAAGAAATTCATGTGTAGCCTGTATAGGGTTTGATACTATCCACAGTTTTGGGCATCCACTAGGAATCTTGGAATGTTTACCCCATCAATAAGGGGGGACTACTGTGTTCTATAATTCTTGGTCTCATTTTTATTAAAATAGTGTGAAGTGGTTTATTGGTTTTTTTGTTTGTTTCAAGTACATTTGAGAGAGTGAAACCCTCTGCTCTTTTCTGTGTTTACTGTGTGTGACTATTACTAGAGATCTAGGAATATACTTACTATTTGGCACAAACTGACTATTCAGTGTCTTTGGTTTTATTTGTAATGTACAAAAACAAGAGGTTGGTTCACTGTAAGAGCTGCTTGTATCTTCCTGTAACCACTTAGTAAGAGCAACAGTGATTTACAGTGATTTACCATAACGCCTCTGAGAAAAGAACTACTTTTAATAACTCAGCCTTCGTGTGAGGTAAGGTGAAGGGATATTCTTGTTTCATTAAAGACTGTGACTTCGGCCGGGCACAGTGGCTCACGCCTGTAATCCCAGCACTTTGGGAGGCCGAAGCGGGTGGATCACGAGGCGGGTGGATCACGAGGTCAGGAGATCGAGACCATCCTGGCTAACACAGTGAAACCCCGTCTCTACAAAAAAATAGAAAAAATTAGCTAGGTGTGGTGGCAGGCGCCTGTAGTCCCAGCTCCTTGGGAGGCTGAGACAGGAGAATGGCGTGAACCCAGGAGGCGGAGCTTGCAGTGAGCCGACATCACGCCACTGCACTCCAGCCTGGGTGACAGAGCGAGACTCTGTCTCAAAGACTGTGACTTCAGGAGTTCAGGATAAGTTTGGGACAGTGGTGCTGGGCTAAGAGGAGGGCTTGGCAGGGCTCAGGAGGCCCAGGCCTGGCTGAGTGGAGAGCTGAATGCCTGGGGAAGAGGAAGAGGAAGTGATTCCAGACCTCATGCCTACCCTTGGATTTTCTCAGGACCGCCTCCCCCTTCAGAGCACACCAGTGCAACTTGCAACTGCCAGCAGTAGCATTTATTTGCCTGAGCCCTTGTTTTGCCTCTGGAGCCCATTTTGGCTATCCACATGGCAGGCCAGAAGTTCAGGAGCATCCTGGGAGAAGGAGCAGACCCCTGGGAGAAGCCTTCAACCAGTGACTAACAGGAGGTGGAGTACAGATACCACAGCTCTGTCACCCCTTGGCTTGGATAGCTGATGTGTACACCTTACACTGGCTTCCCAGCAGGCTTCAGCTTGTCACCCACAGTGGTAGCTGGCTTGACAAAACTCTATTGGTTGCTTTCCCTTTCTTGTCACACTTCTCCACTTCCCTATTGGTGTTTGCCTTCATCTCCCAAATGAACCCTCTCACTAGAGTATTTGTCACAGGAGATGCTTTTGGGGAAAGCTAAGAACTAAAACACCTCACCTCTTTCAGAAAGAAAGTTTCAGGCTTCTGGTGTAAATGCCCTCACACTTACAAGGTGGGCATGATGAGCAGGGAATCAAAGTGAAGACATTAGTTAGGTGGCCCAGATTACAAATATGCCGGCTAGCAAGCACCTTCTGTGGTACTTGGAAGAGAGTGCTTGGAAGGGCACTGGCTACCTTTGATTTCTTTCTCTGAGCTTGACGCTGACTATTCCTCTTCTATCCATACACTCTTTGTTGACACTGGGCACAGTCAATTGACTAGGATTCTGTTTTCTAAATGACCATCATATTCCGGCCTTGCCTCTCAAGATGATGCCAGGTCATCTTGATGGAGCAGCAAGTCTACCTAAGCTTTTTTCTTTTTGAGACGGAGTCTCGCTCTGTCGCCCAGGCTGGAGTGCAGTGGCGCGATCTCGGCTCACTGCAAGCTCCGCCTCCCGGGTTCACGCCATTCTCCTGCCTCAGCCTCCTGAGTAGCTGGGACTACAGGCGCTTGCCACCACGCCCAGCTAATTTTTTGTATTTTTAGTAGAGATGGGGTTTCACCGTGTTAGCCAGGATGGTCTCGGTCTCCTACCTCGTGGATCCGCCCGCCTCGACCTCCCAAAGTGCTGGGATTGCAGGCGTGAGCCACCGCGCCCGGCCCCCAAGCTTTCAGTGTTTACAGGCAGTCTCTTGGTTTATTTCCTGGAGCTAAAGATGTATTATTTCATCGGCCTAGCACCTTGTCCCTTCTAGGATCTGTCACATAATCCCCTATTTCAGCCATTTAATCCTGTGAGACCTGCCAGGTCCTTCAGTATAATTGAGGGTTATCTGCTAGCCATCCTTTCCTCCAGACACAGTTGCTTGAAGAGTACATGTGAAGTGGAAAACTGGAGACAAGAGTAATACCTAGGTTTGAGTCATTGTTTGGGTCCCAGCCCAAGGACATTGCTCCCCAGGGCACGTTGACACAATGTAAAGAATCTACATGGTGTTTCCTGTTGGGGGTCAGGGGTGGTTACCAGTAGTCAACCAGATATTGCATGTCTTGCACCAGAGGGCAATGCAGTGAGAGATGTATACAGGGGTCTCTGAAAACCTCACATTTAGGAAAAGAAAGCCTTTTAACCAAGGCCAAAAATGTTAAATGGCTTGCCCAAGATTTCACAGCTAGGAAGTGACAAAGCTGGGATTAAACCCTAATTACAGAGCCCATGGTCTTTACTACAGGCTTGTGGGTGGCAGAGGACCCAGTGACTGGGAGAGTTTTCACAGTGGAAGTGAAAACGGGTGAGCAGGATAGCAAGGTTTCCTGAAGAAGTAGATGGGGAAGGAAAAACAGCATGGGTCATAATATCCCTTAAAGATATAGCTTCAAGGACTTCCATGGCAGAAAAATTCAAGTTACCCAAGAGGTGAGCACACAGCTAAACTTCTCTTTTCCTTCGCTTCTTTGATGGTATCCGAACTGCTTTGAAGAGTTTCCTTGAAAAACAAAGCTCCCCAGATTGCATTCCTGGGGGCTGTCAAAGAAACTGTAATCCTTTAATAAGCCCTCCAGCACCTCTGGTATCTGGATACTCCGGGGACTTGGAGAATCCTTAACGTCTCTATTTTTTGGTTTGCCTTTTTCCTGGGACCGCCGGGACGCAGCGATCCATTTCGATATTGAAACTGTGCCAAGGCTAAGGCTTAGGTGGAAACAAATGGAATATATCCTTGTCACTGACCCGGCTTTGCCAGCATGCCCCCTCATCATCCCAAGTGCCCCTGTGGGCTTCCTCCCACCTGCCTGCCCTGCTTCCTTTACAAGAGGCTAAGCCGACACCACGCGAGTGTGTACGCGCTGGGGACTGAGCCCCCGAAGCGAAGCCCTGTCGGAGGAGTTTCAGGCGGGAGTGGGAACGGCTGGGCGTGGGGTCAGCAACGGCGCCACCCGGTAGGGTGGGGGGAGCCAGGCTTGTCAGAGCCAGAGCGCGTCACCGTCGCCGCGAGAGACGCCGCGCTGCCCAATAGGCAGAGGCGCTCCCTAGCAGCCTGGTGGGAGCAGAGATATAAAAGTGCTCCAACAAACCCGGAGCTGGCGTGCCGACCGCGGGCTGGTGGCGGGCGGCGCGGTGCTCCGCGCGTCCGGGCTCCCTGGCTCCTCGGGACGGCCTTGTATGCTGTGCGCCCCGCACCCCGGCTGCGCGCTCCGATCCCAGCGGGAGGGGACGCCCGGCCCGCAGGCTCCCAGGGGAGGGGTGGCTCCTGCAAAATGGTCCCTCACCTCTTGCTGCTCTGTCTCCTCCCCTTGGTGCGAGCCACCGAGCCCCACGAGGGCCGGGCCGACGAGCAGAGCGCGGAGGCGGCCCTGGCCGTGCCCAATGCCTCGCACTTCTTCTCTTGGAACAACTACACCTTCTCCGACTGGCAGAACTTTGTGGGCAGGAGGCGCTACGGCGCTGAGTCCCAGAACCCCACGGTGAAAGCCCTGCTCATTGTGGCTTACTCCTTCATCATTGTCTTCTCACTCTTTGGCAACGTCCTGGTCTGTCATGTCATCTTCAAGAACCAGCGAATGCACTCGGCCACCAGCCTCTTCATCGTCAACCTGGCAGTTGCCGACATAATGATCACGCTGCTCAACACCCCCTTCACTTTGGTAAGGGGCCCGCTGCCTGCCGCCCCACCTTCTGTCTTCGTCTCCCTTTCCTCTCTCAGTTCTCTGGCCTCCCTCTGCCGTTCTGCGTCTCCCTGTGGGTCCCCACTTCTCTCTCCACATCTCTCTTCCTCCTCATTTCTCCTCTCCTCTGCCTCTGTCTTCCTGTCCTAGTCTCTTTTCTCCCTCCTCTGTCATCTCGGTTCTTGTATCTCTCCTGTTTTTCTTAGTCTTTCTTTCAGTCTCTGTCTCTCTCTCTGAAGTCTTTCTGTCTCTCTTCTCTATCTCTCAGTGTCCTCATCTTTTTTTTTTTTTTTGTCTTTCAGCCTCCCTATTCATCTGTCTCTGTCTCCTCACCTGTTATCTCTTTTTCTTCTTGTCAGTCTCTCTGTGATTTTATTTTTCTATTCTCTCTCCTCTCCTCTCCTCTCCCCACCTCTCCTCTCTTCCTCTCTCCCCTGCCTCACTCTCTGATTTCTCCCCACTTTTTTCTGTCTCATCGCCTTATCAGCCAGAGCTTCTGCGGCGGTGGCATTGGGTCAATGGTTTGAGTGTCTGCAGCCAGCTGGAAATGAATGACCATTTCCTGTTTAATCTCACTGGGTCTGGGCTTGCTTGATAATTGAGCAGTAAATCAATGCCCCTGAAATGTCAGCAGAGATGATCAGGTCCCCCTCCCTCTGAATTGCAGCCTGTTCAGTGCCCAGCCGTACCCATGGGATACTGCTTTGTGCTACAACTGAAATATCAAACAATTGCTAATTGTTAATGGAACATTAAGTGCATTTTCCCAGACCACTTATTTAAAGTGCATTTCCCTTCTGTGGGTTGATAATGAGGCTGTGTTTGAGGTCTGTGTTGAGGAAGAAATGAGGGGAGGTGGGCTTGGGCCCCAGAAATCGGGCAGGCTGGGGGCATTTGCACATTGGCAGCTGATGGGATTCTTCCCCAAGCCCTGGCTACTTAGCGCTGGTGGTGTCCCGCTGTGACCGGGGAGTGTGGCTCTCATGGATGATTTGGGACTGTAAGGGCGATGACTGAGCAACCATAGTGACAGTTATACTGCATGTTTCTCTAGTGTGTTATATTTTTTCATTTTATGGAATAACTTTGTCATTTGAGTGATTACTAAAGCAATATCTATTAATCCCTCTCTGTCTGTCTCCTTGCCATCTCTCATACACAACCAGATATAACAGACAAGCAAAAAACACAGGATGAACCCCCACAAGTCCATCACCTGTGTGAACATCCTTCCAAATCTTATATTGAAAAAGTACCCTCACATTCTCTTTCTCATCCTCACTTATTAGAATATTACTCACATTTTGCAGATGAGAAAACTAGGGCACAGAGAGGTTCAATCCCTTGTCCAAAGCCACCTGGCCAGTAGTTGGCAGAGCCAGGATGAGAATTCCATCCCCTAACTCAAATCCAGAGGTCGGTCCACTAACCAGCCAGCTGGGAGTGAAGGACACTCTTGGACCATGTTTAGCTTCTGCTACTCCAAACCCTGGACTTGTTCTGATCTCCTTTCAGCCTACGTCTAACGTATTGATGGCCACTTAATATCCCCTGGGCATTACCCAAGGATGAGTGGGCTTTCAAATACTCTCCTCCTCCCTGGGTGTCTCAAAGCACAAGACAACAGCATCCCTGTCACCCGTTGGCGCCTCCCTTGGTTTCTGACCTGAGAATCTACAGTGGTACGGTTGGGCTGTGCTACCTAGGTTGGGAACTGGGAAGCCACAGAACATGGCCTTTTTTGCTGCTGCCCAGAGCCAGGATACAGGGCTGGATCTGCAGCAGACACAAGAAGGGGTAGGGAGGCCATGGACGCGAGGACAGGCTACACCTGAGAGCTGGCAATACCTGCCCCAGAGGATCTCCTGCAAGAGACAGGATGCCAAGGTCCTCAGAGCCCAGCACCCCCTCCAGTATGAGCCAAAGCAGCTTAGCCTTGAACCTGACCCATCAAGCTGCCCCAATCCAAACTTGGATTACAGTTTATAAGGTGCTGGCAGGTAGGAAAGGGAGAAGGTTGTGGGGAGGGACTTCCAACCCCTTGGCCTTACTCAGCACAGGCTCCCCCATCGGGAAAGGCATCCCTGCCTTTGCCTGATTGGCAACAATATCCTTCTTCCCTGGTCTCCCTTCCTGTCCACTTAATCTACTGCAGTCAGCATGAAGCCTAGCTCTGATGATGGACAGAAAAGCAGACAATTACTTACAGTTCCCATGGTAGATAAAGATAGATGCACAGAGAACGTAGAGGAGGGAGTCTTTCATTCTGACCCATCAGAGTCCCACGAGAGGGTCAAAGGAGACTGCAAAGAATGTGACATTTCAACAGGACCTGACTGAATAGAAATTTCCCGGGTTGAGATGAACACTTAGTGCAGACAGAGGGACCAGGGAGAACAAAGGCATCGAAGCATCAAAGTTCACTTTGTGTTGAGGGAACATTGAGTGGCTCAATGAAGCTGGAGCATCAGGAAGCACAGCGGAGGAGTGGGCAGGGGAGGGAGAAGCGGAGGTGGCCAGAAGGAAAGGCGGGGCCAGGTTGTGAAGGGGCCTGGATACTCTGTCCTGAGAGCCAGGATGATTCCAAACAGGAGGGTGACAACAATATGATTGTGGTTAGCAGAAATGCTGTCAGGAGTGTGAAGGCTGAATTCCAAGGTGACAAACCTGGAGAACTGGGAAAGCTGTTCAGAGGCTATAATAGTCCAAGGGAGAGATAATGGGGTACCCCACAAGGCCCATGGCCTTGGGACTGAAGAAGAGGGAACAGTTTTGAAAATCAGTGAGAGGCAGAACTGGTTGGATTTGGTAATCCCAATGTGAAGGGTGAGAAGTTGGAATAGCTGAAGATTTCTAGCTCTATAATGTTACTGAACTGCTCAAAAGCCTCAATGGCTCCTCCCTGTCCTCTGCAAAGAAAGTAACATCCCTGGTCTGTTGTCCTAGTTTCAAGATCTGGCCGGACTTGACATGACTCTTGTTCACACACTCCAGACAAGCCAATCCACTCCTTATTCCCCAAACAGGTCCTGGGATTTCTGATCCAGTGCCAATGCCTTTTGTCCTCATCTCCACATGTGCAAATCCCTCTTCAGTTCAAATGTCTCATATGTTGTAATAATGGCAGTTGATAGCGTTAAGTACTTGCTATGTACTAGGCACTGTTGTACCTACTTTACATGTGTTAACAATCTTGATTGATGTAACAACCATGTGAAAAGGGTTAGCCCATTTTACAGATGAGGAAAGTGGGGCTCAGAGGGCCCAATGCCTTGCCCAAGGTCACAGTGATCAGTGGCAAACACCCTGCTGTAAGTCACTACATTATACTCCTTCTCTTGGGCCAACTTGCCCTATTTCTATGCCTCTGTGCCTCTGCCCACTCCCATCCCTATGTGGTGGCCCCATTGCCCTTTAATCAGTCTCTACAGAGCACTGATTACTTTCTGTCTTGCACTTGAGTTGAGCCCGCCTCTGCCCTGGCTGCAAACTCCTTAATCAGAATCAATGCTCAATCTCTCTCAGGCATGGGACGTTACTCACAGGAGCTGCTCAAGTACTAATTGAATGAGTAAATAGTGCTGGGTGATGTGGGATAAGGACCGGGCCTGCTTCTAGGGCCCTACACGGTTTGGGGAGCTTGTCTTCTCTCCCCACACCTGTTCATACCTCTCCAGGTCCCTGGGTGTCCTCCCCAGATGATGACTTGCAAGGCCAGTTTAGCCAAGATTTGCCAGCACAGCCCACATGCTATGTTGTGACAATTCAGATATGTCTCCCCTACTAGAGTGAACTTGTGTGGACCAAGAATGAATTTTGTTATTGCACATAAAGATAGCTACTATTTACTTCTAATAATATCTGAACAATCTGCCAGACATTGTGTTTTGCCCTTTACAGACATTTAAAAAATTTAAACCTTATACTAAGCCTATAAGGAAGAGATTTTTTAGGGCTTTTTTTTTTTTTTGCAAATGAGGAAACAGATTCAGAGAGGTTACCTATCTTGCCCAAGCCCTCACAGTAAGAAACTATTAGAGGTGGGAAGTCCAACTCCATAGCACACATCCTTCCCAGGCTCTCCTGGCACCTAATGGAGCCTGGCCCAGAAGCATGATCAGGGTTTGTTGAATTGAATGAATGAAAATGAGTTGTGCTGGAGAAAATCATGTTTACTCCACAATTCAGTATCATAGACAGAAAGAAGGGAGGAGCTGGAGGAATCCCCCTAAGGGCATGCTCCTCAGAGACCTCTAGGGATGGGTGTCAAAGTCAAGGCCTGTCTGTCTCCTAACATCTTTGGGCTCATCTCCAGGTTCGCTTTGTGAACAGCACATGGATATTTGGGAAGGGCATGTGCCATGTCAGCCGCTTTGCCCAGTACTGCTCACTGCACGTCTCAGCACTGACACTGACAGCCATTGCGGTGGATCGCCACCAGGTGAGGGCACCTACCCCTAATGCTCTGCTCTTCCCTCTCTTGCTTCCCTTTCCTGGAAGTTGCAGGGGCTCTGAAGACAGTGTTTTAGCCCAGTTTTCAATGAGTGTGTTTCTCTTCTTATTGATCAACATGAACACATAGGTTAGGGATATTAAGCCCTTTGTCATAATTTTTTTTTGAGACAGAGTTTCACTCTTGTTGCTCAGGCTGGAGTGCAGTGGCACCATCTCGACTCACTGCAACCTCCGCCTCCTGGGTTCAAGCAAATCTCCTGCCTCAGCCTCCTGAGTAGCTGGGATTACAGGTGCTCGCCACCACGCCTGGCTAGTTTTCGTACTTTTAGTAGAGATAGGGTTTTGCCATGTCGGCCAGGCTGGTCTCGAACTCCTGACCTCAGGTGATCCACCCGCCTCAGCCTCCCAAAGTGCTGGAATTACAGACGTGAGCCACCATGCCCGGCCATTGCTGGCATTTTCTGTCTCAGAAATTAGTGAGCTTGTTTGAGGATAGAAAAGCAAACCCGGAAAATCACAGATGAAAGGAGAGAGGAGTAATTGCAGGTCAGAGATGAGTGAGAGATGAATATTCACCAATTCAGGCTGTTCAGACGGAAAACAAGCCAGGATGTCCAGGTGGCAGGAGCAGGCATTGCAGTGGAGCATGGTGGCCCTGGGTCAGGAAGATGTTCTAATAGTTCTGCCCCCATGGGAAGCTCATGGGTATATATGGTGAAAGGAACTGACCAGGACATCAAAGAAGGACAGCTTCATGCCAGGTGCCTTTTCCATGCTTACTCAATGAACTCACGTTGTACGCTTAGACCTACGCTGAATTATAGAATGGAGGCTCAGGAAAGTGCATATGTAGCTTTTCCGAGATCATGTGCCTGTGAATGGTGAAGCTAGGATTAGGACTGAGGTCTGTCTGGCTCCAAGCCCATGTTCCAGTCACTAGACCATGCTGCTCTGAGAAGACTCAAAGGAATCTACAAGGCCAGTATTATGAGGGCCACCAGACACAGAAAGATGAGATTTATTCTGAGTAGCACCATGAGATGCAGCAAGGACCACGGGATAGGAGGCTTCAAAGATGCAGATTCAAAGATACAGTCCAATGTGGGAAGAATTCTCTCATAGAAGTGTCTAAAGGTGGACAAACCTGCCTGGGAGGTAATGAGTTTCATGTCACCAGCCATATTAGAGCAAAGTGAGGATGACAACTTGATGGGGAGGTATTCGAGGAGATTCCAGCATCTGGTAAGGAATGGGACTAGTCAAAATTTGAGATCTCTTTATCTCTGAAATGCCAGAATTTTGTAAGAATCAATCTTAATTTATGTTGCAGATGCTTTAGTGTAAAGTGTGAAAAGTTTGCATATAAATATTTCCTGCCTTTTCTTAACCATCTCCCTTAATTTAACTAGAAGGACTTCTGATTACTTTTACCTGGCCTATGCTTACCCCAGATTAACGCAACTGAGCATTGACCATGGGCTAAGGATGGGTCTGGGGAGTGGGGGCAAAGCCTTGCTCATGTTGACCATGTTACTGCAACATATACCCCAACAAGGGGCTCTGTCCCAAGGCCAGCAGAGTCCTTGAGAAGTGCTTGGAGCCTCTGCCCCAGGCTGCCACTCCCTTCAGCAATCTGAACACAAGAGTATGAGGGGCAGAGATGGCTGAATCCAGAAGGGAGATGTGCTGTCAGCTTCTGAAGCCTCATTGCTTCCTCCCATAAAACCTTGAAAACATTGGGAGGAATTAAAAAAAAGCTCGAGACACAGCCAGAATGTCCAGTGTGTTCTGGGATGGCATCTAGAGGTGGTGCCAGCTCTTCCTGACCTCTTCCCCCAACCCTGGACTAACCTATCCCAAATGCCTTTTTCAAAAAATAATGTTTCTCATCTGAAAATGAGGATGGTTTTAAATCCCTAAGTCTTTATTTAAACCTTTTAGGATAATTGATTGATATACAGTAGCAACTCCAAGATGCATTTCAGTCTGAAGCCTGTAACACTGACTTTATTGTAGGTGTGTGAGAGCTGGGCCCTGGTGAGATTTTAGTAATGGCTTTCATAAACATGTTGGGAGTTCCCACATAAGTGTCTGTGCAGCTTCCCAGGATGAGTGATGAGAATGGCCTCTTCCTGTCTGTCAGCTCAGACCCTCTCAGAGTCCATCATAATCTAAGGGGTCTAGAATCATGGGAAGATGAGCTCAGGTCCCAAGGAGGTGGGGGCTGACCGTGGGCTTGCTCCTCTCCCAGCCTTGCCGTGGTGCCATGCGAGCAGCCTTCCTCCTGGACCCCTCCCCAGTCCTCTCACTGGACCCTGGTTCAGCCTGAGTATGACCAGCGGGGCAGATGACCTGCCCCGGTTTTCTGAATCCAGATGACCCTTTCTTTCCTCTTCTGGAGGTGGGCTGTTGAGTGGGGCATGGCTGGGACTCCTCTCCCCCAGCAGCTACCTGATGTAGCTCAGGGGCTCAATAATGAACATAAGGGGTGCTTGACTTTATCAATAGGGCCTGCCTTATGTGACAAGTGAGCCGTGCCATCCAGATTTCTTTTTATTTATTTATGTATTTTCATTTTTTTAAATATATAGAGACAGGGTCTCACTGTGTTGCCCAGTCTGGTCTAGAACTCCTGGGCTCAAGTGATCCTTCTGCCTCAGACTCCCAAAGTGCTGGGATTACAGGAGTGAGCACCTGCGCCTGACCCAGATTTCTGATTTGCTCCAAAACGTCTTCAGTTAGTGATGTGGTTTGCTTGTTTTCCAGGTCATCATGCACCCCTTGAAACCCCGGATCTCAATCACAAAGGGTGTCATCTACATCGCTGTCATCTGGACCATGGCTACGTTCTTTTCACTCCCACATGCTATCTGCCAGAAATTATTTACCTTCAAATACAGGTGAGATGAATTCGTTGGGATCTGCCTGGGGACTTGTGTCTTCTCCTGAGTCAGGCTCCACCAAGGGATACCTGAGGCCCCCAGGAGCTCACAACTGTCTGAGTAACTAGTACCTGTCTTACTGAGTCTTTCTCTGGCTCGCTCCCATCCTGTTACCTCCTTGTCCATGCCTGTCCTCTACATTTTGTCTGCTTTCTCTCTTCTTTAGCTTCTCCCTTATTCTCTTTCCGGGTTCTCTGCAAGGACAAAGCAATAATTATCAGCATCTGTCACCAGGGTGCCGTACTTACGCAGCCTGAGATCCCAGTCACCAAGGCCTTGTTGAAAAGGAGCAAGGTGTAAACCTCTCACACTATCTACAAACAAAATCCGCATGCATGCCTGAGCCTGAGGCAGGCTTCTCTACCTCCCCCACCTACCATGTATGTTTATCATATGCTATCACTGAATGAGAACGTCTTTCTTTCAACACTCAGTTTTTTAAAACTTCAACTGGTTCATTAGGTGATCTCCCTGCTGGACTGTCAGTTTGGGAAGAATTGGCCCAGTTTCTTTGTTATCTCGGTGATCTCAACACTTAGCTTACCACCTCCACATAACAGGCTCTTGGTACATATTTACTGAATGAATGAATGATCTTAGAGTGATTTTTTTTTTTTGAGACAGAGTCTCGTTTTATTGCCCAGGCTGGAGTACAATGGCAGGATCTCAGATCACTGTAACCTCCGCCACCTGGGTTCAAGCAATTCTCCTGCCTCAGCTTCCCAAGTAGCTGGGATTACAGGCACGCACCATCATGCCTAGCTAATTTTTTGTATTTTTAGTAGAAATGGGGTTTCACCGTATTGGCCAGGCTGGTATCGAACTTCTGATCTCAGGTTATCCGCCTACCTTGGGCTCCCAAAGTGCTGAGATTACAGGCATGAGCCACCACGCCTGGCCCCATAGAGTGATTTTTGTCATTTATTGATGGTGGTGGTGGTGGTCACTGGTATGTCTTTTTAAAAAAATTTGTTTTATTATACTTTAAATTCTGGGGTACATGTACACAATGTGCAGTTTTGTGGTATACACGTGCCATGGTGGTTTGCTGCACCCATCAAACCGTCACCTACATTAGGTATTTCTCCTAATGTTGTCCCTCTGCTTGCCCCCCACCTCCTGACAGGACCCAGTGTGTGATGTTTCCCTCCCTAGGTCCATGTGTTCTCATTGTTAAACTCTCACTTATGAGTGAGAATATGTGGTGTTTGGTTTTCTGTTCTTGTGATAGTTTGCTGAGAATGATGGTTTCCAGCTTCATCCATGTCCCCGCAAAGGACATGAACTCATCCTTTTTTACGGCTGCATAGTATTCCATGGTGTATGTGTGCCACATTTTCTTTATCCAGTCTATCATTGATGGACATTTGGGTTGGTTCCAAGTCTTTGCTATTGTGAATAGTGCCGCAATAAACATATGTGTGCGTGTGTCTTTATAGTAGAATGATTTATAATTCTTTGGGTGTATACCCAATAATGGGATTGCTGGGTCAAATGGTATTTCTAGTTCTAGATACTTGAGGAATCATCACACTGTCTTCCACAATGGTTGAACTAATTTACACTCCCACCAACAGTGTAAAAGCATTCCTATTTCTCCACATCCTCTCCAGCATCAATTGTTTCCTGACTTTTTAATGATTGCCATTCTAACTGGCATGAGATTGTATCTCATTGTAATTTTGATTTGCATTTCTCTGATGACGAGTGATGACAAGCATTTTTTCAAATGTCTCTTGGCTGCATAAATGTCTTCTTCTGAGAAGTGTCTGTTCATATCCTTTGCCCACTTGTTGATGGGGTTGTTTGTTTGTTTTCTTGTAAATTTGTTTAAGTTCTTTGTAGATCCTGGGTATTAGCCCTTTGTCAGATGGATAGATTGCAAAAATTTTGTCCCATTCTGTAGGTTGCCTGTTCACTCTGATTGCTAGTTTCTTGTGCTGTGTAGAAGCTCTTTAGTTTAATTAGATCCCATTTGTCTATTTAGGCTTTTGTTGCCATTGCTTTTGGTATTTTAGACATGAAGTCTTTGCCCATGCCTACGTCCTGAATGGTATCCAGGCTTTCTTCTAGGATTTTTATGATTCTAGGTCTTAGTTTAAGTCTTTGATCCATCTTGAGTTGATTTTTGTATAAGGTGTAAAGAGGGGGTCCAGTTTCAGTTTTCTACATATGGCTAGCCAGTTTTTCCAACAACATTTATTGAATAGGGACTCTTTCCCTCATTGTGTGTTTGTGTCAGGTGTGTCAAAAATCAGATGGTTGTAGATGTGTGGTGTTATTTCTGAGGGCTCTGTTCCATTCCATTGGTCTATATCTCTGTTTTGGTACCAGCAACATGCTGTTTTGGTTACTGTAGCCTTGTAGTATAGTTTGAAGTCAGGTAGCGTGATGCCTCTAGCTTTGTTCTTCTTGCCCAGGAATGTCTTGGCAATGCGGGCTCTTTTTTGGTTCCATACGAATTTTAAAGTAGTTTTTTCCAATTCTGTGAAGAAACTCAGTGGTAGCTTGATGGGGATAGCATTGAACCTATAAATTACTTTGAGCAGTATGGCCATTTTCATGATATTGATTCTTCCTATCCATGAGCATGGAATGTTTTTCCATTTGTTTGTGTCTTCTGTTATTTTGTTGAGCAGTGGTTTGTAGTTCTCCTTGAAGAGGTCCTTCACATCTCTTGTAAGTTGTATTCCTAGGCATTTTATTCTCTTAGTAGCAATTGTGAGTGGGAGTTCACTCATGATTTGGCTCTCTGTTTGTCTGTTATTGGTGTATAGGAATGGTCGTGATTTTTGCACATTGATTTAGTATTCTGAGATTTTCCTGAAGTTGCTTATCAGCTTAAGGAGATTTTGGGCTGAGACAATGGGGTTTTCTAAATACACAATCATGTCATCTGCAAACAGAGACAATTTGACTTCCTCTCTTCCCATTTGAATATCCTTTCTTTCTTTCTCCTGCCTGATTGCCCTGGCCAAAACTTCCAATACTACGTTGAATAGGAGTGGTGAGAGACGGCATCCTTATTTTATGCCAGTTTTCAAAGGGAATGCTTCCAGTTTTTGTTCACTCATTATGATATTGGCTATGGGTTTGTCATAAATCTTTCTTTTTTTTTTCTTTTTTATATTTTAAGTTTTAGGGTAGGTGTGCACAATGTGCAGGTTTGTTACATGTGTATACATGTGCCATGTTGGTGTGCTGCACCCATTAACTCATCATTTACATTAGGTATATCTCCTAATGCTGTTCCTCCCACCTCCCCCCACCCCACAACAGTCCCCAGTGTGTGATATTCCCCTTCCTGTGTCCAAGTGTTCTCATTGTTCAATTCCCACCTATGAGTGAGAACATGCGGTGTTTGGTTTTTTGTCCTTGTGATAGTTTGCTGAGAATGATGGTTTCAAGCTTAATCCATGTCCCCACAAAGGACATGAACTCATTATTTTTTATGGCTGCATAGTATTCCATGGTGTATATGTGCCACATTTTCTTAATCCAGTCTATCATTGTTGGACATTTGGGTTGGCTCCAAGTCTTTGCTATTGTGAATAGTGCCGCAATAATCATACGTCTGCATGTGTCTTTATAGCAGCAGGATTTATAATCCTTCGGGTATATACCCAGTAATGGGATGGCTGGGTCAAATGGTATTTCTAGTTCTAGATCCCTGAGGAATCGCCACACTGACTTCCACAGTGGTTGAACTAGTTTACAGTCCCACCAACAGTGTCAAAGTATTCCTATTTCTCCACAGCCTCTCCAGCACCTGTTGTTTCCTGACTTTTTAATGATTGCCATTCTAACTGGTGTGAGATGGTATCTCATTGTGGTTTTGATTTGCATTTCTCTGATGGCCAGTGATAATGAGCATTTTTTCATGTGTCTGTTGGCTGCATAAATGTCTTCTTTTGAGAAGTGTTGGTTCATATCCTTCGCCCACTTGTTGATGGGGTTGATTTTTCTTGTAAATTTGTTTGAGTTCTTTGTAGATTCTGGATATCAGCCCTTTGTCAGATGAGTAGATTGCAAAAATTTTCTCCCATTCTGTAAGTTGCCTGTTCACTCTGATGGTAGTTTCTTTTGCTCTGCAGAAGCTCTTTAGTTTAATTAGATCCCATTTGTCAATTTTGGCTTTTGTTGCCGTTGCTTTTGGTGTTTTAGACATGAAGTCCTTGCCCATGCCTGTGTCCTGAATGGTATTGCCTAGGTTTTCTTCTAGGGTTTTTATGGTTTTAGGTCTAACATTTAAGTCTTTAATCCATCTTGAATTAATTTTTGTGTAAGGTGTAAGGAAGGGATCCAGTTTCAGCTTTCTACATATGGCTAGCCAATTTTCCCAGCACCATTTATTAAATAGGGAATCCTTTCCCCATTTCTTGTTTTTGTCAGGTTTGTCAAGGACCAGATAGTTGTAGATACGTGGCATTATTTCTGAGGGCTCTGTTCTGTTCCATTGGTTTATATCTCTGTTTTGGTACCAGTACCATGCTGTTTTGGTTACTGTAGCCTTGTAGTATAGTTTGAAGTCAGGTAGCATGATGCCTCCAGCTTTGTTCTTTTGCCTTAGGATTGACTTGGCAATGTGGGCTCTTTTTTGGTTCCATATGAACTTTAAAGTAGTTTTCTCCAATTCTGTGAAGAAAGTCACTGGTAGCTTGATGGGGATGGCATTGAATCTATAAATTACCTTGGGCAGTATGGCCATTTTCACAATACTGATTCTTCCTACCCACGAGCATGGAATATTCTTCCATTTGTTTGTATCCTCTTTTATTTCCTTGAGCAGTGGTTTGTAGTTCTCCTTGAAGAGGTCCTTCACATCCCTTGTAAGTTGGATTCCTAGGTATTTTATTGTCTTTGAAGCAATTGTGAATGGGAGTTCACTCATGATTTGGCTCTCTGTTTGTCTGTTATTGGTGTATAAGAATGCTTGTGATTTTTGCACATTGATTTTATATCCTGAGACTTTGCTGAAGTTGCTTATCAGCTTAAGGAGATTTTGGGCTGAGATGATGGGGTTTTCTAGATATACGATCATGTCATCTGCAAACAGGGACAATTTGACTTCCTCTTTTCCTAACAGAATACCCTTTATTTCCTTCTCCTGCCTGATTGCCCTGGCCAGAACTTCCAACACTGTGTTGAATAGGAGTGGTGAGAGAGGGCATGCCTGTCTTGTGCCAGTTTTCAAAGGGAATGCTTCCAGTTTTTGCCCATTCAGAATGATATTGGCTGTGGGTTTGTCATAGATAGCTCTTATTATTTTGAGATACGTCCCATCAATACCTAATTTACTGAGTTTTTAGCATGAAGGGCTGTTGAATTTTGTCAAAGGCCTTTTCTGCATCTATTGAGATAATCGTGTGGTTTTTGTCATTGGTTCTGTTTATATGCTGGATTACGTTTATTGATTTGTATATGTTGAACCAGCCTTGCATCCCAGGGATGAAGCCCACTTGATCATGGTGGATAAGCTTTTTGATGTGTTGCTGGATTCGGTTTGCCAGTATTGTATTGAGGATTTTTGCATTGATGTTCGTCTGGGATATTGGTCTAAAATTCTTTTTGTTGTGTCTCTGCCAGGCTTTGGTATCAGGACGATGCTGGCCTCATAAAATGAGTTAGGGAGGATTCCCTCTTTTTCTATTGATTGGAATAGTTTCAGAAGGAATGGTACCAGCTCCTCCTTGTACCTCTGGTAGAAATCGGCTGTGAATCCGTCTGGTCCTGGACTTTTTTTGGTTGGTAGGCTATTAATTATTGCCTCCATTTCAGAGCCTGTTATTGGTCTATTCAGAGATTCAACTTCTTCCTGGTTTAGTCTTGGGAGGGTGTATGTGTCGAGGAAATTATCCATTTCTTCCAGATTTTCTAGTTTATTTGCATAGAGGTGTTTATAGTATTCTCTGATGGTAGTTTGTATTTCTGTGGGATTAGTGGTGATATCTGCTTTATCATTTTTTATTGCATCTATTTGATTCTTCTCTCTTTTCTTCTTTATTAGTCTTGCTAGCGGTCTATCAATTTTGTTGATCTTTTCAAAAAACCAGCTCCTGGATTCATTGATTTTTTGAAGAGTTTTCTGTGTCTCTATCTCCTTCAGTTCTGCTCTGATGTTAGTTATTTCTTGCCTTCTGCTAGCTTTTGAATGTGTTTGCTCTTGCTTCTCTTGTTCTTTTAATTGTGATGTTAGGGTGTCAATTTTAGATCTTTCCTGGTTTCCCTTGTGGGCATTTAGTGCTATAAATTTCCCCCTACACACTGTTTTAAATGTGTCCCAGAGATTGTGGTATGTTGTGTCTTTGTTCTCTTTGGTTTCAGAGAACATCTTTATTTCTGCCTTCATTTCATTATGTACCCAGTAGTCATTCAGGAGCAGGTTGTTCAATTTCCATGTAGTTGAGCGGTTTTGAGTGAGTTTCTTAATCCTGAGATCTAGTTTGATTGCTCTGTGTTCTGGGAGAGAGTTTGTTATAATTTCTGTTCTTTTACATTTGCTGAGGAGTGCTTTACTTCCAACTATGTGGTCAATTTTGGAATAAGTGCACTGTGGTGCTGAGAAGAATGTGTAATCTGTTGATTTGGGGTGGAGAGTTCTGTAGATGTCTATTAGGTCCACTTGGTGCAGAGCTGAGTTCAATTACTGGATGTCCTTGTTAACTTTCTGTCTCATTGATCTGTGTAATGTTGACAATGTGGTGTTAAAGTCTCCCATTATTATTGTGTGGGAGTCTAAGTCTCTTTGTAGGTCTCTAAGGACTTGCTTTATGAATCTGGGTGCTCCTGTATTGGGTGCATATATATTTAGGATAGTTAGCTCTTCTTTTTGAATTGATCCCTTTACCATTATGTAATGGCCTTTGGTTTAAAGTCTGTTTTATCAGAGACTAGGATTGCAACCCCTGCGTTTTTTTGTTTTCCATTTGCTTGGTAGATCTTTCTCCATCCCTTTATTTTGAGCCCATATGTGTCTCTGCACATGAGATGGGTTTCCTGAATACAGCACACTGATGGGACTTGACTCTTTATCCAATTTGCCAGGCTGTGTCTTTTAATTGGAGCATTTAGCCCATTTACATTTAAGGTTAATATTATTATGTGTGAATTTGATCCTGTCATTATGATGTTAGCTGGCTATTTTGCTCATTAGTTGGTGCAGTTTCTTCCTAGCCTCAATGGTCTTTACAATTTGGCATGTTTTTGCATTGGCTGGTACCAGTTGTTCCTTTCCATGTTTAGTGCTTCCTTCAGGAGCTCTTGTAGGGCAGGCCTGGTGGTGACAGAGTCTCTCAGCATTTGCTTATCTGTAACGTAATTTATTTCTCCTTCACTTATGAAGCTTAGTTTGGCTGGATATGAAATTTTGGGTTGAAAATTCTTTTCTTTAAGAGTGTTGAATATTGGCCCCCACTCTCTTCTGGCTTGTAGGGTTTCTGCCAAGAGATCCACTGTTAGTCTGATGGGCTTCCCTTTGTGGGTAACCCGACCTTTCTCTCTGACTGCCCTTAACATTTTTTCCTTCGTTTCAACTTCAGTGAATCTGACAATTATGTGTCTTGGAGTTGCTCTTCTTGAGCAGTACTTTTGTGGCATTCTCTGTATTTCCTGAATTTGAATGTTGGCCTGCCTTGCTAGATTGGGGAATTTCTCCTGGATAATATCCTGCAGAGTGTTTTCCAACTTGGTTCCATTCTCCCCGTCACTTTCAGATACACCAATCAGACATAGATTTGGTCTTTTCGCATAGTCCCATATTTCTTGGAGGCTTTGTTCATTTCTTTTTATTCATTTTTCTCTAAACTTCTCTTCTCGCTTCATTTCATTCATTTGATCTTCCATCACTGATACCCTTTCTTCCAGTTGATCACATTGGTTACTGAGGCTTGTGCATTCATCACGTAGTTCTTGTGCCATGGTTTTCAGCTCCATCAGGTCCTTTAAGGACTTCTCAGCATTGGTTATTCTAGTTAGCCATTAGTCTAATCTTTTTTCAAGGTTTTTAACTTCTTTGCCGTGGGTTCGAACTTCCTCCTTTAGCTTGGAGAAGTTTGATCGTCTGAAGCCTTCTTCTCTCAGCTCATCAAAGTCATTCTCCGTCCAGCTTTTTTCCATTGCTGGTGAGGAGCTATGTTCCTTTGGAGGAGGAGAGGTGCTCTGATTTTTAGAATTTTCAGTTTTTCTCCTCTGTTTTTTCCCCATCTTTGTGGTTTTATCTATCTTTGGTCTTTGATGATGGTGACGTACAGATGGGGTTTTGGTGTGGATGTCCTTTCTGTTTGTTAGTTTTCCTTCTAACAGTCGGGACCCTCAGCTTCAGGTCTGTTGGAGTTTGCCGGAGGTCCACTTCAGACCCTGTTTGCCTGGGTATCAGCAGCAGAGGCTGCAGAACAGCAAATATTGGTGAACAGCAAATGTTGCTGCCTGATCAGTTCCTCTGGAAGTTTTGTCTCAGAGGAGTACCTGGCCATGTGAGATGTCAGTCTGCCCCTCCTGGGGGTTGCCTCCCAGGTAGACTACTCGGGGGTCAAGGACCCACTTGAGGACAGTCTATCCGTTCTCAGATCTCAAGCTGCATGCTGGGAGAACCACTACTGTCTTCCAAGCTGTCAGACAGGGACATTTAAATCTGCAGAGGTTTCTACTGCCTTTTGTTTGGCTATTCCCTGTCCCCAGAGGTGGAGTCTACAGAGGGAGGCAGGCCTCCTTGAGCTGCAGTGGGCTCCACCCAATTCAAGCTTCCTGGCCGCTTTGTTTACCTACTCAAGCCTCAGCAATGGCGGACGCTCCTCCCCCAGCCTCGCTGCCGCTGACCTGATTTTCCAGGTGCCGTCTGTCACCCCTTTCCTTGGCTAGGAAAGGGAATTCCCTGACCCCTTGCACTTCCCAGGTGAGGCGATGCCTTGCCCTGCTTCGGCTCATGCTTTGTGTGCTGCACCCACTGTCCTGCACCCACTGTCCGACAATCCCCAGTGAGATGAACCCGGTACCTCTCTTGGAAATGCAGAAATCATTTGTCTTCTGCGTCGCTCACACTGGGAGCTGTAGACTGGAGCTGTTCCTATTCGGCCATCTTGGAACCACCCCATAAATAGTTCTTATTACTTTGAGATATGTTCCATCGATACCCAGTTTATTGAGAGTTTGTAGCATGAAAGGGTGCTGAATTTTGTTGAAGGCCTTTTCTACATCTATTGAGATAATTGTGGTTTTTGTCATTGGTTCTGTTTGTGTGATACATTGTATTTATTGATTTGCATATGTTGAACCAGCCTTGCATCCCAGGGATGAAGCCAACTTGATCACGGTGGATAAGCTTTTTGATGTGCTACTGGATTCAGTTTGCCAGTATTTTATTGAGGATTTTCGCATTCATGTTCCTCAGGGATGTTGGCCTGTAATTTTCTTTTTTTTTGTTGTGTCTCTGCCAGGTTTTGGTATCAGCGTGATGCTGGCCTAATAAAATGAGTTAAGGAGGATTCCTTCTTTTTCTATTGTTTGGAATAGTTTCAGAAGGAATGGTACCAGCTCCTGTTTGTACCTCTGGTAGAATCTGGCTGTGAATCTGTCTGGTCCTGGACTTTTTTTGGTTGGTAGGCTATTAATTACTGCCTCAATTTCAGAACTTGTTAGTGGTTTATTCAGGGATTTGACTTCTTCCTGATTTAGACTTGGGAAGATGTATGTGTCCAGGAATTATCCATTTCTTCTAGATTTTCTAGTTTATTTGTGTAAAGGTGTTTATAGTATTCTGTGATCGGAGTTTGTATTTCTGTGGGATCAGTGGTGATATCCCCTTTATCATTTTTTATTGCATCTATTCGATTCTTCTCTCTTTTCTTCTTTATTAGTCTTCTAGTGGTCTATCAAGTTTGTTGATCTTTTCAAAAAACCAGCTCCTGGTTTCACTGATTTTTTTGAAGGGTTTTTTGTCTCTATCTCCATCAGTTCTGCTCTGATCTTTGTTATTTCTTGCCTTCTGCTAGCTTTTGAATTTGTTTGCTGTTGCTTCTTGAGTTCTTTTAATTTTGATGTTAAGGTGTCAATTTTAGATCTTTCCTGCTTTCTCTTGTGGGCACTTAGTGCTATAAATTTCCCTCTACACACTGCTTTAAATGTGTCCCAGAGATTCTGGTACGTTGTGTCTTCATTCTTCTTGGTTGCAAAGAGCTTCTTTATTTCTACCTTCATATCGTTATTTACTCAGTAGGCATTTCGTAGCTGGTTGTTCAGTTTCCATGTAGTTGTGTGGTTTTGAGTGAGTTTCTTTTTTTTTTTTTCTTTTTTTGTTTGAGACGGAGTCTCACTCTGTCGCCCAGGCTGGAGTGCAGTGGCATGATCTCAGCTCACTGCAAGCTCCACCTCTCCTCCCTCAGCCTCCCGAGTAGCTGGGACTACAGGTGCCCGCTACCAAGCCTGGCTAATTTTTTTTTTGTATTTTTAGTAGAGACAGGGTTTCACTGTGTTAGCCGGGATGGTCTCAAGCTCCTGACCTCATGATCCGCCCGCCTTGGCCTCCGAAAGTGCTGGGATTACAGGCATGAGCCACCGTGCCCGGCCTTGAGTGAGTTTCTTAATCCTGAGTTCTAGTTTGATTGCACTGTGCTCTGAGAGACTGTTATGATTTCTGTTCTTTTGCATTTGCTAAGGAGTGTTTTATTTCCAATTACGTGGTCAATTTTAGAATAAGTGTGATGAGGTACTGAGAAGAATGTATATTCTGTTGATTTGGGGTGGAGAGTTCTGTAGATGTCTATTAGGTCCATTTGGTCGAGAGCTGAGTTCAAGTGCTGAATATCCTTGTTAATTTTCTGTCTCATTGATCTGTCTAATATTGACAGTGGGGTGGTGAAGTCTCCCACTATTATTGTGTGAGAGTCTGAGTCTCTTTGTAGGTCTCTGAGAACTTACTTTATGAATCTGGGTGCTCCTGTATTGGGTGCATATATATTTAGGATAGTTAGCTTTTCTTGCTGCATTGATCCCTTTACCATTATGTAATGCCCTTCTCTGTCTCCTTTGATATTTGTTGGCTTAAAGTCTGTTTTATCAGAGATTAGGATTGTAACTCCTGCTTTTTTTTTTTTTTTTTTTTTTTTGAGATGGTGTTTCACTCTTGTTGCCCATGCTGGAGTGCAATGGCACAATCTCAGCTCACCGCAACCTCTGCCTCCTGGGTTCTCCTGCCTCAGCCTCCCGAGTAGCTGGGATTATAGGCATGTGCCACCATGCCCAGCTAATTTTGTATTTTTAGTAGAAACACGGTTTCTCCATGTTGGTCAGGCTGGTCTGGAACTCCTGACCTCAGGTGATCCGCCCATCTCGGCCTCACAAAGTGCTGGGATTACAGGCATGAGCCACCGTGCTGGGCCTCATTTGTTGTGTTAGATGAGCTTCCTTAGAGACAGGTTTTGTGATAAAGGCAGGTACACCTACAAGTGGCTAATTGAGGCAGTGCTCCCAGGAGCAATGGGAAAGAGAGTGGCAGAGGCTGGACAGAGACCAGGGAGAGACTAAGGAAGGGTATGATTTCAGGGGAAGCTGCCCCTGCCCCACAGGAGGCTCTGGGGCAGACTGAAAATGCAGAGTTTGCCTCACCTTGAGGCCAGGTAACTGGGCTTTCCTATTTCTCCGTCTCTCAGTCTTTTATTACAGGTCTTTCCTAGGAAAATTGGAAACTCCCGACCAATTATGGCTGTAGTGAATCGTGGGAAGGGCCTTGAGTGGCCTTAGGGGAGTCCTAGGCACCTAGAAGATCACAGGTGCCAGCTGTTTCTTCCTGGGGGGTTGGTTCTCCAGACTGCAGGGATCCAGGGAGTGTCTGCCACAGGAGCCATGTGCCACCCCACCTGCAGCACGCGCGCACACACACACACACACACACTCACTCACTCCTGTGACAAAAGCAGGGTCAAGAGAAACAGGCTCGGAAGGCAGATTTCAACTAACTTATAAAGGCCCCCTCCAGGAATTCTAGGACATTGAAATGAATCACTCACCCAGGCCCCCCAACATCCAGGCTGCCCTTCTACCTTTCCACACGGAGGACTTTTTTTCCCCCCTAAAAAAAGCAAAGGAAGTTTCCTCTCTCTTTTGTTAGTGATGACCACCAGGACATAGAACTAGAGCACCAAGCCACATGGATATTCCTAAAAAGGCTGAAGAGGACTGGGGTGCATTCCATATCAAATAAATACTTGTTCTATGAGTGGCTGAAGGGATGTTAGTTCAGGCTTTACCACTCATATGCTCAAGATCCATCATTTCTTTTCTTTATGCCTTAGTTTTCCCTTTAAAATGGGGAAGTAGCAGAATGGGAAATTCTAGGATTTCCTCAAGGATGAGTTAGTTTTCAACCTGGAAACATGAGCATTTCATTCATTTATTCAACAAATATGTATTGGGTCTCTACTGTGGGCTAGGAATTGCACAAGATTAAGAGAACACAGAGAAATTCAGGTGTATTATTTACCTCTATGCAATTCCCAGCCTAGTGGGGGAGGTAGAAATGTAATCAGATAATTAGGCTACAGCATCAAAAGTGCCATATTAGATGGATGTACCAGGAGCCCAGTGGAAGGAGAGGCCAGTGCTTCTTGGGATGAAGCCTTTCCACACTAATATCTCCTTTCTGTTACCTCTCTCCCCCTCCCCACTTCCTGCCCCCAGTGAGGACATTGTGCGCTCCCTCTGCCTGCCAGACTTCCCTGAGCCAGCTGACCTCTTCTGGAAGTACCTGGACTTGGCCACCTTCATCCTGCTCTACATCCTGCCCCTCCTCATCATCTCTGTGGCCTACGCTCGTGTGGCCAAGAAACTGTGGCTGTGTAATATGATTGGCGATGTGACCACAGAGCAGTACTTTGCCCTGCGGCGCAAAAAGAAGAAGACCATCAAGATGTTGATGCTGGTGGTAGTCCTCTTTGCCCTCTGCTGGTTCCCCCTCAACTGCTACGTCCTCCTCCTGTCCAGCAAGGTCATCCGCACCAACAATGCCCTCTACTTTGCCTTCCACTGGTTTGCCATGAGCAGCACCTGCTATAACCCCTTCATATACTGCTGGCTGAACGAGAACTTCAGGATTGAGCTAAAGGCATTACTGAGCATGTGTCAAAGACCTCCCAAGCCTCAGGAGGACAGGCCACCCTCCCCAGTTCCTTCCTTCAGGGTGGCCTGGACAGAGAAGAATGATGGCCAGAGGGCTCCCCTTGCCAATAACCTCCTGCCCACCTCCCAACTCCAGTCTGGGAAGACAGACCTGTCATCTGTGGAACCCATTGTGACGATGAGTTAGAAGAGGTTGGGAAGAGGGAGTGGGAGGGGTCTGTCTCCACCTGAGGCAGGGAAAGAGAGCCTATTCTCACACATGATCTTCAGAGTGCTGGAAACACACTCCTGCAGAAGCTGTAGGACTCTTGAATTCCTAGGAAACTGTCCAGCCTCCTAGCCCCATGTGATGTGAAAACTAAAAGGCACCACCAACTAGACATGTGTTCATAAATTCCCATCTAAGAAACACTGGGAGGCACAGCAGCCTGTATCTCTGAGGAAGAGGAGCGAGGACAACGTTGGCCCAGATGGGGGCTGAATCATTCAACTGCCTCCATCTGTGGGGCAGCTGCTGCCTTACAGCCCTTCCTACTGCTGAGCATCCCTAAGGGAGACCTAAATCATACTTTGGGTGTGGTGACCCAGATGCACAGAGCTCTGCTTGAAACAGGTACACGGGCCAGGGAAATGCCAGCAAGCCAGAGCGGGCGTGGAGATTTTTATGCCTCACTTTCTGGAGTCACTGGGCCATGATGAATCATAAGTCTTCAGTGGCCTAGCAATATCCAGATAAGAAAGGACCAACTTGGGTTCCTTAAAACAAAGGGAAATTATTATTGCCACTTAGAAAAATTCAGAAAAGCACACACTCACATACACACACACAAAATCACTCTCTTATCCCATCCATTTGTGATAACATCTGTGAACATGCTGTGGCTCTATTTGCAACATTTTCCTTCGTGTGTGTGATTGTGTGCATGTGTGCATGACCTTTTTTTTTTCTTTTTTTTTTTTTTTTTGAGATGGAATCTCGCTCTGTCACCCAGGTTGGAGTTCAGTGGCACAATCTCGGCTCACTGCAAGCTCTGCCTCCCAGGTTCATGCCGTTCTCCTGCCTCAGCCTCCCTAGTAGCTGGGACTACAGGTGCCCGCCACCATGCCCGGCTAATCTTTTGCATTTTTAGTAGAGACGGGGTTTCACCGTGTTAGCCAGGATGGTCTCGATCTCCTGACCTCGTGATCCACCTGCCTAGGCCTCCCAAAGTGTTGGGATTACAGGCGTGAGCCACCCCGCCCGGCCCTTTTTTTTCATTTATACTTTTTCATTTAGATTGTAATGATTAACAGAAACAGGGGTACCTTTCCCAGGGGTGTCCACCAGAAGAGTTGAAGAAGAGGTGAGAAGATCCCAAGGTGAAGCCTGTCACCACGCAGACAGAACTGCCCCCTATTGTAGACAGTGGTGGGAAGGGCCTGGCTCACATGCCCCTCCTTAGAGGCAGCCTCAAGATGAACCAGGGAATCAAACTCAACCAGGAGGCATGATTCCTTCTCTCCTGCAATTGCACAAAAACAAGTGGTGGTGAAACATTGTTCTGTTTTCACAAGAGATGAGGGAGCAGGCTTTCCAATATGCTGGAAGTAATTGTGCTTAGACACCTCATCCTCCCAAGCTGTCTAGAAAGGCCATTTCGCTGTGTTGTCTAAATAATGAGGGTTTTTTCACACCATTTCTCAAAAGGAGATTCGCTGTCAACATCATTTTGGTGGTTCAGGTGTAACTTTCACTTACAGAAACTTATGCATCCTTAAGAGATCTCAATTCTTAAGGGTCTAACTTGCCAGAGAAATCTCATTCCAGGGACTGATTGTTTTTATCACCTTCTGTCTGGTCCTGAGTGACTCACTGTGTCACCCAGAAAAGAGACCTGTCAGGCAGAATCGAGCTTAATTCACCTGCTCTAAACAATTGTTACTGACACACTGCTTTTAGGTTTTCTTCTAGCACCAGATAAACTCTGAAATCAAAGCATGGATATGAGCTCAGTAGGAAACTAAGGTTTGAGGGAGAAAGAGTTTGTCACTTAGACCTCTTGGCTGTTAACTGAAACTGAACTTGCTCACATCATCTGCTTCCCTGTAATGAACTATGAGGGTTCTTTATCCTAGTTTCTATTTATGAAGATGGTTGAAAATTTTCAAGACACAAGATTTTGAAAACTCACTGAATTATGGGCAAAACCATGACTTTCATTGGGCAGACAGAGTCTTCTAAGCCCACAGGGATCCCCAGATGGATTTTTCAGGACAAATGGCTCATGTGCCTGTACTTATTGTCTCTGTGGTGTGTCAAGAAGTAGCTAATGGTTTCATCTGAAAGCTGCCATAGAAATTCTGTGAACCAGAATGAGACAAGGCAGCAGGCATACAGAAGGTTTGTCCTGCTCTGGGAAGCATGGAGGATGTTGTACTTCACTCCTCTCTGAGGGTGTCTAGGAATACAGAAGCTCCTTGACTTACATCTCAATAAACCCATCGTAAGTCCAAAATATTGGAAGTTGAAAATGCATTGAATACACCCAACCTACTGAACATCGTAGCTTAGCCAAGCCTACCTTAAATGCTCTGAGAACACTTATATTAGCCTACAGCTGGGAAAAATCATTTAACACAAAGCCTATCTTCTAATGAAGTATGGAATATCTCATGTAATTTATTGAATACTGTACTGAAGGTGAAAACCAGAATGGTTGTATGGATATGCGAAGTATGGTTTCTACTGAATGTGTATTGCTTTCCCATCATCATAAAATTTTTAAAAATCCTAAGTTGAATCATTGTTAGTCCGGGACCTTCAGTACTGCCAAGTCCCAGAGAAAACCCTTTTACTCTGGGGAGAACCCACTGATGGCTCATTAGATCTGTCCCTTCCCCGAGGTCCGTGTGTGACTTTGAGCAAAAAGTGACTTCTTTTTGTGAATGTAAAATTTGTGAAACTTGAGTTTTTCCAATGTGCTGTAAAGTGTTTTATTGTAAATTGCTCATCTCAATAAAATTTACTTCAGGTTTGTGGACTGTGCCTCTTGGATTTGCAATTATGTCACAACTGGTAACCTTTAAAACGGGGTCAGCAGGGATTAGAGGAAGGGAGCATGAAGAGTATCGACTCAATCCTGCATTTTACAGATGCTGAGATTCAAGCCCTGAGAAATTAAATAGCCAGTTGAGGAACCTCTGCCTCTTTGTCTAGTGTTTCTTCCATTGATCAGCTGCCCAAGTTCCCTCTTTTGTATTTACAATCTGTGCTGCATGTTTTAACCTGGGACTCCATCTGTTCCTCAGTGACTCAGGATGAGGCAAAGCTGCCACTCAAGCCTTGAGAGCAATTCTCCCATTTGGCAGTGTGCAGTGCACACCACATTCCCTGTGTTTACCATTCTGCCACTGTAGCCTGGGGTCCTACTATCCTACCAGGTAAGCTGGGTAAGCCTTCATTACATACATAATTACCTGATGCCATTCAGAGTTCAGAAAATTAGTTTCAAACAATTTCACAGAAGGTTGTAAATAGGGGTAATTTGCTAAGCCTAGAGGAAAATTTGAAAGAAAAATGAAAGGTGTAGGCGAAGGAGAGGAACTAAGAATTTGTTACCACCGTCTATGTGCAGTATTGCGTTAAATGCCTCAGAGCTCATTATCTCACTGACCTTCACAGCAGTCCTCCAAGGTGGGCATTATTATTGCAGATGAGGAAACAGAGGCTCAGCCAACTTAGGCAGCCTGCTAAAGGTCATGCACAGCTAAACTGGGAAAAGGCTATCCTTTTGGAGATTAGGTTCTGAGAAGGTATGTAGAATAGAATCTTATTTTATTTTATTATTATTATACTTTAAGTTTTAGGGTACATGTGCACAACGTGCAGGTTTGTTACATATGTTTACATGTGCCATGTTGGTGTGCTGCATCCATTAACTTGTCATTTAGCATTAGGTATATCTCCTAATGCTATCCCTCCCCCCTCCTCCCACCCCACAACCGTCCCCAGTGTGTGATGTTCCCCTTCCTGTGTCCATGTGTTCTCATTGTTCAATTCCCACCTATGAGTGAGAACATGCGGTATTTGGTTTTTTGTCCTTGTGATAGTTTGCTGAGAATGATGGCTTCCAGCTTCATCCATGTCCCTACAAAGGACATGAACTCATCATTTTTTATGGCTGCATAGTATTCCATGGTGTATATGTGCCACATTTTCTTAATCCAGTCTATCATTGTTGGACATTTGGGTTGGTTCCAAGTCTTTGCTATTGTGAATAGTGCCGCAATAAACATACGTGTGCATGTGTCTTCATAGCAGCATGATTTATAGTCCTTTGGGTATGTACCCAGTAATGGGATGGCTGGGTCAAATGGTATTTCTAGTTCTAGATCCCTGAGGAATCACCACACTGACTTCCACAATGGTTGAACTAGTTTACAGTCCCACCAACAGTGTAAAAGTGTTCCTATTTCTCCACATCCTCTCCAGTACTTGTTGTTTCCTGACTTTTTAATGATCGCCATTCTAACTGGTGTGAGATGCTATCTCATTGTGGTTTTGATTTGCATTTCTCTGATGGGCAGTGATGATGAGCATTTTTTCATGTGTTTTTTGGCTGCATAAATGTCTTCTTTTGAGAAGTGTCTGTTCATGTCCTTCGCCCACTTTTTGATGGGGTTGTTTGTTTTTTTTCTTGTAAACTTGTTTGAGTTCATTGTAGATTCTGGATATTAGCCCTTTGTCAGATAAGTAGGTTGCAAAAATTTTCTCCCATTCTGTAGGTTGCCTGTTCACTCTGATGGTAGTTTCTTTTGCTGTGCAGAAGCTCTTTAGTTTAATTAGATCCCATTTGTCAATTTTGGCTTTTGTTGCCATTGCTTTTGGTGTTTTAGTCATGAAGTCTTTGCCTATGCCTATGTCCTGAATGGTATTGCCTAGGTTTTCTTCTAGGGTTTTTATGGTTTTAGGTGTAACATTTAAGTCTTTAATCCATCTTGAATTAATTTTTGTATAAGGTATAAGGAAGGGATCCAGTTTCAGCTTTCTACATATGGCTAGCCAGTTTTCCCAGCACCATTTATTAAATAGGGAATCCTTTCCCCATTTCTTGTTTTTGTCAGGGTTGTCAAAGATCAGATAGTTGTAGATATGTAGATATGGCATTATTTCTGAGGCCTCTGTTCTGTTCCATTGGTTTATATCTCTGTTTTGGTACCAGTACCATGCTGTTTTGGTTACTGTAGCCTTGTAGTATAGTTTGAAGTCAGGTAGTGTGATGCCTCCAGCTTTGTTCTTTTGGCTTAGGATTGACTTGGCAATGCGGGCCCTTTTTTGGTTCCATATGAACTTTAAAGTAGTTTTTTCCAATTCTGTGAAGAAAGTCATTGGTAGCTTGATGGAGATGGCATTGAATCCATAAATTACCTTGGGCAATATGGCCATGTCATGAAATTGATTCTTCTTACCCATGAGCATGGAATGTTCTTCCATTTGTTTGTATCCTCTTTTATTTTGTTGAGCAGTGGTTTGTAGTTCTCCTTGAAGAGGTCCTTCGCATCCCTTGTAAGTTGGATTCCTAGGTATTTTATTGTCTTTGAAGCAATTGTGAATGGGAGTTCACTCATGATTTGGCTCTCTGTTTGTCTGTTATTTGTGTATAAGAATGCTTGTGATTTTTGCACATTGATTTTGTATCCTGAGACTTTGCTGAAATTGCTTATCAGCTTAAGGAGATTTTGGGCTGAGACGATGTGGTTTTCTAGATATACAATCATGTCATCTGCAAACAGGGACATTTGACTTCCTCTTTTCCTAATTGAATACCCTTTATTTCCTTCTCCTGCCTGATTGCCCTGGCCAAAACTTCCAACACTATGTTGAATAGGAGTGGTGAGAGAGGGCATCCCTGTCTTGTGCCAGTTTTCAAAGGGAATGCTTCCAGTTTTTGTCCATTCAGTATGATATTGGCTGTGGGTTTGTCGTAGATAGCTCTTATTATTTTAAGATACGTCCCATCAATACCTAATTTATTGAGAGTTTTTAGCATGAAGGGTTGTTGAATTTTGTCAAATGCGCTTTCTGTGTCTGTTGAGATAATCATGTGGTTTTTGTCTTTGGTTCTGTTTATATGCTGGAGTATGTTTATTGATTTGCGTATTTGAACCAGCCTTGCATCCCAGGGATGAAGCCCACTTGATCATGGTGCATGAGCTTTTTGATGTGTTGCCAGATTCGGTTTGCCAGTATTTTAGTGAGGATTCTTGCATTGATGTTCATCAAGGATATTGGTCTAAAATTCTCTTTTTTTGTTATGTCTCTGCCAGGCTTTGGTATCAGGATGATGCTGGCCTCATAAAATGACTTAGGGAGGATTCCCTCTTTTTCTATTGATTGAAATAGTTTCAGAAGGAATGGTACCAGCTCCTTGTACCTCTGGTAGAATTTGGCTGTGAATCCATCTGGTCCTGTACTTTTTTTGGTTGGTAAGCTATTAATTATTGCCTTAATGTCAGAGCCTGTTATTGGTCTATTCAGAGATTCAACTTCTTCCTCGTTTAGTCTTGGGAGGATGTATTTGTCGAGGAATTTATCCATTTCTTCTAGGTTTTCTAGTTTATTTGTGTAGAGGTGTTTATAGTATTCTCTGATGGTAGTTTGTATTTCTGTGGGATTGGTGATGATATCCCCTTTGTCATTTTTTATTGCATCTATATGATTCTTCTCTCTTTTTTTCTTTATTAGTCTTGTTAGCAGTCTATCAGTTTTGCTGATCTTTTCAAAAAACCAGCTCCTGGATTCATTAATTCTTTGAAGGTTTTTTTGTGTCTCTATTTCCTTCAGTTCTGCTCTGATGTTAGTTATTTCTTGCCTTCTGCTAGCTTTTGAATGTGTTTGCTCTTGCTTCTCTAGTTCTTTTAATTGTGATGTTAGGGTGTCAATTTTAGACCTTTCTTGCTTTCTCTTGTGGGCATTTAGTGCTATAAATTTCCATCTACACACTGCTTTGAATGTGTCCCAGAGATTCTGGTATGTTGTGTCTTTGTTCTTGTTGGTTTCAAAGAACATCTTTATTTCTGCCTTCATTTCGTTATGTACCCAGTAGTCATTCAGGAGCAGGTTGTTCAGTTTCCATGTAGTTGTCCGGTTTTTGAGTGAGTTTCTTAATCCTGAGTTCTAGTTTGATCGCACTGTGTTCTGAGAGACAGTTTGTTATAATTTCTGTTCTTTTACATTTGCTGAGGAGTGCTTTACTTCCAACTATGTGGTCAATTTTGGAGTAGGTGTGGTGCTGAAAAGAATGTATATTCTGTTGATTTGGAGTGGAGAGTTCTGTAGATGTCTATTAGGTCTGCTTGGTGCAGAGCTGAGTTCAATTCCTGGGTATCCTTGTTAACTTTCTGTCTCATTGATCTGTCTAATGTTGACAGTGGGGCGTTAAAGTCTCCCATTATTATTGTGTGGGAGTCTAAGTCTCTTTGTAGGTCACTCAGGACTTGCTTTATGAATCTGGGTGCTCCTGTATTCGGTGCATATGTATTTAGGATAGTTAGCTCTTCTTTTTGAATTAATCCCTTTACCATTACGTAATGGCCTTCTTTGTCTCTTTTGATCTTTGTTGGTTTAAAGTCTGTTTTATCAGAGACTAGGATTGCAACCCCTGCGTTTTTTTGTTTTCCATTTGCTTGGTAGATCTTCCTCCATCCCTTTATTTTGAGCCTATGTGTGTCTCTGCACGTGAGATGGGTTTCCTGAATACAGCACGCTGATGGGTCTTGACTCTTTATCCAATTTGCCAGTCTGTACCTTTTAATTGGAGCATTTAGCCCATTTACATTTAAGGTTAATATTGTTATGTGTGGATTGGATCCTGTCATTATGATGTTAGCTGGTTATTTTGATCGTTAGTTGAAGCAGTTTCTTCCTTTCCTTGATGGTCTTTACAATTTGGCATGTTTTTGCAGTGGCTGGTACCAGTTGTTCCTTTCCATGTTTAGTGCTTCCTTCAGGAGCTCTTTTAGGGCAGGCCTGGTGGTGACAAAATCTCTCAGCATTTGCTTGTCTGTAAAGGATTTTGTTTCTCCTTCACTTATGAAGCTTAGTTTGGCTGGATATGAAATTCTGGGTTGAAAATTCTTTTCTTTAAGAATGTTGAATATTGGCCCCCACTCTCTTCTTTCTTGTAGAGTTTCTGCCAAGAGATCAGCTGTTAGTCTGATGTGCTTCCCTTTGTGGGTAACCCGACCTTTCTCTCTGACTGCCCTTAACATTTTTTCCTTCATTTCAACTTTGGTGAATCTGACAATTATGTGTCTTGGAGTTGCTCTTCTCGAGGAGTATCTTTGTGGCATTCTCTGTATTTCCTTGATTTGAATGTTGGCCTGCCTTGCTAGATTGGGGAAGTTTTCCTGGATAATATCCTGCAGAGTGTTTTCCAACTTGGTTCCATTCTACCCGTCATTTTCAGGTACACCAATGAGACATAGATTTGGTCTTTTCACATAGTCCCATATTTCTTGGAGGCTTTGTTCATTTCTTTTTATTCTTTTTTCTCTAAACTTCTCTTCACGCTTCATTTCATTCATTTGATCTTCCATCACTGATACCCTTTCTTCCAGTTGATCACATTGGTTACTGAGGCTTGTGCATTCGTCACGTAGTTCTTGTGCTATGGTTTTCAGCTCCATCAGGTCCTTTAAGGACTTCTCTGCATTGGTTATTCTAGTTATCCATTTGTCTAATTTTTTTTCAAGGTTTTTAACTTCTTTGCCATTGGTTCGAACTTCCTCCTTTAGCTCGGAGTAGTTTGATCTTCTGAAGCCTTCTTCTTTCAACTCATCAAAGTCATTCTCCATCCAGCTTTGTTCTATTGCTGGTGAGGAGCTGCGTTCCTTTGGAGGAGGAGAGGTGCTCTGATTTTTAGAGTTTCTGGTTTTTCTGCTCTGTGTTTTCCCCATCTTTATGGTTTCATCTACCTTTGGTCTTTGATGATGGTGACGTACAGATGGGTTTTTGGTGTGGATGTCCTTTCTGTTTGTTAGTTTTCCTTTTAACAGTCAGGACCCTCAGCTGCAGGTCTGTTGGAGTTTGCCGGAGGTCCACTCCAGACCCTGTTTGCCTGGGTATCAGCAGCGGTGGCTGCAGAACAGTGGATATTGGTGAACTACAAATGTTGCTGCCTGATCGTTCCTCTGGAAGTTTTGTCTCATGGAGTACCGGGCCGTGTGAGGTGTCAGTCCGCCCCTGCTGGGAGGTGCCTCCCACTTAGGCTACTCGGGGGTCAGGGACCCACTCGAGGAGGCAGTCTGCCAGTTCTCAGATCTCAAGCTGCGTGCTGGAAGAACCACTACTCTCTTCAAAGCTGTGAGACAGGGACATTTAAATCTGCAGAGGTTATTGCTCTCTTTTGTTTTTCTGTGTCCTGCCCCCAGAGGTGGAGTCTACAGAGGCAGGCAGGCCTCCTTGATCTGTGGTGGGCTCCACCCAGTTCGAGCTTCCTGGCTGCTTTGTTTACCTACTCAAGCCTGGGCAATGGCGGACGCCCCTCCCCCAGCCTCACTGCCAACTTGCAGCTTGATCTCAGACTGCTGTGCTAGCAATGACTGAGGCTCCATGGGCGTAGAACCCTCCGAGCCAGGTGCAGGGTATAATCTCCTAGTGTGCCGTTTGTTAAGCCCATTGGAAAAGCACAGTATTAGGGTGGGAGTGACCCAGTTTTTCAGGTGCCATCTGTCACCCCTTTCTTTGACTAGGAAAGGGAATTCCCTGACCCCTTGCTCTTCCCGGGTGAGGCAATGCCTCACCCTGCTTTGGCTCACGCATGGTGCACTGCACCCACTGTCCTGCACCCACTGTCCAGCACTCCCCAGTGAGATGAACCTGGTACCTCAGTTGGAAATGCAGAAATCACCCATCTCCTGTGTCACCTACGCTGGGAGCTGTAGACTGGAACTGTTCCTATTTGGCCATGTTGGCTCCTGTAATCTTAATTTTTAAAAAATCTAGGATTCTCCAAATTTCCCTGATTAAGAGATACCTTTTTTGGTAAAATCTACCAACCATCCTAAAAAACTAGTGCTTGAGTTAGATACTTTGGGAAATGCTTGACTAGATGAGCTCCAAAGCCTCTTGCAGCTCAGTGGTCAAGGAATCCATCATTTTAGTACAGGCAAGATCTATGACTGCGTTGTGAAGTTAATTCTGGTTAGAATTGTCTTCCAAAAAAGCTTCTAAGTGACTCCCAATTTGCTGAAGCCTGCTTGATTGTCTTAGTCCATTTTGAGTTGCTGTAAAGGAATACTTGAGACTGGGTAATTTATGAAGAAAAGAGATTTATTTGGCTCACAGTTCTGAAGGCCATACAGGAAGCATAGCATCAGCATCTGCCACTGGTGAGGGACCTCAGGAAGCTCTATTCATGGCAGAAGGCGAAGGGACCAGGCATCACATGACGAGAGGAAGGAAGCAAGACAGAGGAGGGAGGTGCCTGGTTCTTTTTAACAGTCAGTTCCCCCAGGAACTAATAGAGTGAGAACTCATGCATTACCACAAGGATGGCACAAACCTGGTCATGAGGGATCTGTCCCCATAAGCCAAATACTTCCCACCATGCCGCACTTCCAACATTGGAGATCAAATTTCAACATGAGATTTGGAGGGGACAAATATCTAAACTGCATCACTGATGATGGCAGGTTGCCAAGGAAAACAGCCATTCCATAGCCAGCCTGGGCCTAAAGGTCCTCAGGTAGCACAGGTAGAATGCCACTAAACCCTCACTGCTACTAAGCTTGCTGTGATGTGCTACACAGACCTCTAGGTGATAGGAGTCCTTCTGAGGTGTCTGGATTCAGGGAGAAATCTGAGAAGACTGCGGGTCTTGAAGCTTCCACTGGTGAAACATGCCTGGCTTAGAGTGTAGCCTAAAGATGGCAGGTGGATGCTGCCAGCCTCCTAGTGCTGATCGTTACATCTTACTTCATCATCTTCTGCATCTCTGTGCACCCCCCAATTCTCTTTCATTTCAAGGAGTAGTTAGGGAAGGAAGAAATGAAATACATGCAATGCTAGGTGCATTTTTGAAAGAATAAAAAAACAACAATGATGTGTTTAATGTGAGAAAACTCTGGAGCTTAGTCTCCTTTTGAGGTTTTATAAACTCTCTTGCAGAGAAGAAGCTATCTTCTACTTCATCGGGACAAGTGGTTGATTTTAATAGCTCCTTCCTTATTTCTGCATCTAGTCCACTGGGGATGCTGTCTTCAGACTAGTCGTGAATTTAAGATCTTCAGCTGAAATATGAGGAAGGCAAAGGAATCTTGAACACCGAATTCAGGACGTTGGTGACCTCAGATGGGGGAGAAGGGGTATTGGGTTAGTATGGGGTGGGGACAAGGTTAGATAATTGTCTAGGTTCTAGATTTTGTTTTGGGCAGTGAGTTCATGTGTTCTTATTACATTATTTAAAATAACCAATGGCTAAAAGCAGGTCATACATGGACCAACATTAAAAGATTGCCAGATTTGGAGTATGATCAATCCAATTCTGTAACCCTGTGGTGTACAAACAAACAAACAGTAAGCCAATGAAAATGGAGGCCTAGAGGTCTAGGCCTTCACTTTTCTTCCCTAGATCCTTCCAATCAAATTTCATCTATATTTGCATTATTAAAACATGCAAATACAGTTCACTGCCAAGTTAAAACTCCTTTGTGACATGGTCACACACATCGAGTGCTCTGCCAGCCACCACCAGAACTGGTTCCCTTCAACCTCCTAAGCTATCTATACTGCTTTGCTCTAGGCTAGTTGCTCTCCACATCTGCAGAATACCTGTTCTCCCAGGACTTTCCTACTTTCTCCAATGTTAGCTATAGTCAAGTTTCCAAGGTTCCTGTCTTCCTTTTATTTAGTTTACTCCCTTATTTTGGAAGTCCATATCTTTCAGCAGTTTCCCAAGACTGCTTAGGTGCATAGGACCTCATTTTTTTGAGCCCTTGCATGCCTGAAAATGTCTTTAGTTTAAACTCACATTTAATTAGTAGTATGTCTAAATACAGGATAGTAGGTTGAAAAGCATTTTCTCTTAGAATTTTGAAGACATTTGTATTAGTTTTATATTTCTGCCTTAACAAGTTACCACAGTCTAAGTTGCTTAAACAACACAAATGGATTCTCTTACAGTTCTGTAGGTACATCAGAAGTCTGACACAGGTGTCCTGGAGCTAAAATTAAGGCATCAGCAGTGCTGCACTCCTTTCTACTGGCTCTGGGAAGCATCCGTCTCCTTGCCTTTTTCAGCTCTTTTTGACTGTCCATATCCCATGGCCCTTGGTCCCTTCCTCCAGCTTCAAAGCCATCCACTTTGTACCTTTCTGAACTTCTTTTATAGTCATATTTCCCTGACTTGCTTCTTCTGCCCCTGCCTTCTACTTTTCAGGACTTTTGTGATTACATTGGATCTACCTAGTAATCCAGGATAATCTAATACTGTCTTAAAGTCAACTAATTAGTAACCTTAAATCCATCTGCAAACTTACTTTTCCTTTGCCTGAACATATTCATGGCTTCTAGGGGTTGGGATGAACATCATTAGGAAGCCATTATGCCGCCAATCAGCATTTCTCTTTTCTCTTCTATTTTCCAGCACTTCGGCTGAGAAACTGGATACTTTGCTTATTCCCAGTTCTATGTATGAGAACTAAGACCCATCTGTCTTAGGTAGAGACCAAGCAAGTGACTCCAATAGGCTTTAATAGGAATCCCAATCTCCATGCCTTTCAAATATTTGAGGTTGGCACAAGCCTTCGTGGTTCCTCCAAGGAGGCGATATTGCTTTTGGTTTACTGTCTTCACTGGGAGGAGAAGCTTCAGGGGCCTGCATGTGACACTGCTGTAATTGTTCTCAAGTGTAGATTCTGCCAGTTTTAAGTATTCCAACTCTACACTTAGGAAGTCAGGGACTAACTACAGGCTAGATGCATGCCCCCAACTCATGAGCAGGACATAAGTCGAAATTCCCTTTATCATTTGACCCCTCACAAATTCACGTTTGGTGGAAATGTGAATGGTGACTGCTTGGCCACTGTATGCTCTGGGACACCTGTGCCTCATCCTGTAATGCTACCCAATCTTCATTGCCTTCAAACCCTATGAAATAAGAATAAATTCCAGATTCCCATGTCCTTAAAATCTGTAGTCTGCCACCATTTCTGGAATGAATTCTTTATTGATCACTGTTCTTTGTTGTAGAAAACAAAAATCGTTCTAGCTAGCTTAAATGTAAAAGCAATTTTACATAATATTAGAGAGATTACAAGATTGTCAGGAACACTAGAGGGGTTTGGAAGTTTAACAAGCAGAAGTAGTCAGCCAAGAGAAATGCCCAATTATTCTATGGGACTGCACTGGAAGAAAACCTATTGCTGCAATTGGTTATCAATGAACACTTATGATAGTAGAATCTCTGTTGCAGATGCCACAAATGAACCAAATGCCCCCAACTTAGTGTTCATTAGAAGAGCTCTTTGACCTTCTCACAGCCTCTACTAGCTCTTTTGCCTTCCAAGTCCCTGTGAGTTTGTCCCCTACCAGAACCTGGGTCACATGCAGATCACTAACTACAAAAGGGTTCAGGATATGTCATTTTTTTTAAAGCATTCCAGCCTCTGCAATGTAAGAAAGACATTGGAATGGATATCAAAAAGGAACCAGTCTGATGTATTAGTTATAGCAAAGATTATAGGAAGTAATCACTCTCAGACTTTGAAAGTCTAAAAGTCACTTTACTATGCACTCACTCTGGAATATTAGTTTAGCTGTGTGATGAATAGCAGGTTGACTGTCATTTTCCCTTAACACTCTTAGAACCTTATTTTATTGTTTCTGGCATCTGTTATTAATGACGTAGAATCTGCTGTTGGAATATCTTTCCTTGGTAGGAAAAATACTTCCTTTTTATTTTATCTGATTTTTTGTTTTCTAGCTTTATTAGGGCATAATTGACAAATAAAAATTATATAGATTTTTGGTGCACAGTGTAACATTTTGATATAAATATCCATTGTGAAAGGATTAAATCAAGATAATCAACAAACCCATTATCTCATATAATAATCATTTTACTAGTGGGGAGAACATTTAAGATCTACTCTTAGCAATTTTCAAGTATATCCTACATTATTACTAACTGTAGTCATTGTGCTGTGATTCCAGCATTTATTCATCCTGTCTAGCTAACTAAAGCTTTGTGCCCTTTGACCAACATCTCATTTCTCTCACCTCCCTCTTGGCATGACCCAGCCCCTGGTAACCACCATTCTACTGTCTACTTCTATGAGTTCAACTTTTTAGATTCCACATATAAATGAAATCATGCAGTATTTGTATTTCTCTGCCTGGCTCATTTCACTTGACATAAAGTTCTTCAGGTTCATTTGTAGGTAGCTTTTAAGATTTCATCTTTGATGTTTTGAATTTTTACTATTGAGTATTTGTGTGCATACTTGTTCTTGTTTATTCTGTTTAGAACTCTATGATCCTCACTCTAAAGATTTATAGTTTTTACAGTTCTGAAAAATAACATGACATTGTCATATTGAATATCACTGCATTAGTCCATTTTTGTGTTTCTCTACAGAAGTATCTGAGGCTGGGTAATTTATGAAGAAAAGAGGTTTAATTAGCTCATGGTTCTGCAGGCTTTACGAGAAACTTGGCACTGGTGTCTGCCTGACTTCCGGTGAGGGCCTCAGGGAGCTTTTACTCATGGTAGAAGACGAAGTGGGATCAGAGACAGGCATGTCACATGGCGAGAGTGGGAGCAAGGGAGCGGTGGGGAGGTCCCAGATTTTTTTTTAAACAACCAGATCGTGCATGAACTAATGGAGAGAGAACTCACTTACCACCAAGGGGATGTTGCAAAACCATTCATGAGGGATTCATCCCCATGATCCAATCACCTCCCACCACACCCCACCTCCAACATTGGGAATCACATTTCAACATGGGATTTGGAGAGGACAAACATCCAAACCATATAAATTACCTATCCCCATTTTCTCTGTTCCTCACTCTGGAATACTGTCATTTTTTGGGAGCTTCCTATTAGATCTCCTTTGACTCTCAATTTCTCTTTCATATTTTTCATCTCTTTACGTCTCTGTGTTACACCTATATAATTTCTGGAGATATTTTATTCCATCCCTTCTCTCTTTAGCTGAATCAAGTCTACTACTTATTGCATTTTAAGAAATTCAAATGACTTTTTTTTTTTTTTTCAAGACAGAGTTTCACTCTGTCACCCAGGCTGGACTGCAGTGGTGGAATCATGGCTCACAATAGCCCCAACCTCCTGTGTTCAAGCGATCCTCTTTGCCTCGGCCTCCAGAGTTAGCTGGGACTACAGGCATGTGCCACCACACCCAGCTAACTTTTTAAAATTTTCTTACTTTTTTTTTTATTATACTTTTAAGTTCTAGGGTACATGGGCACAACGTGCAGGTTTGTTACATATGTATACATGTGCCATGCTGGTGTGCTGCACCCATTAAGTCATCATTTACATTAGGTATTTCTCCTAATGCTATCCCTCTCCCCTCCCCCCACCCCACAACAGGCCCCAGTGTATAATGTTCCCCACTCTGTATCCAAGTGTTCTCATTGTTCAATTACCACCTATGAGTGAGAACATGCGGTGTTTGGTTTTCTGTCCTTGTGATAGTTTGCTCAGAATGATGGTTCCCAGCTTCATCCATGTCCCCGCAAAGGACATGAACTCATCCTTTTTTACGGCTGCATAGTATTCCATGGTGTATGTGTGCCACATTTTCTTAATCCAGTCTATCATTGATGGACATTTGGGTTGGCTCCAAGTTTTTGCTATTGTGAATAGTGCTGCAATAAACATACATGTGCATACGTCTTTAGAGCAGCATGATTTATAATCCTTTGGGTATGTACCCAATAATGGGATGGCTGGGTCAAATGATATTTCTAGTTCTAGATCCTTGAGGAATTGCCACACTGACTTCCACAATGGTTGAACTAGTTTACAGTTCCACCAACAGTGTAAAAGTGTTCCTATTTCTCCACATCCTCTCCAGCACCTGTTGTTTCCTGACTTTTTAACAATTGCCATTCTAACTGGTGTGAGATGGTATCTCATTGTGGTTTTGATTTGCATTTCTCTGATGGCCAGTGATGGTGAGCTTTTTTTTCAAGTGTCTTTTGGCTGCATAAATGTCTTCTTTTGAGAAGTGTCTGTTCATATACTTCACCCACTTTTTGATGGAGTGGTTTCATTTTTTCTTGTAAATTTGTTTAAGTTCTTTGTAGATTCTGGATATTAGCCCTTTGTCAGATGGAGAGATTGCAAAAACTTTCTCCCATTCTGTAGGTTTCCTGTTCACTCTGATGGTAGTTTCCTTTGCTGTGCAGAAGCTCTTAATTTAATTAGATCTCATTTGTCAATTTTGGCTTTTGTTGCCATTGCTTTTGGTGTTTTAGTTATGAAGTCCTTGCCCATGCCTATGTCCTGAATGGTATTACCTCGGTTTTCTTCTAGGGTTTTTATGGTTTTAGGTCTAACATTTAAGTCTTTAATCCATGTTGAATTAATTTTCATATAAGGTGTAAGGAAGGGATCCAGTTTCAGCTTTCTACATATGGCTATCCAGTTTTCCCAGCACCATTTATTAAATAGGGAATCCTTTCCCCATTTCTTGTTTTTGTCAGGTTTCTCAAAGATCAGATGGTTGTAGATGTATGGTATTATTTCTGAGGGCTCTGTTCTGTTCCATTGGTCTATATCTCTGTTTTGGTAGCAGTACCATGCTGTTTTGGTTACTGTAGCCTTGTAGTATAGTTTGAAATCAGGTAGCGTGATGCCTCCAGCTTTGTTCTTTTTGCTTAGAATTGTCTTGGCAATGCAGGCTCTTTATTGGTTCCATATGAACTTTAAAGTAGTTTTTTCAATTCTATGAGGAAAGTCATTGGTAGCTTGATAGGGATGGCATTGAATCTATAAATTACCTTGGGCAGTATGGCCATTTTCACGATATTCATTCTTCCTCCCCACGAGCATGGAATGTTCTTCCGTTTGTTTTTGTCCTCTTTTATTTTGTTGAGCAGTGGTTTGTAGTTCTCCTTGAAGAGGTCCTTCACATCCCTTGTAAGTTGGATTCCTAGGTATTTTATTGTCTTTGAAGGAATTGTGAATGGGAGTTCACTCATGATTTGGCTCTCTGTTTGTCTATTATTGTTGTATAGGAATGCTTGTGATTTTTGCACATTTTGTATCCTGAGACTTTGCTGAAATTGCTTATCAGCTTAAGGAGATTTTGGGCTGAGACGACTGGGTTTTCTACATATACAATCATGTCATCTGCAAACAGGGACAATTTGACTTCCTCTTTTCCTAATTGAATACCCTTTATTTCCTTCTCGGGCCTGATTGCCCTGGCCAGAACTTCCAACACTATGTTGAATAGGAGTGGTGAGAGAGGGCATCCCTGTCTTGTGCCAGTTTTCAAAGGGAAAGCTTCCAGCTTTTGTCCATTCAGTATGATATTGGCTGTGGGTTTGTCATAGATAGCTCTTATTATTTTGAGATACGTCCCATCAATACCTAATTTATTGAGAGTTTTTAGCATGAAGCGTTGTTGAATTTTGTCAAAGGCATTTTCTGTGTCTGTTGAGATAATCATGTGGTTTTTGTCTTTGGTTCTGTTTATATGCTGGAGTATGTTTATTGATTTGCATATTTGAACCAGCCTTGCATCCCAGGGATGAAGCCCACTTGATCATGGTGGATAAGCTTTTTGATGTGTTGCCAGATTCAGTTTGCCAGTATTTTAGTGAGGATTCTTGCATTGATGTTCATCAAGGATACTGGTCTAAAATTCTCTTTTTTTGTTGTGTCTCTGCCAGGCTTTGGTATCAGGATGATGTTGGCCTCATAAAATGAGTAAGGGAGGGTTCCCTCTTTTTCTGTTGATTGGAATAATTTCAGAAGGAATGGTCCCAGCTCCTCTTTGTACCTCTGGTAAAATTTGATTGTGAGTCCATCTGGTCCTGGACTTTTTTTGGTTGGTAGGCTATTATTATTGCCTCAATTTCAGAGCCTGTTATTGGTCTATTCAGAGATTCAACTTCTTCCTGGTTTAGTCTTGGGAGGATGTATGCATCCAGGAATTTATCCATTTCTTCTAGATTTTCTAGTTTATTTGCATAGAGGTGTTTATAGTATTCTCTGATGTTAGTTCGTATTTCTGTGGGATCAGTGGTGATATCCCTTTTATCATTTTTTATTGCATCTATTTGATTCTTCTCTCTTTTCTTCTTTGTTAATCTTGCTAGCATTCTATCAATTTTGTTGATCTTTTCAAAAAACCAGCTCCTCGATTCATTGATTTTTTGAATGTTTTTGTGTGTCTCTAAGTCCTTCAGTTCTGCTCTGATCTTAGTTATTTCTTGCCTTCTGCTAACTTTTAAATGTGTTTGCTCTTGCTTCTCCAGTTCTTTTAATTGTGATGTTAGGGTGTCAATTTTAGATCTTTCCTGCTTTCTCTTGTGGGCATTTAGTGCTATAAATTTCCCTCTACACACTGCTTTAAATGTGTCCCAGAGATTCTGGTATGTTGTGTCTTTGTTCTCATTGGTTTCAAAGAATATCTTTATTTCTGCCTTCTTTTCGCTATTTATCCAGTAATCATTCAGGAGCAGATTGTTCAGTTTCCATGTAGTTGTCCGGTTTTTGAGTGAGTTTCTTAATCCTGAGTTCTAATTTGTTTGCACTGTGTTCTGAGAGACAGTTTGTTATAATTTTTGTTCTTTTACATTTGCTGAGAAGTGCTTTACTTCCAACTATGTGGTCAATTTTGGAATAAGTGTGATGTGGTTCTGAGAAGAATGTATATTCTGTTGATTTGGGGTGGAGAGTTCTGTAGATGTCTATTAGGTCTGCTTGGTGCAGAGCTGTGTTCAATTCCTGGATATCCTTGTTAACTTCTCTCTAGTTGATCTGTCTAATGTTGACAGTGGGGTGTTAAAGTCTCCCATTTTTATTGTGTGGGAGTCTAAGTCTCTTTGTAGGTCTCTAAGGACTTGCTTTATGAATCTGGGTGCTCCTGTATTGGGTGCATATATATATTTAGGATAGTTAGCTCTTCTTGTTGAATTGATGCCTTTACCATTATATAATGGCCTTCTTTGTCTCTTTTGATCTTTGTTGGTTTAAAGTCTGTTTTATCCGAGACTAGGATTGCAACCCCTGCTATTTTTTTGTTTTCCATTTGCTTGGTAGATCTTCCTCCATCCCTTTATTCTGAGCCTGTGTGTGTCTCTGCATGTGAGATGGGTCTCCTGAATACAGCACACTGATGGGACTTGACTCTTTATCCAACTTGCCAGCCTGTGTCTTTTAAATGGGGCATTTAGCCCATTTACATTTAAGGTTAATATTGTTATGTGTGAATTGGATCCTGTCATTATGACGTTAGCTGGTTATTTTGCTTGTTAGTTGATGCAGTTTCTTCCTAGCCTCGATGGTCTTTACAATTTGGCATGTTTTTGCATTGGCTGGTACCGGTTGTTCCTTTCTATGTTTAGTGCTTCCTTTAGGAGCTCTTGTAAGGCAAGCCTAGTGGTGACAAAATCTCTCAGCATTTGCTTGTCTGTAAAGGATTTTGTTTCTCCTTCACTTATGAAGCTTAGTTTGGCTGGATATGAAATTCTGGGTTGAAAATTCTTTTCTTTAAGAATGTTGAATCTTGGCCCCCACTCTCTTCTTTCTTGTAGAGTTTCTGCCGAGAGATCCACTGTTAGTCTGATGGGCTTCCGTTTGTTGGTAACCCGACCTTTCTCTCTGGCTGCCCATAACATTTTTTCCTTCATATCAACCTTGGTGAATCTGACAATTATGTGTCTTGGAGTTGCTCTTCTTGAGGAGTATCTTTGTGGCATTCTCTGTATTTCCTGAAGTTGAATGTTGGCCTTCTTCACTAGGTTGGGAAGTTCTCCTGGATAATATCCTGAAGAGTGTTTTCTAGCTTGGTTCCATTCCCCCCATCACTTTCAGGTACACCAATCGATGTAGATTTGGTCTTTTCACATAGACTCATGTTTCTTGGAGGCTTTGTTTGTTTCTTTTTACTCTTTTTTTCTCTAAACTTCTCCTCTCACTTCATTTCATTCATTTGATCTTCAGTTGCTGATACCCTTTCTTTCATCGAATCGAATCGGCTACTGAAGCTTGATCGAATCAGCTACTGAAGCTTGTGCATGCATCACATAGTTCTCCTGCCATGGTTTTCAGCTCCATCAGGTCATTTAAGGTCTTCTCTATGCTGTTTATTCTAGTTAACCATTCATCTCATCTTTTTTCAAGGTTTTTAGCTTCTTTGTGATGTGTTTGAACATCCTCCTTTAGCTCAGAGAGGTTTGTTATTACCAATCTTCTGAAGCCTACTTCTGTCAGCTCATCAAAGTTATTCTCCATCCAGCTTTGTTCCATTGCTGGTGAGGAGCTGTGTTCCTTTGGAGGAGAAGAGGAGCTCTGATTTTCAGAATTTTCAACTTTTCTGCTCTGCTTTCTCCCCATCTTTGTGGTTTTATCTACCTTTCATCTTTGATGATGGTGACCTACAGATGGGGTTTTGGTGTGGATGTCCTTTTTGTTGCTGTGATGTTATTCCTCTCTGTTTGTTAGTTTTCCTTCTAACACTCAGGACCCTCAGCTGCAGGTCTCTTGGAGTTTGCTAGAGGTCCACTCCAGACCCTGTTTGCCTGGGTATCACCAGCAGGGGCTGCAGAACAGTGAATACTGCAGAACAGCAAGTGTTGCTTTCTGATCCTTCCTCTGGAAACTTCGTCTCAGAGGGGCATCCAGCTGTATGAGGTGTCAGTCGGCCCCTACTGGGAGGTGTCTCCCAGTTAGGCTACTTGGGGGTCTGGGACCCACTTGAGGAGGCAGTCTCTCCGTTATCAGGTCTCAAACTCCATGCTGGGAGAATCACTACTCTCTTCAAAGCTGTCAGACAGGGATGTTTAAGTCTGCAGAAGTTTCTGCTGCCTTTTCTTCAGCTATGCCCTGTCCCTAGATGTGGAGTCTACAGAGGCAGGCAGGCATCCTTGAGCTGTGGTTGGCTCCACCCAGTTCGAGCTTCCTGTCACTTTGTTTACCTAGTCAAGTCTCAGCAATGGCGGATGCCCCTCTCCCAGCCTCCTTGTTGCCTTGCAGTTGGATCTCAGACTGCTGTGGTAGCAGTGAGCAAGGGTCTGTCGTCATGGGACTCTCCAAGCCAGGTGCGGGATATAATCTCCTGGTGTGCCATTTGCTAAGACCATTGGAAAAGTGCAGTATTAGGGTGGGAGTGTCCCGATTTTCTGGGTAATGTCTGTCATGGCTTCCCTTAGCTAGGAAAGGGAATTCCCTGACCCCTTGTGCCTCCCAGGTGAGGTGATGCCCCACCCTGTTTCAGCTCCCACTCTGTGGGCTGCATCCACTGTCCAACAAGTCCCAGTGAGATGAACCTTGTACCTCAGTTGGAAATGCAGAATTCACCCATCTTCTGTGTCACTCATGCTGGGAGCTGTAGACTGGAGCTGTTCCTATTTGGCCATCTTGGAGGGAATCCTGACTTTTGTATTTTTTGTAAAGATGAGGTCTTGCCATTTTGCCCAGGCTGGTCTCTAACTCCTGGCCTCAAGTGACTCACTACCTGCTTCAGCTTCCTAAAGTGCTGGGATTACAGGCGTGAGCTACTGTCCCTGGCCCAAATGACTGTTTTCTTATATTCCTAGTGTGACTGCATATTCCTTTTTGAAATATGTCTGCTTTTTTCTCTTAATAGTCTCTCCTTGTATTGTGAACGCTATTCCTTCTTTTTATGTCTTTGAACAGGTAAGTCATTTGCTAAGTCCTTCAGAGATTGAACTATTTTCTATGATTTCTTGACCTCAAATTTTCCAGTTTGTTGTAACTGTTAACTCTCATTTATGAAGGTGAATTTCCATGTGTGTTTTGTAATTTTTGCCTATGAGCTCATATTTGGCAAGAATTGTTTTTTATAGAAGTACTGTGGAAGTGCTATGTTTGCACAGGTATTATGATGAATAAGTTGACATTTGCCTCTGTCAGGGGCCCTGAATTTTAGATGAATTGTTTTGTGATTTCATCAAGCTTTATTTTTTGACTGCATCGTAATTTAAAAATTTGTTCATTCTGTAATCTTTTCCCATACCTAGATGAAGGTGGACAGACTATATGACTTTTAAAAATAAGCTTCTATCTTTTAAAATAGTTTTATACATACAGAAAATTTGCAAAGGCAGTACAGAGAGTTCCCTATATCCCATATCTAATTTTTCTTATTATAAATATCTAACATTGGTATGACATATTTGTCAAAATATTGAACCAATACTGACACATTACTATTAACTAAAGTCCATGCTTTATTCAGATTTCCTTAGGTTTTACCTAAGGTACTTTTCCTGTTTCAGGATTCCCTCCAGTCCATCACATTTCATTTTATCTTATTTTATTTCATTTCATTTCATTATATTTCAATCTTCATGTATCCTTAAGCTCCTCTCAGCTGTGATAGTTTCTCCGCCTCTCCTTGCTTTTGATGACCTCAACAGTCTGAAGGTGTACTGGTCAGACATTTTGAAGACCGTCCTTCAACTGAGATTTGTGTGATTTTTTTCTCATGATTAGGTGGGGTTTTGGATTTTTGGGGGATAAAGACCACAGAAGTAAAGTGCTATTTTTATCACATTATATCAAAACATGAATTGTCACTACTGATGTTAAAATCTGGCCAAGTTACTGTTTCTCAGGTTTTTCCACCATGTGTTAGAGTTCTTCAGAAGGACAGAACCTATAGGATATATGCATATATAAAAGGGAATTTATTAGGGAGAATTGGCTCACACAGTTACAAAATGAAATCCCATGATACGCCATCTGCATGGGGAAAGAAAGAAGCTGGTAGTGGCTCAGTCCAATTATGAAAACCTCACACCCAGGAAAGCCGACAGTGCAGCCTTCAGTCTGTGGCCAAAAGCTAGAGAGACCCCAGGAAGCCACTGGTGCAAGTCCCAGAGTCCAAAGGTTGAAAAATCTGGAGTCTGATGTCTAAGAAGAGCAGAAGCAAGTGTCCAGCTCAAGAAGAAGAAAGAGAGCCAGAAGCCTCAGGAAGCAAACTTATCCCACCTTTTTCCACCTGCTTTATTCTAGCTGTGCTTGCAGCTGATTGGATGGTGCCCACCCTCATTGAGGATGGGTCTTCCTTTCCCAGTCCACTGACTAAAATGTCAGTCTCCCCTGGAAACACTCTCCCAAGCATACCCGAGATAATACTTTACCAGCCATCTAGCCTCCCCTCAATCAAGCTGACACCGAATATTAACCATCACACATTGTATAGTTACTCTCCCTACCAACTCCAGTTTTCATACTGTACTCTTTGGAAGGAAGTCACTATGTGCAGCCTACACTTAAGGAGTGGAGTTATGCTCCACCTTCTTGAAGGTGAAGTAGCTACATAAATTATTTGGAATTCTACTACACAGCAGATTTGTCTCTTCTCCCATTTATTTATTCAATCATTTTTTATATCAGTATAGATTCGTGGATATATATCTGTGGGTTATAATTCAATACTACTTAATTTTGCTAATTTTGTTCCAGTTTTGGCTGTGAGGAGCTCCTTTAGTTAGCTCCTGTATCTGTTGACATGCTTCCATCAATGTGGGTTTTGTTTTTTGTTTTGGGGAGTTTTTCAGTACTTTCTTGAGCTATGGGATGCTCCAGGCTTATCTTGTATATTTCCTGCTCTTGTCCTAAAATCAGCTATTTCCCCAAGAAGACTGGTTTCTTTTGTTGGAAAATGACTTTTGAAATCAAGATCTGGGTGCTGAATGTGTACATTGCTACTGGGGTGTCATTACTTCTAGGACCTCTCAGCTGGTAGAGCAAGGAAATATATGTGTATATATTCTGTGTATGCATAAGTAACCATCAATATATATATTAAGTTAATTATGAGCTCATATTGACGTCTTCAACTCTACACCATTGGCAATGGATCATTCTAACCTCCTCTAAACTCCCACTCTGACAGTGAGAAACCTGGCTCACATCATCTGCCATCCATTTACTTAATTGTTCACTTCCAATATACATCTACAGCAATAGCAGAATTGTTAACGCATACGCCTGTGAGAAACAACTTTATAACTAGAGTACTATGCATATGTGCAGTTCTTTTTGCCTTTAGTCTTACAGGTTCCATTTCCAAAATTACTTTTGTAAAGTTATAATTTCCAAATTCAGCAACTTTATCATCTATCCCCTTCAGTGATATTGTTTTAAATAATTATAATACAGTTAGATTCTTTTGTTCTATCTACATTCTATCCCGAGATCCATCCAGGGATCTCTTGACCTCCTAAAATGTTTTAAATTTGTATACATTAGCGTTTGTTTTGTAAAGCTTCATGGGCTTTGACAAATGCATAGTGTCTTATGTTCACAATTATAGTATCACAAAAATAGTTTCACTACCCTAAAAGATATTCCTGTGCTTTATCTATTCAACACTCACCTTACTCCTCCACTCTGAACCCCTAGCAACCGCTGATCTATTTACTATCACTATAGTTTTGTCTTTTCCAGAATGTTATGTAGTTACAATAATACAGTATATAGCTTTGTTAAACTGGCTTCCTTCACTTAACAATATGCATTTGAGATTCATCTGTCATCGTGGGTTGACGTCTCATTCCTTTTTTTTCTTTTTATTGAATAGTATTTTTCATGCGTGTCTGTGTGAAGAGACCACCAAACAGGCTTTGTGTGAGCAATAAGGCTTTTAATCACCTGGGTGCAGGCAGGCTGAATCTGAAAAGAGAGTCAGCGAAGGGAGATAGGGGTGGGGCCGTTTTATAGGATTTGGGTAGGTAAAGGAAAAAGGGGGGTTGTTTTCTGGCGGGCAGGAATGGGGGTCACAAAGTGCTCAGTAGGGGAGCTTTTGAGCCAGGATGAGCCAGGAGAAGGAATTTCACAAGATAATGCCATCAGTTAAGGCAGGAACAGGCCATTTTCATATCTTTTGTGGTGGAATGTCATCAGTTAAGGCAGGAACCATCTGGATGTGTACGTGCAGGTCACAGGGGATATGATGGCTTAGCTTGAGCTCAGAGGCCTGACATTCCTGTCTTCTTATATTAATAAGAAAAATAAAACGAAATAGTGGTAAAGTGTTGGGACAGTGAAAATTATGGGGGATGGTATGGAGAGATAATGGGCGATGTTTCTCAGGGCTGCTTCAAGCGGGATTAGGGGCGGCGTGGGAACCTAGAGTGGGAGAGATTAAGCTGAAGGAAGATTTTGTGGTAAGGGGTGATATTGTGGGACTGTTAGAAGAAACATTTGTGATTTAGATTTATTGGTGATGGCCTGGATACAGTTTTGTATGAATTGAAAAACTAAATGGAATAAGAGAAGGAGAAAAACAGGTATTAAAGGTCTAAGAATTGGGAGGACCTAGGACATCTAATTAGAGAGTGCCTAAAGAGATTCAGCATAGTCCTGCCAGCAAAGATTATTTATTTACTTCAAGAGTTTAGAGTGGCAGTTTGGGGATAGCACCAGGAGATATCAGCTGTGATGGCTTGGAGAAACAGTGTAAACCAGCAGTGTAAACAAGAGCAGGGCATGTATGAGTAGTTGAGAATGGTGAATACGAGTATGATGAGACAGAAGATAGTAGGGATGACAAGTTTTTTGGGGCACAGTCTAAGTTGGTCTGGTGTCTGCAATGGGACTGTGGCTTAATAAAAAGTAGTGTCCATACAGGAGCTCAAATGGGCTGTACCCTGTAGCATTCCAAGGACAGGCCTGAATTCTGAGAAAAGAAAGAGGTAAAAGTATTGTCCAGTCCTTTTTAAGTTGGTGGCTGAGCTTGGTGAGGTGTGTTTTTAAAAGACCATTAGTCCGTTCTACCTTTCCTGAAGACTGAGGACTGTAAGGGATATAAAGGTTTCACTGAATACCAAGAGCCTGAAAAACTGCTTGGCTGATTTGACTAATAAAGGCTGGTCTGTTATCAGACTGTATAGAGGTGGGAAGGCTAAACTGAGGAATTATGTCTGATAGAAGGGAAGAAATGACTGTGGTGGCCTTCTCAGATCCTGCAGGAAAGGCCTCTACCCATCCAGTGAAAGTGTCTACCTACACTAAGAGGTATTTTAGTTATCTGACTTGGGGCACGTTGAGTAAAGCTAATTTGCCAGTCCTTGGTGGGGGCTAATCCTGGAGCTTGATGTGTAGGGAAGGGAGGGGTCCTGAATAATCCCTGAGGAGTAGTAGAATAGCAGATGGAACACTGAGAAGTTATTTCCTTGAGGATGGATTTCCATGATGGAAAGGAAATGAGAGGTTCTAAGAGGCGGGCTAGTGGCTTGTACTATAGCATAGCCTGCCTTTGCTGGTGTGTGGCGATTAGGCCTGGTGGAACTGCCATCAATAAACCAAGTGTGATCAGGGTGAGAAACAGGGAAGAAGGAAATGTGGGGAAATGGGATGAACATCAGGTGGATCAGAGAGATGCAGTCATGAGAGTCAGGTGTGGTAACAGGAATAATGTGGGAGGCCAGATTGAAGTCCGGGCCAGGAACAATGGTAATTGTGGGAGACTCAACAAAGAGTGAGTACAGCTGAAGGAGCCGGGGAGCAGAAGGTATATGCATCAGTGTGAGGAAGAAAATAGATTTTGGAAATTATGAGAGATGTAGAGAGTGAGTTGAGCATAGTTTGTGATTTTAAGGGCCTCTAAAAGTATTAGAGCGACAGCAGCCGCTGCATGGAGACATGATGGCCAGCCTAAAATAGTAAGGTCAAGTTGTTTGGACAAAAAGGCTACAGGATGCAATCCCAGTCCTTGTGTAAGAATTCTGACTGCACTGCCCTGCACTTCGGCTGTGTGTAATGAAAAGGGTTGGGATGAGTCAGGGAGAGCTAGGGTGGGGGCAGTCTTTAAAGCTGTCTTCAAGGAATGGAAAGAGGAATGGGGAAAGGATTTAGGATCTATGGGGTCAGCTAGGTTTCCTTTTGTGAGTTTATATAATGGTTTTGTTAGGATGGCAAAACTAGGTATCTAAAGGCGAAAGTATCTAACCATGCCCAGGAAGGAAAGGAGCTGTTGTTTTGTAAGGGATTGAGGTTTGGGAGATTAGTCAGACATGATGAGAAGGGAGAGCACGTGTGTTTTTATGAGAATTATGCCGAGATAGATAACAGATGAGGATGAAATTTGGGCTTGACTGAAGTAATGGGGGCTGTCTGTGAAGCCTTGCAGCAGTACAGCCTAGGTAATTTGCTGAGCCTGTTGGGTGTCAGCGTCAGTCTAAGTGAAAGCGAAGAGAGGCTGGGATGAAGGGTGCAAAGGGATTGAGATCCAGAACAGAATAATGGGTTGTGGAGGGAGGTATTGAGGATAGGAGAGTATATGGGTTTGGCACCATGGGGTGGATAGGCAAAACAATTTGGTTGATAAGGCTCAGATCCTGAACTAACCTGTAAGCCTTGTCTGGTTCTAGGACAGGTAAAATGGGGGAATTGTAAGGAGAGTTTATAGGCTTTAAAAGGCCATGCTGTAGCAGGCAAGTGATAACAGGCTTTAACCTTTTTAAAGAGTGCTGCAGGATGGGATATTGGCATTGAGCAGGGTAAAGGTGATTAGGTTTTACTGAGATGGTAAGGGGTGCATGATCGGTTGCCAAGGAGGGAGTAGAGGTATCTTATACTTGTGGATTAAGGTGGGGGGATATAAGAGGTGGACGCAAAGGAGGCTTTGGATTGGGAAGAAGGGCGGCAATGAGATGTAGCTGTAGTCCAGGGATAGTCAGGGAAGCAGATAATTTAAAGTGTCTTGGCCTAATAAGGGAACTGGGCAGGTGGGGATAACTAAAAAAAGAGCTCTTAAAAGAGTATTGTCTAAATTGGCACCAGAGTTGGGGAGTTTTAAGAGGTTTAGAAGCCTGTCAGTACCCACAACAGTTATGGAAGCAAGGGAAACAGACCCTTGAAAAGAAGGTAATGTGGAGTGTGTATCCTCCATAATGATTAAGAACGGGACGGACTACCCTCCACTGTGAGAGTTACCTAAAGCTCGGTGTCTGTGATGGTCTACTGGGCTTCCAAGGTGATCGGACAGCATCAGTCTTCAGCTGCTAAGCCGAGAACATCTGGGAAGGGGTCAGTCAGAGAGCCTTGGGCCAGAGTTCCAGGGGCTCTGGGAGTGGCTGCCAGGTGAGCTGAACAGTCTGATTTCCAGTAGGGTCCCACACAGATGGGACACAGCTTAGGAGGAATCCTGGGCTGCGGGCATTCCTTGGCCTGGTGGCCAGATTTCTGGCACTTGTAGCAAGCTCCTGGGGGAGGCGGTTCTGGAGGAATGCCTGGCCACTGCAGTTTAGGCGTTTGGAAGTTCTTGTGTGCTGGAGACGTGGCTGGGGTTTGTCTCACAGTGGAGGCAAGGAATTGCAACTCCAAAATATGTTGCTACTTGGCTGCCTCTACTCTATTATTGTACACCTTAAAGGTGAGGTGAATTAAGTCCTGTTGTGGGGTTTGAGGGCTGGAATTTAATTTTTGGAGTTTTATTTAATGTCGGGAGCAGATTGGGTAATAAAATGTATATTGAGAATAAGACGGCCTTTTGACCTTTTAGGGTCCAGGGCTGTAAAGCGTCTCAGGGTTGCTGCCAAACGAGCCATGAACTGGGCTGGGTTTTTTATATTTGATGAAAAAGAGCCTAAACGCTATCTGATTTGGGATAAAGAAAAAGGAGCATTAACCTTGACTATGCCTTTAGCTTCAGCCACCTTTTTAAGAGTAAATTGCTGGGCAGGTGGGGGAGGGCTAGTCACTTTCATGTGTGTCCCTGTGAAGAGACCACAGGCTTTGTGTGAGCAATAAAGCTTTTAGTCACCTGGATGCAGGCGGGCTGAGTCCAAAGAGAGAGTCAGCAAAGGGAGATAAGGGTAGGGCCATTTTATAGGATTTGGGTAGATAAAGGAAAATTACAGTCAAAGGGGAGTTGTTCTCTGGCGGGCAGAGTGGGGGTCACAAGGTACTCAGTGGGGGAGTTTTTGAGCCAGGATGAGCCAGGAGAAGGAATTTCACAAGACAATGTCATCGGTTAAGGCAGGAACAGGCCATTTTCACTTCTTTTGTGGTGGAATGTCATCAGTTAAGGCAGGAATAGGCCATCTGGTGGTCTACATGCAGGTCACAGGGGATATGATGGCTTAACTTGGGCTCAGAAGCCTGACATTCCTGTCTTATATTAATAAGAAAAATAAAACGAAATAGTGGTAAAGTGTTGGGACGGTGAAAATTTTTGGGGGTGGTATGGAGAGATAATGGGCGATGTTTCTCAGGGCTGCTTTGAGCGGGATTAGGGGCGGCGTGGGAACCTAGAATTGGAGAGATTAAGCTGAAGGAAGATTCTGTGGTAAGGGGTGATATTGTGGGACTGTTAGAAGAAACATTCGTCATTTAGAATTATTAGTGATGGCCTGGATACGGTTTTGTATGAATTGAAAAACTAAATGGAATAAGAGAAGGAGAAAAACAGGTATAAAAGGTCTAAGAGTTGGGAGGACCGAGGACATCTGATTAGAGAGTGCCTAAGGAGATTCAGCATAGTCCTGCCAGCAAAGATTATTTATTTACTTCAAGAGTTTAGAGTGGCAGTTTGGGGATAGCACCAGGAGATATCAGCTGTGATGGCTTGGAAAAACAGTGTAAACCGGCAGTGTAAACAAGAGCAGGGCATGTATGAGTAGTTGAGAATGGTGAATAGGAGTATGACTAGACAGAAGATAGTAGGGATGACAAGTTTTTTTGGGGGCACAGTCTAAGTTGGTCTGGTGTCTGGAATGAGACTGGGGCCTAATAAAAAGGAGCATCTATACAGGAGCTCAAATGGGCTGTACCTTGTAGCATTCTGAGGACAGGTCTGACTTCTGAGAAGGAAAAGTGGTAAAAGTATTGTCCCGTCCTTTTTAAGTTGGTGGCTGAGCTTGGTGAGGTGTGTTTTTAAAAGACCTTTAGTCCGTTCTACTTTTCTTGAAGACGGAGGACTGTAAGGGATATAAAGGTTTCACTGAATACTAAGAGCCTGAAAAACTGCTTGGCTGATTTGAGTAATAAAGGCTGGTCTGTTATCAGACTGTATAGAGGTGGGAACGCTAAACTGAGGAATTATGTCTGATAGAAGGGAAGAAATGACTGTGGTGGCCTTCTCAGACCCTGTAGGAAAGGCCTCTACCTATCCAGTGAAACTGTCTACCTAGACTAAGAGGTATTTTAGTTATCTGACTCGGGGCTTGTTGAGTAAAGCTAATTTGCCAGTCGTGGGTGGGGGCAAATCCTCGAGCTTGATGTGTAGGGAAGGGAGGGGTCCTGAATAATCCCTGAGGAGTAGTAGAACAGCAGATGGAACACTGAGAAGTTATTTCCTTGAGGATAGATTTCCACGATGGAAAGGAAATGAGAGGTTCTAAGAGGCGGGCTAGTGGCTTGTACTATAGCATAGCCTGCCTTTGCTGGTGTGTGGCGATTAGGCCTGGTGGAACTGCCATCAATAAATCAAGCATGATCAGGGCGAGGAATAGGGAAGAAGGAAATATGGGGAAATGGGGTGAATGTCAGATGGATCAGAGAGATACAGTCATGGGGGTCAGGTGTGGTATCAGGAATAATGTGGGAGGCCGGATTGAAGTCCGGGCCAGGAACAATGGTAATTGTGGGACTTAACAAAGAATGAGTACAGCTGAAGGAGCCGGGGAGCAGAAAGTATACGCGTCAGGTATGAGAAAGAAAATAGATTTCGAAAGTTATGAGAAATGCAGAGAATGAGTTGAGCAGTTTGTGATTTTAAGGGCCTCTAAAAGTATTAAAGCAGTGGCAGCCGCTGCACGCAGACATGAGGGCTAGGCTAAAAGAGTGAGGTCAAGTTGTTTGGACAGAAAGGCTACAGGGTGCGGTCCTGGCTCTTGTGTAAGAATTCTGACCACACTAACCATGCCTAGGAAGGAAAGGAGTTGTTGTTTTGTAAGGGATTGAGGTTTGGGAGATTAATTGGACATGATCAGCAGGGAGAGCACGTGTGTTTTTATGAGAATTATGCCGAGATAGGTAACAGATGAGGATGAAATTTGGGCTTGATTGAAGTAATGGGGGCTGTCTGTGAAGCCTTGCGGCAGTACAGCCTAGGTAATTTGCTGAGCCTAATGGGTGTCAGGGTCAGTCTAAGTGAAAGTGAAGAGAGGCTGGGATGAAGGGTGCAAAGGAATAGTAAAGAAAGCATGTTTTAGATCTAGAACAGAATAATGGGTTATAAAGGGAGGTACTGAGGATAGGAGAGTATATGGGTTTGGCACCATGGGGTGGAGAGGCAAAACAATTTGGTTGATAAGGCTCAGATCCTGAACTAACCTGTAAGCCTTGTCTGGTTTCAGGACAGGTAAAATGGGGGAATGGTAAGGAGCATTTATAGGCTTTAAAAGGCCATGCTGTAACAGGCGAGTGATAACAGGCTTTAATCTTTTTAAAGCGTGCTATGGGATGGGATATTGGCATTGAGCGAGGTAAGCGTGATTAGGTTTTAATGGGATGGTAAGGGGTGCATGATCGGTCACTAAGGAGGGAGTAGAGGTGTCTTATACTTGTGGGTTAAGGTGGGGAGATACAAGGGGAGGATGTGAAGGAGGCTTTGAACTGGGGGAAAAGGTGGCAATGAGGTGTGGCTGTAGCCTAGGAATAGTCAGGGAAGCAGATAATTTAGTTACAGTGTCTGGTCCTAATAAGGGAACTGGGCAGGTGGGGATAACTAAAAAGGAATGCTTAAAAGAGTATTGTCTAAGTTGGCACCAGAGTTGGGGAGTTTTAAGAGGTTTAGAAGCCTGGCCATCAATATGCACAACAGTTATGGAAGCAAGGGAAACAGGCCCTTGAAAAGAAGGTAATGTGGAGTGAGTAGCCTCTGTATTGATTAAGAAGGGGATGGACTTACTTTCTACTGTGAGAGTTACTTAGAGCATCTGTGATGGTCCTGTAGGCTTCTGAGGCAATCGGGCAGTGTCAGTCTTCAGCTGCTAAGCCAAGAAGATCTGGGAAGGAGTCAGTCAGAGAGCCTTGGGCCAGAGTTCGAGGGGCTTTGGAAGCGGCTGCCAGGTGAGTTGAACAGTCTTATTTTCAGTGGGGTCCTGCACACATGGGAGATGGCTTAGGAGGAATCCTGGGCTATGGGCATTCCTTGGCCCAGTGGCCAGATTTCTGGCACTTGTAGCAAGCTCCTGGGGGAGGAGGTTCTGGAGGAACTCCTGGCAGCTGCGGTTCAGGTGTTTGGAGTTCTTGTGTGCTGGAGATCTGGTTGGGGTTTGTCTTACAGTGGAGGAAAGGAATTGCAACTCAGAAATATGTTGTTACTTGGCTGCCTCTATTTTATTATTGTACACCTGAAGGTGAGGTTAATTAAGTCCTGTTGTGGGGTTTGAGGGATGGAATTCAATTTTTGGAGTTTTATTTAATGTTGGGAGCAGATTGGGTAATAAAATGTATATTGAGAATAAGACGGCCTTTTGACCTTTTAGGGTCTAGAGCTGTAAAGCATCTCAGGGTTGCTGACGAACGAGCCATGAACTGGGCTGGGTTTTTCATATTTGATGAAAGAGCCTAAACACTCACTGATTTGGGAGAGGTCTGATAAAGAAAAAGGAGCATTAACCTTGACTATGCCTTTAGCTTCAGCCACCTTTTTAAGAGGAAATTGCTGGGCAGGTGGGGGAGGGCTGCTCACGGAATGAAACTGTAAACTGGATTGGGTGTGAGGAGGAGAGGTGATAAAAAGATTACAGGGTGGAGGAGCAGAGGCTGAGGAAGAATTGGGACCTAGCTCGGCCTGGTGAGGCGCAGCCTGGGGAGGAGGGGAGAGGTCAGATGGGTCTGTAGAAAAGGAAGAGTAGAAAGACTTATGGATGCTTGGGGTTGGGACTGAGGGGACAGGTGGGAGGGAAAGAAGGAGGATTCGGGAGGAATCACATTGGGAACAGAGACTAGGGAGGGAACGAATTGTGAAAAATGCCTGGACATAAGGCACTTCAGACCATTTGCCTATTTTTCGACAAAAATTATTTAGGTCTTGTAGGATGGAGAAATCAAAAGTGCTGTTTTCTGGCCATTCAGAGCCATTGCCAAGTTTGCACTGGGGCCAAGCAGTGTTGCAGAAGAAAATAAGGCATTTAGGTTTTAGGTCAGGTGTGAGTTGAAGAGGTTTTAAGTTTTTGAGACACAGGCTAAGGGAGAAGAAGGAGGAACGGAGGGTGGAAGTTTCCCTATAGTGAAGGAAGCAAGCCTAGAGAAAAGAGAGAGTAGAGATATGGAGGGAAGGGGTTTGGGGGTTCTTACCCTCCAGAAAAGCAGGAAAGGGGTTGGGGTGCAGAGATATGAGGTCAGGGTGCAGAAATAAGGGATCAGGGCGCAGAGATATGAGGTAGGGGTGCAGAAATGAGGGATTGGGGAGCAGAGATATGAGGTTGGGGTACTTGTCCATCCTCTAGAGAAGTGGGACTTGCCACTTAGGGTGAAGGAGAAGGGGTTGGGGGTTTCTTGTCCCTCCCCCAGAAAAGCAGAGAAGGGGTAGATACACGGAGAGAAGGGGTTGGGGTACTTGCCTTTCCCCCAGAAAAGCAGACTTGCCACTAAGGGTGAAGGACCAAGGCAGGCGGCGTCCCTGCGTGGTCTGACACCTCTGAAACGAGGGTGAATAATCAGAGAGGCATCCCTGCAATGATTAAACACCAAGGGAAGGCTGCCTTCCCAGTTTGTGACTGGCGCCGGAGTTTTGGGTCCATGGATAAAACGTGTCTCCTTTGTCTCTACCAGAAAATGAAAGGAATTGAAATTAAGAGAAGGGAGAGATTGAAGTGTGGTGCCAAGATTGAAAGGAGAAAGAGGTTGAGGGATAGTGAAGGAGATTGGAGAAGAGAGTAAAAAGAGGTGACTTACCAGATTTGAAATTGGTGAGATGTTTCTTGGGCTGGTCGGTCTGAGGACCTGAGGTCGTAGGTGGATCTTTCTCATGGAGCAAAGAGCAGGAGGACAGGGGATTGATCTCCCAAGGGAGGTCCCCCGATCTGAGTCATGGCACCAAATTTTACTCACGTCCATTTGAAGAGACCACCAAGCAGGCTTTGTGTGAGCAATAAAGCTTTTAATCACCTGGGTGCAGGCAGGTTGAGTCCGAAAAGAGAGTCAGCAAAGGGAGATAGGGTGGGACCGTTTTATAGGATTTGGGTAGGTAAAGGAAAAAGGGGGGTTGTTCTCTGGCGGGCAGGAATGGGGGTCACAAGGTGCTCAGTAGGGGAGCTTTTGAGCCAGGATGAGCCAGGAGAAGGAATTTCACAAGATAATGCCATCAGTTAAGGCAGGAACAGGCCATTTTCATTTCTTTTGTGGTGGAATGTCATCAGTTAAGGCAGGAACTGGCCATCTGGATGTGTACATGCAGGTCACAGGGGATATGATGGCTTAGCTTGGGCTCAGAGGCCTGACAGTATTCTGTTGTATAAATGTACCACAGTTTGTTTATCCATTTACCTTTATTCAGGGACATAGTGATTGTTTCCAGTTTTTGACATTTATAAATAAATTTTCTATAAATATTCACTTGCTATTTTTTGTGTGAATATAAATTTTCAAATCTGTTTGGTAGATACCTAGGGGCATAAGTGCTGAATCATGTGGTAAGACTATGTTCAGCTTTGTAAGAAACTGTCAAACTGTCTTCCAAAATGGGTGTTACATTTTGCATTCCTACCAGCAATGAATGAGTGTTCCTGTTACTCTACATCCTCACCATCAATTGGCATGGTCAATATTTTGAATTCAGCCATCCTAATAGGTATGTAATATATTCCATTGTTATTTTTATTTACATTTTCCTAATAATGGATGGTGCTGAGCATCTTTTCATATGCTTATTTTCCATCTGCATATTTTTTCTTATGAGATGTTCATATCTTTTGCCCACTTTTTAGTTGGGTTGTTTGTTTTCTTATTGTTGAGTTGTAAGAGTTCTTTGTATACTTTGGACAAAAGTTCTTTATCGGTTGCGTGTTTTGCAAATACTTTTCCCAGTTTGTGACTTGTGTTTTTATTCTCTTAGCAGTGACTTTGGCAAAGCAGAAGTTTTTACTTTTAATAAAGTCCAATTTATTAATTTTTTCTTTCATTTATCATGTTTTTCATGTTGTAAGGTCTACAACAATTTTTTTGCTTACTTTTAAATAAATAGACTTTACATCAAAAACTGTTTCAAATTTTTATTTCAAAAATTAAAATGTCAGGTACAAGAGTCAGTCCTTCAATCTTTATCTAAAGTGAAATCTTCCCCCACTTCCCTAACATTTGTGGCAGTTTCCTACTCTCGGAATTAGGGGTATGACTGGCATCTACTCTGACATCCCTCATCACAACTTTAACTCTTTAGCTCCTGTTTGGATCTTCAATGAGAAGCGAGTCAAAGAGAGGGAAGAGAGTTAAGAGTTCTTAACTTGCTGGGGTGACTTCATCCTTTCTGGCTTGGGCAGATAGATGAAGCTAACTTTGTTTTATGGGTGTTTTCAGTGGCTCTGCAGAGGCTCTCCAAGGACCTCTTGCCATAATCCTCAAAACAAAGGGGATACATTTGATCAGTGTTCCAGGAAACACTCTGCCCTCGGCCTCTTGTTTACTGCTGATCCATTCCACTGTGGTTTGCATGCTAGAGTCTATTCTCTCCCCCAGTAACTCCAGTTCTACTCTCTGTCTCCATGTGACTGACATCTTGTTCACAGAGAACACTCAGGCATTCTTTTTTCCTCAGACACACTGAAGCAATTCAGGTAATTCTAGCATGGCAACCTTCTCTTTGCTATGCCACCAAAGCAGTGGTTCAGTCCTTATCCTACCTCCTATGAGCACCTGGACCAGACACATGTCCACAGTGTCCCTGGATTCCAGGGGACAGAGAATCTCAAGGAAACTCCTTTATTAGTTGAAATTAAGAAAATAGAAACTCACATATCTCATCTCTCAGGGGGGTGGGAGATAAATAGGCAACAGCTCTCTACAAATTTTTTTTTCAAAAATTTTTCTCCTCCAAATCTGAGCCCTTTTTATATCCTTGATTTAGCTGAGGAATTCAGGAAAAGAAGACATGGTTTGAAGTCTGTCTCATACTTTGATGTTACTCTGATAGCCATAGAATTGGTCCCTCAGTGAGATTGAAACTAGAGTCCAATTTTCCTCTTAGGTAAGTAACACTCCCAGATCCTAGGGATCAGAGGCTTTCAGGTAGAGAAACAGGTAGTTAACCCAGAATAGCCACTTCAAAGGAAGAGTACCTAGCTCTTAGTAGAAAACAGGTAATAATCCCAGACATAGTCACTTCAAAGGAAGAGCTATCTAGCTCTGTCTCTCAGAAATGCTGTATGCATTTTTAGATCTTACACATGCAAATGAATTTTATTAGCCAGATGCTTGATTTTCTAGGGGAAGCTGGAATCTCTTCTCTCCCTTTTTTGCTGAGTCTCCTTTTCTCACTTTAATTACTGTCTCATTAAAGTTCCTTTCCTCTGTCAGTCCCTAAGGGCATTTGCTAGGTTATTGCTTCTGGTACTTCTCATTACTTCTTGTAAATCCAAGATATAGAAAACTTAAAAAAAATACTGGACTCTTATCCGGCAACCATGCTAAATTCAGTAATTCATTTTAGTAGATTTCTTTTGTAGATTCCTTAGGATTTTCTATGTACATCACTATGTCATCTGCAAATAAAAAAGGTTTTACTTCTTTCTAATATATATGACTTTTATATATTTTCCTTGTTTTAATGCACTAATTATGTTTTTGTGTACAATAGTAAAGAAGTGGTGAACATGGATACGCTTGCCTTGTTTAGGATGTTAAGTAGAAAGCATTCAGACTTTCACTATCATGTATGATATCTGTCATAGGTTTTCTCTAGATACATATTTTCTTCTATTCTTAGAGTGCTTAGAGTATTAATGAATAGGTGGCTGAATTTTATCAAATGATCTTTTCTTATATATTGAGATGATAATGTGGGTTTCCTTATTCTTTATTCTACAAGTATGGTAAATTACATTAATTAATTTTAAAATGGTGAAACAACCTTGCATCCTTGAGACAAATCTTGTCATTGTGTGTGTGTACACAAAATTCTTATCCTGCAACCATACTAAATTCAGTAATTCACTTTAGAAGAATGCACATAATTCTTGGTTGACAGTCTTTTAGAATTTTAAAAATGTTATCCTAGGCTGGGCATGGTGGCTTATGCCTATAATCCCAGCACTTTGGGAGGCCAAGGCAGGAGGTTTGCTTGAGCCCAAGAGTTGGAGTCCTGCCTGAGCAACATAGGGAGACCTCATCTCTGCAAAAATAAAAAAATTAGCCAGGCATGGTGGCACATGCTTGTGGTCCCAGCTACCTGGTGGGCTGAGATGGAATGATCACTTGGGCCCAGGAGGTCAAGGCTGCAGTGAGTCATGATTACACCATTGTATTCCATCCTGGGTGACAGAATGAGACCCTGTTTAAAAAAAAAAAAAGTTTTTCTGGTCATGGTGGCTCATAACTGTAATCCCAGCATTTGGGAGCTGATGTGGGAGGATCACTTGAGGCCAGGAGCTTGAGACCAGCCTGGGCAACATGACAAAACACCATCTTTACAAAAAATTAAAAAATTAGTTGGGTGTGGTGGCACATGGCTGTAATCCCAGCTACTCGGGAGGCTGAGGTGGGAGGATCACTTGTGCTCAGGAGTTCGAGGCTTTGATGAGTCATGATTACACCACTGCCCCACATCTTGGGTGGCATAACAAGACTCTGTCTCTTAAAAAAAAAAAAAGGTCTGGGCACGGTGGCTCACACCTGTAATCACAGGACTTTGGGAGGCCAAGGTGGGAGGATCATGAGGTCAAAATATAGAGAGCATCCTGGCCAACATGGTGAAACCCTGTCTCTACTAAAAATACAAAAAATTAGCTGGGTGTGGTGGCACATCCCTGTAGTCCCAGCTACTTGGGAGGCTGAGGCAGGAGAATTGCTTGAACCTGGGAGGTGGAGGTTGCAGTGAGCAGAGATTGCGCCACTGCACTCCAGCCTGGGCAACAGAGCAAGCAAGGCTCTGTCTCAAAAAAAAAAAAAAAATAGTTATTCTGCTGTGTTCTGACCACCATGATTTCTAAGAGAAATCTTCATTCATTTGAATTGTTGTTTTTCTCTAGCTACTTCAAGATTTTTTTTCCAAATATTTGGTTTTCAGCAATTTCATTATTATATGCCCAGGCTTTTTTTTTCTTTGAATATATTCTCTCTGAATTTCAGTGAACTTCTTTAACCTGAATGTTGATGCTTTTTACCAAATTTGAGAAGTTTTCAGGTATATTTTTTCTTCAAATATTTTTTCTGTCATGTTCTCTTTCTTCTGTACTTTTTAGACTCCAATGAGATGTATATTAGACCTTTCGATGTTGTCCTGTAAGTTCCTACATCTCTATTTTTTTGTCAAGGTTTTTCTTTTTGTTCTTCTAATTTTTTTAAAAATCTATTTTTAAGTTTACTAACTTGTACTCCGTCATAAACATTCTATTTAGCCTACCCAATGAATATCCTATTTCACGTTTTATTTTTCATTTTTGAAATTTCCCTTTCTTTTTTCATAGTTTTTTTTTTTCCTCTGTTAACAAGTTTTCTTTCTTTTTATTTTAATTTTATTTTTTTTTAAAGGTTTTTTTTTTTTTATTATACTCTAAGTTTTAGGGTACATGTGCACATTGTGCAGGTTAGTTACATATGTATACATGTGCCATGCTGGTGCGCTGCACCCACTAACGTGTCATCTAGCATTAGGTATCTCTCCCAATGCTATCCCTCCCGCCTCCCCCGACCCCACCACAGTCCCCAGAGTGTGATATTCCCCTTCCTGTGTCCATGTGATCTCATTGTTCAATTCCCACCTATGAGTGAGAATATGCGGTGTTTGGTTTTTTGTTCTTGCGATAGTTTACTGAGAATGATGGTTTCCAATTTCATCCATGTCCCTACAAAGGACATGAACTCATCATTTTTTATGGCTGCATAGTATTCCATGGTGTATATGTGCCACATTTTCTTAATCCAGTCTATCATTGTTGGACATTTGGGTTGGTTCCAAGTCTTTGCTATTGTGAATAGTGCCGCAATAAACATACGTGTGCATGTGTCTTTATAGCAGCATGATTTATAGTCCTTTGGGTATATACCCAGTAATGGGATGGCTGGGTCAAATGGTATTTCTAGTTCTAGATCCCTGAGGAATCGCCACACTGACTTCCACAATGGTTGAACTAGTTTACAGTTCCACAACAGTGTAAAAGTGTTCCTATTTCTCCACATCCTCTCCAGCACCTGTTGTTTCCTGACTTTTTAATGATTGCCATTCTAACTGGTGTGAGATGATATCTCATAGTGGTTTTGATTTGCATTTCTCTGATGGCCAGTGATGATGAGCATTTCTTCATGTGTTTTACTTCAGGTGAGACCACCTTTATCTCATGAAGCAAAGTGATAATAGCTTACTGAAAGTCTGATAATTTTAATATCTGGGCCCTCCTTGGGTTGGCATCTCCTGACTGTCATTTTTCCTTGAAAATTTGTCACATTTTCTTGGTTCTTTGTTCGTCGTATAATTTTGGATTGTATCCTAGCCATTTTGAATATTGTGTTGCTTAGACTTGAACCCCCTTATAATTCTGTAAAGAATGTTGATTTTTCGTTTTAGCAGGAAATCGATCCACTTCAGTTTAGCCTACAAGTTCTGTCTCTTCCATTTTGACCAGTGGTTTCAATCTCAGTTCAGTTTTCAAATCTTTGCTCTGCTGTTTCAGGTTTATCTCACGTATGCGCCATTCAGACTGGCCACTGAGTGGTTTAAATTTTTAATTTAGTTCTCAATGACTTTGCCGTGTTTCTACGAGTCTGTCCCACGCATGTGAAGCTTGGGGTAAGCCCAGGACCTATGCTGATTCAAGATAGGAATAATACAGGGTGGTGGCAGGAGAATAGAAAATTCCAGGCAGCGGTTTCGGATGACTAACAAAAAGGGAACTGTTGAAATAGCTGCCTAAGGTAGGGGCCAATAAGATCCTGAAAATCAGGGTGTGGGCCAAGCTGGCTAAGACCAACTGGACCCAATATGGTACTGAATTGACCTAGGTTTCTCCTAGGACCTCATTATATGCTCATTAACAAACTAAATCACACAACCACTAGCATCATGACAGTTCCAGGAACACTCACATTTGGTATAAAAATGGGTGACACCACAGTTCAAGAAATCTTCACCTTTGTCCAGGAATCTTCATGAATATTCCACTCCTTAAAGAAATCCATAAAGGTAGAAACCTCAAACCCAACTGTGCATCTCTCTGGAGTACTCCCACTCTCCCCTGTACTTTTTACTTTGTAGTAAATCTCCACACTCTCATTATTTTCTGACTCATCCTTGAATTCCTTCTTGCCATGCTGTCAAGAGTCTGGACATCAGCTGGGGTTGAGGTCCTACCAGCATTTGGGAACCTTCCCCAGCCCACCAATAGCAGGTTCACACACAGAATTAAGAAGTCCCCTTTCGCCGGGTGCGGTGGCTCACACCTGTAATCCCAGCACTTTGGGAGGCCGAGGCGGGGGGGATCATGAGGTCAGGAGATCGAGACCATCCTGGCTAACACTGTGAAGCCCCGTCTCTACTAAAAATACAAAAAAAAAATTAGTTGGGCGTGATGGCGGGCGCCTGTAGTCCCAGCCACTCGGAGGCTGAGGCAGGAGAATGGCCTGAACTCGGGAGGCAGAGGTTGCAGTGAGCTGAGATCGCGCCACTGCACTCCAGCCTGGGCTACAGAGCGAGACTGCGTCTCAAAAAAAAGAAGTCCCCTTTCCAGACTCTCTCGTCCTCAGGGCACCCCCCCAACCACACACACACACACACACACACACACACACACACACACACACACACACTCCTCCAGCTCACAGAGGCCCCTTATCAGGTTTCTCTGGCCAAAATTATGGAGTTTTGATTGAAATTTTAGGTATCTACACTACTGTTCTACCATGCAGCTTGGCAACTGGGGCAAAACCTGGAGAAAAAAGGAAAAAGCACCCCCAAACCTGGGAGTGCTACCCCTTAGAGTATCACTTCTCCAAGTTTTGACTCACCTCCACAATCGGCTTTTTTTTTTTTTTCACTTTTGAGAGTCCTTAAATAGTTGCTTTTAGAATTTTGTTTAGAGTTTTTAGTTGTGATCAGTGGGAGAGTTAGGCTGTTGCGGCTTCAGCAGCCTTGGTGGTCAGACCTCTGTGCTCAGTTCTTTTGGCTCCCAGGTTCTGCTTTGTTAAGCCTGGCTCCCTGGAGGCTCCCTTGTATTTGCATATTTGAGTGGTAAGCCAAGGATTTTGGCAAAATTTATATTCAGATTTTAAATCTCAGTCTTTCTGTAGAGTTCTAATGTCCAGAATTTCCCTCTTAAATTTTCAGCTGTTCTACCTCTCTGAAACCTGTGTGGCCCTCCCCGATGGCAAGGCTGCCATAGTTAGTTCCTCAGCAGAGCTTGGCAAAGTTGGGGAGCTCCAAGAAGAAAGAGCCATAAACTTTCATTTCTTACCTGATATATTATTGGTCATTCAGGAGTAAACTCTTCACAAGTGCCTGCCAGTCACTCGAACTTTTTGTAGTACCTTCAAATAGTTGTTTTTAATAATTTTGTCCAGTTTTTATAATTGTTATCTTTAAGAGGAATTGTATGACCTTCTTATGTCATCATTACAGAAGTCCCATCTATCCCTTGTGTGATTTTTTAAGTAACATCTATTTCTCTGCAGAGATTTTCCATCTGTTCCTCCATTTTGAATATATTTTCTTTTAAAATATTAAAATATTATAATAGTTGTGCTTTAAATCTTCTTGTCTGCAAATTGCAACATCTAGGTCATCTCCAGACTGGTTTCCATTGCCTGATTTTCCTGTAGAGGGTCATATTTATCTGTTTTTTTGGTATGTCTAGTGATTTCTCATTGATTGCCTACTGGACATTATAGTGGCATGTTAGAGAGAGATTTTATATTTCCCTGAAGAGTTTTGTTTTTCTTTTTTTGGTCTTGCGGGACGTTAACCTTGATGCCCCTTGTGGTGGGCAGCAGCTGAAATCTCTACCCACTTTCTTCAGCTTTCTTCTGCCGCTTTTTAGCTGGGCTCTCTGAGGCCTCCAACACATGCACACTTTAGTTGTCTGCACAGGATTTGGACCCAGTGTATATTCATATTTTAGGATTCATCCCTTCTGCACCTCTCTCTCCCCTGCAGTTTCCCCCCTAACTTTCCTACCACTCTACAAGCCCTGAGCTTTCTTTTTCTCTTCAAATTTTTTTTTTTTTTTTTTTTTGAGACGGAGTCTGGCTCTGTTGCCCAGGCTGGAGTGCAGTGGCGCGATCTCGGCTCACTGCAAGCTCCGCCTCCCGGGTTCACGCCATTCTCCTGCCTCAGCCTCCCGAGTAGCTGGGACTACAGGCACCCGCCACCACGCCCGGCTAATTTTTGTATTTTTAGTAGAGACGGGGTTTCACTGTGTTAGCCAGGAAGGTCTCGATCTCCTGACCTTGTGATCCACCCGCCTTGGCCTCCCAAAGTGCTGGGATTACAGGCGTGAGCCACCGCGCCGGCCTCTTCAACTTTTATCTTAAGTTCTGAGGCACATGTGGGTGATGTGCAGGTTTGTTACATAGATAAATGTGTGTCTTGGTGGTTTGTTGCACAGATCATCCCATAACCTAGGTATTAAGCCCAGCATCCATTAGCTATTCTTCCTGATGCTCCCCCTCTCCCAACCCCACTCCTGACAGGCCCCAGTGTGTGTTGTTCCCCACCATGTGTCCATGTGTTCTCACCATTCAGCTCCCACTTATAAGTGAGAATATGCGATGTTTGGTTTTCTGTTCCTGCATTAGTTTGCTGAGAATAACCGCTTCCAGCTCCATCCATACCCCTGCAAAGGACATCATCTTGTTCCTTTTTATGGAAGCCCTGAAATTTGTCCCTTGAGTTTCGTGTATATTGGGGAATGTCTCAGATTCCCAAATCACACCAATTGTAATTGCTGTATTTTGAGGGTGGACCCCTATTCAATTTCTACAGGGCCTTCATACAGTTGTTTTAATATTTTTTTCCATATTTTTAGTTGTTACTACAGAATCTGACCAAGCTTTTTGGCCATTACCACTCTTATGAGTTTTAAAGTTGTTTCTCAGCTTAGGCTTTCCATACCCTGTGATTATTGTGAATTTGGCCTTACATCCAAACATGGAGCTGTCCTCGATTTCCAGTTTCTTGTGGGTAACTCTATTTTTCCATCCATGGTGCAGGATGAATGAGAAGCTTCTATATCATTACTCATGCCAGTAGTCCCCCTTCCACCATTCACTCTGATAGCACATATATAGGCTTCTACCTTTAGGCAGGGAGTTCCAGCTTCCCCTTCCCCACCCATGAATGTAGCCTCCATATTCATAAAGGCAATATAAATTCAGCGTCTAAAATGTATATTAAATCCTGATATCACCATGAGCAGTTATCGCATCAATTCCTACTCCCCATTTAGATGTTAGTTTACTTCTTGTTGATGACATCTGGACCTTTCCATTTCTTAGTTTTAAAGAACTTTTCTATCTGTTTATAGTAGTCACAGAGCATCTTGCATCTGCCTTATCATGCATCTTTAACAAAAGTCCCATAATTCACTTTGCATAAGTATTCCTTGAAGAAGTTTTTAAAATCCACCTTCTCTTACGTATTAATTATTTAAGACATGGTGTGCAACTTAGTCACTTAAAAGCTTACTTAGGTGTCACCATAAACAGAAAATCAAGCAGAAAAGATGCACACATTTCAGACATGATGTGTATTCCAAGAGAATTTGCAATTTAAATAAATGAAAGCATATTCAGGCCGGGCATGGTGGATCACACGTGTAATCCCAGCACTTTGGGAGGCCGAGGTGGGAGGAGGTCAGGATATCAAGACCATCCTGGCCAACATGGTGAAACCCTGTCTCTACTAAAAAAATACAAAAAAGTTAGCCGCTTGTGGCGGTGTATGACTGTAGTCCCAGCTACTTGGGAGACTGAGGCAGGAGAATTGCTTGAACCTGGGAGGCAGAGGCTGCAGTGAGCTGAGACTGCACCACTGCACTCCAGCCTGGTGACAGAGCGAGACTCTGTCTCAAAAAAGAAAAAAAAAAAGCATATTCAGAAAAAAAAATGATGAGAGACCACTACACACCTATTAGAGTGGCCCAAATTCTGAACAATGACAACACCAAGTGCTGATGAGGATGTGGAGTAACAGGAGCTCCCATTCATCGTTGGTGGGGGCGCAAAAAGTTGTACAGCCACTTTGGAGGAGAGTTTGATGGTTTCTTACAAAATTAAACATACTCTAATCATAATATTCAGCAACTGCACATCTTGGTTTTTACCCAAAAACTTTGAAAATTTATGTCCACACAAAATCCTGCATGTAAATGTTTATTTTGGCAAGCTTTATTTATACTTGCCAAAATCTAGAAGCAAACAAAATGTCCTTTAGTAGGTGAATGGACAGACAAACTGTGGTACATCCAAACGAGGTAATATTATTCAGTGCTAAAATGAATGAGCTATCAAGCCATGAAAAGACATGATGGAAAACTTAAGTACATATTACTAAATGAAAGAAGCCAGTCTGAAAAGGCTACATACATACTGTAGGATTCCAACCATATGACAGTCTGAGATAGGCAGAACTATAAAGACTTTAAAAAGATCAGTGGTTTCCAGGGGCTGGGGGAAGGGAATAATGAATTAATTAATGAATTAATGAGCATAGAGAATTTTTAGAGCAGCAAAACTACTATGTATAATACTATAATGGTGGATACATGACTTATCCAATGTCCAATGTTTACACAAATGTCCAACACCAAGATTGAACTTCAATGTAAACTGTGGACTTGGGATGACAGTGATGTATCTTTAGGTTCATCAGTTGTAACAAATGTATCACTCTGGTGGGGGATGTTGATCATGAGGGAGGCTGTGTGTGTGCGCAGGCAGAGGATATATGGGAAATCTATACCTAAAACTGCTGTTTAAAAAATGAAGCCTTTTAAAAACAACAAGCAAAACCCATGAGTAATTACCTCACTTACAATGCTCCACTTCCTCACTTCTCCCAGACTTTGCTTCCAAACCCTCACCAGTTCCTACTTTTGTTGGTTAAATAATCATTTTTAATTATATCCAGTGGTATTGTATTGGTCTGTTAAAGCTGCCATAGCAAAAACAAACAAACAAAAAAAAAAAAAACAAAAAAACACAGGCTGGAGGGCTTTATACAAGCTTGTCCAACCCACGGGCTGCAGGCTGCATGCAGCCCAGGATGGCTTTGAATGCAGCCCAACACAAATTCGTAAACTTTCTTAAAACATTATGAGATTTTTAAAAAGCATATCAGCTGTCACTAGTGTTAGTGTATTTTATGAGTGGTCGAAGACAATTCTTTTCCTTTCAGTATGGCCCAGGGAAGCCAAAAGATTGGACACCCCTGGCAATAGAAATTTACTTTTTCACAATTCTAGAGGCTGGAAGTTCAAGATCAAGGTGACATCAGGCTTGATGTCCAGTGAGGGCTCTCTTTTTGGCTTGTAGATATCTGTCTTCTTGCTGTGTCCTCACATGGGTTTTCTTCTGTGTGTATGCAGAGGGAGAGAAAGAAAGAGAGAGAAATCTGGTATTTCTTCCTCTTTTTGTGAGGACACTGGTTCGATTAGGTTAGGGCCCATCCTTATGATTTCATTTAGTCGTAATTACTTCCCCAAAGACCCTACCTCCAAATACAGTCGCACCACAGGCTAAGTCTTGAACACATGATTTTTTTTTTTGTGGGGGGGGGAAATTCAGTCTATAACAAGTATTATTATAAATAATTTTCTTAAACTTCCATTTCTGTTTTATCACATTTACACCACTTACTTTGATTACTCGCCATGAAAAATGACCAAAGCAGCTTCCTACATTTACTTCTAAGAAGAAGTCATTGTGGTTGGCCAGAGATTCAAACTTCAAGTCACTTTAAAGTGGGGAATGTTAGAAAGGGCTCAGGTGTCTGATGTGAACAGGACCAATCCATACACTTAAAAAGAGAAAAGAGGACTTTATGGTACTTTGAGTGAGTGCCCAGACAGCCGCAATTTGCTTATTAAGAGGAAGCTAAACCTTCAGTGAAAAATGACTACTTAATTATATTGTAAGGTTGTATATAGGAAACATGTCACTTTTGATAAAAATGTAATTTGGAGGGCAATTAGGTTCCAGTATAAACATTTTCACATACGTCATTCTGAGGGATTTGTCAGTCTTGGGAATGCTTCTTGAAAATGTCAAGGATCTGCTGTCTTGTGTCAATGAGACCCTAGCAGTGAGTCTGCTAGGGTCAGACTAACTGGGCCTTAAATCCAGCTAAGTCATTTACAACGGCTTGCTTTTTCTTCTTTTGAAGGTATAATAATGCAAGTTGGGTGTATGTTGTTTGGTGAATATTTGGCATTCCATGTGGTGCTACAAATAGACATATCTGAGGCAGTGCAGGATGTAAAGCTGCCCTCAAACTTCAGCATGAATAAAAAAGCACAGCAATCGGAACAAAGCACAAAGAAGAGGTGTCCAGTCATTAGGAAAGCAAGCTAGTTTCTTTTTCATAAATTCTATTCAAGAAAAAATGATTTTTGAGCCTCAGTCCCTTGGCAATGAATAATTTTATTTTGTTACCCCCAAAATACATTTTATTTTTACCAACTGGGGCATGATCTTGAAAGTCAGAAATGAATCACTGTTGTCCATGAGTCCAAAGGATGGAGCTGTTTGTGATGAAGAATGGTGACATAAGTATTTTGAAATAACATTTTAATTTCGTATTATTTCAAGCTTTTCCAGCTCAACTAAATAAGCTGCAATGAGTTGAAATAAAAGCAAGAAACAACTAGGTTTTGACAGCAAAGAGATGTTCTCAGAGTAGTCCCAGTGAGAGGCTTCAAGACATGAAATTGTTTCCTCAGGAAGGCTGAAAAATTTCTCCTTGGAGGTGCTTGTCTGGGAAACAGGGCTCAGTGGGAGGTCCTTTGCCAGGTATTTGTCTCATCCTGTGGCTCTGAAGCCAGGAGAGGCAGTAGGATGCAGTGGTTAATGTCATGGCTCTGCTAGGGTCAGACTAACTGGGCCTTAAATCCATCTAAGCCATTTACTACTATGTGCCCTTGGGCAACTAAATTAACTTCTCTGAGCCTCAATTCATTATCTGTAAAATAGGTTATTGTAAGGATTAAATAATGCAGGTAAAGTGCTTACACTTTTGTAATCATTCAACAAATGATAGCTCTTATTATCACCTATCAGATTCCCTAAATAGCTCAAAATGAAATTATGAAATGAACATCAAGGGAACAAAAACTGTGGGCATTGTGCTAACAGGACTTTCCATTCACTTTCTCACTTAATTTTCACAACAGCCCTTGAGGCTTTATTTTTCCCGTTCTTCACCTCCGTTTGTTCTCATCCTCGAGGCTTTTGTTATGGTTGGTGATTTGTTTGTTTAGAGGACATCCGAGGAAATATGTTTGAAGACCACTGGTGAAGCACGCGAGTGGATATCAAGAAGCTTCAACTCCATTCTTTTCTAAGGCTGCCTTGCACATGGATGAACACTATCCTCCTTCGCATGATCTTGGCTCTTAAAACTGTGCTACCTCCCACACTGAGGAGCCACCATCTCTCTTGATAAACTTGTTCCCACATCAGAAGAAAAAGCATCTCTGTTTCCTCCATTGTCATTACACTTTCCCAAGCGTCTCATCCTGAGCAGTCAACCCCATCTTGCTCACCCACAGGAATGAGCTCTTTTTATCATACTCATAGGTGTGTTTATGTATGCTGTTGTATGTTGGGTATAGCAGCATTTTACAGGGTCTCATTTTTAGTAATTACCCCTCCAGCTAGAGGGTTTTCATAAGCATGAATACCTCAGCTGACAGGTAAACGATCAGTTATAAATTCAGCAGTTCATATTCTCAGCGAGCTGGAACTGGGGTGAGGCAAGTTAGGTGCAAGGATGCAAATTTTTATTTTATTTTATTTTATTTATTTATTTTTTATTATACTTTAAGTTCTGGGATACATGTGCAGAATGTGCAGGTTTGGTACATAGGTATACACGTACCATGGTGGTTTGCTGCACCCATCAACTCGTCATCTACATCAGGTATTTCTCCTAATGCTATCCCTCCCCTAGCCCCCCACCCCCTGAAAGGACACAAATTTAAGCAGGCACTTGCACAACCCTGAGAATGAGCATCTCTAAATTTTGTACCCACTATGCCTCCCCTTGGAAAACACGATGGTCTCCAAACTGGCCTCTATGTGCCAGCCTTGCCCCTCCAATTAACTCCTCATGCCATGTATTAAAATGACTCAAAGCCAAACTTGTCATGCCTTGCTTAAAACTCTTTCTTGGGCCAGGCGCGGTGGCTCACGCCTGTAATTCCAGCACTTTGGGAGGCCGAGGCGGGTGGATCACAAGGTCAGGAGATCGAGACCATCCTGGCGAACACGGTGAAACCCTGTCTCTACTAGAAATATAAAACAATTAGCCAGGCGTGGTGGTGTGCACCTATAGTCTCAGCTACTCAGGAACCTGAGGCAGGAGGATGGCGTAAACCTGGGAGGTGGAGCTTGCAGTGAGCCGAGATAGTGCCACTGCACTCCAGCCTGGGCGACAGAGCAAGACTCTGTCTCAAAAAAAACAAAACAAAACAAAACAAAAAACTCTTTCATGGCTCCTGTTGCCTACCTACCTATGGAGCCTCACCTCTCACCTTCTCTCCCTGCCTTGGCTCCTGCAAAGCCCAGACCTGGTAACCTCATTCACAAAATGGGGATGACAATAATACTAACCTCCCAAGGGCTATGGAGAGGACCGAGAAAGATAATGTGTGTATTCATATTTACTGAAATGGTGGAGGCTGAAGGTTAATCTTTACAGAAGTCTATTTCCAAACATAATAGCTTTGTGCTGCCCTGAAAACCAAAATTTTTAAGAATATGCTTACCCTCTACTCTGTGCGCTGTGTTTTAACAAGTGATTTTGCCAAGCAAGTGAGTCACATTTTCCCTAAGGCCAAACAGCTCTTAATGTTGTTTATGTAATCACCTGCCTTTGCTACATTCTGTATTTCCTTTTATCTGTAGTGGTTTATGGCTCTCCTGATAGAAAATTATTTCTCATTGAATTTAAAATATTATGGTAGGTGCCAAGAATTCAGAAATGGTTAGAGAAGCAAGGAAGTTATTGGAATGTTAAGGAGTTCTAGAAAACTGTGGAAAGGAGAAAAACACCTCAAACAGCCAAATATCAGAAGTCTCCTTGCTTGCCCATTTGTTTTATTATAGGATGTGAGGTGTATTAGTGGTGGGACTGGGGAGGGGTGGCATTGGTAGAATGTTGCAGAAGATATTATCATAATGAAAAGAGCCTGATCTGTACAGCTTTTGTAAAAGTTTCCTTTTCCGAGATAGACTCGAGGCTTTGTGTGTCCTGTTTCTCCCAAGTTCTGTTCGGCCACCTGAGAAAATCTTTTAAGATTCTATTAACCCAACACAATGTTCACTTCTTCACTGTCAGGTTTTACAGATAAAAGACAGAAGACTCAGGAAGTGGCAAAAATGTATGGGTCACTCAGCCCGCAGTCTGTAAATAATTTATAAGTTATAGCGCTATAGTTTAAATACTGGTGTCTCCCCAAAATTCATATGTTGGAATTTTAAGAGATGAGGCCTTTTCAGAAGTGATTGAGTCATGACGGCAAAGCCCTCATGGGATTGATGCTCTTATAAACGAGATTGATGAAAGCTGCCTTGCACCTTTCACCATGTGAGAATGCAGCAAGAGGCACAATCTGAAGCGGAAGACAAGCCATCACCAGATGCCCAATCTGCTGGTGTTTTGAACCTGAACTCCTCAGCCTCTAGAACTGTGAGAAATAAATTTATATTATTTATAAATTACCCAGTCTAAGGTATTTTATTACAGCAGCCTCAGTGGACTAAGACAGAAATTGGTACTGAGAAGTAGGTTGCTGTTGTAACAAACACCTAAAAATGTGGAAGCAGTTCTGGAACTGGGTAATGGACAGAGACTGGAAGAGTTTGGAGGAGCAGGCTAGAAAAAGTCTCTATTGCCATGAATAAGCCATAAAGGGTGGTTCTGGTGAGAGTTAGAAAAAGAGGAAATCTGTAGAGAGAGCCTCAATCTTCTTAGAGATTGTCTAAGAGATTGTGATCAGAATGTTGGTAGAAATATGGACGGTACAGTTCATTCTGATGAGATCTCAGATGGAAACAAAGAGTGTATTATTGGAAACTGAAGCCGAGACTATTCTTGTTATAAAGTGGCAAAGAACTTGACTGAATTATGTTCTTGTCCTAGTGTTTTATGAAAGGAGGAATTTATGAATGAGAAATGAAATTGGATTTGGCAGAAGAAATCTACAAGTAAAGAGTTCAGAGTGCAGCATGGCTTCTCTTGACTGCTCATAGTAAGTACGAGAAGAGAGAAGCAAATTAAAGATGGAATTTATAACCAAAAGGGAAGCAGAACTTAAATATTTGGAAAATTGTCAGCATGGCCATGTTGTAAGGAATAAAATGGCACAATAGAGGCCGGGCACAGTGGCTCACGCCTGTAATCCCAGCACTTTGGGAGGCCGAGACGGGTGGATCACGAGGTCAGGAGATCGAGACCATCCTGGCTAATACGGTGAAACTCTGTCTCTACTAAAAATACAAAAAATTAGCCGGGTGCGGTGGCAGGCGCCTGTAGTCCCAGCTACTTGGGAGGCTGAGGCAGGAGAACTGCGTGAACCCAGGAAGCGGAGCTTGCAGTGAGCCGAGATCGTGCCACTGCACTCCAGCCTGGGTGACAGAGCGAGACTCCATCTAAAAAAAAAAAAAAAAAAAAAAAGCACAATAGAGACAGAACACCAAGGGTGTGACCAAGCATGCCAAAGAGATTAATATGGGTGGGCGGAAGCCAAATGCTCTTCATTAAGACAATACAAGAATGACCCTGAACACATTTCAGAGATAGTCAGGATTGCCTCTCCCAGCACAGGCTCAGTGCAACGCCTGGAAGACAGAAATATGTCAAAAGAGGGGTTTTGGGCATTTGCAGAACCTTGGCATCAGGCCACCTCCAGCCTCTGCTGCCTGCATTCCAGTGCAGCGCTCCTTAGCCACCTAAAGTGTGGCTCAAGCACGCCCAGGTGCAGCAGTGGCTGTTCTTATGGAAGGCACAAGTGGTAAACCATGGCAGTGTCCATGCAGTACCATCTCCACAGGTGTGTAGAGTGTGCAAATCGTAGGAGCATGACTACCTCCAGCTAGATTTCAAAAAATGCCCTGAAGAGCCTTGGCGCCTAGGCTGAGAAGTGCCACAGGGATGGGGCCACTGCAGAGAATCCCCACTAGAGCAATGCTCAGTGTAGTCATGAAGGCAGGTCCACTTCCTAAACCCCAGGCTGGTAGAGCCACCAACATGTAGCTCCAACCTGGGACAGCTGCAAGCATGTGACTCCAATGCATGACAGTTGCTGTATGGGATGCGCTTAGCAAAACCCTGGAGCCTTCAGGGCCTAACCCTCACCCCAGTGTGTCTGGAAGGTAGGACATTGAATTAAAGATTATTCTGGAGCCTTAAGATTAAATGTTTTTGCCCTGTAGTGTTTCAGACTTACTTGGAACCCATTATCCCTTTCTTCCTTACTATTTCTCCTTTTTGAAGTGGGAATGTCTATCCTATGCCTATCCCATCATTGTATTTGGAAGTACATAAGTTATTTGAATTTACAGGTTCACAGTTGGAGAGCAATTTACCTCAGGGTGAATCATACCCTGAATCTCACCCACATTGATTTAGGTGATATTTAGATGAGACTCTAGTTTATAGACTTTTGAGTTGGTACTGAACAGGTTAAGGCTTTTGTGGCTACTGGGATGGAATGAATATATTTTATATGTGAGAAGGACATGTCTCCCACTTTAAATCAAAAGCTAGAAATGAATAGCTTAATAAGGAAGGCATGTTGAAAGCTGAGATAGGCTGAAACCTAGGCTTCTTGCACCAGTTAGCCAAATTGTGAATTCAAAGGAAAAGTCCTTGAGGGAAATTAAAAGTGCTGCTCCAGTGAACGCATGAATGATAAGAAAGCCAAACAGCCTTCTTGCTGGTATGGAGAAAGTGTTAATAACTTGGATAAAAAAATCAAACCAGCCACAACATTCCCTTAAGCCAAAGCCTAATCCAAAGCAAAGTGTTCAACATTGAGGCAAAACTCTCCACCAGCAAAAAGATCACAACTTGCTGAAGGTTCAGATGATTGTCAGCATTTTTTAGTTATAAAGTATTTTAAAATTAAGGTATGTACACTTTTTTAGACAGAATGCTATCACTCACTTAGTAGACCTCAATATAGTGTAAACTTTAATGTGTTCTGGTAAGCCAACAAATTTGTGTGACTCACTTTATTGTGATATTCACTTTATTGTGGTGGTCTGGAACCAAAGCCACAATATCTCCAGGTTATGCCTCTATTTGACAGAGTTTTGTGATTAGACAACCTTCAAGACAGCCCCCAATGATCCCCATTCCTGGTGTTCATTCCCTTCTATAATCCCCGTCCCACCCCCCACCACCACACCCAGAGTTGATCTTTCTGGGATAGACCTAATACTTTGCTTCTAATGAATAGAATATAAGGCAAAAGCGATTCAATGTCTTTTCTGAGACTAGGTTCCAAAAGGCTATCATTTCTGTTTTGATTGCAGAGTCTGTTTTGATTCTCTTTCCCTGGCTCTTCTCGGTTTGCTGACTCTTATGAAATGAGCTGCTATATTATGAGCTGTTCTGTGGAGAAACACATGTTAAAAGGAATTGAAAGTGGCCTCTGGCCAACAGCCAGTGAGGAACTGAGGCTCTTGGTCCAATAGCCCACAAAAAACTAAATTCTGCCAACAACCATGTGAACAGCAGAGTTGTGAGTGAGCTTGGAAATGGATCCTTCCCCAGTTGAGCTTTAAGATGACTACACAACCAGATGATACTTTGACTGTGTCCTTGTTAGAGATCGTGAGCCAGAGTATCTGCTAAACCATACCTGAATTTCTGGGCCATAGAAAATGTGTGATAATAAATATTTTAAGACACTAACTTTTGGGGTAATTTGTTACACAGTGCTTTGGTTCTTATGTGTCCCCCAAAAAGCAGGTGTTAGAAACTTGATTCCCAATTCAACAGTGTTGGGAGGTGGAACCTGATGAAAAGTGATTAGGCCAAGAAGGTGAAGTGAATGGATTAGTGCCATTATTGTGGGAGTGGGTTTGTTATAAAAGGGAGAGCTTGGCCCCCTTTACGCACATTCTTTCTTTCATTCTTCCTCCCTTCCTGCCATCATATGACACAGCAAGAAGACCCTTGCAAGATGTCTGCACATTGATATTGGATTTGCTACCCTCCAAAAGTGTGAGCCAATAAATTTCTGTTTGTTTTAAATTACCTAGTCTCATGTATTCTGTAATAATAGCACAAAATGTACTAAGACACGTAGCAATGGATAGCTAATACAAAGTTGATGATGGGAGTCCTCTATGGGAGGACACAAAGTCAGCCTCCTATTGATCACCCATGGGTAGCTGCAGAAAGGGCAGACCAAGTATGATGTTGAAGCACAGAGTATACAAACGGACTGAATATATAAGTGGACAATGGCAGACTGTATATTACAATAGAACTCTGCAGCAACCTGGCCGGGAAGCCAAACCATAACCTTTGTAGCAACTTTCACAGAATGGGGAGGACTTGGTCAATGGCTGCCAGCTTCCTTATTTTTTGCCCTCACTTCCAACTGAGGCCCAAACATAGAATGCTCCCCAAATTAATCATGTAAGGTGCTCCACTTCTAATTATCCTGCCTAAAGCTTCCCACACTGACAAATTACAATCAGAGCATACTTAAAGCTGTTCCACCAACTTTTTTTTTAACTATAAAGTTTTCCCACTCTCTTTTGCCTGCCTTGAGCCTCTGTCATAGGATAAGTGAGGGTGGCTGACCCCCTTGTTATAACCACCTCTGAATAAATAGCCTCTGCTTGTTCTCATGTTAGCGATCTTCATTGCCACAGCACCCTCTTCCCCAACTCCCATGTGTTCTGCTGCCTCCTGCTGGCCACCTGAGGAAGACCAACCTTGCTGGGGGCCACACTGCTCTGGATGTTCCTACAGAAACAGGAGCAGCAACCCAGATGGCTAATGACCAGTCATCCTCTCCCTTCTCCACCTCTTATGCTAGCATTCACTGTGAGTTGTCTTTTGACTAGTTGCTTGTTGACTGGAGCCTTTAATTAATCCAAATGGGGATTACTGTTTTCTAAGAAATATGCCAAAAGAAGGAATTTGAACTTTGTAATTGCTTGTATTGAGAATAGGAAAGTCTGAAGAAATACATGAATTTTCATGGTGGTAAAATATGTTTCATTTCAGATACCTTGGGGGGTAAAAATGCAACTCAGAGTGGAAAACTTATCATTCCCCCACATTCTCTCCTTCCAGCACTCCATGTCCCAAGTCTCCCCTCCCCATGCCCTCACTTCCTAGCAGAATCAGGGGATGGTAAGATCAATTCTACTAAGTTAGATTAAAGCCATGGACAGTCATATGCAAACAACCATGGTACACTAATGTCCAACAAAGATATAAGGGATAGATTCTTCTGAAAGGAGGGTCAGGCAGGGCATTTGAGGTCTTACAGAGAGGGATTATGAGAAGAAAAGAGAAGAAAAAGAGGAAGAGTTGGGAAGTGGCATGTCTTTGAAGCTTCAGTCAATAAGGCTTTATTCTATTATTCAAAGACTGAAAGGCACATCAAGGATGAGTCTATCACTTTTTTTTCAACCCTGTGTGGCTTTTGGTGGTAAAGATCAGCTTAAATTTTTATCCAAATCCAACGAAGGGAAGGTAAGAAAACAGGAATGAGGTGATACAAGAGCTCATCCACCAGGCTGAGGGAACAACCTAATTACAGACCACAAAGTGGTGAGGATACATCCTTAGAAGGATGGCCCAGTTGGGGAAGTAGTAAGATGGACTCCTTACCTCCCCTCTGCCTGTTTCTCCCTTCCTGGTAGGTGATTGGAAACATAATTTGTGAGAGAGAAAAAGGAGGCACCTGCCACATGGGTTACGTCAATGAGTAAATCTGACCTGAATCTTGTGATGGTTTGTTTGTCCTTTCTTATCTCATCTCTTGGACTCTCCTGGCCTGCAAAAGAAACTTGGGGCTTGGGCAAGGGTGCATTGTACTGAATGGTGTTTCCTATAACAGAGGTGGTTATAAGGATGAGAAGGAATGTTATACCTGGAAATTCCCAGCACAGAACTCAGCACATGGGAGATCCTTGGTAAACTGTAGCACACTCAGGATCTAGGAACCAAAATGTGATATGGGATGAAAGGTTGCTCTTGTCTACAATCTTTTCTTCAGTAGTGTAGTGCTCTGGAAATATTAGTACCACCTCAGTGAAACATAGAAAATGTTTCTTGCCACTGAGAAGTAGGGGGCAGCTGGAGGAAGAGTGGCTCTTCCTTACAAGAGTCTTCCTCTCTCTTTCCTTGTGGCAGGGGCCTTTGCCTAGGATCTACTTCTATCTACTTCACCACATTCAACTTTTCTTGTGTTCTTTTAGAGCTGTTTTCCTTAGGCAACAATTCATGTTGTGTGTTATGTGTCAGTAAAAGGGTGCTGATTGAAGTTATTAAATTAAAAATATGTTGGGAGGTATGTATGCCTTCCTCTTCAAATTTCTAGGAGAGTTTTTGTAGACTTGGTATAGTTTCTTCCTTAAATGTTTGTTGTAATTCACCAGTGAATCCATTTGGACCTTGTATTTTCTTTGTGGAATAGTTTTAACTACAACTTTAGTTTCTTTAATAGATATAGGGCTATTCAAATAATCTATTTCTTTAAAAAACTTTTTTGGAAAGAGGGGTTCCTACTATGCTGCTCAGGCTGGTCTCAAACTCCTGGCCTCAAGTGACCTCCCACCTCAGCCTCCCAAAGTGCTGGGATTACAGGCATGAGCTACAATGCCCAGTGAAATAATAATTTCTTGAGTGAGCTTTGATAATTCATGTCTTTCAAATAATTCATCCATTTCATCTAAATTGTGCAATTTATTGACACGAGGTTGTTTTTAATAATCCCTTATGTTCATTTTTATATCTGTAGAATCTAGAGTGATGCTACCTCTCTCATTCCTAATATTAATAATTTGTGTCTTTTTTTCTGATCAGTCTGGCTAGAGAATGATCAATTTTATAATCATCTGAAAGACTCAGTTTAAAAATATATATGTATATATTTGAAGTGTTACTTTAATAAAGATGATACATTTTGTTAAATGAAATGAATGCAAAGCATAATTATGAGTAGATGCACATATATACACGTACAGGTTTACACATATATATTGATAAAAAAAGATTTGCATTTGCTTTCATAGTGTCAGGGAAGGCTTAGCCTTGAAAAAAAGTCTGCATTATTTGCAATGAAAGAATCATTGATTTTCTTGAGTATTTTTTCTTTTTTCTTTTCTTTTCTTCTTCTTTTTTTTTTTTTGAGATGGAGTTTCACTCTTGTTGCCCAGGCTGGAGTGCAATGGCACGATCTTGGCTCACCGCAACCTCCGCCTCCTGGGTTCAAGTGATTCTCCTGCCTTAGCCTCCTGAGTAGCTGGAATTACAGGCATGCACCACCATGCCCGGCTAATTTTGTATTTTTAGTAGAGATGCGGGTTTCTCCTTGTTGGTCAGGCTGGTCTCAAACTCCCGACCTCAGGTGATCTGCCCACCTCGGCCTCCCAAAGTGCTGGGATTACAGGTGTGAGCCACCTGGCCCAGCCCGTTTTTCTGTTTTCTATGTCATTGATCTCCGCTCTAATCCTTAGTATTTTCTTTCTTTTCTTACTTTGAGTTTAATTTGCTCTTTTTTGAAAAATATAATTTCTTACAGTAGAAGCTGAAGTCATTGGTGTCATGCCAGACTCATGTCCAAGAGGCTGAAGAAGAGACCCAAAGACAGCAAATGAGTTTATTGAGAACTTACATACAGGGTGTTCTAAAAGTGGTGGGCTGGACAGGAGAATTGCTACTGTTCATGAGAAGCAAGTAGTTAATATAGCAATTTTCACTTAGCACCCTCCACCTAGCAAACCTCATGAACCTCCATTTAACCCAAAACAATGGGTCTCAGTTCCTTGCACATCCTGTGTTCCAAGAACAGGTCAGGGATTCTGATGTCCTTCATAGATGAGGAGTGAATCTGTGGGTTGGCCGCTACCAGATTCCTTAGCTGAGAACTTTGAACACACATTCTTAAACCATAGGGTCATCCTCAGGGTATGCTTAAGTTACTCCTCTCAGGGGCATTGGCCATACAATCAATTTGGCTTGAAACTTTTCTTCTTTTCTTTTCTTTCTTTCTTTTTTTTTTTGATGGAGTTTCGCTCTTGTCGCTCAGGCTAGAGTGCAATGGCATGATCTCGGTTTACCTCAACCTCCGCCTCCCAGATTCCAGTGATTCTCCTGCCTCAGCCTCCCAAGTAGCTGGGACTACAGGTGTGCGCCACCACGCCTGGCTAATTTTTGTATTTTTAGTAGAGACAGGGTTTCACCATCTTGGCCAGGCTGGTCTTGAACTCCTGACCTCATGATCCACCCACCTCACTCAGCCTCCCAAAGTGCTGGGATTACAGGCGTGCGCCACTGCGCCCGGCCTCTTCTTTTCTAATATAGACATTTGGTGTTATGAATTTCCCAGTAAATACTGCTTTTATAGTATCTCATGAATTTTTGATATGGTGTGTTTTTATTTTCATTCAGTATAAAGTAATATCTAATTTTTCTATGTCTTTTTTGATCAATTATTTAAAAGTACATTGTTTAGTTTCCAAATACTTGGGAATTTTTCAGAGTTTTTTTTATTGATTTCTAATTTAATTCTGTTATGGTCTAAAAATAAATCTGGTATGACTTGAATTTTTGTAAATATATCGAGACCTGTCTTGTGACCCAGAATATGGTCTGTATTGGTAAATATTCTGTATGACTTGAATATGTAGTCTTCCATTCTTAAGTGGAGTATTATAGAAATGTCAATTAGGTTAAGTTGGTCGACCATGTTGTTCATCTTATATATCCTGATTTTCTGTGTACCAACTGTTATACCAATTATGGAGATAGAAGATAAACATCTCTGACGAAAATTATACACTTTTTATTTCTTTCAGTTCTGTCAGGTTTTGCTTCACATATTTTGAAGCTCTGTTATTTGATATATAAGAGGTAAGGATTGTTATGCCCTCCTGATGAAAACCCTTTTTCATTATGAAATGACCTTGTCTTGTAATACTCTTTGCTCTGAAATGTACTTTGTCTGATGTTAATATAGCTGATATAACTATCTTTTGGTTAGTGTTAACACGGTATATCTATTTCCATTCTTTGACTTTTTGTTTTTAATGTGAGGCAGGGTTTTGTTCTGTTGCCCCGGCTGGAGTGCAGTGGCACAATCATGGCTCACTGCAGCCTCAACCTCCTGGGCTCAAGAGATCTTCTCACCTCTGTCTCCTGAGTAGCTGAGGCCATAGTTGCACACCACCATACCCTATTAATGTTTTTTATTTTTTGTAGAGGTGAAGTCTCCCTATGTTGAACAAGTTGGTTTCAAACTCCTGGGCTTAAAATTTAAGTAATTTTTAAAAATCTTAGATATCTACCCACATAGTTCATCTTTCCAGTGTTCCTCATTCCTTTGCATAGATCTACATTTCAATCTATTATTTTTATTCTGCCTATTTAACACTTCTTACTGTCTGGGTCTGCTGGTGATGAATGTTTTAGAGTTTGTATGTCTAAAAATGTCTTTACTTTGTCTTCATTTAAAAAAGATATTGTGTTAGGTTTCTAGGGCTGCCATAACAAAATACCACAGAGTAGACGGTATACACAACAGAAATTAATTTTTTCATAGTTCTGGAGGCCAGAAGTCAAAGATCAGGGTTTGGCAAGTTTGGTTTCCTCTGAGGCCTCTCTCTGTTGTTTGAAGAAGGCCATCATCTCACCATGTTCTCAGAGGGTTGCCCCTCAGTCTGTGTGGTGTTCTAATCTTCTCTTCATATGAGGACACCAATCATATCGGATTAGGGCCCACCTGTATCACTTTATTTTACCTTAATTACTTCCATAAAGGACTTATGTCAAAATATAGTCACATTCTGAGGAGTTGCTGGTTAGGATTTCAGCATATGAAGTTTGGGGGGTGAGGGAACACAATGCAGCCTGTAAACAGATATGTTTTCTGGGCATAGATTTATAAGTGGACAGTTTTCTTCTTTCAGCACTTTAACAATGTTGCTCCACTGTCTTCTTAATTTTGCTCCTCTGAATGTATCAAATGTTTTTCTCTCTTTGCTTAGAGGTTTTCTCTTTATCACGTATTTTGAGCAATTTGATTATGATTTATTTTGATGTCACCTTCATGTTTCTTGTGCTGGAGATTCATTCAGCTTCTTGGATCTATGGATTTATCATTCCAGGCTGAAGTAGAAGTGACATTTCCTTAGGATTTTTCATGGAAGTAGAATTGTGAACTAAAAAGATTTGACAATTTTATATTTTAATGCATTTGAACAGTTTTCCTTCTATAATGCATCCATCAATTTACATCCCCAGAAACAGACAGTACTATTTTTTTTGTATTGTTTGAATTTTTCTTTTTTTTTTAAATTATTATTATACTTTAAGTTTTAGGATACATGTGCACAATGTGCAGGTTAGTTACATATGTATACATGTGCCATGCTGGTGCGCTGCACCCATTAACTCGTCATTTAGCATTAGCTATATCTCCTAATGCTATCCCTCCCCCATCCCTCCAACCCACAACAGTCCCCAGAGTGTGATGTTCCCCTTCCTGTGTCCATGTGTTCTCATTGTTCAATTCCCACCTATGAGTGAGAACAGGCGGTGTTTGGTTTTTTGTCCTTGTGATAGTTTACTGAGAATGATGATTTCCAATTTATTTATTTATTTATTTATTTTTATTATTATACTTTAAGTTTTAGGGTACATGTGCACAATGTGCAGGTTAGTTACATATGTATACATGTGCCATGCTAGTGTGCTGCACCCACTAACTCGTCATCTAGCATTAGGTATATCTCCCAATGCTATCCCTCCCCCCTCCCGACACCCCACAACAGTCCCCAGAGTGTGATGTTCCCCTTCCTGTGTCCATGTGTTCTCATTGTTCAGTTCCCACCTATGAGTGAGAATATGCGATGTTTGGTTTTTTGTTCTTGCGATAGTTTACTGAGAATGATGATTTCCAATTTCATCCATGTCCCTACAAAGGACATGAACTCATCATTTTGTATGGCTGCATAGTATTCCATGGTGTATATGTGCCACATTTTCTTAATCCAGTCTATCATTGTTGGACATTTGGGTTGGTTCCAAGTCTTTGCTATTGTGAATAGTGCCGCAGTAAACATACGTGTGCATGTGTCTTTATAGCGGCATGATTTATAATCCTTTGGGTATATACCCAGTAATGGGATGGCTGGGTCAAATGGTATTTCTAGTTCTAGATCCCTGAGGAATCGCCACACTGACTTCCACAATGGTTGAACTAGTTTACAGTTCCACAACAGTGTAAAAGTGTTCCTATTTCTCCACATCCTCTCCAGCACCTGTTGTTTCCTGACTTTTTAATGATTGCCATTCTAACTGGTGTGAGATGGTATCTCATTGTGGTTTTGATTTGCATTTCTCTGATGGCCAGTGATGATGAGCATTTTTTCATGTGTCTTTTGGCTGCATAAAAGTCTTCTTTTGAGAAGTGTCTGTTCATATCCTTTGCCCACTTTTTGATGGGGTTGTTTGTTTTTTTCTTGTAAATTTGTTTGAGTTCATTGTAGATTCTGGATATTAGCCCTTTGTCAGATGAGTAGGTTGTGAAAATTTTCCCATTCCGTAGGTTGCCTGTTCACTCTGATGGTAGTTTCTTTTGCTGAGCAGAAGCTCTTTAGTTTAATTAGATCCCATTTGTCAATTTTGGCTTTTGTTGCCATTGCTTTTGGTGTTTTAGACATGAAGTGCTTGCCCATGCCTATGTCCTGAATGGTAATGCCTAGGTTTTCTTCTAGGGTTTTTATGGTTTTAGGTCTAACATTTAAGTCTTTAATCCATCTTGAATTGATTTTTGTATAAGGTGTAAGGAAGGGATCCAGTTTCAGCTTTCTACATATGGCTAGCCAGTTTTCCCAGCACCATTTATTAAGTAGGGAATCTTTTCCCTATTGCTTGTTTTTCTCAGGTTTGTCAAAGATCAGATAGTTGTAGATATGTGGCGTTATTTCTGAGGGCTCTGTTCTGTTCCATTGATCTATATCTCTGTTTTGGTACCAGTACCATACTCTTTTGGTTACTGTAGCCTTGTAGTATAGTTTGAAGTCAGGTAGCATGATGCCTCCAGCTTTGTTCTTTTGCCTTAGGATTGACTTGGTGATGTGGGCTCTTTTTTGGTTCCATATGAACTTTAAAGTAGTTTTTTCCAATTCTGTGAAGAAAGTCATTGGTAGCTTGATGGGGATGGCATTGAATCTATAAATTACCTTGGGCAGTATGGCCATTTTCACGATATTGATTCTTCCTACCCATGAGCATGGAATGTTCTTCCATTTGTTTGTATCCTCTTTTATTTCATTGAGCAGTGGTTTGTAGTTCTCCTTGAAGAGGTCCTTCACGTCCCTTGTAATTTGGATTCCTAAGTATTTTATTGTCTTTGAAGCAAATCATGTTCACTCATGATTTGGCTCTCTGTTTGTCTGTTATTGGTGTATAAGAATGCTTGTGATTTTTGTACATTGATTTTGTATCCTGAGACTTTGCTGAAGTTGCTTATCAGCTTAAGGAGATTTTGGGCTGAGATGATGGGGTTTTCTAGATATACAATCATGTCATCTGCAAATAGGGACAATTTGACTTCCTCTTCTCCTAATTGAATACCATTTATTTCCTTCTCCTGCCTGATTGCCTGGCCAGAACTTCCAACACTATGTTGAATAGGAGTGGTGAGAGAGGGCATCCCTGTCTTGTGCCAGTTTTCAAAGGGAATGCTTCCAGTTTTTGCCCATTCAGTATGATATTGGCTGTGGGTTTGCAATAGATAGCTCTTATTATTTTGAGATACGTCCCATCAATACCTAATTTATTGAGAGTTTTTAGCATGAAGGGTTGTTGAATTTTGTCAAAGGCCTTTTCTGCATCTATTGAGATAATCATGTGGTTTTTGTCGTTGGTTCTGTTTATATGCTGGATTACATTTATTGATTTGTGTATGTTGAACCAGCCTTGCATCCCAGGGATGAAGCCCACTTGATCATGGTGGATAAGCTTTTTGATGTGCTGCTGGATTCAGTTTGCCAGTATTTTATTGAGGATTTTTGCATCAATGTTCATCAAGGATATTGGTCTAAAATTCTCCTTTTTGGTTGTGTCTCTGCCCGGCTTTGGTATCAGGATGATGCTGGCCTCATAAAATGAGTTAGGGAGGATTCCCTCTTTTTCTATTGATTGGAATAATTTCAGAAAGAATGGTACCAGTTCCTCCTTGTACCTCTGGTAGAATTCGGCTGTGAATCCATCTGGTCCTGGACTCTGGTTGGTAAGCTATTGATTATTGCCACAATTTCAGATCCTGTTATTGGTCTATTCAGAGATTCAACTTCTTCCTGGTTTAGTCTTGGGAGAGTGTATGTGTCAAGGAATTTATCCATTTCTTCTAGATTTCCTAGTTTATTTGCGTAGAGGTGTTTGTAGTATTATCTGACGGTAGTTTGTATTTCCGTGGGATTGGTGGTGATATCCCCTTTGTCATTTTTTATTGCGTCTATTTCATTCTTCTCTCTTTTTTTATTAGTTTTGCTAGTGGTCTATCAATTTTGTTGATCCTTATACTATTTTTTAATCATTGCCAATCTAATTAGTTTTAAAAAGGTTCTCATTATTTTAATTTGCATTTATTTAACTACTCATGAAACAAAATTTTTGTTAATGTTTATTGATTATATTTTCTCATTTTTCTTTATTCATTCATTTAATCATTTAACAAATATTTGTTGAGCCGCTACTATGTGCCAGGAAATGTTCCATATACTGGGGATACAGCAGTAAATAAGACAGGTGAGGTTCTCCCCTCATGGAGCCTGCTTTCTAAGAGTGAGGTGAGGGAGACAGTGCAGATACACATACACACAATTTTCGATGGTGATATAAGCTATAAAAAATAAGACAAGGTGACATGGAGTATGACTTGGAATGGTGACTTGAGTAATTGCAGAAGGCTTCTCTGAAGATGTGATATTTGAACTAAAACCCAAATTATGAGAAAGAGCTAGGTATGCAATGAGATGGGCAAAAGCATCAAAGGAATAGAAAACAAGCAAGTACAAATGTTCTGAGGTATAAATGAGCCTAGTTTGTTTGAGAATGAGAAGAAATCCCAGGTCACTGGAGAGTGGTAAGTAGGAGCAAAAGTCTTAGGAGCTAAGGTCAGAGTTCTAGTCAGGAGTTTAAAGTTTATTCTAAATGTGAATTACCTATACAAATCCTTTGCTTATATTTTAAAAACTTTTATTGTACTAAAAATATTAACATCTGTATGTATATGTTGCAAATATTTCTTCCTATTTTTATCTGTCTTTGAATTTTATTTAGAGTGTTTTAAAAAAAACCTTTCCTTTTTCTTTCTTGTGTTTTAAAAATATTAGTAAATATATTAATCTTTTACTTTATAGCTACTGCCTTTAGAAAACTCACCTCATCAAAACTATGAAAATATTCACCAAAATTACTATTGTACTCATTATTTTCACACACCATCAATTTTTAAGGTTTTTTTTGTGTAGTTATTAAGTCATGTGTAAGACAAATGTTTTTATCTTACCTCTGAACGTCCTTGGGCTAGGAAATGGGTTAAGAACTGGGTGGTGTCATACCTCTTACTTAATAATAAAACCATAGCAACAACTATTATTTAATGCCTTGCTGTGGCTATTTTGGAGTCCTAGAGTAAGGGAGGGGGAAGGGGACCAACCTGGGCTTATTTCCATGTTCCTTTATCAAGAGCATGTGAAGGAAACCAGATCCTCTCAGAGTTTCTGCGTGATGAATCAGCTCCTTCGTCCACTACAGCTGCCACCTCCAATTTCTCTGGCCTCCTTGTTTCCTTTGATGTGCCCTCATGTGCTTCCTGTCTTCTAAATATTTGTTGAAATCTCTTGTTCACTGATGGTTTCCTATTCCTTTAATATATCCACCTTATCTAAATTATCCACTTCTTCAACTCTCTCTGGGTCCTTGTATGCTTCTTTCCTAAGAATCATCTTATTTGTAGTTCCTTTAATTTTAACCATCTGCTTATATTTTTTAATGTATTTCTTATCATAGTATAAGCTCCTTGTGGGCAGGAATGATGTTTGTCTTCTTTGCTATTCTATCTTGTGGAAATAAATGGAGACCACCCATATGAGAACAAGCAGAGCTTGCAAGAGAGTCAGCCACCATCACTTACATTTTGCCAGAGACTCAAGGCAAGCAGGGGAGTGGGAAAGTTTTAGAGTAAATAAAAGAGGAGGCTTCAGATCTGCTCAGATCAAAGGCTGTGAGCAGGGGCAAGCTGTAGGCAGTTGTATTAGTCCGTTCTTGCATTGCTATAAAGAAATACCTGAGACTGGCTTATATATAAAATATATATATAATAGGTTTAACTGGGTCACAGTTCTGCAGGCTGTACAGGAAGCATTGCAGCATCTACTTCTGGGGAGGCTTCAGGAAACTTCCAGTCAAGGCAGAAAACAAAGGGGGAACAAGCACATTATGTGGCAAAAATAGAAGGAAGGGAATTGTGGGTGGAGGGGCAGAGGTGCCACACACTTTCAAATGACCAAATCTCATGAGAATCCATTATCACGAAGACAGCACCAAGTCATGAGGGATCTGCCTCCATGCTCTAAACACCTCCCACCAGGCTCCACCTCCAGCATTGGGGATTACAGTTCAACATGAGACTTGCTTGGCTGGAGACAAATGTCCAGACTATATCAGCAGCTAACTAGAAGCAGGGCATTCCATGTGATTGGTGAGGGGGCATATTTAGCTTTCCCCAGTTGGTCCTAAGTTAAAAGCAGGAGCTGAAATAGGAAAGCTGGAAGTTATTAATCAATTCCTGATCATTTTGGGTCAATCGTTATAGGGGCTATCCTTTGGCTTCCTGGAATGGATACTGTGGATAGTAAGTTGGCTTCCTGGGCTGGCTGTTACAGGTTGTGGGTCAGAGTCCTGCTTTATACATTGCCTGGTCATTGCTCATTTGTATATTCAATCTTTCAATTCCCAGGACCAGCATTTTCCAGCATAGAGTAAGAACGCAGTAATTATGAGTTAATTAATATGAAGCGGGCAACTTCGAATTTGACATTGCCCCTCAGAGGTGCAGCTCCCTTCCATCCTCTTTCTACCCGGCTTCTGCATCCCTGTGTCTTTACTAGCTCCATTCCCTGTCACTTCCTTGACTGTAGGTGAGTCAGAGAGACTCTCCACAAGCTTTTCCTTTTTCTCTCTTTATTTTCCTTAGAGAACTCATCTACTTCCACACTTCTAGGAAAGTGAGTCCAGGATTCTTATCTGCAGCCCACATCTCTTTCCTGCACTGTGGGTCAATTGGCTGATGGACAACTCCTCGCTGACATCCTGCCAGCATCTCAGAGCCCATCATCAGCTCCTCCTCACTGGGAAATCCTCTTTCCTCCTCCAGATGTTTCTTTCTTTTTTTTTTTTTTTTGAGATGGAGTTTCACTCTTGTTGCCCAGGCTGGAGTGCAATGGTGCGATCTCGGCTCACCACAACCTCTGCCTCCCAGGTTCAAGCGATTCTCCTGCCTCAGCCTCACTAGTAGCTGGGATTACAGGCATGTGCCACCATGCCCAGCTAATTTTGTATTTTTAGTAGAGACGAGATTTCTCCATGTTGGTCAGGCTGGTCTTGAACTCCCGACCTCAGGTGATCCGCCTGCCTTGGCCTCCCAAAGTGCTAGGATTACAGGCATGAGCCACCGCGCCCGGCCCTCCAGATGTTTCTATTTAGTTTTTTGTGGCAAAAGCACTATTGAACATGGTTTCTGATTCTGTGGGAGAGTAAATCTGAGGATGGATGTAAGGAAAACCGAGTAGGAGGGAATACAAAAAAAGGGCGACTGGTGTTGTTGGCAGGAAAAGTGTCCCCTGGGGATGCAAGAAGGGAGTGGACACTCAAGCTATCTCAAGGGCTGGAGCTGGGGAAAGTGATCTGACCTTTTCTCCTTACCCCCTAGTCTCCAAAGTCCATTGTATCATTTGTATGCCTTTGTATCCTTGTAGCTTAGCTCCCACTTGTAGCTTAGCTTCCAACACCAGCCTGGAACACCAAAATAATCTTCATTTCTGGGTCTTCCAACAGACAAAGCAACAGGACATTGGGAAGCAACTAAGGAAGCAGTCCTTTTTGTGGAGGAGTTCAGTAGGGGTGGGGTGGGAGAGGAATGGCAGGGGTGCTCAGTGCTCCTCCATCAGGCAGCAGAGGTGGTCTAGGAACAAGATCTCTGTGCATGACTGTCAGGCTGCAGCAACTCCTGCGCTTGGTAAGGGACCTCACTGAGGAAAGTTACTCAGAAAGAATCTTAAAGCAAGGGCAGCATAAAAGAGGGCCATTTTGTTTTGTTTTTCATTTGCCCCCCAGGACTTCCCATTGTCCCTGAGGAAGGACTTGAATAGGGTTTGATGTTCCCACATCATCAAAAGTGACTGGGTTGCCTCCAGGAGAAGGAACACCCTCCAGTAGCTCCCTGCTACCAAGACCTAGTACAATCCAAAGTGGGGAAAGTTCCTCTTATAAATGGAAGCATCAGAGTGCAGTTATCCAAGGCTGTTGGTTTCTTTGTGATAGTTCTCTGTCCCTAATGTCTTATACCTATTTTGTGGCACTTTATGCAAAAATATGCTCTAAGCTTCTATTGATTCTATCTTCTAATAGTTCCTGAATCTGCCCCTCTTGTGTCCACTGCCTCTACTGTGGCTTGGCTTCATGCCTCCTAGAAAGTTGCTCACAATTAGGTTTCTAGCACCTGCCTTCTGATTTTCTTTCTTTCCTGCACATTCATTCTACATATTGTCCTTATCCTCCTTGTCTTCCATTTGGCTTTCTTCTAATCTACTGTTTAAACAACCGTTGAGTCTTTAATAAATCTACAGCTTCTGGTTACAGAGAGTGGAATGAATACCTGGGATTCCACTAAAAAGATTATTTCCATGTTCCTTTTTCAAGAGCATGTGAAGGAAACCATCAGTGAACAAGAGATTTCAACAAATATTTAGAAGACAGAAAGCACATGAGGGCACATCAAAGGAAACAAGGAGGCCAGAGAAATTGGAGGTGGCAGCTGTAGTGGACGAAGGAGCTGATTCATCACGCAGAAACTCTGAGAGGATCTGGGCTCAGAGTTGGCAGGTGTTGGGGGCAGAGCAAGAAAGTCTCTACATGCCCCTGGCCCACGTGTCCTCTGCCCAAATCTAGTGCTCAGGCAACCCAACTTTAGCCCCTGGGGTAGAAGAACCTTCTCTAAAAAATTAAATTCTGGATAGTGCTGAAGTTGGGTTTTGTTTTTGTTTTTTAAGATAGGGTCTCACTCTGTCACCAGGCTGGAGTGCAGTGGTGCAATCTTGGCTCACTGTAGCCCCAACCTCCCAGGTTCAAGCAGTCCTCCTGCCTCAGCCCCTCAAGTAGCTGGGACTAAAGGTGCATGGCACCACACCCAGCTAATTGGATAGTGCTGAAATTTCACATATGGTTGTTAGCATCCCAGAGAGAACCATCCCTATTCTGGCATGCAAAGGCTCCATACCCCAATATAGCTATATAGCTCCTGCTAACTTGGTCTCGAGATGGACAATGGTCAGACCACATATAACAATAGAACTCTAACCCATTATCTATAGTAACCAGCCCAGAAGCCATCCTACTATCTTGCAAGTCAGACTCGTAGGACATCAGTACTGTCTCTCTAGCAATTAGCCCAGAAAGCCAAACAATCAGCCCTGCAGTAGCCCCAAACAGCCAGGAGTTGATTAATAACTGTTAGGTTCCCTAATTTTTATCCCTGGGATTGAAAGACTGAATCTACAAATGAACAATGGCTAGCTGTATATAAAACAGGATTCTGACCCACAAGTAGCCCAAGAAGCCAACCTACTAACTGCACTTGGTAAGGGATCTTACCTTCAGGAAGATACAGTCCAGGAAGCCAAAGAATAATCCCTATCACAATTGACCCAACATGGCCAAGAATTTATTAATAGCCAGCTTTCTCATTTTTGGCTCCATTTCCAACTTAGGACCAATCAGAAAAAGCTAAGTATGTTCCCTGAACCAAACACATAGGATGCCCATTTCTAGTTAGCCTGCCTACAGCTTGCCCCTGCCCACAGCCTCTGAGCCTAGCAGACCTAAAGCCTTCCCATTTTTTTTTTTTTTTTTGAGATGGAGTCTCGCACTGTCGCCCAAGCTCGAGTGCATTGGTGCAATCTCAGCTCACTGCAACCTCTGCCTCCCGAGTTCAAGCGATTCTCCTGCCTCAGCCTCCCAAGTAGCTGGGATAATAGGCACCCGCCACCATGCCCAGCTAATTTTTTTGTATTTTTAGTAGAGACAGGGTTTCACTATGTTGGCCAGGATGGACTCAATCTCCTGACCTTGTGATCTGCTCACCTCAGCCTCCCAAAGTGCTGGGATTACAGGCGTGAGCCACCATGCCCAGCCGAAGGCTTCCCTTTTATCCACTCTAAAACTTTCCCACTCTCCTCCCTGCCTTGAGTCTCTGGCAAAATGCAAGTGATGGTGGCTGACTCCCTTGTAAGCTCTGAACAAATAGCCTTTGCTTGTTCTTATTTGAGTGCTCTTCATTAATTTTCACACTCTGAAGCAAGGTCTTTCTCTCAACAAGCTCTTCTCACATACCAGTAAACCTTTACAAATTGTTACAAATAGCAGCACTGAAATGAAGATCCTTATATAAAACCATGGAGGAAACCTATACTAGCTTGCTATAAAATCAACTCGGCTCCTCATTCTTAAATATGACAGCCAAAGATAGACAGCCAAAGCCACCAGACTCAGAGAGAACGAGCAGCACGTAGGAGACGATAAAGAAAACAGAACAGATTGACCTTGGAGGAAACAGGTCATTCAGAGACTCAAAACAAGCTTAAAAACATTCTAATTAGATCTTCAGTGACATTTGAGAAGATATTACATCCATGAAACAAAAAACAGCAGGCTGTGGAAAAAAAAAAAGTCTCTTGGAAATTAAAAGTGAACTGCCAGAATTAAAAAGATTGGAGGATTAAGTTGAGAAACTCAAACAGAACAGAGAGCAAAAAGATAGTCTGAATGTGTGGCAGAAAAGGTAAGTCACATTTTGTCACTTTTTTATAGCTAAACCCAAAAATGGTTAGAAGGGGTGCTCCCAGGGTAGGAACCTGATGGATGAGTGAGCTGGCAGCTGCTCTCTTGCTTTGCATTAGAAATCCCTTGGCCGATGTTTGTGAGCCATGTGCATGGATCACTCTGATTAAAACACACAATCTAACTGCAAATCTGACAGTTCTACTCCTTTGCTTAAAACCCATCACTCCTCCTGTTGATCAAAATTAAGGCTATTTGTAACAATTTGTAAAGGTTTATTGGAAGCAGAAATAATTTGTAAAGGTTTATTGGAAGCCAAATGTGAATAATGACCCAGGAAGACACACTAACAAAGTTGGGAGTCTTCTGGACTCTGTCTCAAAAAAAAAAAAAAAAAAAAAATCACCCTTTTCAATGTCGGTAGGCTACACATTAATCAGTATGTCAACAATTTGGGAACTCATAATAAGATTCTTTCTCAAGGAAAGGATGTCACCATGAATCACAAGACCTACCCCAGGTGAGTTAACTTGGAAGCCTTTTTACTTTTAAACTGTCAGTGTGACCTGTGGGTTATGACTCCTAATCACATGAAGGGGTAGAACTCAGTCTCTTTCCTGACTGTGACTTGCCACCAGCTATCCCTCCCTCTCTCCCACCACTCCCAAATCCACATCAGTTCAACTCAACTACAGATCAGGCTGTTCAGTGTAAGCCTGTGAGCTGGAACCGTGGGTTCAGACTTAGCTGGTTTCTACTTATATTTATGTCCCAATCTGAAAAATGAGAATAGTAAAAAATGATATTATAATACAACAAGGATAATAAGGCTTTTGTGAGGATCAAATGAGCTAACATATATTATGTACTTCCCAGAGATCCTGGGTGCATGGTAAGTGATCAATAAGTATCAAATTATTAGGGCTTCCAGATTACTCTTGTTTTGTCCATTCCAGTTTTAACCTTCTTTTGGCAATTCGTTATATTTAAAAACACTTTAAAAAGGGCATTAACCTCTCAGCTTTATTATCAACCACACACCCACAGACACCTCAGTTTTCAAGAGATTTTAAATTTCTTAAGCTCTTTAAGAGATTTTTGATACATTTATATGTACTTTTTAAGCCACAATTTATTAATTTAAGAGCAATTGAAGGTCCTGCTTTGTCTGGCTCATACTTTGGGGCCTCCACTGGGTTTTGACTAGCACTTCCCTTCTGTTCTCAGCTGCTCTCCTTTTTTGGGGTTCCAGCCTCACCCCTTTGTGAGGCCTTCTCAGAGACCCCCACCCAGCCCCTTTCTTTCAGACTTCCTATGAACAGCTTTGTCCCCACTGCAGCTGTCATCTGTCTACTACTCTAGACACCGAGGGCAGCACTTGGAAGGACGCTCTTTGTAGGTTTTGTGACTCCAGTGCCTCCCCTGAGACAAGATCTGCTCTGTGGATGGGCCTGTGAGGCGAGTGCAGAAGGAATGGAGGCCGAGTTTAAGCAATGAGCAGGGCTGGCTGGAGTCTGGCAAGAATGGACAGTTGTTAGAAAAGCCAGTCAAATCAAGTGCAGCCATGCTAGAACTTTCTCTTTGTCAAAGAAAAGGTTGTGGGGAAAGCATCATCTACTGCTGGGAAGCTGCCCGGCTCCAGGCTCCGGAAAGTGCTGGGTGGGCAGGTCAGCTGCTTGTCTACTTACAGCTGGGGTGCGAGGTCAGGGCCCCATCCCCAGTTCAGTTCTAATACTTCATTCTTGAGGTCTTCTCAGATAGTATGCTATCTGAGAAGCACACACTATCTCCTGGCAAACAAGGTTGCTAGCTTTTTCCTTTTTCTTACTTCTTTTTCATAAGTTAAATCCAACTAACTCATTCCTTTCAGCAGAGAGAGAAATTAAGGCAGTCTTAATGAAGATCACAGGAGTTGCCAAAAGTCATATAGAAAGCAAAAAGGTCAGATTAGAACTCGGGTTTCCAAAATGTTAGACCAGTGTGCTGTGATTCTGGGGGTAAAATGAATGGGTTAAAAGGAAGAGGGAACCCTGAAGGCAGTCGAGGTAGCTGCTTCAATTTTGGCAGCCAAAATAGAGCTGATGTGCTGGGTGGCCCCATCCCTCTCGCCCTGGCTTTGGGTCCTTTGTGTGGTGTCACTTATTGAAAAAAAAAGGGGCATTGAAAGTACTCCCATCAGAGAGGTATTGTGAGGATGTGTGGCAGATATTAAGAAGTTAATAATTGTTAGGCAAGTAACAACCTAACTTTGAGACTTCAGTGCAGTGGGCAAACTGGCTCCCTCTGTGTGCATGTTGGGTCCCTGCACATAAAGCTAAGACACAGGAAGTCAAGCAGAGGAGAGGTTGAGTGCCGATTTATTGAAGACACCGTCGGAGGATGGGAGGCCAGGTCTGCCACCATCAGCTCTGTCACAGAAAGGGGTAGGCGTGCACTGGATGGGAAAGTCCTTGAGCCCCTTGAAAGCTCCCATCCCTCAAGGCAGGAGGTGGCCAGTCACCTTGGCACTTCCAGCCCCCAGCTGCCTCCTAGGCCAGCTAAGATAGAGCAGAGCAGTGGAGGGGGTCTCGGACCAAATGTGCAGGTTGCAGGCACCAGCCGCTGAAGCCTCAGGGGCACTTCCTTCCTCAGGCCCTCCCCTAAAAGCAGTGGCATGGGCTAGACTGGGTGGGACTGCAGTCCCTAGCCCATGCCACTGCTTTTAGGGGAGGGCCTGAGGAAGGAGGTAGGCCATGGCCTGGCCTGACCCACAGTTGGTGGACATGCAGGAATGTGAGTGGGAGAAGAAGGGCTCTCAGGAAAGGAACGGCAGGAACAGGGAGCAGACCATGATGGTGTAGGACAGTTCCCAGGATGGGGCAGAGCTGGCGAAGAGGCGGGCCACGGCCACATTGGGGTTGCCCTGAGCAGGCTCAAACCACTTCTGGAGACACCGCCCACTGTTCCGTCGCTCAGGGCTGGCTTTGAAGGAATTGCTCCAAGTCTTCTCACACAGGTCAGCTGGGGTGGGGAAGTAATGGGAGAAAGGGAGGCACTGGGCCCCTTTGGGGCAGCGGTTCTTCCCTGCAGGGGATGGAGGAGGGACAGCTTACCTCCTACTCCCTCATTGCTAGCCTTTGCACCTGCACCCTTGTGGGGACCACCAAGGGGCCTCTTCCCGACCAAGGCCTTGTCAGCACCACTCACCCTGACTCCAGTCCCAGCCACCACGCCAGTTGGATTTGCATGTGTAAGACATGCGACAGTCTTCCCACCACTCCTCACAGTCCTCCTGGCACAGCGGCACATTCACAACTCGCTCTCCCTGCCCACTCGGGGCCACCTGGGTGCAGTCATAGCCAGAGATTAGAACATTAATAGCAGAGATGTGAAGACTACTAATAGCTACAGTGGTATTTGTACCAGGTACCATATGTACATCATCTTCCATAAAGCCTCTAAGTGTTATTTTACAAATAATACCAATGAGGCTAAGAGATTTAATAGTTTGTCCTGGGCTATACAGCTGGTAGGGACAGAACATGAGACTGAAGCTCAGGTCTGTCAACTCCACCAAGCCTCCTGTGGTGATAGCCCCTCATCCCACTGTTGTCAGAACAGTCTCCCCCATGTGATTCTCCAGCAGGGGCCTCTGGCTCTGCTCTTGTCCATAGGGAAATAACACCTCCTGTTCCTACTAGCATCCTGGCGGCATCAGCATAAGATCGGGTGAAAGCTCTGGCTGTTAATATAATAACAGGGCATGGCACAGATCTGCTTCCTACCTCCCACCCCAGGCTTCCCACTGGCTGGATCCAGGGCCCCAGGTTTGGGGAGCACTCATAGAAGCAGATAGCCTGGATGAAGTGCTTCCGACAGCCAGGCATCAGCAGTCCACAGTGAAACAGGCTGAAGTTGTAGAGTGGGGATACATCCAGATGGGCTTCCCAGCTTGTCGTGAGGGTGCAGCAGGCATTGTCCTTCCAGGGGATGCACTGAAGGCAGAGGAAGAAACAAAAGGCCCAGGCAAAAGGGGCAAGGATCGGCAAGTGTCTAGGGAAGAAAGGTGGTGAAATGAAAATGTCCCTTAGGAGGCCTGAGCAAGTGGGATGCCTTTAGCTAGTAAGCCCCTACATAAGAGGAACCCTGATAATCTCTCAATATTTACCCAAAGGGCAGAGGCACCTGCACAATGACCCCCTGCCACAGGCTGCTACAGTCCTCTAGAAACACAACTTCTGGGCTCTCAGCTCCTGAGAGGCAGCAGAAGCCTTTTAGGGCAAAGCAGGTAGAAGAGCCCCAGAGAGACCCAGGGGAATCTGGGGTTGCATTGGGTGGGAGGGTCTCATAGGCCAAATGCCAGCTGTGTTCTTCCTCCCATATCCCTGGAAATTGCCTTTAGGAGCTTGGGGAGGGGTCACATAAGTCATATGTTGCCCCAGGACCTGTTGGCAGGAAGGCTTGTTTTCATCTGTGCCGAGTCAACAATGGATCTCTGGGATCACCAGCGGTCCCTGCTTTCCCAGTGGCTAGAGCAGCTCAGAAATGGGAACTTTGAATCGCTTGGCTCTTATGGTCTCAAAAAGGCATAGTCTCTTTCCATCTAGTTGCCTTTGCTTAACTCCTAACCCCAGGAACCAAATGATCAGGGTTGATGAGGTTCGGAGACCATCTTGGCATTTGTGTCCCTTCCCTGATCTTCCCCATCCCATACCCAGGTCTGGCCTCTGTACCTCCTCATAGAGCTTGTCTTCTGGGCTGGGCACTCTCTTGTGGTGTTTGGCATTCATGCAGATGTTGAGCAGCTCGTCCCCAGCCCAGGTGGGCATGACTGTCCACAGCTCTAGCAGGAGCGGCCACCAGCATGCCATGGCCTGCTACAGAGAGACCCATGCTGCACACTTGATGGAAATGACACCCCACTCCACCCCCTTCATCATAGCAGGCACTGGGAAAGGGGGATGGGCTTCAATCTCCCTCAAATAATTGCAACACTCTGGCTGCTCCTAGGACCTTCTTTTGGAGGCAGCATCACAGAATGTCAGGGCAGGTAGAATAATCCTTGGAGGCCTGACACAGTGCTGGAGGCCTTGCTGGCCCTGCAGAGCCAGGGGCATGCCGAGGCATGAGTCAGATAGGAGGAGCCTTCTACATCCAAAGCCTGATCCCCATCACAGGAATGAGGAGGAGGGCCCTTCCTATTTCCAACTCTGTTCTGGGTAGTAGTGGTAATGAGAGGTAGTGGAAAGAGAGACAAAACAAAGCAAAAGGCAGAGGGGCCCCAGGCCTCAAGCACCCAACCTCTTAGGACACAGGGCCCCTCACCTTCATAGCCCAGGAGCCCATGGCTCCCCCAGTCCCCCAAGTCTGGCAGGAGCCTGACCTGGACCCATCATGGTGAAACTGGAAACTTCTAGCCTACCCTGGTCTAAGAGCCTCAAACATCCTGGGGAAGAAGAGCCCAGCCCCCCTCTTCAGAGCCCAACCTCAAGTCCAAATCTAAGGCTGTTCTCTCTCCAGACAACCAGTTTCAAGCTCAGCCATGGCCTTGAATATTTTTAAAGAATCAGATCTGTTAGGTAAAAGGAGGAAAGATGCTGCCCCTTCCAGCACTCTCTTCATACTCACTTTCAAGGCAGGAGCCTTCAGGTGCTCCTGCTCCCTCCTCCCCCTGAGACTATGAGGCTGAGGGGAGTTCCATGTCCCGCCCATTTATTACCCAGTCTGATTTCTACTAGGTCCAGGTGCAGGAGGAGAACTCCACGTGGCTCTCATTAAACAGCATCTGTCTCACCCAGCTCTGCAGGCCTGTGGGTTCCGAGGAAGTTTGCTTCCTCAGAGAAACAGACCCCATCGTAGGCAAGATCCGGGGCTCTACAATAAGTTACCGGGTTCGGCTGTCAGCTCTGCTACTTACTAGCTGGCTGCCCTGGAGAAAATGACTCAAATTCTCTGTCAGTTTCTCTCTCTGTAAAGGAAGTTTTTATTATGGGATTGGAAAAATAAAGAGAAAGTTCATGAACAAAAACCTTGGCATTGTGCCTGGGATAGAGGAAGTCTTAATGGTTTTAAATTTTATTCTTTTATCCTCTCTCCACACGCCCCTCCTATGTTCTGTTCCGTAGCTCTACCTGCCCCTTCACTGTTAGCCAAGCATCAGCTCAGTCACCTGGTGGCTTTTCTGACAGTGTCCTCGCACAGCCCACAGGAACTATGGTCCCTGCTGGAGCACAGACCGAGGACACAGGATGCAGAGATGAAGTGTGGCCTTGGGGACCCAAGAATTTAAACATACAAACAAAGCCAAAGCAAACAAAACAAAGAAAGTCCCTCCATAACCCGCCAAGCAGCCTCCCTTAGCATACAGGAATCGTTGTCCTGTGAAATATTCTACAAGTGTTCTCAGCAGTGATCATATTTGCAAGACTATCCTTTTCAGCTAAGGAGAGATTGGAAACTTGGATAGGATTCTTGGGAGAGTCCCAAAGATGATAAAAATGCTGGAAAAGGAGCATATTTCTTTGTTTTTATAATATGTCCTCTCTTTCTCTCTCTGAAAGAGAAGTAGCTGAAATCACTGAAGTTTTATTGATACAAAGGAAATGAAAACAAAACACTAAAAGCGTTTTTTTAATGGAATAAAATACATTCTGTGGTGTTCAGCTACAACTGATGTGTAAAGCATATACTAATGTTGGAAAATGACATTCTCCACACCTGGGTAATCACAGCCACTGAATGCTGAGCACAAACAAGGAGCCAGGCACTGGCCTGGTACTGTCTACAGGATCTGAGGTCTCAAAAAGACCTCCAATATGAACACCCTCCTTGTTTTAGCTGTGGGGAACTGAGGCTCAGCGGTGAGTAGCAGAGCTGGGATATAATTTCAGGTATTCTCGACTCCCTATCTAATGCTTAAGGACCAGGTGAGGGAGAAACCTCCGGGACTAAAAGAGTAGATACTGCCTGGGTGCCTGGGTCTCAAGTGAGGTCTGCTTTTTTTTTTTTTTTAACGTTAAATGCCATAATGAGGTTGTGCATGTATTGGGAGGCGTGTGTTGGCTTTATTCTAGAACAGTGACAGTTATTAACCCAGTCTCCCATGTCCCCACGTTAAGCAGAGCCTGGAGTCTCCTCCTTAGGGTCAGATACCAAATGGTAATAGCATCTCTATAGCCTGACAGAGGGAGAAGCAGGCTGTCATGTTCTGTTCAGTTCCTCATGAATATTCAGGAAGCTCCAAGCATTGATAAGGTAAGAGATTTGGGGTTTAAGGTTCAGTTTAAAATGGCTGTGGAGGTGCCAGAGCCGAGAATCCAGACATGAATCACAAGAGTAATTATTGAAATGGAAATAGGTCCTCTGACAACTGTCCTTCATAGGGTGTGAAGAAGGACGAAGGGCGGCTTGCTTGATAACAGTCTCCAGGACAAAGCTGTAGGAAATGAGCTAAAATTGCAGCCAGCGCATATGCAGGTGGAGGGAGGGAGGGAGGGAGGGAGGAAGGAATTACCCAGTGAGTGAGGCTGCCTTTCAGAGAACCATCAGGCCGGCCAGCATCTGCTCTCGGGAGATGCAGCTTGAGACCCTTGAGCAAAGCTCATTTTTGCCTTATTGTGACTGAGCCTTCCATAGCAATCTGTTTTCTGACTGAAAGCAGATAAGTCAAAGCTGACTGTAGATGAAGCAATTTGAAGTGGCTGATTCAAGACAATTTTTATTCTAAAACACACACACACACAACAAAACCAACACTTGCGTTTCCAAAAGAAGAGGTACAGCAGCCTTCAGCGGGCTCTGAGGGAGGACAAGGAGGGCAGGGCAGTAGGTGAAGCAACCCAGCCTTGGCTCTGGTTTGGGGCCACTGGAGATGCTGGGCAGTGATGACTTCCTTCCCCTCTCCCATCCTGAGGTCACTCCCCCACTGAATTTGAGAACAGACTACGAAAGTGAAGAGCTAGAGCCAGGAGTCTCCTGGTGAGAATCTGATGTCAGAGGCCAGCCGAAGGGGACTTCAGTGATTCAGAGTTCTTACTGGGTCTCATGAATTCTTCTCACCCCAAACCTGATTGACCATCCTCATGTAAACTCTTAATTGGTTTCTGTCTAGGGAGGTAAATAGGGATATTAATTTATTCTTCACTCTATGTCTATCCAATCGCCGAAGCTGTTGATTTAACTTTCTAAATATCTCTTGAATTCACATCCCTTACTTACTGTCTGGACCATGATCGGCTCTTGCCTCAGTTACTGCAACAACCTCCTAACTAGCTCTCCCACCCTTTTCCAGAGCTTTAATCAAGTAGCAGCCATAATGATCTAATTTCTCAGAATTTTTTTAAATTTGTATAAATTTAAGGGTATAAGTGCAGTTTGGTTACATGGATATATTGCACAGTGGTGAAGTCTGTGCTTTGTACATTGTACTCATTATGTAATTTCTTATACCTCACCCCCTCCCGCCCTTCTGAGTCTCCAACATCTATTATTCCATGCTCTATGTCCATGTGTACACATTATTTAGCTTCCACTTTTAAGTGAGAAAATGCAGTATTTGACTTTTTGTTTGAGTTGTTTTACTTAAGATAGTGGCTTCAGTTCCATCCATGTTACTGCAAAAGATACGATTTCATTCTTTTATATGGATGAATAGTGTATCATTGTATATATTTTACCACATTTACTTTATCCATTCATCTGTTAATGAACACTTAGGTTGATTCCAAATCTTTACTATTGTGAATAGTGCTGTAATAAACATAAGAATGCAGGTATATTTTTCATATAATTATTTCGTTTCTTTTATCAGTATTTTAATTATGAAAGTTTTCAAACATAAAGTTGAGATAATTTTATAGTGAACTCTCTCTCATATGCCCACCACTTAGATTTCACCATTACCATTTTATTATATTTTCTTTATTATATATTTAGCCAACCATCCTTCTCTCTATTCAGGTATCAGTCTTATTATTTTTTATGTATTTCAAAGTAAATTGCAGATATCAGTAAACTGATGTCTTCCTAAGTAATTCAAACATGCATATCATTAACTAGGGTTCAACATTTGTTTGCAGTCTTTGTTTTTCAGAATGATCTTTTAAAAATGTAAAGACAATTATGATGCTCCCATGTTTAAAACCTTTCTAGACCTTAAGGTAAGTCCCAGGTCCTTAACATGGCACACCAGCCCTTTTAAATGTGGTTTTTATTTACTTTTAGATCTTAATCTGTTGTACTTGCTCTCATTGATGCTCTGGGCACTCCTGAGGCCTGACGGCCTGTCATTGTCCTGCCGCTTGCAGGGGCCCCACTTCCAGGGCTGTTCTGTCATAGCCCAGCCTCTGTGTCTAGGGATACATACCCCTCAGCTCTCAGAACTGAAGGCTTCCTGTCAGGGAAGCTTGTATGGCCGTCATGGGCTGGTGAGATGTCTCTTGGAGCTTATGCTGCTGCAGTCATTGCACATACCTCCTGCCCTTGGAAATGAATGCCTGCAGACAGGCTCGACATTGCCTCTTCTGTAAGCAGCTCCAGAAAGACAGTAATAGTCACAGGGTCAAACACAGTCCCTGGCCCAGAGTGCATACTCTGCAATTTGTTGTCTGCAATGAGGAGAAATACCCGAGTAGAATAAAACTGCATTTCTTTTCTTTTCTTTCTTTCTTTTTTTTTTTTGAGACAGACTCTCACTCTGTCGCCTAGGCTGGAATGCAGTAACACAATCTCGGCTCACTGCAACCTCTGCCTCCCGGGTTCCAGCGATTCTCCCACCTCAGCCTCCCTCCCGAGTAGCTGGGATTACAGGTGCACACCACCATGCCCAGCTAACTTTTTGTATTTTTAGTAGAGATGGGGTTTCACCATGTTGGCCAGGCTAGTCTCAAACTCCTGATCTCCAGTGATCCACCTGCCTCGGCTTCCCAAAGTGCCGGGATTACAGGTGTGAGCCACCATGCCTGGCCCAAACTGCATTTCTTAAAAACATAGTTTTAACTCAGACCCTTCTCTAGTTTAACCTGACGTATCCCATCTCTCTTTTCTGCCTCTCTTCTTTCCTGCTGCTGAGTGTAATAGCTCATAACTGAGGTTTGTATGCAGTTTTACAATATGCAATTGTTCTTGATACATTTTCAATCCACCCAGCATCTCTTCCTGGAATACTAATTCAGACACCTCCCTAGTTTAACCTGACCTATCCCATCTCTCCCTTTCTCCTGCCTTCCTTCCTTTCCTCTCTCTCTTCTCCTTTATCATGTGCTCACCTATCCTTTTCTCTCCAACTTAAGGTGACCTCTCCTTTCTCCCTCTCCCCATCCTTCTTCCCATCTCTTCCCTTCTCTCTCTCCTCTCCCTCCCTCCCCTCTCCTCTCTTCCTTCCTATCCCCTCTTTCTTTTCCTTCCCTCCTCTATTCTTCCTCCTTTTAGTTTATAGTGACCTCTCCTCTCAGCCTTTTCTCCCACCCCTCCCCTCCCTGCCTTTCCTCTCTCAGTTTTCTTCCTCACTCCCAGATTTTCCAACCAGAGCCTCTTCATTTTCTGATAATTTCCGTGATATTTCAGAGCGTTAATGCTGGGGCCTCTCATTGCCACTTGAAGAAGGCCACTTTTTAGGTCTAATCACCACAAGGGAAATGAATGTGAAGCTCATCAACTGTTGAAGAGAGTCCAAGGAAGGGGAGAACAGAGAGCAAAACACCAGTGTTCTATGGACAAGGAATTAACTGAAAATTACAGACAGGGGAGAAAGAACAAATGTCTTTACTCTCCATATTTTCCTTCTCGGGCTGATGGCTCCCTTGCTCACCATTACACTTATGTCACATTGTCACATTCAAACCAGGCTGCTGCTGGGTATATCAGAGAGCATTATTAACTAGTAACTAAGGTTTGCATGCAGTTTTACAATTTGCACTGTTCTCCATACATTTTCTTTCTTTTCTTCTTTTTTTTTGAGACGGAGTCTTGCTTTGTCACCCAGACTAGAGTGCAATGGCGCAATCTCAGCTCACTGCAACCTCCGCCTCCTGGGTTCAAGCAATTCTCCTGCCTCAGCCTCCCCAGTAGCTGGGATTACAGGCACGTGCCACCAAGCCTGGCTAATTTTTGTATTTTTAGTAGAGACGGGGTTTCACCATGTTGGCCAGGCTGGTCTCGGACTCCCGACCTCAAGTGATCCACCTGCCTTGGCCTCCCAAAGTGCTGGGATTACAGGTGTGAGCCACCACACCCGGCCTCTTCATATATTTTCAATCCACCCAACGTCCCGTCCTGGAACTGTCCTTTGACCCTAAGTTCCACGTCAGCTACCAAACTGTCTTTTCTTCCTAGCCATGTTTTGTATAAAACCTGTGTATGTTCATGGTGGCTCCTCTGTGTCTCCTTATGCTCATTATCCCTCCCTGCTGCCTGGCTCCACCACCGTTCCCTGGAATCCACTCTGGCCATATTCAGCAGCAACTTCTAAATTATCCAATCCAGTGGGTAAGGTCCATCTGTATCCTACCTGACCCTTCAGCTGCCTTTGACCAAAGTACTCAATCCCCCTGGCCTTCTTGAAAGTCATGTCTTCTTGATTCTCAGGACTTTCCTCCTGCGTCTCAACTAGTTCCTTGTTGGTCCCTTTGATAGGTTCCATTTCCGCCTTCTGCCCTTTAAGTGCTTTCTGGGGCTCTGTTCTTGGTTGGACCTCTTCTCTTCTTACGGTACACACTCTCTCTCTGGGCAATCTCACCCCCAACATGGCTTTAGTGATCATCTATATGTGGGTACTCTTAAATCTCTATACAGTCCCGACCTGTAGAATTACATATCTACATACTTCCAATGGTATTGCACTTGAATTTCTCACAGGCACCTTACACTTACCTGTTTTAGCTCCTCATTCAATCTGCTTTTCTATGCTGGCTAATGGCACCCCTTCCCTCCAGTCACCCTGCCTGGAGCTATCCTGGACCCCTCTTCCTCTGCCACCTCATGCAAATACTTTAACATGGTCATTCGAGGCTCTTCATCATCTGACATGGGTTACAACAGAAACTTCTCACCCCCCATCCCATCCTCACCCTTCAGGCCAGCCACACTGAGCTACTCCCTGCTCTCTGAATGAGCCACCACTGCTCTGTTCCTTTTCATCTGCAGCTCCATCTGCTGGGGATGACCTTTCCCTGCTTCTCCGCCAGGCTGCTCATCATCTCGGGCTCTGCTCAGGCACCTTCATCACAAGACAGCCTGCTTTTGCCCCTTCCTCTGTGGACTCTCATGGCATTCAATGCTTCTTTTCAGCATCGTATTTAATACAGGGTGATGCAATCTTCTGCATATTTGCTTGCCCCTCCCTCCTTAGACTCTTGAGTTCCTTAAGAGTGAGGACTTTGCTTTATCCTTCTGTATTAGTCTGTTCTCACACTGCTATGAAGAAATACCTGAGACTGGGTAATTTATAAAGGAAAGAGGTTTAATTGACTCACAATTCCGCATGGCTGGGGAAGCCTCAGGAAACTTACAATCATGGTGGAAAGCAAAGGAGAAGCAGGCATCTTCTTCATAGGGTTTCAGGACCAAGTGAGTGCAAGCAAGGGAAATGCCAGACGCGTATAAAACCATCAGGTCTTGTGAGACTCACTACCATGAGAACAGCATGGGTGAAACCACTCCCATGATCTAATTACCTCCACCTGGCCCTGCCTTTGACACATAGGGATTATGGGGATTATAATTCAAGATGAGATTTTGGGTGGGGACACAGCCGAACCATATCACCTTCTGTCACCTGCTCCTGCCAGTTTATGGTACATAGAAGGGCCTCTCAATATTTGAACACATGAATGAGTGAGTGAGTGAATGGGATGTGTCAGGTGTGACAACCCACAGGGCCTGAACCTGGGGTAGAACTCAGTGTTTCTGACTCCACAGGCCATGCTCTTTCCTCACAGTCCAATTTTCAGTGGATGCCCCTCCTGCCAACCTAGTATGCTTAAAAAGATAAGTATTTGAATAGGTGCAAACTTATCAGTAGCTCCTCTCAAAGGACCTTGAAACACCCCTACATATGTTCTTTTAGACTGGGACAATTTTACATGGGTATAATACGTATGGTTCAGTGGCCCCCTGCAGGCAAGGCTGCCCAAAGCATGACTCTCAGTGTGGCTGTGTCCTCCCCCCATCTCTCCCCTTCACTTTCCAAGGATGTAAGCCAGTGTTGGTGGCAGCATTAGAATTGTATCCACAATCCTATCCTTCCTAGTGTGGGAAAGTCCAGCTAAACGGAACTATCTTCAATACTTTGAACTCTCTATGATCACTGTTGCTCCAGGCTTTTGTACATGCTGTTCCATTTCACATGGGACCTCCCCCGTCATCCTCAAAACATGTAGTATCTTCCTTTAGCTAACTTGTTATTTTCTAGACCTCAATTTGAAGATATCTATATCCAAGGAAGCCCAAATCTGGGTTAGGTGTCCTTCCAGGTACTCTCTCTCATAGCTTTTGGGTTACCTCCATCATGTCACTTGCCACACTATTCCAGAGATGCCTGCTGACTCATGTGTTCCCCACTGGGCGGCTGTAAGCTCCTAGACCAGTAGAGACTGTGTCTGTCAGTCTTACACCTATAACCACAGTTCTGGGTACATGATAGGCACTCAGTAGGTATTTGTTAAATGAACAAGGGATTGTTTTTTGGTTAAAAAAAAAAAAGATTTCTCCTATGATTCATTTTTGCCAAGAAGCATACCAGGAAAAATTCTTGGAAATCTGAGTTTCTGTGTATGGTCATATTTAGATGGTCATGTACATATGTGATTTGCAGGCGTTTCAATTTCTACTTTGTAGAAAATGATTGTTTTTCTTCTCTTTATTCACCTCTCTTATCACTAGATGTCCTGTGTCTTGCTGGGCTCATCTTCCTGACTCCCCACAGCTCTATAAACCATGAGGCTTGGCAAATGCAGTTGGTGAATTGTTTTTTGTTTTTTTCTTAGTCAAGTACACAATTTCAAGTTTGAAGAACGGAATCAGTTGGGTTATACTTCATAGCCTAGAGAAAACAAATATGCATCTTTTTGGATTTGTTTTAGTCTTTGTCTTACATTGAAAATATCTGAGAAATCTCGCAGAAGAGCTGGAAGGTCCGCAATGTATTTTATAGTTTTTATAGACAGAAAATAATGGAAAGTATATAGTTTCAAGGTGGCAAATATTTGGCTCTTTATGCCCTTGTGCTTACAAATGAAAAGACAGAGAGAGGAAAATCAATTTTCCAGGAGGCTGTGGGTAAATTGCCTTGCAATACAATCATTAAGCAGTTGCCATTTCTAGAAAAGTAAATTTTGTGATTCTTCAGATACCTTTATTATAGACCAGTGAGATGTACCATTATGTGAAGCTCTTGAATTGCTTTAAGTTTATTTAAGACTTAAATCTCTGAAAAATGTTAATAGTTGGGAATATTCAAAGACTCCAATTTATGAAACTATAATAGATTTTAAGTTGCTAAGTGTCTTTTCACATTTGAGTTGATGCTTCCGTTTTATGATCAAAGTGTGTGGAATGTCTGGTTGCCATGCAAACTGGGGCTTAAGAGGAAACATTGAGGCCTCTTGCTGTATTTTCCTTAAAGACAAAGCATTGCATTCATTCATAGAAATGTGGAAAGCCTTTATCTCCTCCTTTATCTGCCAAATCCCTTGGCATGGTGTTTTCTTTGAATCTGGAGGAAGTGTTCTGGGATTATTTCTACTGAAGGATAAATGGTCTCTTTGGGTGAAGTGAAGAAACCTAGGATATGAGGATGGTTGTTCTCAGAGCTGTGCCTTACCCATTCCATGAATAAGGGGAAGGCAACTAAGATTTCTCAAGCACTGGCTCTGTTCCAGGTCCCGTATCAAATTCTTGAGACATCTCATCTCACTGTCTGTCTGCTAATCAAGGGCAAAGATTGTATCATATATGAATGTCTTTGTGTATACAACACAGTTGACATTGATTGGTATGAATGACTGCTGAATGAAGGAATGAGCAAACAATCCTGTGTAGGTGTTTTAAACCCATTTTAAAGATCACCTCAGAGAAGTTAAATAAGTTGTTCAGTCTTACCTCTTTCACAGAACAGAAGATATATTAGTAATAGTTGACTTTATTTATTTATTTTGAGACAGAGTCTCACTTTGTTGCCCAAGCTGGAGTGAAGTGGCATGATCATGGCTCACTGCAGCCTCAAACTCCTGGGCTTAAGTGATCCTCCCACCTCAGCCTTCCAAGTGGCTAGGACTACAGGCATGCACCACCACACTTGGCTAATTTTTTTTTTTTTTTTGCAGAGATGAGTCTCACTATTTTGCCCGGACTGGTCTCAAACTGCCAGGCTTAAGTGATCCTCCCACCTCAGCCTTCCGAAGTGCTGGGATTACAGGTGTGAGCCACCATGCCTGGCCAATAGTTAACTTTATATCACAGTACAGTCATGTGTTGCTTAATAACAGGAATATATTCTGAGAAATGTGTTGTTAGACAACTTTGACATCATGCAAACATCATAGAGTGTACTTACACAAACCTAGAGGGTATAGTCTACCATACACCTAGGCTAAATATAGTAGTATAGCCTATTGTTTTCAGGCTACAAACCTATACAGCATGTTACTGTACTGAATACTGTAGGCAATTGTAACACAATGATAAGCATTTTTGCATCTAAACATATCTAAACATACAAAAGGTATAGTAAAAATACAGTATTATGATCTTATGGGGCCACTGTCATCACTGTCATATGTGGTCTACTCTTTGTATTTAAGCTACAAGATATGAAAGGAAAAGAGTGAATATCACCCAAGAATCTGCATTCTGTTCTGGGGAAAGGATTAGCATGTTTCTGTTTGCACACAGGATAGCTGTGTCATGTTAGGGGGAAGTATCACTTTGTTGTCTTTATTTGGATATTAAATATGGCTTAAGAAGATGTGTATGGGTGCCAGGTTGTCAAAGGGTGGATTCATGTGGTCGTTATGTATGAAATTATCTAGGCTATTGCCCCCTATTCTCAACAAAATGGTAATCTAGGTGTTGCTAGGAAGGTATTTTGTAACTCTTGTTAAAGTCTGTAATCGGTGGCGAGCAATGAAACAAGAATTTGAGGCCCAATCTATCTGGCTTCAAGTCTGTGTTCCCCCTATTCTATATTAAACAGAAAATAAAAGTCTATTGAGTGTTTCATAGGCAATTAAGTCTAATAAACTCTGCAAAGTTTAAACACCTGCCATGTGGCAGCCACTGGGCCAAGTGTGTCACTCAGGTTATCACACAGCAACCCTAAATGCCACCACCCCAACTATGGTCATGAAGAAACGGGGGTTTAGAATACCTCTATTTTTTTGCTTAACTTTGCTATGCACCATTCTCTAAAGAATGTTCCCTGAAGTTCCAGTCTCAAAAATAACAGATTCTTTCCACGATGAAAATGTTTGGGAAACATTCGTGTTATCACTACCTCCTGAGGACTCAAAGTGTACATGCACAATGTGTTACAGATTCCAATAAGTACTGCAGTAAAGACTTTTTTTTTTTTAATTTTTTTTTTAAGACAGAGTCTTGCTCTGTCTGCCAGGCTGGAGTACAGCGGCATGATCTCGGCTCAATGCAATCTCCGCCTCCCGGGTTCAAGTGCTTCTCCTGCCTCAGTCTCCCGAGTGAGTAGCTGGGACTACAGGCACATGCCACCACGCCTGGCTAATTTTTGTATTTTTAGTAGAGACAGGGTTTCACTATGTTGGCCAGGCTGGTCTGGAACTCCTGACCTCAGGTGATCCACCCGCCTCGGCCTCCCAAAGTTCTGGTATTACAGACGTGAGTCACCGCATCCAGCCAAGACCTTTCTTAAACTCCATTTAACCCAGCATTTCAAACATATTTGGCTACAGCAGCACTTTTGTGTGTTATACCCATTAACGTCATGGCATGAGACTTCTGCCAAGCAGACTTAGAAAAATTTTGGCTTGCTATGTAGCACCAGGCCTCAATTTCACAGGAGCAACTGTAGGCAGGTTCTCAGAACATGTTGAACTGCTAGGTCATGCTTATTACCTAGATAATGCTTCATGTTTATTTATATTATATTTTTGCTAAAAATCTTATGTGGGCTGAATTTCTGTTCAGAGGAGTCTCATTTTGCCCACAGGCTATGTATCATATTCCACTGAAAGCCAATTCTTGCACCTGTTGGCAAAATGAGCCAGAGGACCTCTAGATTATTTTCTTGTTTTTTTCTTGTGTGCCATTTTGATTCCCACCTCATTTCCTTTTCTGTATGTTTCTTAGTTATTTTCTTAGTGGTTACCCTGGAGATTATAATTAACATCCTAAATTTCTTTGAGTTGATAGCAACTAACTTCAACAGCATAGAAATCTCTGCTCCTGTATAGCTGCCCTCCCTCTTTACATTGCTGTTGTTAACAGTTTCGTCTTTATACATTGTGTGCCAATTAGCAGAAATTTATAATTAGTGTTTTTTGCACTTATATTTTAAATAATATAGGAAAAGAAAGATGAGTTACAAACCAAAAATACAATAACCCTGGTTTCTATATTAATATTCACTTATGTTGTTACCTTTACTGGTGTTATTTCTTCATATTGTTTTGAATTACTGTGTAATGTCTGTTCATTTCATCCTGAAAGACTGCTTTTAGCATTTCTTGTAGGGCAGGACTGCTAGCAATAAACTTTCTCAGTTTTTATCTGAGAATGTCTTAATTTCATTTTAGTTTAGTTTTTTTTTGTTGTTTTGTTTTGTTTTTTTTTGAGATGGAGTCTCGCTCTGTTGCCCAGGCTGGAGTGCAATGGCACAATCTTGGGTCACTGCAACCTCCGCCTCCTGGGTTCAAGCTATTCTCATGTCTCAGCCTCTCGAGTAGCTGGGTTTACAGGTGCCCACCACTGCACCTGGCTAATTTTTGTATTTTTAGTAGAGACGGGTTTTTGCCATGTTGGTCAGGTTGGTCTTGAACTCCTGACCTCAGGTGATCCACCCACTTCAGCTTCCCAAAATGCTGGGATTACAGGCGTGAGCCACCACACCTGGTCTTTTTTTTTTTTCTTTTTGAATTTCATTTTGATTTTTAAAGAATATTTTTATAAACATATAATTCTTAATTTACAGGCTTTAAACTATGTCACCCCATTGCCTTTTGGCTTTCATGGTTTCTGATGAGAAATGAGCTGTTAAACTTATTGATGATTGCTTGTATATGACGAGATGTTTCTCTCCTGCCACTTTCAAAATTGTCTTAGTCTTTTTTTTCTTGACAGTTTAATTATCATTGTGCCTCAGTGTAGATGTCTTTGAGTTTATTCTACTTAGAGTTTGTTGAATTTCTTGGATATATAGATACATGTATTTCATCAAATTCAAGCCATTTTAGCCATGATTTCTTCAAATAGCTTTTTTGCCTCTTTTTCTCTCTTCTCTCCTCCTGGGATGCTTCTTGGTATGCTCGATGGTGTCCCACAGTTCCCTTAGACTCTGTTCCTTTTTCTTTAAAAAAATATAGTTTATTTTTTAATTTTATTTCAGTTTTTGGATAACAAGTGGTTTTTGATTGCATGGATAAGTTTTTTAGTGATGATTTCTGAGATTTTGGTGTACCCATCACCCAAGCAGTGTACACTGTACCCAATGTATAGTCTTTTATCCCTCACTGCCCTCCCATCCTCCCCCGCTGAGTCCCCAAAGTGCTTTATATCATTCTTATGCCTTTGCGTCCTCACAGCTTAGCTCCCATTTATAAGTGAGAATATACAATATTTGCTTTTCCATTCCTGAGTTGCTTCACTTAGAATAATGGTCTCCAATTCCATCCAGGTTGCTGTGAATGCCATTATTTCATTTCTTTTTTATGACTGAGTAGTATTCCACGGTATGTATATGATATATATGACATTTTATTTATCCACTCATCACTCATTGGTTGATGGGCATTTAGGCTGGTTCCATATATTTGCAATTGTGAATTGTGCTATTATAAACATGCATGTGCAAGTGTCTTTTTCATATAATGACTTCTTTTCCTCTGGGTAGATACCCAGTAGTGGGATTGCGGATCAAATGGTAGCTCTATTTTTTGTTCTTTAAGGAATCTCCATACTGTTTTCCATAGTGGTTGTACTAGTTTACATTCTCACCAGCAGTGTAAAAGTGTTCTCTTTTCACCACATCCATGCAAACATATGTTATTTTTTGATATTTTAATTATGGCCGTTCTTGCAGGAGTAACGTCATTGTGGTTTTGACTTGCATTTCCCTGATAATTAGTGATGTTGAACATTTTTTCATATTTTTATTGGCCATTCGTACGTCTTCTTTTGAGAATTGTTTATTCATGTCTTTGCCCACTTTTTGATGGGATTTTTTTTTCTTGCTGATTTGAGTTCCTTGTAGATTCTAGATATTAGTCCTTTGTTTGATGCATAGTTTGTGAAGATTTTTCTCCCACTCCATGGGTTGCCTGTTTACTCTGCTGATTATTTCTTTTGCTGTGCAAAAGCTTTTTAGCTTAATTAGGTCCCATTTATTTATCTTTGTTTTTGTTGCATTTGCTTTTGAGTTCTTGGCCATGAACTCTTTACCTAAGCTAATGTCTAGAAGAGTTTTTCTGATGTTGTGTTCTAGAATTTATATGGTTTTAGGTCTTAGATTTAAGTCTTTGATCCATCTTGAGTTGATTTTTGTGTAAGGTGAGAGATGAGGATCCAGTTTCATTCTGCTACATGTGGCTTGTCAATTATCTCAGCACCATTTATTGAATAAAGTGTCTTTCCCCCACTTTATGTTTTTGTTTGCTTTGTCAAAGATCAGTTGGCTGTAAGTATTTGGCTTTATTTCTGGGTTCTCTATTCTGTCCCACCAGTCTATGTCCTGATTTTTATACCAGTATTATGCTGTTTGGGTAACTATAACCTTGTAGTATAATTTGAAGCTGGGTAATGTGATGTCTCCAGATTTTTTCTTTTTCTTAGTCTTGCTTTGGCTATGCAGGCTGTTTTTTGGTTCCATATGAACTTTAGGATTGTTTTTTCTAGTTCTGCAAAGAATGATAATGATACTTTGATGGGAATTGCATTGAATTTGCAGATTTCTTTTGGCAGTATGGCCATTTTCACAATATTGATTCTACTCACCCATGAGCATGGGATGTGTTTCCATTTGTTTGTGTCATCGATAATTTCTTTCAGCAGTGTTTTGGAGTTTTCCTTGTAGAGATCTTTTTCTTCCTTGGTTACATATATTCCTAGGTGTTTTTCCTTTCTTTCTTTCTTTTCTTATTTATTTATTTATTTTTGGTAGCTGTTTTAAAAGGGATCGAGTTCTTGATTTAATTCTCAGCTTGGTCATTGTTGGTGTACAGCAGTGCTACTCTTTTGTGTACATTGATTTTGTAACCTCACACGTTACTGAATTCATTTATCAGAACTAGGAGCTTTACGGATGAGTCTTTAGGGTTTTCTAGGTATACAATCATGTCTTTGGTGAACAGCGACAGTTTGACTTCTTCTTACTGATTTGGATGCCCTTTATTTATTGTCTGATTGCTTTGGCTAGGACTACTTTTCTTTATTATTTTTTCTTTTCTCTACTCAGACTGGATAATTTTTTTTGTCTTCGAATTATTTTATTTTTCACCCTTCCCTAATTTGTAGGCTTATTACGGTGTTATCATCTATCTCTACTTAGCATTCTTTTCCCACTTACTTTCTGATGCAATGGAAAACGTGGCCATCTTCCTGTATAAAGCCAATTGACCCATCCAGCTAAACTTAATCATGATTCTCTCTCCTTTGTCTTTGAACTTTCCCTCTTGCTCAGACTGGATAATTTTAATGAACCATTCCTCAAGTTACTGCGTGTTTGTTCTGCATGCTCAAATTTTCTGTTGAACTCCTCTAGTGAATTTGACAAAAGTAGCTATTATACTTTTCACCTCCAGAATTTCTATTTGGTTTCTTCTTATACTTTCTGTCTATTGATATTCTCTGTTGAGACATCATTTTCCTGGTTTTCTTTAGTTCTTTTTCATAGTTTCCCCCAGTTATCTGAGCATCTTTAAGACAGTTGACTTAAAGTGTTTACCTGCTAAGTTCAATGTCTGAGCTTCCTCAGGGAAAGCTTCTGTCAATGTCTCTTTCTTGTTCTTCCCGTGAATGGGTCATACTTTTCTGTTTCTTTGCATGTTCATAATTTTTTGCATGTTTGTAACTCTGGAAGTCAGATTATCTCCCTTTCCAATAATTGGCTACTGTTGTTTGTTTTGGGCTGCAGCCATCCATTTGTTTAGTAACTTTTCCAAAGAATTTGGCAAAGATTGTATTTCTTCTTATGTATGGTCACTGTTATGTCTTAGCAGTTAGCCAGTCACCTGAGAGACACTTACTTAAATGCTTGGAACCAAAAATAAAATGAAAAATACTTAGTGGCATCTGCAGTCTTTGCAGATTATTTTTGAGCTGGAGCATTCAATGCTTAGCCAAACCACCAACAACTCTGTCTTAACCCTTATCCTCCTGCTTCTGCAGGGCCGAAAGATCAGCCAGAGATGCAAGCACCGAATCATCCCAGATCTTTCTGAACATTTATTCGGAGCATGCACATGGCTGTCTGGATTCCCTGATATATTCAGGAGTCCTTCAAAGTCCTAATTTCCCCATTTATCTTGATCCTCAGGCTCCTCATTCCCAGGATTTTTGGTCTGTCTGCTGCTTGTCCCATTCTCCACCTCTTTCTCCAGGTGGCTGTCCATTGTATAATGTCCTTATGTGCTTTTGACAAATGCTGTCCAGGAGGCCTCCAGTCATGAGAGAATTCAAAGTGGGGTAAAAACAAAGGCAGTTCTCTAAGCCAGCCTCTCGAGGAACTGCCAAAAAGGTTAAAATGCATGCACAACCACAATTTATTGATAACAAGGTCTGTACTGATCTTTCTGGCACTAGCAACTAAACCACCAGGAACATGGCCACCATTCCTATTGGCCACCACCAAGCTAGGGTATAGGGGGTGATAGGTGGATAAGCAAAAATGCCACACAATTTCTTACTGAAATTTAGAAGTCTCCTCTTTATTAAGCACTCTCCTGGTTGTTGTAAGTTTTTTCTTATTAGATTCTCACATTCCAAAATAGTTTAACAGCTTTCACTAGCTTAACATTTGCTTCAGTGGAGGAACAGGTCCTTAGGGCTCCCTATTCCACCATTTTTGGTGACATCTATCCTCCAGTGTTTTTGAACCTGGATTCTATAATTTCATGAATCACCTTGGGGGTCCATGGAAAGGTCCTTAGAGTCCATAAGAAGAGTTAATGAATCATCTTGGGGGTCATTGTCCTTACTCCACCATTTTTAGTGATGTCTCTTCACTAAATTCTTTTTGAACCTAGATTCTATGGTTTCCTGAATTACCTTGGGGTACATTGTAAGAAGCTCTTAATTTTAGGCCATGTTCATATTTTCATCCTGTTTTGATTGTGTGTATTTTTCAATGTTATTTTTAATGTTACATATAAATATACCATAATGTATTCAATCATTTACCTAGAGTTGACCATTTAGTTCTTTCCAGTTTTTTATTGTAAGTAAAACCATGATAACCATTCTTGTATGCAAATATTTGCTTACAAGATAGATTTGTCTGGATTTTGAGGATTTCTAGAAGTGATATTGTCAAGTCAACTTTTTAAAAATTCTTTATGTGTTAGGAAATAATTTATATTCCTATCAGCATTGTTTAAGAATGACAACATCAAAACTCCCCAGGCAGTGAGCACTAGTATTTTAAAATCTTTGCTGATACAATATTGAAAACGTAGAAAATTTAAATAATTTTTTTATGCTTGAATTAGTAGTTCCTTCTTGGACCTACCTCATAATATGGCTTTGAGATGAAAAGTCAGCTCATAAACAGTGCCCAGAATAGCACCTGACATATCATAAGCATTATATTAGCTCTTGTTGTTTTGTTTTTGTTTTGTCATTTTGAGATGGGGCCTGGGTGACAGAGTGAGATCTTGTTATTTTTGTTGTTGTTACTTTGTAAATTGTTCACTTCTGTGACTTATTTTTAAAAATTATAGACTTTCATAGGTTTTATTTTACCTATTTATTTCTTTATCTATCTGTATGTCTATCTATCATCTAGTGTTCTTTCTATCTTTTGATTCTTTATTTTGTTTTAATGCACCTTGGTCACAAAGGTATCAAAGTATCAAGTTCTGGCACTGAATAGAGAAAGCCAGCCAACTTTCAGGAGAGGAGAGATTTCTTTCTGGAGTAGTTTCTCTAGAGTTTATTTAAAGAACTCCTGCAGCAGAATCACCTGAGACATTTGTTAAAATAAAGATTTATGTGCTCTATCCCTCAGATTCTGATTCAACAGACCTGGGGCAGACCCCAGTAATATTCTTCCTTTCAGCACTTTAAATATGTCATCCCATTGCCTCCTGGCCTCCATGGTTTCTGATGAGAAATCAGCCCAAGAATCTTCATCTTTTAACATGCTCCCCCAGGTGATTCTTAGGTTCATGAACATTTAGAGGACCACTTTTTTGAAGGAACTTCACTTCATCTTGCCATTCAGATAACAGAAAATAAGAAAGGGCTTACTTTTTCCCCTATCCTCTCTTAATGCATGCTATTATTATTGGTTTGTGTTTGAATGAAATTCTTAATACTCTGGTATGATTCATTTATATATATCCTCCCTTGGTGAAAATCCGGAAGTCCCCTCTTTGAATAATCTGTCTTCACGGGCATTGGTTTCTCAGTCTGTGAAGCAGGAGCAGGGACTAGCAGTGGGCCTTCTTTTTTTTCACTCTCAGTCTCTATCCTCACCCTGTGATTAATGCCTGTTGCTTTACCTGTCCACATGTTCCCCTGCTTTGGGAGTTGGTAATCCCCTTATTCAGGGGTCTGATTCTCTCTCAACTTCCTTTATATGGAGGGGCTGCTGTATCCTTTCAAGACCCTCCCACTGGCATAATTTTTTGGTTTATAGGGATAATGCCTGACCCAGGCTAGGCCAGTGAGATCTTTCCCTGGATTTTTCAACATGAGATTAAATATATCAGGTTAGTCTCTGCTATGGAATGAACCTTCGTGTTCCCCCAAATTCATATGCTGAAGCCTAAATCCCCAGTGTGATGGTATTTGGATGTGGTGCCTTTAGAAAGTATTTAGGTCATGAGGGTGGAGCCCTCATGAATAGGAGTAGTGCCCTTATAAAAAAAAAAAAAGACATGGCGGAGGCAGGAGAATCACTTGAACCTGGGAGGCAGAGGTTGCAGTGAGCCAAGATTGTGCCACTGCACTCCAGCCTGGGTGATGGAGTGAGACTCCATCAAGAAAAAAAAAAGAAAGAAAAAAAGACATGAGAGCTTGCTCTCTCTTTTCTGTTCTTCTTTGAAATGTGATCACAAGAGGAGATGGCCATCTGCAAATCAGGCTCTCATCAGGACCTGATCATGCTGGCACCCTGATCTTAGCCTTCTCAGCCTCTAGAACTGTGAGGAATAAATTTCTGTTGTTGGATCCCCCTCGTCTATAGTATTCTTTTATAGCAGCCCAAACTGACTGAGACAGTCTGTCTGCGATAGCTAAAACTATGCTCATATTTTCTGTCATGTAGATAAATTCAATTTCTAATGAGGGAGGATGAAATGAGAAAGAGTAGAGCTGATGTGCAGAAAAAAAAGGCACTGATATGAGACGGGAAGGAGAGGTTCTGACAGAATTTTATTCCCTGGTTTTAGTCTTCCAAAACTAGAAGTACCGTTGATTTTCCCCACTCTTTCATGGGATACTCAATACGGTCAAATACATTGCCTTTTCTACCCACTCTATTTCGAGTTGGATTTCTGCCATTTGCATGCAAGGATTCTTAACATACAAACTTTCTCTGCTTTAAAAAAAAATTTCTAGTAGTATCATCGCCTCCTTTCATGAAATTTGGAGTACAAGCTATCATTGGCAAAAATGAAATAAGAAATTGCTTTAAGTTGTATCATAAGTGGCCCAGCTTGAAGGTCACTTGGATCTCTAAGTAGCAAGACTGCCGTTGGCCAAAACATTTTGTCTCTAGAACTAAGACATCAAGAAACTTCAAATGAAGAGAAAGAGATGGAGATCATCTGTGCTCAAAATATAATAATTTCCAGCTAGAATAAGATTTCATTTAACAACAATTTATTAAGAATAGTATCATGGGGCCGGGCGCGGTGGCTCAAGCCTGTAATCCCAGCACTTTGGGAGGCCAAGGCGGACGGATCACGAGGTCAGGAGATCGAGACCACGGTGAAAGCCCGTTTCTACTAAAAATACAAAAAATTAGCCGGGTGCGGTGGCGGGCGCCTGTAGTCCCAGCTACTCAGGAGGCTGAGGCAGGAGAATGGTGTGAAGCCGGGAGGCGGAGCTTGCAGTGAGCTGAGATTGCGCCACTGCACTCCAGCCTGGGCGACAGAGTGAGACTCCGTCTCAAAAATTAAAAAAAAAAAAAAAAGAATAGTATCACGAACTCTGTCCTGGAGAAAATCCCAGGCAATCCTTCTTACTCTGCAGCATTTTTTTTTGTATCTCAACTGCTTCCTTTTGACTTGGGGTCACACTTAAGGAAACAAGAGTCTGTAATCCCAAAATGAATTAAAATAGTTTAAACTTTATGCAATATCTTGATGAAACAAATGTTTAGAAAACAAGTTATAAACTTGCCTTTTCTCTCTAACCTGTATGGCATCTTCTCTTTTACTTTCTCTCCTTCCTCATTCTGAAGTCTCCCAAACTCATAAACACAACCTGTACAGGGTTTTTAAATTTTATTTTATTTTATTTTATTTTTTGGTTGTTGTTGTTTATCCCTTTTCCTATAACTCTCTGCAAGCTTAGAGGTAAATACATTATGTCCATCCAGTTTCTCTTGTCATTCTCACTATTCATCATCCTAATCTGAATAATAATGTCCCAGGGTCAACCAGCAGAACAGAACTTTACCCAGTGGGTGGAGGTGTGGGAGAGGTGGCAAATATTCCATCACTGAAGCTCTTTCTGCATCACTTGCCACATAAGCTAGCCCAGGCAAGCTTATAAGCTGAATTCAGGTCTACTGGGAATGGGCTTCCCTGCTATATAGATAAGGGCATGACTCTTTTTTTAAACAAACCTCATTCATCAACTTTATAAACTGGACTCCCTATGCTGAATCAGGCAAAATTGCTTGAAAAGGGCAGCTTGTCAGAACCCCACAGACCTTGGGGCCTCTTCTCCTGCCCAGCCAGGTCTTTTTGGAATAAGAATGATGTAGGGTTGATTCTCTCTGACCTAAATAATTGCCTGCTAAATATTTTAGGCAAAATCGCTTGAAAAGGGTAGCTTTTCAGAGCCCCACAGACCTTGGGGCCTCCTCTCCTGCCCAGCCAGGTCTTTTTGGAATAAGAATGATGTAGGGTTGTTTCTCTCTGACCTAAAGAATTGCCTGCTAAATAACAAGCATGTTGTTTTCTTCTTATTACTGAAGAGCTATTACAGAAAAGTCAAGTGCTGCAGGGCCACTGTGCTGTGTCTTTCTTTGAGTAGCTGCCAAAACTAACAGAGATTTTTGAGGCAAACACCCAGCATTTGCCAAGTTTTTCTTCTCTCCCTCTGTCTAACTAGCCTCTCATGAGTCCTCACCTAACATTCCCTCTCTATCCAGAAGGGGGTAAAAGTTGGGGAAATGCCAATTTCAATTTTATTATGCATTTATTCATTCATTTTAAAATTGTATAAATTTTATCCATGAGCCAGGTATTGCTGTAGGCACTGAGAGTAAAAGAGGGGGATTAACAGGCAAAGTACCTGCTCCTATTGCATGTATATTCTAGTGGGAAGAGCCAGAAAATAAACAAGCAAATAAGTAAAAAGAAAAAAGATTATGATATGCTATGAGCATATAAAAGTATTGATGCCATAATTTTGGGGGTTGCAGCTACTTCCATTTGGGTGGTCAAGAAAGGACTCTCTGGGGAGGTGATATTTGAGCTTAATCATGAGAGGAACCCTGTTCTGTGATGATCTGAGGGAAGACTGTTCCAGAATCTATTATGTACAAAACGCTGTGCTGGGAACATTAAGAGGCAGAGTTAGATAAGAAGAAACTCGATGCCCACAGATACCAACGTAAGAATTGCTTGGGTTAGTAGAAGCTGTGAGATATCATTGTAAGCCAGTAGATTATGAGAAACCCTAAACTAAAAATCCTAAACCATAACTAAAACAGAAAGGCATAAATACAGCACCTGGGTTAGGGGAGGGAATGTGGCATGTACGCTACTTATCTTCCTGAAGGAATGACATGTCCCATTCTCGGAAATAGCATAGAACCACAAAAGCCTATGGAATCAGATATGTGAGTTTTGAAAAATCATTGTTCCATTTGCTTAAGATGGTCTAAAAATTGCAAATGTATTGTCTTTCTAGAAAATAGCAGAGAAAAGTGAATAGCACTTTGATAGGCTTCATTTGATAATGACATTGCTGTCATGCCATCTCTGCCTGGTGGTGTTTATGGGGGAGAGCTTTCTCTCCCTTGGCTTCTTGTGAGAGGCATCCGTCACACTTCCCCACCCTCGCATTCAAACTCCTTAGGGGGAGGAGGAGTGATCTAAATTGTGATTATGGGATGAGGGGCTGTCAAAGTGTGGTCAGTACTGGCCTCTTATTTTGGGGGGTCTACTCATCATTCCTGTTTGCTCCTTCATACTGTAAGTTTTTCAGGGGCAGGCTGCAATCAGGAGGCCTGAAGTTGCTTAGCACTGCCTGTGGCTGGGCAGGTAAGCTCTGTTTGAGGTTTAGGATTAGGAAGCCATATTTTTCATTATTAACTTTATCAGTAATAAAGCCAGTATTTGAATGCCCATCTGCTTTTTCTTCTCTATTTCTCAGTGGTTCCAAACTCAGATGGGAAAAAAGTAATGCTATTTATTTGGCCTGTCTCAAATCCCTACACAATTTTCCTCGTTTGCCAGCAGATCTTGCTTGTCCATATTGGACTGAAGTCTTCCTGGTTTTCTATTAATTAATATTCCATTTCTTAACAACTTTATTTTAATATTCTACCCACGGATGATTACGAATTATTTATTAGAAATGGCAATTATTTGAAAATGATTTTAAAAGAGAAGTTTTCCTCCTCATTAGCAATATCTCACTGTCTAAGATTACGAGAAACAGTTATACCTTAGGGCAGTGTTTTCCAAACAATAAGTCAAAACTCATTCAGCCATAATAACAGTTTAATGGGTCATGACAGCACTTTAAAACAATAAAATAGAATAGAAACTATGAGACTATATCACACACAGAGGATTATTTAATGAATTTTTTGCTCTAGTTGTATTTGTGTTGAGTGTGTGTGTGTGTCTCAGTGGGGGGGGGTATTGGGTAACAACATAAAAAATATTTTGTGGCAAAAACAAGCTAGTGATTTTCCAATGAACTCACAAATAAGCAACATCCCACTGCCTCTTTTATTCTTAGGAATGGTTGTATGCTCGAGTTTTAATTAACAGCATCCCAGTGACAGTGATGAATGTCCCTTCTAGATCTGGTTCATAAAAATCTGCCACACAGTTCTCTACTCTCCTTCTCTCCTCTGATATACCACCTGGAGTCTAAATACTGAGCCCAGAACAACTCTGGAAACTATATGTTGAAGATGGCCGTCTTCATCAATATGAATCTCTGAATGGTTGTGTGGAACAAACCCCTTTACCACCTCCCCTCCTCACCCCCAGCACCAATGGAACCCTATGAGAACAGGAAAAGACTTCTAATATGGTAAGCTACTCAGATTTGGGGGTAGAGAGGGTTACCTACTACAGCAGATAGTGTTACCTTAACAAATAAATAATTCTTAGTATTCTTGTAAAAGCCACTGTGCACTCTTTAATTATTCAGGACCCCGGACAGTGACACAATAGTACCCCATCACCCACTCCCATGGACTAGGACTGTCAGGGTAAGCCTGCAAATTCTTGTAATGTATGGCAAGCCAGACTGATATCTCTCTTCACATGTCGCCTTACTGACACCAAGGCCATCATATTTATTGAGTGGGAGGAATATAAGTACCTTTGGTTGGAGTTTTCACAGTCAGATGAAAAGTGAGAAGACCACATTAAGTTGGGAGCCAGCATAAACAAAAACGTGAGATCAAGGGAACTAAGTGCACTTGGCTATAGTGAGCCCATTCATATTACTGGAGCACAAAGTTTCCATGCTGTATAAGGTAGCTATCACATTTCATGGATGAGGAAGCTAAAGTGTGGAGAGGTCGAATCATTTACCTGAGATTTCACCAGGTCATGGCAGAGCCACAGTTGAACCTAGACAGCTTGAAGTTGTAGTCCCGGCTGCTAGCCATAATGCCCTAGATGGCTCATCTATTGTTAATGGCCTCAGCAGCATGCCGGATATTAGAAACAGTTGGCTTTCGATTACCAAGATATGGGGGCTGCTACTGGAATTCAGACACTGGTATAAATTCCAACTTTACAGTAATATATGTCTTTATTAAACTTAACTAGTTCATAATGCATACTTAGGAGGGAACACGGCATGGGGCAGGAGTAATAAACACTTTCTAGAAGAAGGCCCTCTTCTTCAAATGAAACCTCAGGCAAAAGCCCAATGTTTAACACAAACAGAAGCAGAGATGCCCTGGTTGGAGTAGAGATAGGGAGCCTGGGGCCCCATGCTGCTAGACAGCCACTCATACTAACCCTCCTCATGTTACCCAAGGCCTTTGTGGCACACAATTTAAAAACCACCAGTACAGAGGATAGAACATGAACACTTGGGTTAGACAAGCCTACCTGCTTGCTTGCTTGCTTCATCTTATTTACTCATTCATGTATTCACTGCTCAATAAATATTTATTGAAGACCATGTGCTGGGTGCACTGGTTTGAATCCTGGACCCACAGCTAATTAGCTGTATGACTTTAGCATCTTTCTTAGTCACATTGGGTTTTATTTGCTTTCTTTGAAAATATACCATACATAGTGATAACTGCCTCACAGACCTTCAGGATCACAAGAGAGAGCGGTGGCATATGTGGTATTCAGGGAGCTCCTGGCCCTTAGTGAATGCTCTCAGTGAATATTTGTTCCTTCTTCACTTCCTATGCTGATCTTCAAAGTATGATGTAATTCCGAGAAAAGTCATTTTAAAAATATATCTAGTACACACACTCACACAAACACAGAAACATTTTTAAAACAGCTCTACATGTTCCCATTCCTTGTGGTATACTTTGTTTCAAACCTGTATGCAACTTTCAAAGTCTTCTTTGTTCCCCTCTCACCTTCAGCTTAATACCATTTCTCAATTCCTGTTCTTGGACACAGCAAGAAACCGCCCTTCCTACCAATCTTCTCATTTTCTCAGTGTGAGCTTCCCCAACTCATTCTCTCAGAATCTTCTCCAGATTAGCTGATCCCAGCTTCTCTGTTAGCATCTACTGAGCCACCCTTACTTAAAACAAAAAAAGCAATTTCCAGAGATTGAAAAAAAAATTACTTTTCTTTCCAGAACATCCAGCATCTTCCAGTTATCAGAGGATTTCACCCTCATTTCTTCTGGGTAAAAATGTGTTTCTTCAGTGCTGGTAGAAGACTAAACTTGGCCTGGCTTTGCAAATGGCCATTAATGAGGGGGGTTAGTACTAAACAGACTTTCAACAGTTTCCCAAGGAATAGGAATTTTCAACTAGCAACCACTATCGGATTTTTAAACTTATATCATTCAAGTCAGCAAAGAAAACTATGCATTTCAAGTTTTCTCTAAGGTCAAACATTTCATTCATTAGACAGACCATATAATGGCCATGAATGGAGGCTCCAAATCCCAGCTCTCTCTCATATTAGCTGTGTGAAAAACTAGCATTTTAATAGTGCCTGTTTCATCATACTCTTATAAAGTATAGTTACAATCATTTTAAATGGTTATTACATTGCTTCACATACAAAAAACACTGAATATATGTTATCTATTATTGTCATTGTCATTATTTTAAAATAGTGTTCTGAAGAGTGTTTTCAGAGCTCTGGTAGTGGATGAGTAAACCTCAGGCAAATTATAAGAAATAAAACATTTTCCAGGGTCTATGTAGGAGAGAGAAAAATGAAAAAGACAAAGTCTTTACAGATTCCTTTAGCTCTCATCATGAAGCAGAAGATTGTATTCACATCCTTGGATCTTTTCCTGCCCTCTCTCTAGCGATATGGTAGGCATACAATCATGATTGTAGAATAAGTGAAAGAGAATGGATGGAGGAATGAATGAATAAATGAATGGATGGGTAAGCAAATGAACAAACAAGCAGATCACTGGTAATGGAATAAACTAAGCAGTCATGTTCCTTTCCATAATCTTTGATGTTCATAATCTTTGAAGTATGATGATGTTTATCATACTTCACCTAAATACACAGGTCTGATGTACTCCATTCTCTTTCAAATGAAGAATCCTGTTGGTCACTATATGTTGTCCCTCACCTTCCACCCACACAAACCAAAAATAGGGTTCTTGGCTTCCAGCTGTGCTTTCTGGGCTTCTTTGTGATTTTTCCTGGCATCCTCTTGGTCTGCTCCATCCTTGGCCTCTGCTTTCCAGGAAGACACAGCAGGAGCCCACGTGTCTGATATAGAAAAAAGCAGTCCTAGCACTGTCCTGGGAAGAAACAAAGACAGTGCTGTGAGAAACACATATTCACCCATCCAAACCCAAAGAATGGACTCCGAGACATGAAGAGTAGCCGAAGTGAGACTTTTGATGGGGGTCTTGCAAGATCGGGTGTCTGGTAGACAGGTACACCCTGGGCAGTTACAGCAGGTAATTTACCTCCTAGCATGCAAATCCCTCCCCCAGTTCCTCATTGGTCAAGTACTATGGGGTTACAATCTTCCTGGACGTCGCCTAAGTTTAATCATCCCCCTTATAAGGTTATACCCTGGTCCCCTTCCTGCTTAAGCTTTGATTTCCCAATAACGAAACTTTCTTCCCTTTTATGGGCTGACCCCTCCTCTACATTCTGTTTACATATCGTGACCTTCTAGATGCATGCATGCTGTTTGTTACATCTGCAGGCTGGCTGCCAGTACTTAGATTTATCATGCCTTGAAAATTGACCATTTAAAATGTTTTCTCACAGGGCCTTGTGGCTCTGCTTTTCAGAAAGACTGGAGGACACTCATAGTCACAGGAAGACTAGGATATTCATGGGTAGCAGGCCTGAATTTTCTGGCAAGAACCCTTGGACTAAGGTTTCAAAAGGGAGAGAATTTCCATGTGAGGCTGTAGAGTGTTAGCATATCTGCTGGATATTTCTCTTGTGTATTGACTCAGGTAAGCCCCATTTTTCTAACATGGCAGTGACATGATGCACAATTTTCTAGTGGGATGAGACAGTGTACAGGATATAATTTCAGAATCTATCAGAGTGACCTGATACAGGGGCTTCCTTTAAGTTTTCCTAATGCACTGGAAGTGGAAAGGGGCAATGCTTGCAATTTGGTCAGATCGAGGTAGACAGTAACAATGCAGTTGAGCATAGAACAGAGTGAATTCAAATTGTAGCAATTGTAACAACCTATGGCTATACTTAAGTATCTTATTTCTTTCAGCTGCCAAAGACGAAGTGATAACTTAGCACAAGGTGTGAAAAAAGAGGAGTTGTCAATAACTATATATCAAAGTGCTATGTCAACTGTTGAGTGCTTCACTGTTGTGTTAATTTAATGGCATTTATTTTTATTTATACAAAATTTTTCAATGATGAAAATCTAGTATGTAGAGTTACCTACGTGACTGACAAGCCCAGTCAAAGTTACTTTGACACACTGACTCCCACAGCATAAGAGGGATCAATGTAAAGTCCTATCCTTAGATCCAAAGATCAATTGCACAAATGAGGCAATAAATTACAGCTATTTGGAGAGCTGTCTTAGGCTGAATCTGGGTTTGAATATCACTTCCACCACTTATAGTATTGAGCAAACTATTAGACCTCTATGAGCCTCAGTTTCTTCATCTGTAATATTTGGTCAATTATACTAGCCTTGAAGAATTATTTAAGGATTCTGTAAATTAACTCTTATTAAGTGCCTGGAACTTTAGTAAATGGTCAATTATTTATCATCCCTCCCTCTACCCTACACTGGGCAGAGGATCCTCTAGGACATCCCAAGCAGAGGGCCTCCGGAGCTCCGAGAGAGGTCACACTCTTGTTTTTCAATCTCTATATCAAAGACAAGGTGAAGGGAAGCAGGAGCCTGTCTCATCTCCATTTCAGGATGTGTTTTGTTTCACTTCCCCCTAATAATTACCTGACGTAGGATTTTGACGCTTGGCCATTGTTCGGCCTATTTTCTGTTTCCATCCTGATTCTTTACCTCTCTCTCCACAATATTCTTCCTGATGTGACTTGGTATTTACTGGGGACAATATTCTTCCTGATATCTCCTTGGTATTTGTCTCTCCTTGGGGAGAAAGTTGAGATAAGGTAATCAGCCCTTAGGACTAACGCTAATATTGCTTTAGTGATTCCTTGCAATAAGGTTGTTAAGCTTGTTTTAATGTTACCCTTTAATAACTTCCTCTCCTGTAGCAAAAAGAAGCAAAAAATGATGCTGGTGGCAGTGGAGAGGGTGTGAGTTGTCAGGAAGAAAGAAAAAAAAGAAAATAGAATTGTAGCATAGGTATAGTAGATATGGAATTCTGTAATTTCTATAAGTGCAATGATAGAAAATATAGGCAATTTAAATCCACAAACAACTATAGCTTGAATTACATTTTTCTCTATAAAACTTTTACTCAGACCACATAAAAGGGTTCATCATAGATATGTATTCCAAAGAATGCATGTAGTGAGGCACTGTATGGCACAGGGGGAAGTATGGGGGATTGAAAATTGAAGGCTTTAGTTCCAGCTGTGGCTTTGCCATTGACTATCTGTGTGACCTCAGGTAATTTACTCTCTCTGGGCCTCAGACTTCTCATCTGTAAATTAGCAATAGTATTACCTAACTGTCAGTGTGTGAGGATTAAATGAGAGAATGTGTACAAATTTCCTGGCACTGTGAACAGACCCCTTTATGGGTCCTAGTACCTTTATTAATAAATTCAGGATAATGCAACCTGCCTTGAGGACCTCAGTGCTTCTAAAAATGAGGACTGGCTTTGAAATAGCCCTACAAATGTAAAGTGTTCTTGGGTTCAACACAGGAAGGTCAGCTGACTCATAGCCCGTAATCAGCAAATGTCTAATGAGAGTAATGATGAGATGGCAGAATCTGGAGAGCTTTTGAATTGGTATCCCTGAGAAGTGTGAGCTTTGTAAAGAGTTCCCTAGTACCTTTGCTGATGTCTGCTTCATTTGAATTTACATTTAGGTGATCGCAAAACCTCAAAGTGAAGTTGTGAGCTTGACAATAGTTTATCGTGCTATGCTTAACCAAGTTAAGAACCATCCTTTTGGTTTCTGATTTTGTGGAAAAAGAGGAAGCACCATGGATCTGCAGAGGCTTGGGCCTGAGGCTCCAGCATGAGAAACATGGGCATAAATGGCATAGAAATTAAATTTTGAGGCCTGGGGATCCCATAGTGTCAGGGAGAAGGCTAGACTTGTACCTGTGCTTACACCTGGCACAAAGTTGGTACTGAATGAATATTTGTGCCACGAAAGAAAAAAAGAAAGCAAAATCTGAGCTAACGAGGATGCAGTGCACTCTCCAAGAAATCAGTAGAGCTGAGTTTCATGAATTTTATAATTTTATAAATACTGTATTTAAAAATAACTAGATCTAGAGCATGGCCAACCAATTTGGCAATTTTATTTATAATAATGGCCACAGTTTATTAAACACTATGTAAAAGTCCAGCACTATACTAAGAACTTTACAAATATTATTAAATTTAATACTACAACCCTGTGTCAAACCAAACCCCTATTGGTTACCCACAATTTAGCCATAACCTACCTCTTACTTGGTAACAAAAGCCTGATTTTTTTTTTCTGAGCTGCAATGTTCCCAACCCAGGATATGAATTCTGGTTGGTCTAAACCAATAATGATAACAATTCCCCAATCTCCCAGCTCTTTTCTAAAGAATTGTCATATGCCCTGTTTCTGGCTAACAGGAAGTCTAGTACAGAGACCACAGAGAATCCTTCTATCTTCTTGATAAAAGGAAAGATATGGTTTCTTTGAATATAAATGTGATATCTGGAGCTACATCAGCCATTCTGCAAACATGAGGCAATAAGAATGAGGCAAAGGTCAAAAGAACTGGGAGATAGCATTGAGGTACTAATTCAACACAGTTAGCCACCATTTGCAGAGCTCTCGTTAAGTGAGAGAAACTATACTTCTTTCTGTTTAAGCCACTGAAGTCATATTGCTTTACTTGGAACCAAATGATGCAAACTCTGTGTTATAGAATACTATCATTCTCATCTTTAGATAGAAAAATAGATTTAAGTAAGTAGCCAACATTACACAAGTGGTAAATTGTGGTATTAAATTCAAGTCTAGCTTTATCCAAATTTAAAGCCTATCTTCTCAACCACTATGCTGTGTTTAAACTATCAGTATTGTTAATCTAATGTATGTTTTTGAACCCCTGTGAATTCTAAAAGATAGAAAAATGTAGGGCAGCAGAAAAAGAGGAAAAAGCAAGTTCCCACAGACTTTGCTGTGGAGTTTGGGCCTTTTCGAATCTGGAATGCTGATCTCCAGGAAGAGGCTGGAATGGTCCTGCAGACTTGGTTGGTATCACATTTGGAAGTTTCTCCAGCAGCAGAAGGAAACAGGGGGTGCCCACATGGTATCATATTTGGAAGTTCCTCCAGCAGCAGAAGGAGAGAGGGGGTGCCCACATGGGGTGAGGTCAGAGAGTCAGCAACTAGGATTGAGGTTTTGGGGTGCAGGCTTTGCTGGCTTGGTGAGGAAATATGAAGCAATGCTGGAGAGCTAGCCACGGAGCTAGATAGAGACTCAGCCTTAATAATGACTTAATGGGCATTGGCCGTGTGCCTGTGTCTCCTGCACATAGTTAGGAAGCATGGCAACTCAGAAAAGATGCAGCAGGAGCCAGGGAATGCCAGTCGCTTGTAGCATGCTTATCACGTAAGCAGAAAGAAGGGAGGATCTGCCTGAAAAACATACTCAAAGATGCATATCTAGGGGCAAGACACTTTGGGTCTGCCTAACGGTTATGGAAAACAACTGAATCTTGCACTCCCAGGATTTTCCAAAGAAGGGTAATGATACATTCACTCAACCCTAAGTCTACTGCACTGGAAAACAAAAATGAATAGGTTTCTGTACAATGTGCCAAATGTTGAATTGGACACTTTATGTATCTTATTTAATTTTTACTACAACCCAGGAAGGTAATTGTGTTAATATTCTTAAGTTGTCAATTTTTAAAAAATTGAACCACAGGGACATTAAGTAACTTTTCCAGGATGCACAGCTAGAAAATGACGCGGTTGGAATTCCAGCCTAAGTCTGTTTTGAAAGCCCAGGCTGCACCACACCAACTCCAAGGAAGCTCAGAGTAGAAGGAAACAGATGACGTATGTTTCTTCTATACTACAGAGAGAAGGCAATTAATATGTAATCCCAACACTTTGGGAGGCTGAGGCAGGAGGATCACTTAAGGCCAGGAGTTCGAGACCAGCCTAAGCAACATAGCAAGATCCCATCTCTACAAAGAATAAAAAAAATTAACTGGGCATGGTTATGTGAGCCTGTAGTCCCAGCTCCTAGGGAAGCTGAGATGAGATGATTGCTTGAGCCCAGGAGTTTGAGGCTGCAGTGAGCCATGATCATGCCATTGCCCTCCAGCTTGGGTGACAGAATGAGACCCTTTTCAAAAAAAAGAAAAAAGAATTCAGGAGCTCAGTTTGCAAATGTTGAGTGAGTGGTATCAGCAAGATATTCAGACAAAGGTATCCAAGAAACTCTTTTTATAAGAATTTGGGTATTGGCCAGGAACCACAGGCTGAAATACTAACATGGTTGTCATCAGTATAGAGAATTATTGATTCTAATAGGGTAACAGAGGTTTAAAGGTGAGAATATCTATTGAGAGGAGAAGTGGGCTGTATTAATGAGTTTACTAATGTGGATGCTATTATATCTCAGTGAACCACACTTCCCAGTATTCATGCTCTTGTGAAGTTTTTCCCTTTGCACGTGGCCTGGCCCTGTGACCTGCTTTAAGCAATAAAATGCTGAGACTGTGATACTCTGAAAGTCTAGGACTAACCCTTAACAAAGGCCAGCAGCTCTACTTCGGTGCTCAGGCTCTGAGGGAAGCCAGCTGTTATTCAAGAAATCTGAACATCCTGTGAAAAGTCCAACCCAGTCATGTGAAAAGGCCATACAGACAACTAAGGCTGTCCTTAGAGAGCCTAACATTAAGATAGACTAACATTCTATCTTTCAGTTCCTATCATTCTTAGCTCTGCTGGTCAACAGACACAGCTGTGTTCCTCGTCAACAAACAGCAACAACTGCCTGCCATGTGAGTGAGAACTTCTTGGGATTTGATCTTCCAGCCCCCATTGAGCCATGCCAGTCGATGCAATCGATGTAGGGCAGAGATGAGTTCACTCCACTAAGCTCTGCTCAAATTTCAGAATCACGAGCAGATAACTAGAATGGTGGTATTTTTTAAGCCATTAAGTTTCAGAGTTCAACATACAGGAATAAATACCCAAAACAAGTATGTACCTTGACTGATATGTATATGAGCCTGTTTATCTCCATAGATACATGCTTGCCTGAGGCTATTATTTTTTCCTTTTGAAGACTCTCTTAGAAACAGAACCAGAAGATAATTGGAGATTCAGGAAGATGAAACCTCTCAAAAGCTGTGATCAGTTTGTTTTATATTTTAAAATATAGCCTGTTATTTATAGGTCATGGTTTAGCATCCTGATGTTCCCTTTCAAAGTGCTAACATCTAAAAATATGTATTTTGTAGGAAATGAAATTATATGTATCAGTTTCATTAATGTTCACATCCTTTAGTTTCCAGGGGAATTATGAAGAATTTTTAAAAGAAGCAAAGAAATCAAAACAAGACTTTCAAAGGAGCAAGGGGCTTAACCTGCCTCCATTTACAAGATCTTTCACTGAACTTCTATGTGTGTGACTCACATTTTGTTGTATTTGACTAACATTCTATCTTTCAGTTCCTATAATTCTTTCAGTTCACCTGGCAACCTGAAATATTTATTATGTCTCATCGTATCAGTCATGTTTAATTATATAGCAGTATGGCCTCAGTGAAATGAGGCCATACTCATTTCACTGATATGTGAAATGAGTATCCTCAGACATGATACAGCCTGACTTCCAATTCTGGTTTGACCTAATCTCCTTACCACGAAACTAAGAAAATGTTCTCTGAACCGCATTGCTGTTAGATGGGGGAAAAAATATTGTCAGGCTGCACGTGGTTGCCCCTGCCTGTAAGCTATGATTGCACTACTGCACTTCAGCCTGAATGACAGAGCAAGACCTAGTTTCTTAAAAAACAAGAAAGTATTGCCTAGAGATACATTTTCAAAACCATAGCCACTATCTGTAGGCAGCTACTAAGAATGTGAAATGTGACTCCTCTGAATTGAGATGCTCTGTAAGTGTAAAATACACACTTGATTTCAAAGATTTAGTATGAAAAAGATAAAATAATAATTTTTATATTAATTATATGTTGATATAATTTGGATATATTAGATTAAATGAAATATATTAGAATTAATTTCAGTGGGGCATGGTGGCTCCTGCCTGTAATCTCAGTGAGTTGGGAGGCTGAGACAGGAGGATCACTTGAGCCCAGGAGTTTGAGGCTGCAGTGAACTATGATCACACCACTGCACTCCAGCTTGGGCAAAAGAGCAAGGCCCTATCTCTAAAACAAATAAATAAATAAAATTAATCTTATCTGTTTCTTCTTTTACTTTTTTAATGTGGCTATTAGAAAATTTAAAATTACATATGTGGTTCACCTTTGTGGCTCACATTATATTTGTACTGGATAATACTAGTCTAGAGCACTAGGCTAAAGGTACAAATAGAGATGCAGAATTATACATTCAGGCTGATACTACTACAAAAATATCAGGAGATTTCACATTAACTGACCCCCTTATTGTGGCCTGACAATCTTCGTGACTTCACTTAGAATAATGGTCTCCAACTCCATCCAGGTTGCTGTGAATTCCATTATTTCATTACTTTTTACAACTGAGTAGTATTCCATGGTATGTATGTATGGGTATATACGTACCACATTTTCCTTATCCACTTGTTAATTGATTGGCATTTAGGTTGGTTCCATATTTTTGCAGTTGTGAATTGCAGTTATGAATTTTGCAGTTGTGAAACATGCCTGGGCAAGGGTCTTCTTCATATAATGACTTCTTTTCCTCGGGGTAGATACCCAGTAGTGGGATTGCTGGATCAAATTGTAGTTCTACTTTTAGTCCTTTAAAGAATCTCCATACTGTTTTCCATAGTGGTTGTACTAGTTTACACTCCCACCAGCAGTGTAAGTGTTCCCTTTTTCACCACATGCATGCCAACATCTGTTTTTTTGTTGTTGTTTGTTTGTTTTTGTTTTTTTAATTATACTTTAAGTTCTGGGATACATGTGCAGAACGTGCAGGTTTGTTACACAGTGATACACATGCCATGGTGGTTTGCTGCACCCATCAACCCATCACCTACATTAGGTATTTCTCCTAATGCTATCCCTCCCCAGCCCCTCACCCCCTGACAGACCATGGTGTGTGATGTTCCACTCACACATGTCCATGTGTTCTTATTGTTCAACTCCTACTATGAATGAGAACGTGTGGTGTTTGGTTTTCTGTTCCTGTGTTAGTTTGCTGAGAATGATGGTTTCCAGCTTCTTCCATGTCCCTGCAAAGGACATGAACTCATCCTTTTTTATGGCTACATAATATTCTATGGTGTATATGTGCCACGTTTTCTTTATCAAGTCTATCATTGATGGGCATTTGGGTTGGTTCCAAGTCTTTGCTATTGTGAATAGTACTGCAATAAACATATGTGTGCATGTCTTTATAGTAGAATGATTTATAATCCTTAGAGTATCTACCCAGGAATGGGGTTGCTGGGTCAAATGGTATTTCTGGTTCTAGATCCTTCAGAAATTGCCACACTGTCTTCCACAATGGTTGAACTAATTTACACTCCCACCAACAGTGTAAAGCATTCCTATTTCTCCACATCCTCTCCAGCATCTGTTGTTTCCTGACTTTTGAGTGATCGCCATTCTAACTGGCGTGAGATGGTATCTCATTGTGGTTTTGATTTGCATGTCTCTAATGACCAGTAATGATGAGCTTTTTTTCATATGTTTGCTGGCTGCATAAATGTCTTCTTCTGAGATGTGTCTGTTCATATCCTTCATGTACTTTTTGATGGGGTTGTTTTTTTCTCGTACATTTGTTTAAGTTCCTTGTAGATTCTGGATATTAGCCCTTTGTAAGATGGATAGATTGCAAAAATTTTCTCCCATTCTGTAGGCTGCCTGTTCACTCTGATAATAGTTTCTTTTGCTGTGCAGAAGCTCTTTAGTTTAATTAGATCTCATTTGTCAATTTTGGCTTTTGTTGCCATTGCTTTTGGTGTTTTAGTCATGAAGCCTTTGCCCATGCCTATGTCCTGAATGGTATTGGCTAGGTTTTCTTCTAGGATTTTTATGGTTTTGAGTCTTATGTTTAAGTCTTTAATCCATCTTGAGTTAATTTTTGCATAAAGTGTAAGGAAGGGGTCCAGTTTCAGATTTCTGCATATGGCTAGCCAGTTTTCCCAACACCACTTATTAAATGGGGAATTCTTTCCCTGTTGCTTGTTTTTGTCAGGTTTGTGAAAGATCAGATGGTTGTAGATGTGTGGCATTATTTCTGAGGGCTCTGTTCTGTTCCATTGGTCTATATATCTGTTTTGGTACCAGTACCATGCTGTTTTGGTTACTGTGGCCTTGTAGCATAGTTTGAAGTCAGGTAGCGTGATGCCTCCAGATTTGTTCTTATTTGTTCTTTTTGCTTAGGATTGTCTTGGCTATGTGGGCTGTTTTTTGGTTCCATATGAAATTTAAAATAGTTTTTTCTAATTCTGTGAAGAAAGTCGGTGGTAGCTTGATAGGGATAGCATTGAATTTATAAATTCCTTTGGGCAGTATGGCCATTTTCACAATATTGATTCTTCCTATCCATGAACATGGAATGTTTTTCCATTTGTTTGTGTCCTCTCTTGTTTCCTTGAGCAGTGGTTTGTAGTTCTTGAAGTGGTCCTTCACATCCCTTGTAAGTTGTATTCCTAGGTATTTTATTATTTTTGTAGCAATTGTGAATAGGAGTTCACTCATGATTTGGCTGTTTGTCTATTATTGGTGTATAGGAATGCTTGTGATTTTGCACATTGATTTTGTATCCTGAGAGTTTATTTTTTATTTTTAAATTATGGCCATTCTTGCAGGAGTAAGTTGGTATCTCATTGTGGTTTCGATTTGCATTTGCCTGATAATTAGTGATGTTGAGCACTTTTTCATATGTTTATTGGCCATTTGTATATCTCCTTTTGAGAACTGTCTATTTACGTCTTTTGCCCATTTTTTGATAGGATTATGTTTATGTTTTTTTCTTGCTTATTTGTTTGTGTTCTTTGTAGAGTCTGGGTATTAGTCCTTTGTTGGATGCATAGTTTGTGAAAATTTTCTCCTGCTCTGTGGATTGTCTGTTTACTCTGCTGATTGTTTCCTTTACTGTGCAGAAAATCCTTTTCGTTTAATTAGGTCCCATCTATTTATTTATTTATTTATTATTATTTTTTGCATTTGCTTTTGGGTTCTTGGTCAGGAATTCTTTGCCTAAGCCAGTGTCTAGAAGAGTTTTTCCAATGTTGTCTTCTAGAATGTTTTTGGTTTTAGGTCTTAGATTTAAGTCTTTGATCCATCTTGAGTTGATTTTTGTATAGGGTGAGAGATAAATATCTTGCTTCATTCTCCAACATGTGGCTTGCCAATTATCCCAGCACCATTTGTTGAAGAGGGTTTTCTTTCCCCAATTGATGTTTTTGTTTGCTTTGTTGAAGATCAATTGGTTGTAAGCATTTGCCTTCATTTTTGGATTCTCTATTCTGTTCCACTGGGCTACATGTCTATTTTTATACCAGTACCATGCTGTTTTATACCACTACCATGCCTTGTGGCATAGTTTGAGGTCAGGTAATGTGATGCCTCCAGATTTGTTCTTTTTGCTTAGTCTTGTTTCTGTTATGTGGGCTCTTTTTTGGTTCCATATACATTTTAGGATTGTTTTTTCTAGTTCTGTGAAGAATGATGATGGTACTTTGATGGGAATTGCATTGAATTTGTAGATTGCTTTTGGCAGTATGCCCATTTTCACAATATTGATTGTACCCATCCATCAGCATGGGATGTGTTTCCATTTGTTTGTGTCATCTATGTTTTCTTTAAGCAGTGTTTGGTAGTTTTCCTTGTAGAGATCTTTCACCTCCTTGGTTAGGTATATTCCTAAAGTGGTGTGTGTGTGTGTGTGTGTGTGTGTGTGTGTATGGAGCTGTTGTAAAATGGGTTGAGATTTTGATTTGATTCTCAGCTTGGTCATTGTTGGTGTATAGCACTGCTACTGATTTGTGTACGTTGCTTTTGTATCTTGAAACTTTACCAAAATTCACTTATCAGATGTGAGCTTTTTGGATGAATCTTTAGTGTTTTCTAGGTATATGATCATGTCATTGGTAAACAGTGAGAGTTTGACTTCTTCTTTACTGATCTGGATGTGCTTTATTTCTTTCTCTTGTCTCATTGTTATGGCTAGGACTTCCAGTATAATGTGGAATAGCAGTGGTGAAAGTGGGCATCCTTGTCTTGTTCCAGTTCTCAGAAGGAATGCTTTCAACTTTTTTTCCATTCAGTGAAATGTTGGCTGTGGGTTTGTCATAGATGGGATTTATTACCTTGAGGTATGTCCCTTCTATGCCAATTTTGCGGCAGGTTTTGATCATAAAAGGATGCTGGATTTTGTCAAATGCTTTTTCTGCATCTATTGAGATCATATGATTTTTGTTTTTAATTCTGTTTACGTGCTGTGTCACATTTATTCACTTGGGTATGTTAAACCATCCCTTCATCCCTGGTATGAAATTACTCGATCATGGTGTGTTCTTTTTTTGATATGCTGTTGGATTTCATTAGCTAGAGTTTTGTTGAGGATTTTGTTCTCAAAAAATATTGAGCATCTGTGTTCCTCACTGATATTGGTCTGTAATTTTCTATTTTTATTGTCTTTTTCTGGTTTTCAAATTAGGACGATACTGGCTTCATAGAATGATTTAAGGAGGATTTCCTCTTTTTCTGTCTTTGAAATAGTTTCAGTAAGATTGGTACCAGTTCTTCTTTCAATGCCTGATAGAATTCAGTTATGAATCCATCTGGTCCTGGACTTTTTTTATTGGCAATTATTTTATTACTGTTTCAATATCTCTACTTGCTATTGGTCTGTCCAGAGTTTCTATTTCTTCTTGATTTAATCTAGGAGGGTTGTATATTTCCAGGAATTTATCCATTTCCTCTAGATTTTCTAGTTTGTGTGTGTGTAATGGTGTTCATAGTAGCCTTGAATGATCTTTTGTATTTCCGACGTATCAGCTGTAATATTTCCCATTTCATTTCTAATTGAGCTTATTTAGGTGTTCTTCTCTCTTCTTTTCTTGGTTAATCTCACTAATAGTTTATCAATTTTGTTTATATTTTCAAAGAACTAGCTTTTTGTTTCATTTGTCTTTTGTATTTTTTTAAATTTCAATTTCATATAATTCTGTTCTGATCTTTGTAATTTCTTTTCTTCTGGTGGGTTAGAGTTTGGTTTGTTCTTGTTTCTCTACTTCCTTGATGTGTGACATTAGATTGTCTATTTGTGCTCTTTCAGACTTTCTGATATAGGCATTGAACGCTATGAGCTTTCTTCTTAGCACTGCTTTTGCTTTATTCCAGAGGTTTTGATAGATTGTGTCACTATTATCATTTAGTTCAAAGAAATTTTAAATTTCCATTTGATTTCATTGTTGACCCAAAGACTACTGAGGAGCAGATTATTTAATTTCCATATATTTGTATAGTTTGGGGGGTTTCTTTTGGAGTTAATTTCCAGTTTCATTCCACTGTGGTCTGAGAGGGTACTTGATATAATTTAGATTTTCTTCAATTTATTGAGACTTGTTTTGTGGCCTATCATATGGTTTATCTTGGAGAATGTTCCATGTGCTGATGAAAAGAACGTATATTCTGCAGTTATTGGGTAGAATGCACTGTAAATATCTGTTAGGACCGTTTGTTCTAGGGTATGATTTAAGTCCATGGTTTCCTTGTTTACTTTCTGTCTTGATGACCTAGCTAGTGCTGTCAGTGGAGTATTGAAGTCCCCACTATTATTATGTTGCTGTCTATCTCATCTCTTTGGTCTAGCAGTAATTGTTTTATAAATTTGGGACCTCCAGTGTTAGGTGCATATATATTTAGAATTATGATATTTTCCTGTTGGACTGATTTTTTCATCATTATATAATGTCCCTCTTTGTCTTTTAAAATTGTTGTTGCTTTAAAGTCTGTTTTGTCTGATATAAGAATAGCTACTCCTGCTCACTTTTGGTTTCCATTTGCATGAAATATCTTTTCTCATCCATTCACCTTAAGTTTACTTGAGTTCTTATGTGTTAGGTGAGTTTCTTGATTATTTAATAAGTAACACCATTTAGCTAAAGATAATATCAATCTCTATCTCATACCCACAAAATAAACACTAGATAGACAAAAAAACCTAAATATGAAAATCAAAACTTTAAAGATTTTAAAAGAGCACATAGTAGCCAAAACCAGACAAAGACACAGCAAGAAAAAAGAAAAACCCTACAGGCCAGCATTCCTGATGAATATTAAAGCAATAATACTAAACCTAACATTAGCAAACTGAATTCAACAGCTCATTGAAAGGATCATACACCATGACGAAGTGGATTTATACCTGGAATGCAAGGACTGTTTAGTATACAAAAATCAATACATGTACTATACCTCATTAACAAAATAAGAGACAAAAACTACATGGTCATCTCAATCAATACAGAGAAAGCATTTAACAAAACTCAAACCCCTTTCATGATAAAAAAACAACAACAACAACACTCAACCAACAAGGAATAGAAAAAAATCTACCTCTGGAACAGTCATGGAGTCTCATGCATGTAATTCTAGCACTTTGGGAGGCTAAGGTGGGGGGAACACTTGAGGCCAGGAGTTCAAGACCATTCTAAGCAAGACAGTGAGATACTGTCTCTCCAAAAAAAGTTTTTAAGTAGCCAGACAACAGGGTGCATGCCTGTAGTCCCAGCTACTAAGGAGGCTAAGGCAAGAGGACAACTTGAGCCCAGGAGTTCAAGGCTGCAGTGAGCTATTATTATGGCACTGCACTCCAGCCTGGATGACAAAGTGGGACCCTATCTCTTTAGGAAAGAAGAAGACCTTAACATAATAAAAGTCATATATAAAAATTCCACAGCAAACATGATACTCAACAGAGAAAGCTTTCCTCCTAGTTAAGGAACAAGACAAATAAGTCCACTCTTGCCACTACTATTCAACATGGTACTGGATGTTCTGGTAGAGCAACTCAACAAGAAAAAAAAAAGGAATACAAATTGTAAAAGAAGACATAATCTTATATATAAAAAACCCTAAAGAGTACACACACACACACACACACACAGTAGAACTAATAAATTTAGTAAAGTTGCAGAATACAAAATCAGCACTCAAAAATTAGTTGCATTTTTATGCACAAATAATGATCAATCTGAAAAGGAAATCAAGAAAACAATCCTATTTACTATAAATCAAAAATAAAGAAATACTTAGGAATAAACTTAACTGAGGGGATGGAGAAAGACTTGTTCACTGAAAACTATAAAATGCTGCTGAAGGAAATTAAAGAAGACATAAGTAAATGGGAAAGCATCCTATGTTCATGAACTGGAAGACTTAATATTGTTAAAATAGCCATACCACCCAAAACAATCTACAGAGTCAATGCAATCCCTTTCAAAATCCCAGTGGCATTTTCAGAAATAGAAAAAAAATCCTACTGTTCATACATAATTTCAAGGAATACTGAATAGCCAAAACAAACTTGAAAAAAGTAGGACAAAGTTGAAAATTTCAAACTTCCTTATTTCAAAACATATCTCAAAGCCAATAGTAATTAAGACAATGTGGTATTGGGATAAAGATAGATATATAAATAAATGGAGCAGAATAGGTAGCTCATAAATAAACCACTGCTATATGACGAAATGATTTTTGACCAGTGTGCCAAGACTACATAATAGATAAATAACAGTCTCTTCAACAAATATTGTTGTAAAAACTGAATATTCACAAGCAAAAGAATGAAGTCAAATCCTTACCTTACATCATATACAAAATGTAACTAAGAATGGATTAAGTATTTAAATTTAATACTTAAAATTATTAAACTCCTAGGAGAAAAAAGGTAAAAACTTTCAGGATGTTGGATATGGCAATAATTTATTGGATGTAACATCAAAAGCATACATAGACAACAAATTTTTAAAAAGAGATTATGCAAAACTTTAAACTTCTCAGTGGGAAAGGAAACAATCAGCAGAGTGAAATGCCAGTGGGAAAAGGAGAGAATGGAAGAAAATAATTGCAAATCACATAGCTGACAAGGTGTTAATATTCAAACTATTTAAGGAACATCTACAACTTAATAATGATAACAAAATGCCAAATAACCCAATTAAAATATGGCAAAGGACTTGGATAGACATTTCTCTAAAGAAGATATACAAATGACCAATAAGCACATAAAAAATGCTCAGTATCACTAATAATTAGGAAAATGCAAATAAAAGACACAGTGAGATATCACTTCAAACCCATCAAGATGGCTGCTATCAAAAGAACGGAAAATAACAACTTTTGGTGAAGACGTGGAGAGATTGGAACCCATGTGAACTGTTGATGGGAATGCAAAATGGTGCAGCTATTATGAAAAACAGGAAGGGGGTTCCTTAAAAATTGAAAATAGAATTATCACATGATCCAGCAATCCCATTTTTTTAGTATATATCCATAATAATTCAAAGCCGGATCTCAAAGAGATACTTGCACACCCATGTTCATTGTAGCATTATTTGCAATAGCCAAGAGGTGCAAGGAACCCAAATGTCCACTACTGAATGCATAGATGAAGAAAATGTGGTATATATACACAATGGAATATTATCCAGCCTAAAAAATGAAGGAAATTCTATCACATACTACAACATGAGTGAATATCTAGGGCATGCTAGGAGAAAGAAGCCAGTCACAAAATAACAAACACTATATGATTTCACTTATATGAAGTATAGTAGACAAAATCAGACGAGAGAGTGACACCAGCAAGATGGCAGAGTAGAAGTTCCTTCAGCATCATTCTCCTACCAAAGTACAACTAAAAACTACTCAAAGAGAAGAATACTACCCTAAATTCACCATATATTGGGGAGGGGAGTGGAAAAGCCACCTGGACCCACAGAATCAAGAAATGCTTCAACTAGTAAGGGGAACAGTCATTTTAGACTGGACTAACCCCTACCTCAAGCTGGCACAACGCCACTCACGAAAAATTTTCCTAAACCCAAGGTTTCTGAGGTGGTAGGAGAAAACTGGAGGTGGACGTTAATATCCCCACCAGTCTGGGAATCTTCTTGGGAAGCCAACTCCAGTTCCATCTCACAGAAAACACTGAGAGTACCAAGAAGGCTGAACCACCTGGGGTGAATTGGGGACAAAAAGTAGGGGCACTGATCACAGCAACTGGCATGCAAATCTTGGTGGCTTCTCTGAGCTTAAATCAAAGGGGACACCATGCTGAGGAGACTGACTGCTGCCAGAGCACTATAAGGGAAACAATCCACAGGAAGATCGAAATCCCTGGCCAGATTCCCCACAAAGCCCAGGTGCTTTCATGAAGCCTTCTTCTGACCTGGAAACAATTAGGTTCTGGTGCTTATTTAAGTCTTCTTAAGACTAGAAAACAATGGTAGGGCAGTGATATAGTTCTGGTGCTTAAGTTCTGGTGCTCACTGGGAGTCTTCCCCAGACCAGGCAAGCAATGAGTTAGTTCCAATGCAGTGTTTTAGTTCCAGTGCTTATTGTAAGTCCTTCCTAAAATAAGGAGCAATAGCAGGTCAGCAATTAAGTTCCAATATTAAGTAGTAAAGGTCTAACACCACCAGAGAACACCTGCAAAAGCTGGAAGTGGTGGCTGTCTCCTCAAGTGCATGGGCATCAGTGTAAAGATGCAAGAATTGTGAAAACTCAAATAAATCTGACACCACCAAAAGAAACCAACAAAGCTCTTGTAATAGACAAAAAAGAACTGAAGAGCTATGAAGTGTCTAACAAAGAATTCAGAACATTGCTCTTAAAGAAGTTCAAGGACTCACAAGATAATATGAATAAAAAGCTAAATGAAATATGGAAAACAATCCAGGAAGAAAATTGACAAAAATTTTGTTTTTTATAAACAGAAATCCTATAAATAAATAATTCAATAACTGAATTTTAAAACACATTAAAAAGTTTTAACAGCAAACTGGTTCATACTGAGGAAAGAATCAGTGAGCCTGAAGACAGAACATGAAATTGCCAATCAGAGAGGCAAAGAGAAAATGAATAAAAAAGAGTGAAGAAGGCCCATAAGAATTATGGGACACCACCAAGTGAACCAACTTTTGCTTAACAGGAGTTCCTGAATGAGACAATAGAGAAAAAGGCCTAGACAGCATATTTATAGAAATAATGGCTGAAAATTTCCCAAATTTGAAGAAAGACATTATCCAAGTACAGGAATCTCAGAGGTCACCAATCAAATTCAATCCAAAAAGAAATTCTTTAAGGCACATCATAATCAAATTATCAAAAATCTGGGACAAAAAAGAAAATTGAAAGCAGCAGAAGAAAAGAAACATATCATATTAAATGAAGCCCCAATATGGCTTGCAGCTGAAAGGAAATAATGCTAATGTGCAAAAAGAAAACATTTGAAGGTATAAAAAACTCAGTGGTAAAAGTAAGAATATAGAAAAATTCAGAATAATACTTTAACTGTGATATGTAACTTACTTATATCTTAAGTATAAAGACTACAAGACAAAACTATTAAAGAAAATAATAATAATCATGACAATTGGTAAAGAGATAGGCAATACAAAAAGATGTAAATCAAAATATCAAAAAGTCAAAATTTGTGTGTGGGGGGGAATGGTGTTAAAGCATAGTTTATTTTTGTTAATTTTTTGTGATCAAAGTTAAGTTATCAGTTTAAAATAATCTGTTATAACTATAAGATGTTTTAAAATAAGCCTCATGGTACTCATAAATCAAAACCCTGTAATAGATAGAGTAAAAATAAATAGCATGAAATCAAAACATAATACTAAAGGAAAATCACTTAACCACAAAAGAAGATAATAAGAGAGGAGAAAAGAAAAAAAGGATCTACAAAACAACCAGAAAACAAGTAACAAAATGGCAGTAGTAAACCCTTACCTTTCAGTAATAAACTTGAATGTAAATGGATTAAATTCTCCAATTAAATATACACAACATACCAAAACCTAAGGGACACAGCAAAAGCAATGCTAAGAGGGAGGTTTATAGCAATAAACACCTAAATCAAAAAAATAGAAATGTCTCAAATAATCTAATGTTACACTTCAAGGAATTAGAAAAACATGAATAAATGAAATCAACGATCAGTAGAAAGAAAGAAATAACAAAGATCAGAGCAGAAATAAAATAGAGATTTAAAGAACAATACAAAAGGTTAACAAGACAAAGAGTGGGTTTTTGAAAAGATTAAAAAATCAACAAACCTTTAGGAAGACTAAGAAAAAAAGAGAGAAGACTCAAAATCAGAGGTGAAAAAGTAGGCATTACAACAGAAACTACAGAAATGCAAAGGATCATAAGACTATGATGAACAACTATACACAAACAAATTGAAAAAATCTAGAAGATATGGATATATTCCTGGACACATACAACCTCTAAGTTTGAACCATGAAGAAATACAAAACCTGAGTGGACCAATAATGAGTAACAAGATTAGAGCAGTAATAAAGACTCCTTCATCAAAGAAAAGCCCAAGACCTGATGACTTCATGGCTGAATTCTACCAAACTTTTAAAAGAAGAACTGGCTGGGTGTGGTGGCTCACACCTGTAATCCCAGCACTTTGGGAGGCTGAGGCGGGTGGATCACAAGGTCAGGAGATCGAGACCATCCTGGCTAACATGGTGAAACCCCATCTCTACTAAAAATACAAAACCAAAATTAGCCAGGCGTAGTGGTAGGCCTGTAGTCCCAGCTACTTGGGAGGCTGAGGCAGGAGAATGGCATGAACCTGGGAGGCGGAGCTTGCAGCAAGCCGAGATCGCGCCACTGCACTCCAGCCTGGGCAACAGAGCGAGACTCCGTCTCAAAAAAAAAAAAAAAAAAAAGAACTAATACCTATTCTTCTCAAACTCTTCTAAAAAATTGAAGAGGAAGAAATACTTTCAAACTCATTATACAGCACCAGCACTGTCCTGAAATCAAAACCAGACAGGCCACCACAAAAAGGAAAACAACAGGCCAATATTCCTGATGAACGTAGATGTAAATATTCTCAACAAAATACTAGCAAACAAAATCCAACAACACATTAAAAAGATCATCATAATCAAGTGGGATTCATTCCAGGAATGCAAGAATGGTTCAACATATGCAAATCTATAAACATGGTACATCATATCAACAGAATGAAGGACACAAATTATATTGCCATTTCAATAGATGCAGAGAAGAGTTCAACACTGCTTCATGATAAAAACTCTAACAAATTAGGTATAGAAATAACATATCTCAACACAATAAAGGTCATATATGACAAACCCACAGCTAACATCATACTGAATGGTGAAAAATTGAAAGCTTTTTCTCTAAGATCTGGAATAAGAATGCCCTGTTTTACCACTGTTATTCAACATAGTACCAGAAGTCTTTGGAAGAGCAATTAGAAAAGAGAAAGAAATAAAGGGCATCCAAATTGGGAAGGAGGAAATCAAATTGTTTCTTTTTGCAGAGAAAATGATCATATATATAGAAAATCCCAAAGACTTCACCAAAGACTATTAGAACTAATAAATGAATTCAGTAAAGCTACAGGATACAAAATCAACATATAATAATTAGCAGTCTATCAGCCAATAACAAACTTGAGGAAAAATAAATCAAGAAAGCAATCCTATTTACAATAGCTACAAAAAATAAAATACCTAGAAATAAGTTTAACAAAAGAGGTGAAATACATCTTCAATGGAAACTACAAAATACTGATGAAAGAAATTGAAGGAGACACACAAAAATGGAAATACATCCCATGTTCATGAATTGGAATAATTAATATCACTAAAATGTCCATACTATCCAAAGCAATCTACAGACTCAATGCAATCCCTATCAAAATTGCAATGACATTCTTCACAGAAGTAGAAAAAAAAATTCTAAAATTTATATGGAACCACAAAAGACCCAGAATAGCTAAAGCTATCCTGAGCAAAAGAACAAAGTTGGCAGAAGCAGATTATACTACAAAGCTATAGTAACTAAAATGGCAGGGTATGGGCATAACACAGACACATAGACCAATGGAATATAAGAGAAAATCCAGAAATAAATCCACACATCTACAGGGAACTCATTTTTGACAAAGGTGCCAGGAACATACACTGGGGGAAAGGACAGTATCTTCAATAAATGGTGATGGGAAAACTGGATATCCATATGCAGAAGAATGAAACTAGAACCCCATCTCATATACAAAAATAAAAATGAATAAAAGATTTAAATCTTAGACCCCAAATTATGAAACTACCATAAGAAAACATTTGGGAAACTCTCCAGGACATTAGTCTGAGCAAAGGTTTCTTGAATAATACCCTAAAAGCACAGGCAACCGAGGCTAAAATGGATGGATGGGATCACATAACTTCTGCACAGCAAAGGAAACAATCAACAGAGTGAAGAGACACCTAGAAAATGGGAGAAAATATTTGCAGACTATGCACCAGACAATAAATTAATATCCACAATATATAAGGAACTCAACTCAATAGCAAAAACAACAAAAAACAAAAACACATAATCTAATTTTTTAAATGGGCAAAAGACCTGAATAAACATTTATCAAAAAAATACATGCAGGTATATAATAAGATGCTCAATATCACTAATCATCAGAGAAATGCAAACTAAAACCACAATGAGATCTGACCTCTTACCCCAGTTAGAATGGCTATAATCAAAAAGACAAAAATTAACAAACGCTGGTAAGGATGCAAAGAAAGGGAACTCATACACTGTTGGTGGTAGTGTAGATTAGTTCAGCCATTATGAAAAACAGTATGTTCTTGCCTGGAACTACCAAAAGATCCACCAATTCAACTACTGGGTATATAGCCAAAGGAATTAAGTAAGTATATTAAAAAGATATCTGCATTCCTATGTTTATTTAAACACTATTCATAGTAGCCAAGATATGAAGTCAACCTGTGTGTACATCAACAGATAAACAAATAAAGAAAATGTAGTATAAGTACACAATGGAATACTATTCAGCTATAAAAAGGAATGCAATCCTGTCATTTGTAGCAAAATCAATGAACCTGGAGGACACAATGTTAAGTAAAATAAGCCAGGTGCAGAAAGACAAATACTGCATTCTCTCACTTATATGTGGAATCTAGGAAAGTTGAGCTCATAGAAGTATAGAGCAGAATAGTAGTTATCAGAGACTGAGGAGGTGAGGGATAAGGGGAAGAGAGGAAACTCAGCCAATGAGTACAAAATTATAGTCAGATGGGAAGAATAATTTTGGTGTTCCATTACATAGTAGGATGACTATAGTTAAGAGCAATGTATTGTATATTTTAAGATAGCTAGGAAAAAGGATCTTGAAAGTTATCACCACAAAGAAATGATAACGGTATGAGGTGAAGGACATGCTAACTATCCTAATTTGACCATTATATAATGTATCCATATATTGAAACATCACACTGTACACCATAAACCTGTACAATTATTGTATGTCAATTATAAACAAAATTTTTAAAAAATAGAGTAGTCGAAATCATAGAACCAGAAAGTAGAAAGGTGGTTACCAAGGGATGGAGAGAGGAGGAATTAGAGTTTAGTGGGTATGCAATTTTAGTGTTGCAAATGAAGAGCTTCCATAGATTTGTTGCCCAACAATAGAACTATACTTAACGCTAGTGAGTTGTGCATTTAAAAATGGTTAATAATAAGTTTAATGTTACCTGGTTTTTTAACCATATTTTAAAAAGTGAGGTCCAGGAAGGCCATGTTAAATGTTCGATTAGAGAGAAGAAATGGTCTTTTAGAAGAAGAGTGGATGGAGGAAGAGACTATGGTATAATTGTAAGACAATATTATGGAATCGTGTAGTCAGTGTTCAGGTTTAAGAGGTTACCAGTCATCATGATTGAGTTTTTCTTCAGCATTCGTCAACTCTGCATGTGAAGATACCATGGAAGCAAAAATTTTTATTTAACCAGATTTTGATTTAGCTAAGGGAGTAAGAGACAGTGAGAAGTAAGAGGTTTAAGGATTTGTGCAAGGGACAGTGAATAGCAGTAGAATTGACAACATTTTCCACCTTATAGCTATGCAAATAATGTCTTGCTATACTTAATAAAAATGGAATTTCAGAAGCAGTAATAAAAAAACATATAGGAGAACATCTTTATCACACCAGAGTATGGATAGAGTTTTGATAAGCCACAGAAGGTATACACCATAAAAGAAAGAATTGCTAAATCTGATGACATTAAAATTGAAACACCTGGGCTGGGTGCGGTGGCTCACACCTATAATCCCAGCACTTTGGGAGGCTGAGGCGGGTGGATCACGAGGTCAGGAGATCGAGACCATCCCGGCTAACATGGTGAAACCTGTCTCTACTAAAAATACAAAAAATTAGCTGGGCATGGTGGAGCATGCCTGTGGTCCTAGCTACTTGGGAGGCTGAGGCAGGAGAATCGCTTGAACCCAGGAGGCGGAGGTTGCAGTGAGTCGAGATCATGTCACTGCACTCCAGCCTGGGCTACAGAGCAAGACTCTGTCTCAGAAAAAAAAAAAAAAAAAAAAAATTGAAACACCTCTGTGGCAAAGAGCACTATAAAGAAAAGGAAATTCAAAAACCGACCTAGTAATTGTTTTCAATACATTTACTAACAAACTCTTTCAAATAAATAATAATTTTTAAAAATTCAATAGAATAGAAAATTGGGGAATTCACAAAGGAAAACCAAATGGCCACGTAAACATGAAAAGATGTTGACCTTCACTAGTTTATAATCAGAGAAATATACTTTAAAATAACCACATATTTTCACCACTCCAATTGGTAAAAAATTTTCAGTTTGATGATTGCAGGGGACTGATCCTCACTCTTGAGGTCTCAATTCAGGGAATTTTAATGCTACAAACATTTCCCAAACTCCTTTGTCTCCCTGTACTTCCCAGAGCAGAATTATTTCTTTGCTTTGTCCTTACTGTTAATACGTATTTTTTCACCATTATTTTGGTGTATCTATCTCTTTAAGTTATACGCACATAGAAAGCACATGGGACAAAGCACATGGGAGGTGTTTTGAATTAATTAAGACAAGGTCCTATGTGGCAGAGGAAATTAAAATCATAACTTTGCTGATCTGTCTTTTTTCTGCCCCTGCCCCTGGTACTGTTCATGGCTTATAGTGGGCTCACAATGAAAGCCTGCTGCATTAAATGTAAGCCACCTTTTTTCTTCCAGAAAAGTACACAGGCCAGTCACCAACAAACTATTCTGAGTTTATGTAGTTTGGGCTTATGACTTATAAAATATGGATGAGCCCAATCCAGAAATTTTTATGTCAAGGAATGCTGGGGAAGAAGCTGATGGTTAGGCATGGATGAGTGGAATATTTCTGTCACTTATCTGGATTCTTTAACATTTATTCTCAAAAGTATTTTCTCCTGGTGGGAGAGGCTAACAAGAAAAGTAATATGAGAGGCTGCTTAGGCATCAGGGGACCTTTCTATCAGGCATTAATAATTTGAATCTCATTTGGAAATTCTTTTATCATTTTAGCCGATGGGACCTGAGGCACTGACAATCAATTTTTAAAAATACAAGATGCCAATAAGGACTGGATTGTTTTGAATTAACTAAGAAAAGGTTCTATGTGGCAGAGGAAATTAAAATCATGGCTTTGCTAACCTGTCTTCCTTGTGAAGTTGTTCTGTATATCTGATTTCATTTTTAATGCAGAAGTTTTAGTGGGCCTTTGAGGAGATGGAGAGACAGGAGAGTGGGGAGCTGGACATAATGTTTCTGATCAATTGTACCCTTCAGTGGAGAAGGTAGTAGGGGAGGGACTTCTGGACCTTGTGTGTTGGGGGGTGTGGGGGGAATATAGATAGGGCAGTAGGGTACTGCTAGGGTAATTCACTGTAATTAAATTAAATTACAGTAATTTAATTATATATTTAGCTCTGCCACTTATTAGCAATGTGGTCTTGGGCAAACATCTTGAATTCTCTCCGCCTCAGTTTCCTCATCCATAAAATATGTATAATATTAACAATGAGAATTTAGAAATGTAACATATGTAAACATTTTATGTCCCTGACACACTATAAGTACAGTATGCATTAGTTTTTGTTGTTATATAAGGGTTAGCTATTCCTGTTGTAGTACAGTCATGATGTCACACAGGATGTTTAGGTCAATAATGGACTGCATATATGACAGTAGTCCCATAAGATTATAATGAGGCTGAAAAATTCCTGATGCCTAGTGACATCATAGTCATCTTAATGTTGTAGTGCAACCCATTACTTGCGTGTTTGTGGTGATGCTGGTGTAAACAAATCTGTGCTGTCACTCATATAAAAGTATAGCACATACAATTATGTACAGCACATAATACTTGATAAATGACTATGTTTCTGCTTTATGTATTTACTATATGTTACTGGTTTCTTTTTTTTAAATTATACTTTAAGTTCTAAGGTACATGTGCACAATGTGCAGGTTTGTTACATATGTATACATGTGCCATGTTGGTGTGCTGCACCCGTTAACTCGTCATTTACATTAGGTGTGTCTCCTAATGCTATCCCTCCCCCCTTCACCCACCCTATGACAGGCCCTGATGTGTGATGATCCCCACCCTGTGTCCAAGTGTTTTCACTGTTCAATTCCCACCTATGAGTGAGAACAGGCAGTGTTTGGTTTTCTGTCCTTGCTATAGTTTGCTGAGAATGATAGTTTCCAGCTTCATCCATGTCCCTACAAAGGACATGAACTCATCCTTTTTTATGGCTGCATAGTATTCCATGGTGTATATGTGCCACATTTTCTTAATCCAGTCTATCATTAATGGACATTTCAGTTGGTTTCAAGTCTTTGCTATTGTGAATAGTGCCACAATAAACATACGTGTGCATGTCTTTATAGCAGCATGATTTTAATCCTTTGGGTATATGCCCACTAATGGGATTGCTGGGTCTAATGGTGTTTCTAGTTCTAGATCCTTGAGGAATTGCCACACTGTCTACCACAATGGTCGAACTAGTTTACAGTCCCACCAACAGTGTAAAAGCGTTCCTATTTCTCCACATCCTCTCCAGCACCTGTTGTTTCCTGACTTTTTAATAATCATCATTCTAACTGGCATGAGACAGTATCTCATTGTGGTTTTGATTTGCATTTCTCTGATGACCACTGATCATGAGCATTTTCTCATGTGTCTGTTGGCTGCATAAATGTCTTCTTTTGAGAAGTGTCTGTTCATATCTTTTGCCCACTTGTTGATGGGGCTGTTTGATTTTTTCTTGCAAATTTGTTTAAGTTCTTTGTAGACTCTGGATATTAGCCCTTTGTCAGATGGGTAGATTGTAAAAATTTTCTCCCATTCTGTAGATTGCCTGTTCACTCTGATGGTAGTTTCTTTTGCTGTGCAGAAGCTCTTGAGTTTAATTAGATCCCATTTGTCAATTTTGGCTTTTGTTGCCATTGCTTTTGGTGTTTTAGTCATGAAGTCCCTGCCCATGCCTATGGCCTGAATGGTATTGCCTAGGTTTTCTTCTAGGGTTTTTATGGTTTTAGGTCTAACATTTAAGTCTTTAATCCATCTCGAATTAATTTTTGTATAAGGTGTAAGCAAGGGATCCAGTTTCAGCTTTCTACATATGGCTAGCCAGTTTTCCCAGCACCATTTATTAAATAGGGAATCCTTTCCCCATTTCTTGTTTTTGTCAGGTTTGTCAAAGATCAGATGGTTGTAGATGTGTGGTATTATTTCCTAGGGCTCTATTCTGTTCCATTGGTTTATGGAACAGTACCATGCTGTTTTGGTTACTGTACCAAAACAGCTGTTTTGGTACTGTTTTGGTTACCAGTACTATGCTGTTTTGGTTACTGTAGCCTTGTAGTGTAGTTTGAAGTCAGGTAGTGTGATGCCTCCAGCTTTGTTCTTTTCACTTAGGATTGTCTTGGCAATATGCGCTCTTTTTTGGTTCCATATGAACTTTAAAGTAGTTTTTTCCAATTCTGTGAAGAAAGTCTTTGGTAGGTTGATGGGGATGGCATTGAATCTATAAATTACCTTGGGCAGTATGACCATTTTCACGATATTGATTCTTCCTATCCATGAGCATGGAATATTCTTCCATTTGTTTGTGTCCTCTTTTATTTCGTTGAAGAGGTCCTTCACATCCCTTGTAAGTTGGATTCCTAGGTATTTTATTCTCTTTGAAGCAATTGTGAATGGGAGTTCACTCATGATTTGGCTCTCTGTTTGTCTGTTATTGGTGTATAGGAATGCTTATGATGTTTGCACATTGATTTTGTATTCTGAGACTTTGCTGAAGTTGCTTATCAGCTTAAGGAGATTTGGGGCTGAGACGATGGGGTGTTCTAGATATACAATCATGTGATCTGCAAACAGGACCATTTGACTTCTTCTTTTCCTAATTGAATACCCTTTATTTCCTCCTGCCTGAGTGCCCTGGCCAGAACTTCCAACACTATGTTGAGTAGAAGTGGAGAGAGAGGACATCCCTGTCTTGTGCCAGTTTTCAAAGGGAATGCTTCCAGTTTTTGCCCATTGAGTATGATATTGGCTGTGGGTTTGTCATAGATAGCTCTTATTATTTTGAGATATGTCTCATCAATACGTAGTTTATTGAGAGTTTTAGCATGAAGGGATGTTGAATTTTGTCAAAGGCCTTTTCTGCATCTATTGAGATAATCATGTGGTTTTTGTCTTTGGTTCTGTTTATATGTTGGATTACGTTTATTGATTTGCATATGTTGAACCAGCCTTGCATCCCTGGGATGAAGCCAACTTAATTGTGGTGGATAAGCATTTTGATGTGCTACTGGATTTGGTTTGCTAGTATTTTATTGAGGATTTTTGCTTTGATGTTCATCAGGGATATGGGTCTAAAATTCTCTTTTTTTGTTGTGTCTCTGCCAGGCTTTGGTGTCAGGATAATGTTGGCCTCATAAAATGAATTAGGGAGGATTCCCTCTTTTTCCATTGATTGGAATAGTTTCAGAAGGAATGGTACCAGCTCCTCTTTGTACCTCTGGTAGAATTTGGCAGTGAATCCATCTCGTTCTGGACTCTTTTTGGTTGGTAGGCTATTAATTCCTGCCTCAATTTCAGAACCTGTTATTGGTCTATTCAGGGATTCAATTTCTTCCTGGTTTAGTCTGGGGAGGGTGTATGTGTTGAGGAATTTATCCATTTCTTCTAGATTTTCTAGTTTATTTGTGTAGAGGTGTTTATAGTATCTGATGGTAGTTTGTATTTCTGTGGGACTGGTGGTGATATCCCCTTTATCATTTTTTATTGTGTCTATTTGATTCTTCTCTCTTTTCTTCTTTATTAGTCTTGCTAGCGGTCTGTCAATTTTGTTGATCTTTTCAAAAAACCAGCTCCTGGATTCATTGCTTTTTTGAAGGGTTTTTTATGTCTCTATCTCCATCAGTTCTGCTCTGATCTTAGTTATTTCTTGCCTTCAGCTAGCTTTGGAATGTGTTTGCTCTTGCTTCTCTAGTTGTTTTAATTGTGATGTTAGGGTGTCAATTTCAGATCTTTCTTGCTTTCCCTTGTGGGCATTTAGTGCTATAAATTTCCCTCTACACACTGCTTTAAATGTGTCCCAGAGATTCTGGTATGTTGTGTCTTTGTTCTCATTGGTTTCAAAGAACATCTTTATTTCTGCCTTCATTTCGTTATGTACCCAGTAGTCATTCAGGAGCAGGTTGTTCAGTTTCCATGTAGTTGAGCGGTTTTGAGTGAGATTCTTAATCCTGAGTTCTAGTTTGATTGCACTGTGGTCTGAGAGACAGTTTGTTATAATTTCTGTTCTTTTTTACATTTGCTGAGGAGTGCTTTACTTCCAACTATGTGGTCAGTTTTGGAATAAGTGTGATGTGGTGCTGAGAAGAATGTATATTCTGTTGATTTGGGGTGGAGAGTTCTGTAGATGTCTATTAGGTCTGCTTGGTGCAGAGCTGAGTTCAATTCCTGGGTATCCTTGTTAACTTTCTGTCTCGTTGATCTGTCTAATGTTGACAGTGTGGTGTTAAAGTCTCCCATTATTATTGTGTGGGAGTCTAAGTCTCTTTGTAGGTCTTTAAGGACTTATTGAATCTGGGTGCTCCTGTATTGGGTGCATATATATTTAGGATAGTTAGCTCTTCTTGTTGAATTGATCCATTTACCATTATGTAATGGCCTTCTTTGTCTCTTTTGATCTTTGTTGGTTTAAAGTCTGTTTTATCAGAGACTAGGATTGTAACTCCTGCCTTTTTTTGTTTTCCATTTGCTTGGTAGATCTTCCTCCATCCCTTTATTTTGAGCCTGTGTGTGTGTCTGCACGTGAGATGGGTCTCCTGAATACAGCACACTGATGGGTCTTGACTCTTTATCCAATTTGCCAGTCTGTGTCTTTTAATTGGAGCATTTAGCCCATTTACATTTAAGGTTAATATTGTTATGTGTGAATTTGATGCAGTCATTATGATGTTAGCCAGTTATTTTGCTCATTAGTTGATGTAGTTTCTTCCTAGCCTCGATGGTCTTTACAATTTGGCATGTTTTTGCATTGGCTGGTACTGGTTGTTCCTTTCCATGTTTAGTGCTTCCTTCAGGAGCTCTTTTAGGGCAGGCCTGGTGGTGACAAAATCTCTCAGCATTTGCTTGTCTGTAAAGGATTTTATTTCTCTTTCACTTATGAAGCTTAGTTTGGCTGGATATTAATTTCTGGGTTGAAAATTCTTTCCTTTAAGAATGTTGAATATTGGCCCCCACTCTCTTCTGACTTGTAGAGTTTCTGCCGAGAAATCAGCTGTCAGTCTGATGTGCTTCCCTTTGTGGGTAATCCAACCTTTCTCTCTGGCTGCCCTTAACATTTTTTTCCTTCATTTCAACTTTGGTGAATCTGACAATGATGTGTCTTGGAGTTGCTCTTCTTGAGGAGTGTCTTTGTGGCGTTCTCTGTGTTTCCTGAATTTGAATGTTGGCCTGCCTCGCTAGGTTGGGGAAGTTCTCCTGGATAATATCCTGAAGAGTGTTTTCTAGCTTGGTTCCATTCTCCCTGTCACTTTCAGGTACACCAGTCAGACGTAGGTTTGGTCTTTTCACACAGTCCCATATTTTTTGGAGGCTTTATTTGCTTCTTTTTTCTCTAAACTTCTCTTCTCCCTTCACTTCATTCATCTGATCTTCAATCGCTGATACCCTTCCTTCCAGTTGATCAAATTGGCTACTGAAGCTTGTGCATGCATCACGTAGTTCTCCTGCCATGGTTTTCAGCTCCATCAGGTCATTTAAGGACTTCTCTACACTGTTTATTCTAGTTAGCCATTCGTCTAATCTTTTTTCAAGGTTTTTAGCTTCTTTGCGATGGGTTTGAACATCCTCCTTTAGCTCGGAGAAGTTTGTTATTATTTATTGTCTCAAGGCTTCTTCTCTCAACTCGTCAAAGTCATTCTCCGTCCAGCTTTGTTCCATTGCTGGCGAGGAGTTGCGTTCCTTTGGAGGAGGAGAGGCGCTCTGATTTTTAGAATTTTCAGGTTTTCTGCTCCGGTTTCTCCCCATCTTTGTGCTTTTATCTATCTTTGGTCTTTGATGATGGTGACGTACAGATGGGGTTTTGGTGTGGATGTCCTTTCTGTTTGTTAGTTTTCCTTCTAACAGTCAGGACCCTCAGCTGCAGGTGTCTTGGTGTTTGCTGGAGGTCCACTCCAGACCCTGTTTGCCTGTGTATCACTAGCAGAGGCTGCAGAACAGCAAATATTCCAGAATGGCAAATGTTGCTGCCTGAGCCTTCCTCTGAAAGCTTCGTCTCAGAGGGGCACCCGGCTGTGTGAGGTGTCAGTCAGCCCCTACTGGGAGGTGTCTCCCAGTTAGGCTACTCGGGGGTCAGGCACCCACTTGAGGAGGCAGTCTATCGGTTCTCAGATCTCAAACTCTGTGCTGGGAGAACCACTACTCTCTTCAGAGCTGTAGACAGGGATGTTTAAGTCTGCAGAAGTTTCTGCTGCCTTTTGTTCAGCTATGCCCTGCCCCCAGAGGTGGAGTCTACAGAGGCAGGCAGGCCTCCTCTGCTGCCGTGGGCTCCACCCAGTTCAAGCTTCCTGGCCACTTTGTTTGCCTACTCAAGCCTCAGCAATGGTGGATGCCCCTCCCCCAGCCACGCTGCTGCCTTGCAGTTTGATTTCAGACTGCTGTGCTAGCAGTGAGCAAGGCTCCGTGGGTGTGGGACACTCCGAGCCAAGCGTGGGATATAATCTCCTGGTGTGCCGTTTGCTAAGACCACTGGAAAAGCACAGTATTAGGGTGGGAGTGTACCAATTTTCCAGGTACTGTCTGTCATGGCTTCTCTTTGCTAGGAAAGGGAATTCCCTGACCTCTTGTGCTTCCCAGGTGAGGTGATGCCCCACCCTGCTACGTGGGCTGCACCCACTGTCTGACAAGCCCCAGCGAGATGAATCCAGTACCTCAGTTGGAAATGCAGAAATCACCTGTCTTCTGCGTCGCTCATGCTGGGAGCTGCAGACTGGAGCTATTCCTATTTGGCCATCTTGGAACCTCCTCTTAGTGGTTTCTGTATTAACTTTTAATTGTGATTTTAGAGTATACTCCTTCTACTTGTATATATTTAAAAAGTTAACTGTAAAACAACCTCAGGCAGGTCCTTCAGGGAACATTTCAGAAGAAGGCATTGTTATCATAAGAGATGACAGCCCCATGCATGTTACTGCCTCTGAAGAACTTCCAGTGGGACAAGATGTGGAGGTGGATGACAGTGACGTGTAGGCCTAAGCTAATGTGTGTGTTTGTGGGCTAGGTTTTTTTTTTTTTTTTTTTTTTTGATGGAGTCTCGCTCTTTCGCCCAGGCTGGAGTGCAGTGGCATGATCTCAGCTCACTGCAACCTCTGCCTCCCGGGTTCATGCCATTCTCCTGCCTCAGCCTCCTGAGTAGCTGAGATTACAGGCACCCACCACCACGCCTGGCTAATGTTTTGTATGCTTAGTACAGATGGGGTTTCGCCGTGTTAGCCAGGATAGTCTCGATCTCTTGACATCGTGATCCACCTGCCTCGGCCTCCCACAGTGTTGAGATTACAGGCGTGAGCCACTGTGCCCAGCCTGTGGGCTAGTTTTTAACAAAGAAGTTTAAAAAATAAAAACAAACAAGCAAAAAACTTGAAATAGAAAACAGCTTATAGAATAAGGAAATAAAGAAAGAAAAAAAATTTTTTGAGACAGTCTTGCTCTGTTGCCCAGGCTGGAGTGCAGTGGCTCAATCTTGGTTCGCTGCAACCTCCACCTCCCAGGATCAAGCAATTCTTGAACCTCAGCCTCTCAAGTAGCTGGGATTACACACGTGTGCCACGACACGCGGCTAGTTTTCTGTATTTTTAATAGAGATGGGGTTTTACCATGTTAGCCAGGCTGGTCTTGAACTCCTGCCTCAAATTGATCCACACACCTCAGCCTCCCAAATTGTTGGGATTACAGGCATGAGCCACTGTGCTCGGCCAGAAAGAAAATATTTTTGTACAGCTATACTATGTGTTTTATTTTAAGCTAGTGTTATTATAAAAAAGCCAAAATGTTTAAAACTTAAATTTAGAAGTTTGTAATGAAGTTACAGTAAGTTAAGGTTAATATGTTATTAAAGAAAGAAATTTTTAAAAATAAATTTAGTGTAGCCTAAGTGTACCATGTTTATAAAGTCTGCAGTAGTGTACAGTAATGTCTTGGCCTTCACATTCACTCACCACTCACTCACTGACCCACTCAGAGCAACACCTAGTCATGCAAGCTTCATTCATGGTAAGCATTTTATAGACACAGCTATGCCATTTTTAATCTTTTATACTGTATTTTTTATGTTTAGATGCGTTTAGATACACAAATATTTACCATTGTGTTATGCTTGCCTACAGTATTCAGTACAGTGACATGCTGTACAGATTTGTAGCCTAGGAGCAATAGGCTATCCCATATATCCTAGGAATACATTACTTTTAATGGCAAAAACCGAAATTACTTTTGCACCAACCTAATAGTAGGCTATACCATCTAGGTTTGGTAAGTGCACACTATGATGTTCACATAATGACAAAGCCACCCAACAATGCATTTCTCAGAACACGTTCCCATCATCAAGCATGACTGTAGTTGTTTTAGAGGCTGAGCCCTGAGCTAGGTTCGGTTAATACAATAATGAATTCTGTACACCCTATTCTTAATAAGGAATCTGGTGGTGGAGACAAGTAAGCAGGCTGTTACTATAAAGTTGTCTGTGTTACCATGGAGACAAGTGCAGGGCACCCTTGGGACTGCAAAGGAGGGGTGCCATCCCAATTATGGGTGTCAGAAACTACTTCCTGATACCCGTAATTGGGTGCACATTCTTCCCTGCCATTTTTTCTTTTCTCCTACTGTGCTTTCACTGTATACTACTCATACAAGCCTCCCTGGGTTTCCTTAGCAGTCCTCAGGCCTAAATAAGTTGGGACATCTAGGCTACTCACCCATGCCCAGGCTGAGATGCCTTTGCCAGTGCTGGATGACACAAGGCTTTGCCCAAGCTTTGAAAACTCCTAAGCCTTTCATCAGACCAATCTTAGAATTTAGCCTTACCCAGCCCTTCCTTGCCCTGGTTTCATTTTCTTTTGTCCAAACTGCCTTTGTGGTTTCCATAGAAATGAAAGCTTCTGGCTGGGCCCATCCCCGTGGAAATTTTAGGGTGATTAATAGGCACCATTGCCATATTCTATTTATTTCTCATTTGCTTGCTTGATTAAAAACTCACAATTCCACCTCCTTACCTCCCTGGTGCAAGGGAGAGGGGAATACATAACTTTGTTTTGTTACAAATATACATACAAACTTTGTTTATTAGGTTACATATGACATTCACGTTTGATTCCCAGGCCACTGCTCTGCAGTTGTGCAAACATCATATTTTCTGGCTTGGAGTAAAAAAATACGTATTTTCATAGATGCTGATGGCTGATGAAAATGACTGACTCTTAAGGTTCCCTTGTTAACTGATGGGATCTTGAAGAATAGGCAGAACATTACTTTTGTTTCAATAGGTATGGATGGTCATGGTGGCTCTGAGCTGCCTGGATGCTATACTTGGTCATACCTAGCCTGGCTCCTGGGGCTGAGTCTGTTTACCCTAAAGCAACAAGTCCCCCCAGGCAGGGAGGAGTTGGCAGACAGTCTTAGAGGCTGAGGAGGGAGGGTTATGGGAAAAACAATCTTGGCTTATAAGACCCTCACTAACTCAGGGAGCTCAGAGTGTGACTAAGACCTTGACTACCTCAGCAAGCTCAGAGCTGTGACTAAGCCTGTACAGCTGTCTGTCTTGGTGAGCCAGACTGAGAGAGTTACTGAGTCTGCACCTTTTACATCCTTCCATTAATTTTAAAAGCAGGTTTATTGAGGTATAATTTACATACTGCAAAATTCAACCTTTTTAGTGTATAGTTCTGTGATTTTTGGACAAATACATACATTTCTGTAGCCATCACTGTAATCAAGATACAGAACAGTTCCATTGCCCTAAAAATTATTTTGTGGCCATTGTAGTCCACCCCTCTTCCCACCTCTCACCTGCACTGATCTGTTTTCTGTTACTATAGTTTTGCCTTTTCCAGAATGTCATGTAATGTAGCCTTTTGAGTCTGCCTTCTTTCCCTTAGTATAATGCATATTAGATTCATCCATGTTGGTGCATGTCTTTAATTCTTACAATAACTCCTCAAGGTGAGAGTTCTCTTAATTTCATAGATGAGATCCCCAAGAGCCTCAGAGAGGATTCATGATCCACTAAAGGTCACCCAGCTCATAAAAGTGAACCTGAGATTTGAACTCAGGTCCATGTGGTTCCACAGTTCACATTCTGTGCATTGTCCTTCCAGCAAAGGTGATGCTGGCCAAGGAGGCTGCATCTCTCTCTACCTTCACCAGCCGAGGGAGGTGGAGACATGAGGGAGGACTTGTGGGCAAAGACCAACCATCTGAGTGAGACCATCCATACGTCCAACAGAGCTTCCTCCCACCTCTCTCCATGCCAGGTGTCAGGATGTTTGAATTCCATTAGCAGCTCAGAGCTAGGAGTGCTCCCATAAGACAATGTGGAGAATCTCTCTTCCCATGCCTTGGAGAAGGTCTATGAGTATATCCTAGTCATTGTAATATTATAAAACTGTTATTCTGTAAGAAGGCTTTCCAGGGAAAGAATTGGGTGGGGCAACTGAGTTCCACTCATGTTGTTGCAAATGGTCAGAGAAGATCCTCTGGGCAAGGAAAAGAACAGAAGCATATGCTACTAGGCACTGTGCTTCACTTCCTTTTTAATGAGCATTGCAAATTTTAAATACAGACCAGATTTCATTGGTGCATTAGTTATGTATTGCCTTAGAATAAATTAAATTACCCTAAAATGCAGTGGCTTAAAGCAACAACTATTTATTATCTCATAGTCTCTGTGGGTTGAGAATCCAGGCATAGCCTCACTGGGTGTCTCTGGCTCAGGGTCTCATTCAAGGCTACAATCAAAATACCAGGAGGGACTGTGGTTTCCTCTCAAGGCTCAGCTGGGGGAAGAGCTGCTTTCAAACTCACTCATGTAGCTGCTGTCAGGTCTCAAGTTCTTGCTGGCTGTTGGTCAGAGTCATCAGTTCCTTGCCATGCGGGCCTCTACATACAGCAGTTCACAATAGGGAGCAAGCGAGGCAAGAAGGGCAAGAGAGCACCTGACAGCCACAGCCTTTGTAACCTCATCTCAGAAGTGACAATGCCTCACTTTTGCTGTATCTATTTGTTGAAAGGGAGTCGCTAGGTTCAGCACACAATCCAGGAGAGGGAATTCCACAAGAGTGTGAGTGCCAGGAATCAGGGATCATTGTACAGGCTGCCTGCCACAAGGTGTAATTTACGTATCATAAAATGCACAGATCTTAAGTATTCAGATCAATAAGTTTTGACAACTGTATGTGTCATGTACCCATCACTCAATAAGATCTAGAACATTTCTGACCCTCTGGAAAGCTTCCTGATGATCTTTTCCAGTCAATTCAACACATTCCTTTCTCACTCTCCACCACCCCTCCCCTCCATCACAGAGCCAACCACTTTCTTATTTCCACCAGCATAGACCTGTTGTGCCTGTTTGTGGACTTTATATAAATGGAATCCTCCAATCTGATTTTTTTTGTGTGGGTACATACATTTTGTGTGGGTATATATATTTATAGGATACATGGCATATTTTGATATAGGCATACAATGGGTAATAATTATATCAGGGTAAATGGGATATCCATCACCTCAAGCATTTATCCTTTCTTTTATGTGACAAACAATCCAATTATACTCTTTTAGTTATTTTTAAATATACAATAAATTATTGTGGACTGTAATCACCCTGTTGTGCTATCAAATAGATCTTATTCATTCTTTCTAACTAACTACATTTTTACACTCATTAACCATCCCCACTTCTCACCCCCCTGACTACCCTTCCCAGCCTCTGGTATCCATCATTCTACTCTCTATCTCCATGAGTTCAATTGTTTTAATTTTTTAGCTCTCACAAATTAGAACATGCAAAGTTTGTCTTTCTGTGTCTGGCTTGTTTCACTTAATGTCTCTCGGTTCCATTCATGTTGTTGCAAATGACAGGATCTCATTCTTTTTATGGCTGAATAGTACTCCATTGTGTATATGTACTACATTTTCTTTAACCATTTGTCTGGCGATGGACACTGATCAACTTAAAAATGGCCATTGTCCATTTTTATGTTCAGCTTTTTGGTTGTTTTCAAAGACATGAGGAAAAAGATCCTGGGTAACTCTGTCCTACTTAAAATTCAGTAGCACGAGAGAAAAAGCAGGCAGGAATGGAGACTGTATTCACTGGTAAAACCAACTTTAACAATCATCAAACATGCTGCAGGGAACCCCACAGGACAGAGGGAACATGGCCAATGCTGAAGGAAAAACTTCCAGGGCCTGGAATTAGAAGCCCTGGAATCAAAGCTGGCCATTTTGAGGCACTTAGAGACTAAAAGATGAATCTTTAGGGCCAGCTTGAAATCTACCTTCTTTATTTAATGGGGATACCCTGGGCAAAGTGGGGTGGGGTGGGGCCAGGCCTTGGTCTGGAGAGATTAGGAAGGAGGCTCCTACTGGGCCTGAAAATCCCACCAGCAGTAGCAGTCTTATTACCAGCTTGGATTTCCATGGTCCACAGCTTGCACAGCCATTCTGATCATTGAGGATAAGTCCCCAAGGATGACTTGAGAAGGGAAAGTAGGAGACTGGGCCTCCCATTTGTTTTCAGGAAAGTCAAAGAAATGAAGACCTGGAGAGAACAGGCTGCCCTGAAGGGATCCCAAAGTGAAGGTGGCAGTTCAACAGAAGGAATGTCAAATGTGCCTTTTCAAGATTCTAAGGCAGGTGTGGTATGGTGAGGAGAAGGATCTCTGGTTCTACTTCTCATTCTGCTGAGTGTAAACGCCACAGAAACTTGAAAAATTCTGACAATGTACAAGAGGACATTCTGCCTCTGTGCTATCATCCTCGGGCAGCACAGAAGGAATGAACTTCCATCTTTCTAGGCTGATTCATCTAAATCTTTGTTTTCTCAGTCTGCCAGAACTTTTCTCAGGCCTGCCTTTAGGGTTGTTTTGTTTTGTTTTTCTTTTTCTCTCCCAAAATCTGCTTGGAATTTCAATTATATTTTCAATCTCTTTCATTGGTCCTCCAAAAAAGAATTTGTCTCATAAACTCACCACTTAAAATATAGAGATGCTACTATTTTCTCAAGCAATAGATTAGGCTTCTAAAGCAATTTTTTTTCCCGAAGCAGTTTCTTTTTTATTTTTTACACAAGCAGATTTTGGGAGAGAAAAAGAAAAACAAAATGTTTTATCATGCCTCCTCCCTTAAAGGGAAGCAGGATTTCATCTGGCAGACAGGATGTGGGGGCTCCAGGTCTTTGGCTCTACTGCTTTACAGCCCTCCTGTCCTAAGAGAAACTTTAGTCCTTCAAAGGCTCCCTGGAGTCTCACCTTTTCCAGAGAGCCTGCCCTTCTTAACTCCAGGGTTCTTTGACAGTTTCCTTCTCGGAAACACACCTATAAGAGTTACCAACAACTAGTGAGTGGAGAAGCACATTTGAGATGATGCAGGAATGATAGGTAACTGTCTGGTGGTGCCTTTAAGGCAGTGGTGCTCAGTCTTGAATTCATTTTGGAATCTTCTGGGCAGCTCTGAAAAATCCCAATGCCAAGACCCAACCCCATTAAATCAGGCACACTAAATCAGAATCTTGGGGGATGAGGCTCAGGCATTCATATTTTTTTTAAAAAGCAGGAAAGATCTAAAATTGACACCCTAACATCACAATTAAAAGAACTAGAGAAGCAAGAGCAAACACATTCAAAAGCTAGCAGAAGGCAAGAAATAACTAAGATCAGAGAAGAACTGAAGGAAATAGAGACACAAAAAACCCTTCAAAAAATCAATGAATCCAGGAGCTGGTTTTTTGAAAAGATCAACAAAACTGATTGATAGACCGCTAGCAAGACTAACAAAGAAGAAAAGAGAGAAGAATCAAATAGATGCAAAAAAAAATGATAAAGGGGATATCACAACTGAACCCACAGAAATACAAACTACCATCAGAGAATACTATAAACACCTCTATGCAAATAAACTAGAAAATCTAGAAGAAATGGATAAGTTCCTGGACACATACACCCTCCCAAGACTAAACCAGGAAGCTGAATCTCTGAATAGACCAATGATAGGCTCTGAAATTGAGGCAATAATTAATAGCTTACCAACCAAAAACGGTCCAGGACCAGATGGATTCACAGCCGAATTCTACCAGAGGTACAAGGAGGAGCTGTTACCATTCCTTCTGAAACTATTCCAATCAATAGAAAAGAGGAAGTCCTCCCTAACTCATTTTGTGAGGCCAGCATCATCCTGATACCAAAGCCGGGCAGAGACACAACAAAAAAAGAGAATTTTAGACCAATATCCCTGATGAACATCGATGCAAAAATCCTCAATAAAATACTGGCAAACTGAATCCAGCAGCACATCAAAAAGCTTATCCACCATGATCAAGTGGGCTTCATCCCTGGGATGCAAGGCTGGTTCAACATACACAAATCAATAAACATAATCCAGCATATAAACAGAACCAACGACAAAAACCACATGATTATTACAATAGATGCAGAAAAGGCCTTTGACAAAATTCAAGAACACTTCATGCTAAAAACTCTCAATATATTAGGTATTCATGGGACGTATTTCAAAATAATAAGAGCTATCTATGACAAACCCACAGCCAATATCATACTGAATGGGCAAAAACCGGAAGCACTCCCTTTGAAAACTGGCACAAGACAGGGATGCCCTCTCTCACCACTCCTATTCAACATAGTGTTGGAAGTTCTGGCCAGGGCAATCAGGCAGGAGAAGGAAATAAAGGGTATTCAATTAGGAAAAGAGGAAGTCAAATTATCCCTGTTTGCAGATGACATGATTGTATATCTAGAAAACCCCACTGTCTCAGCCCAAAATCTCCTTAAGCTGATAAGCAACTTCAGCAAAGTCTCACGATACAAAATCAATGTGCAAAAATCACAAGCATTCTTATAGACCAACAACAGACAGAGAGCCAAATCATGAGTGAACTCCCATTCACAATTGCTTCAAAGAGAATAAAATACCTAGGAATCCAACTTACAAGGGATGTGAAGGACCTCTTCAAGGAGAACTACAAACCACTGCTCAAGGAAATAAAAGAGGATACAAACAAATGGAAGAACATTCCATGCTCATGGGTAGGAAGAATCAATATCGTGAAAATGGCCATACTGCCCAAGGTAATTTACAGATTCAATGCCATCCCCATCAAGCTACCAATGACTTTCTTCACAGAATTGGAAAAAACTACTTTAAAGTTCATATGGAACCAAAAAAGAGCCTGCATCGCCAAGGCAATCCCAAGCCAAAAGAACAAAGCTGGAGGCATCACACTACCTGACTTCAAACTATACTACAAGGCTACAGTAACCAAAACAGCATGGTACTGGTACCAAAACAGAGATATAGATCAATGGAACAGAACAGAGCCCTCAGAAATAACGCCGCATATCTACAACTATCTGATCTTTGACAAACCTGAGAAAAACAAGCAATGGGGAAAGGATTCCCTATTTAATAAATGGTGCTGGGAAAACTGGCTAGCCATATGTAGAAAGCTGAAACTGGATCCCTTCCTTACACCTTACACAAAAATCAATTCAAGTTGGATTAAAGACTTAAACGTTAGACCTAAAACCATAAAAACCCTAGAAGAAAACCTAGGCATTACCATTCAGGACATAGGCATGGGCAAGGACTTCATGTCCAAAACACCAAAAGCAATGGCAATAAAAGACAAAATTGACAAATGGGATCTAATTAAACTAAAGAGCTTCTGCACAGCAAAAGAAACTACCATCAGAGTGAACAGCCAACCTATAGAATGGGAGAAAATTTTTGCAATCTACTCATCTGACAAAGGGCTAATATCCAGAATCTACAATGAACTCAAACAAATTTACAAGAAAAAGACAAACAACCCCATCAACAAGTGGGCAAAGGATATGAACAGACACTTCTCAAAAGAAGACATTTATGCAGCCAACAGACACATGAAAAAATGCTCATCATCACTGGCCATCAGAGAAATGCAAATCAAAATCACAATGAGATACCATCTTACACCAGTGAGAATGCCAATCATTAAAAATCAGGAAACAACAGGTGCTAGAGAGGATGTGGAGAAACAGGAACACTTTTACACTGGTGGTGGGACTGTAAACTAGTTCAACCATTGTGGAAGTCAGTGTGGCGATTCCTCAGGGATCTAGAACTAGAAATACCATTTGACCCAGCAATCCCATTATTGGGTATATACCCAAAGGATTATAAATCATGCTGCTATAAAGACCCATGCGCACGTATGTTTATTGTGGCACTATTCACAATAGCAAAGACTTGGAACCAACCCAAATGTCCAACAACGATAGACTGGATTAAGAAAATGTGGCGAAGGAGGAGCCAAGATGGCCGAATAGGAACAGCTCCGGTCTATAGCTCCCAGCGTGAGCGACGCAGAAGATGGGTGATTTCTGCATTTCCATCTGAGGTACCGGGTTCATCTCACTAGGGAGTGCCAGACAGTGGGCGCAGGTCAGTGGGTTTGCACGAGCCGAAGCAGGGCAAGGCATTGCCTCACTTGGGAAGTGCAAGGGGTCAGGGAGTTCCCTTTCCGAGTCAAAGAAAGGGGTGACGGACTCACCTGGAAAATCGGGTCACTCCCACCCGAATATTGCGCTTTTCAGACTGGCTTAAAAAACGGTGCACCACGAGATTATATCCCGCACCTGGCTCAGAGGGTCCTATGCCCACGGAGTCTCGCTGATTGCTAGCACAGCAGTCTGAGATCAAACTGCAAGGCGGCAGCGAGGCTGGGGGAGGGGCGCCCGCCATTGCCCAGGCTTGCTTAGGTAAACAAAGCAGCCCCGATGCTCGAACTGGGTGGAGCCCACCACAGCTCAAGGAGGCCTGCCTGCCTCTGTAGGCTCCACCTCTGGGGACAGGGCACAGACAAACAAAAAGACAGCAGTAACCTCTGCATACTTAAATGTCCCTGTCTGACAGCTTTGAAGAGAGCAGTGGTTCTCCCAGCACGCAGCTGGAGATCTGAAAACGGGCAGACTGCCTCCTCAAGTGGGTCCCTGACCCCCGAGCAGCCTAACTGGCAGGCACCCGCCAGCAGGGGCACACTGACACCTCACATGGCAGGGTATTCCAACAGACCTGCAGCTGAGGATCCTCTCTGTTAGAAGGAAAACTAACAAACAGAAAGGACATCCACACCAAAAACCCATCTGTACATCACCATCATCAAAGACCAAAGGTAGATAAAACCACAAAGATGGGGAAAAAGCAGAACAGAAAAACGGGAAACTCTAAAACACAGAGCGCTTCTCCTCCTCCAAAGGAACGCCGTTCCTCACCAGCAACGGAACAGAGCTGGATGGAGAATGACTTTGACGAGCTGAGAGAAGAAGGCTTCAGACGATCAAATTACTCTGAGCTACGGGAGGACATTCAAACCAAAGGCAAAGAAGTTGAAAACTTTGAAAAAAATTTAGAAGAATGTATAACTAGAATAACCAATACAGAGAAGTGCTTAAAGGAGCTGATGGAGCTGAAAACCAAGGCTCGAGAACTACGTGAAGAATGCAGAAGCCTCAGGAGCCGATGCGATCAACTGGAAGAAAGGGTATCAGCAATGGAAGATGAAATGAATGAAATGAAGCGAGAAGGGAAGTTTAGAGAAAAAAGAATAAAAAGAAACGAGCAAAGCCTCCAAGAAATATGGGACTATGTGAAAAGACCAAATCTACGTCTGATTGGTGTACCTGAAAGTGATGGGGAGAATGGAACCAAGTTGGAAAACACTCTGCAGGATATTATCCAGGAGAACTTCCCCAATCTAGCAAGGCAGGCCAATGTTCAGATTCAGGAAATACAGAGAACGCCACAAAGATACTCCTCGAGAAGAGCAACTCCAAGACACATAATTGTCAGATTCACCAAAGTTGAAATGAAGGAAAAAATGTTAAGGGCAGCCAGAGAGAAAGGTCGGGTTACCCTCAAAGGGAAGCCCATCAGACTAACAGCAGATCTCTCAGCAGAAACCCTACAAGCCAGAAGAGAGTGGGGGCCAATATTCAACATTCTTAAAGAAAAGAATTTTCAACCCAGAATTTCATATCCAGCCAAACTAAGCTTCATAAGTGAAGGAGAAATAAAATCCTTTACAGACAAGCAAATGCTGAGAGATTTTGTCACCACCAGGCCTGCCCTAAAAGAGCTCCTGAAGGAAGCGCTGAACATGGAAAGGAACAATCAGTACCAGCCGCTGCAAAATCATGCCAAAATGTAAAGACCATCGAGACTAGGAAGAAACTACATCAACTAATGAGCAAAATAACTGACTAACATCATAATGACAGGATCAAATTCACACATAACCATATTAACTTTAAATGTAAATGGACTAAATGCTCCAATTAAAAGACACAGACTGGCAAATTGGATAAAGAGTCAAGACCCATCAGTGTGCTGTATTCAGGAGACCCATCTCACGTGCAGACACACACACAGGCTCAAAATAAAGGGATGGAGGAAGATCTACCAAGCAAATGGAAAACAAAAAAAGGCAGGAGTTACAATCCTAGTCTCTGATAAAACAGACTTTAAACCAACAAAGATCAAAAGAGACAAAGAAGGCCATTACATAATGGTAAATGGATCAATTCAACAAGAAGAGCTAACTATCCTAAATATATATGCACCCAATACAGGAGCACCCAGATTCATAAAGCAAGTCCTGAGTGACCTATAAAGAGACTTAGACTCCCACACAATAATAATGGGAGACTTTAACACCCCACTGTCAACATTAGACAGATCAATGAGACAGAAAGTCAACAAGGATACCCAGGAATTGAACTCAGCTTTGCACCAAGCGGACCTAATAGACATCTACAGAACTCTCCACCCCAAATCAACAGAATATACATTTTTTTCAGCACCACACCACACCTATTCCAAAATTGACCACATACTTGGAAGCTCTCCTCAGCAAATGTAAAAGAACAGAGATTATAACAAACTATCTCTCAGACCACAGTGCAATCAAACTAGAACTCAGAATTAAGAATCTCACTCAAAACCGCTCAACTACATGGAAACTGAACAACCTGCTCCTGAACGACTACTGGATACATAACGAAATGAAGGCAGAAATAAAGATGTTCTTTGAAACCAACGAGAACAAAGACACAACATACCAGAATCTCTGGGACACATTCAAAGCAGTGTGTAGAGGGAAATTTATAGCACTAAATGCCCACAAGAGAAAGCAGGAAAGATCCAAAATTGACACCCTAACATCACAATTAAAAGAACTAGAAAAGCAAGAGCAAACACATTCAAAAGCTAGCAGAAGGCAAGAAATAACTAAAATCACAGCAGAACTGAAGGAAATAGAGACACAAAAGACCCTTCAAAAAATTAATGAATCCAGGAGCTGGTTTTTCGAAAGGATCAACAAAATTGATAGACCACTAGCAAGACTAATAAAGAAAAAAAGAGAGAAGAATCAAATAGACACAATAAAAAATGATAAAGGGGCTATCACCACCGATCCCACAGAAATACAAACTACCATCAGAGAATACTACAAACACCTCTACGCAAATAAACTAGAAAATCTAGAAGAAATGGCTACATTCCTCGACACATACACTCTCCCAAGACTAAGCCAGGAAGAAGTTGAATCTCTGAATAGACCAATAACAGGAGCTGAAATTGTGGCAATAATCAATAGTTTACCAACCAAAAAGAGTCCAGGACCAGATGGATTCACAGCCGAATTCTACCAGAGGTACAAGGAGGAACTGGTACCATTCCTTCTGAAACTATTCCAATCAATAGAAAAAGAGGGAATCCTCCCTAACTCATTTTATGAGACCAGCATCATTCTGATACCAAAGCCGGGCAGGGACACAACAAAAAAAGAGAATTTTAGACCAATATCCTTGATGAACATTGATGCAAAAATCCTCAATAAAATACTGGCAAACCGAATCCAGCAGCACATCAAAAAGCTTATCCACCATGATCAAGTGGGCTTCATCCCTGGGATGCAAGGCTGGTTCAATATACGCAAATCAATAAATGTAATCCAGCATATAAACAGAGCCAAAGACAAAAACCACAGGATTATCTCAATAGATGCAGAAAAGGCCTTTGACAAAATTCAAGAACCCTTCATGCTAAAAACTCTCAATAAATTAGGTATTAATGGGACGTATTTCAAAATAATAAGAGCTATCTATGACAAACCCACAGCCAATATCATACTAAATGGGCAAAAACCGGAAGCACTCCCTTTGAAAACTGGCACAAGACAGGGATGCCCTCTCTCACCACTCCTATTCAACATAGTGTTGGTAGTTCTGGCCAGGGCAATCAGGCAGGAGAAGGAAATAAAGGGTATTCAATTAGGAAAAGAGGAAGTCAAATTGTCCCTGTTTGCAGATGACATGATTGTATATCTAGAAAACCCCATTGTCTCAGCCCAAAATCTCCTTAAGCTGATAAGCAACTTCAGCAAACTCTCAGGATACAAAATCAATGTACAAAAATCACAAGCATTCTTATAGACCAACAACAGACAGAGAGCCAAATCATGAGTGAACTCCCATTCACAATTGCTTCAAAGAGAATAAAATACCTAGGAATCCAACTTACAAGGGATGTGAAGGACCTCTTCAAGGAGAACTACAAACCACTGCTCAAGGAAATAAAAGAGGATACAAACAAATGGAAGAACATTCCATGCTCATGGGTAGGAAGAATCAATATCGTGAAAATGGCCATACTGCCCAAGGTAATTTACAGATTCAATGCCATCCCCATCAAGCTACCAGTGACTTTCTTCACAGAATTGGAAAAAACTACTTTAAAGTTCATATGGAACCAAAAAAGAGCCTGCATCGCCAAGGCAATCCCAAGCCAAAAGAACAAAGCTGGAGGCATCACACTACCTGACTTCAAACTATACTACAAGGCTACAGTAACCAAAACAGCATGGTACTGGTACCAAAACAGAGATATAGATCAATGGAACAGAACAGAGCCCTCAGAAATAACGCCGCATATCTACAACTATCTGATCTTTGACAAACCTGAGAAAAACAAGCAATGGGGAAAGGATTCCCTATTTAATAAATGGTGCTGGGAAAACTGGCTAGCCATATGTAGAAAGCTGAAACTGGATCCCTTCCTTACACCTTACACAAAAATCAATTCAAGTTGGATTAAAGACTTAAACGTTAGACCTAAAACCATAAAAACCCTAGAAGAAAACCTAGGCATTACCATTCAGGACATAGGCATGGGCAAGGACTTCATGTCCAAAACACCAAAAGCAATGGCAATAAAAGACAAAATTGACAAATGGGATCTAATTAAACTAAAGAGCTTCTGCACAGCAAAAGAAACTACCATCAGAGTGAATAGGCAACCTACGGAATCAGAGAAAATTTTCACCACCTACTCATCTGACAAAGGGCTAATATCCAGAATCTACAATGAACTCAAACAAATTTACAAGAAAAAAACAAACAACCCCATCAAAAAGTGGGCGAAGGACATGAACAGACACTTCTCAAAAGAAGACATTTATGCAGCCAAAAAACACATGAAAAAATGCTCATCATCACTGGCCATCAGAGAAATGCAAATCAAAACCACAATGAGATACCATCTCACACCAGTTAGAATGGCAATCATTAAAAAGTCAGGAAACAACAGGTGCTGGAGAGGATGTGGAGAAATAGGAACACTTTTACACTGTTGGTGGGACTGTAAACTAGTTCAACCATTGTGGAAGTCAGTGTGGCGATTCCTCAGGGATCTAGAACTAGAAATACCATTTGACCCAGCCATCCCATTACTGGGTATATACCCAAAGGACTATAAATCATGTTGCTATAAAGACACATGCACACGTATGTTTATTGCGGCATTATTCACAATAGCAAAGACTTGGAACCAACCCAAATGTCCAACAACGATAGACTGGATTAAGAAAATGTGGCACATATACACCATGGAATACTATGCAGCCATACAAAATGATGAGTTCATGTCCTTTGTAGGGACATGGATGAAACTGGAAATCATCATTCTCAGTAAACTATCGCAAGAACAAAAATCCAAACACCGCATATTCTCACTCATAGGTGGGAATTGAACAATGAGATCACATGGACACAGGAAGGGGAATATCACACTCTGGGGACTGTTGTGGGGTGGGGGCAGGGGGGAGGGATAGCATTGGGAGATATACGTAATGCCAGATGACGAGTTAGTGGGTGCAGTGCACCAGCATGGCACATGTATACATATGTAACTAACCTGCACAACGTGCACATGTACCCTAAAACTTAAAGTATAATAAAAAAAAAAAAGAAAATATGGCACATATACACCATGGAGTACTATGCAGCCATAAAAAATGATGAGTTCATATCCTTTGTAGGGACATGGATGAAGCTGGAAACCATCATTCTGAGCAAACTATTGCAAGGACAAAAAAGCAAACACTGCATGTTCTCACTCATAGGTGGGAATTGAACAATGAGAACACGTGGACACAGAAAGGGGAACATCACACACTGGGGCCTGTTGTTGTGTGGGGGGTTGGGGGAGGGATAGCATTAGGAGATATACCTAAAGTTAAATGATGAGTTAATGGGTGCAGTACGCCAACATGGCACATGTATACATATGTAACAAACCTGCACGTTGTGCCCATGTACCGTAAAACTTAAAGTATAATTTAAAAAAAAATTTCCTTAGCATCTTTTATGTCTTGCCAAGGTTAAGAATTACTGCTCTAAGACAGTCCTGGTCCAGCTGCCAAACAGAATAAAAACAGGCCATCCTGAGCTTACTCCAAATATCCTGTCTCCCGTCTCCCAGACTGGTTTCAACTATGCCTCCCCATATACACCTCAAGGCTGGCTGTACTCCCACTTAGCTCCTGGTGTCTGTCCATCCCGACCCCTGGTACCTGGCAATCCAGGCCTCTCAGGCTGGGTGTGACTCTCACTCCCACTCTCTGCAGCCGGGACACTCCATCTCCATCTAACTTTGTATGCTATTGGGTGTGATTCCCCGATTGCTTCAGGAAAGTCTCACTTCCTTAAGGAGATTTTAAACTCATCCAAGTCAGAGTCTTAATCTATTTCCGGGAGGGACTAGCATACTATTGAGCATATAGCAGTCAGAGCCTCAATGTCTTTATCTGTAAAATGGAGATATCTGTAAAATTGCCTGTAAAATAGAAATATATATAAAATTTATAGGCACAGAAATTCATATCTTATTCCAAAAGAGATACTTGACATGATGTATAAAAAGTGCCCAGGAAGATCTAAAACACAGCAAGGACCCCATAAGTGGTAGCTATTATTGGATCCATTGAAACCCAGGCATTATGACTTCTGGACCAGTGTTTCTTCTAGATCTCAAGTCAACATGACCTACCAGAAAATAACAGTATCTGAGTCATTCAGAGTACTAATGATGTGGCATCAGGAGCCCATCAGCCATGTCAGCCTGCCTGTGTACCTTATGCTAGGCCAATGCTTAACTCATTCTATGAAAGATGCAACTGGCTGGCATTGGCCTTCCTTTTTCTCTTCATTCGGCCTGGATTTTCTGAGAAGACTGTGAGGACCTGCTGTTCTGGACAGTGTGTAGGATGGGCATCTTGTTTTGCCACTCAGCAGGAGGAAGGACACATGCTTTCTGTTTTGTCGTCAAAGGAAATAACAACTCTCAGATGTTGCAGTGTTGCCAATAGAGAGAGAATGCAGAACTGCCCCAATCCTGCCTCAGTTTGTCTCTTCTCTTAAGAATCAATAGTTGTCAGACTGGAAAAAGCAGGGTCATACTAGCTAGACCCTATAGAGATCCAAGAGCAAAAAAGACCATAAGAGAGTTCAGAATTCATCTAAGTGACCTTGAGGCTCCCCTGATAGAATAATTCTCACTGTGCTGGGAGAAGTTGCAGATGTAATTGCGGATCTTTTGTTAGTACTTTGGGGGAAGTAGTGGAAGAGAAGATCAAGACAAGGGAGACCACTGTTACCCTGTTTTAGTTAAAGTGACTCTAGCTGCTGTATGCTAAACCTTGCAGTCTCTGTGACTTAGCACAATATGGGTACGTCTCCCTAGGACACAGTCCGGTGTGGTGGCATGGCCCAGCAGCCTTCAACATCAACATTCAGGTGCCCAGTCTCTTTCCAACTGTGGCTCGGCCTTCCTTATGGTGGTCCCATTCAACTGGTAAATGAGGAGAGAGACAAAGAAAAAGGTACACCCACCTGCTTCTGTCCAGAAATGATACCTACTACTTCTGGCCATGTTTCATTGGCCAGAGCTCAGTCATATGGCCACAGCTGATTGCAAGAGACATGGAAAATGTGGTCTAGTTGTGTGCCCAGGAGGAAAGGGAAATGGGCTGGATACGACAAAGCAGCAAGCCAAAACATAAAGCTAACTGAAATACAAATGCATTAGTATAAATTAAGTATTCAGAATTTTAATGTTGATGTCCCAATTTATTTCAAGCTGGTAAAGACAACCCTTGAGTATTTTGTTCCACTCAAGATGCTACACGAACAGAGACATTGAAATACTGGAGTGTATCAAAAAATGAGTGCAATAATCTGAACACTTGAGTCCCCCCAAAATTCAAATATTGAAATCTAAATCCCAATGGCATGATATTGGAGGTGAAGCCCTTGGGAGGTAATTAGATCATGAGAGTAGAGCTTTTATCAATGGGATTAGTGTCCTTATTAAAGAGACCCCAGAAAACTAGCTAACCCCTTCCACCATGTGAAGACACAGAAATAAGGCACCATCTATGAACCAGTTAACAGTTCCTCACCAGTCCCTAAATCTGCCAGTGCCTTGATGTTGGACTTCCCAATCTCCAGAACTGTAAGAAATAAATTTCTGTGGTTTATAAATTAGCCAGTATATTAGTCTGTTCTCACACTGCCAATAAAGACATATCCAAGACTAGGTAATTTATAAAGGAAAGAGGTTTGACTGACAGTTCAGCATAACTGGGGAGGTCTCAGGAAACTTACAATCATGGTGGAAGGGGAAGCAAACACATCCTTCTTCACATGGCAGCAGCAAGAGGTGCAGAGGGAATTGGGGGGAAAGTCCCTGATAAAACCATCAGATCTCTTGCGAACTCACTCACTATCAGAGTAACAGCATGGAGGTAACCACCCCCATGATTCAATTACCTCCCACTGGGTCCCTCCCATGACATGTGAGGATTATGGGAACTACAGATGAACTACATTTGGAACTACAGATCGCAAATGTCCCCTCCTTTGTGAGCCTTCTCTGTGGCCCCCAGGTAGTCAGAAAATCCCATTCTCTGTATTGTTGTGTCACCTTGTTTGTATATATAAGGATCCAACTCCATCGCTCTTCTCTTGACTTGAGCCATGATGGCTCGTGACCTGGGACCATACTTTATTCTCCTGGAATCTCCAGCAGCTAGAACAGAGTAGGCTCTTAATCACTGATTATTGAATAAAAGATTTCTGGCAGGGAATCATCTGAATTAATGACACAGCCCTGGCTTGCCCTGCCATGGAGATGTACCACAGTTTCTACATTCCAACCTGGTGAGAAGCTGATCAAATATACATTTTAAGCATAATTAATATAGAAAAAGAAAGAAAATGCCAAGTGTTGATGAGTATGTGAAGGAACTGCAACTTTCATCGACTGCTGGTGGGCTGTATAAATTGGTACAATCTCTTTGGAAAACAGCTCAGCCATATCTCCTAAAGCTGAACATATGTATACCCTATGACCCAGCATTTCACTCCTAGGTGTGTAGCCAATAAAAATGCGTATATCTACTCACCAAATGACATGTTCTGGAATGTTGAAAGCAATACTATTTATAATAGTCACAGACTAGTCACTGCCCAAAAGCCCATCAAGAGTAGAACGAATAAATTATAGTATAGGCTACAGCAATAAAAATGAACTATGACTACACACAACAATGTGGATGGACCTCACAACTATAATGTTGAGTGAAAGAAGTTAGACAGGAAAGTGTCTATATTGTTTTATTCTATCTATATAAACTACAAAACAGTCAAGTTGGAGTCAGAATAGTGACTTCCCTTGGAGGTGAATAATGCCAAAATAGGATAAAAGAGTTTTCCTGAGTGCAGATAATGTTTCTTCATCTGACAGTTGGCTGTAAGAATGCATTTGTTTGTGAAAATATATTAAGTCGGAATTTTGACTTATGTTTCTTTTGCTGTGTGTATATTTTGATAAGAAATTGTTTTAAATATTAGTATCCTCAAACCACAAAAGTCTCAAAGAACTTGAGACTTCACTGTGCCTAGATAGGTCTTGCATATGGTAAGTTCCAGAAAAAAATAATTTGGAAAATGTTTATTTAGCCATTGTTATGTTTAAGACCCAAGCAATCCAAAGATGAATAGGACAAAATCCCTGACCTCAAGCAACTGATAATATTGTTTAGAATAAAGCAAGATCTCCGATTATAACATGGCTAGAATGCTGTCAGTGGGATATGGGAAAGGATGATAACAGCTAGCACAAAGTACACAGGTACTATGTGCTTTATGCATATTAATATTTCATTTTCATAGTATCCCTAAATATAGATATTACTATTATTCCCATTATATAGATGAAGATATTGGGGCATGGAGAGATTGAGTGCTTTGCATCATCTTCTCTGTTCCTCTCCAACTTACTATCCTCTAATATTCAAGCTCCTCTTTGCTCTGTTTTCATCACAGTAGTCTCAGTTTCTCTAGGTGGGTCCCCTACCTCCTGCCCAGGACTTTGCAGACACTATTTCCTCTGCTGGAACCATTCTCCCTCCTCTAAGCCCTGTTATCGTCCACTCATTTATTAGCTCTCTACAAAAACATCACTTCCTCAGGGACTTCCAGATAGGTACAATCTGACTGTTATAGGTTCTCAAACACCATATGCTTACTACCTTCACAGCATGTCTCAGCTGAAAATTTACATATTTTTAGTGAGATGATTTTATTAAGACTTTCTTTATCCCTAGACTATAAGCCTCATGAGAGCAGGAACCATGCATGTTTACCACTGTTATCTCAGTAGCTAGCATAGTAGATACATAATAAATATGTGCTGAGTAAACGAGTTAAGTATCCACCATGGCCAATCACTATATTTTTAAGTGATACAAAATTTAGAGCAAGAATTAAATATAAATGACATGATATCATCTGGTACAATTTTCATTAATTAAGTGTAATCACTGCTTATTCTTCAAAGCCAAGCAGAACATGTTCTTCTAACTTACTCTGAGCCTTTTCATTAGAATAATAAATTTTTAGAAATATTTAGAAACACATTCAGAGGTCTGTCTACAGCCTGTTTTCCACTTTCCTGTGGTTTTCTTTCTTGCTCTGGTAGGAAAGAGAGTCTTTGAGTTGCCTGCTTAAATGTTCTCAAGGGAAAGGCCTTAGTTGTCCTGCCAACCCCTTTGATCTTTCCTCAAGGCAGAAGCAGAGAGATAAGACTGTGGGGAAAAAGATTGAAAGCATAGCATATGCCTATATATCAGCAGTGTGCATCCCAATAATTGTGTTTTTCCAGTTATTGGTTTTCCCAACAGTAGACTGGGCTACCATTCTAGAAACTTTTTCTCCCATAAGATGGCTTAAAATTCCCAGAGAAATAGTATCTTCAGTAAACTCTTGGGTTTCCAGAGGTTATAACTGGGTCTCTGACTCTGCTTTCTTGATTTTAAATGTAAGTTTTTTGCTGCAATCAAACAGAATATAATAACATTCTCAAAGAGAGACAAAAAAGCAGTTGTCCACTGTAACTGTGCTATGTTAGGAATTTTATCTGATCTAAGAGTCAAAGGCTATTCCTGGTGTCAACCAAAGTGTCTTCTGCTACATCATCAAAGCTTTTTATGATGGGTTTCAAGTTTGTAGGGTACTGATGCTACAAGTTCATCACCTTTTCCACATGTGAATACACCTTCCTGTAATCACCCAATCTTCCAGGGAAGCAAAAAATAAAAATAAATAAATAAATAAAAAATTCCATTAGAACATTCCTTCGCCCTGTGCAGTACCTGAAATGTGAATTTCCAACTAGAAGCAAAAAGTTAAGATCTATAGTTTTATCCCAGCATCCTTCCAAAGGGCTCAATATTTGGGAAACCAACACGAAAAACAGTGCAAAGGTGCCACCAGTCCAAGTGAGCATAAATGCTTCCCTAAGGGATTCTTGGAAGATCCTTCCAGTCATCAAGGCTGTGCAGATAAGATGCCCACCTCAGCCCCAGTGATCACTCAAGTATCTGCCTGGTAGGGGCTTAATACAAAATCTGTCCTCCAATTCCAAACGCCTGCTTCATAGGCAGGGGCCTAGGAGATTTAGCAGCTTTTGTAGGGGGGAACTTGAGGCCAGATAATAATCGATATCCAGTCACCTTATAGGGAGCCAATACATTTTTGAGAGAGAAAAATGTAATAGTATCTTACTAGGGAACCTCCTAAGGCCCTCCTTCTTAGCAATCATACTAGAACAGTAAAACAAGAACAAACAAAAATTCATAAGATTAAAACAAATCTCCCCAACTACTCCCAGAGAACAAACACTGACATTTATCCCAAGTAGGCCTTTTTTTGCCCTACTCTTTGAGAACATAATGGGATCTTTGAGTGGTGGTTTCTTTCTTTGAGGAGAGTCCTCACTCACATAAATTGCTGTTAAGTTAAGCGCTCTGCCAATCTCTGAATCTGTGGCTCAGCATTAGGACAGATGAAGAGAATCTAACTCTTTAAGAATACTTGCTATCTGTCCAGTGTTCACATCTGCAGTTTTACTTTTACCTCACAACTACCTGAATTAGAATGGAAGCCATGAGGCACATATTTCTGTCTAGTTTTTCCACTGCCATATCCCTGGCACCTACAATAGTATCTGGCAAGTAGAAGATGCTCAATAGAAACATGAATAAATGCAAGCATATTATTATGGATACCATTATTCCTGATTTTCAGTTAAAAAACTGAATCTCAAAGAAATTATGAAACATATTCAAAGTCACAGGTTTTGTGAGTAGCAGAGGCCTTTCTGATGCCAACTTTTATGCTCCTTCAACTCTGCCTTTCAAGGCTCATTCTTCAATTTCCCTATCCAAGAAAGCTTCTTTTCTCAATGTTTGTCTTCCTTATCTTTCTCCTCCTTTTTCCCCTCCTTCTTACAAGCTACACCACACTTATAGCCAGTTTATTCTTTTCTTTCTCCTGTGCTTGTTCATCTGCGCAAAGAGGGGAATAACCTCCACTCTTATGGAGAAAGAAACCTCCTTATGACAATAAGGAAGAGAGAGGTCTGAGCTGTAAAGGTGCTGTACCTACTGCTGAAAACATGGACTGCTCCTAAATGTGTGATTTTTTGTGTGTGTAGTCACCCATCCAGAGAAACGCTTGTTAGACCTCAATGCCAGACCAAGGTTTCTCCTCTTGAACTACTGGTTTGGTTTCCTTTTGAAGATAGTCTGATTCTTCTTGCTGATTCTTTTTCTGTCGTCATTTGCTCACTACAAACCTCAACGGTGGGAACTTTACAATGTGTGCTTCTCCTCACCAAAATTGGTAGCCTTTCCTTCAAAATTCACATCCACTTGGATTCTCAGAATGTGACCTTACTAAGAAATAGGGTCTTTGCAAAATGTAATTAAACTAAGAAGAGGTCATACATGATTAGAGTGGGCTCTAAATCAATGGCTGGTGTCCTTACAAGAAGAAAAACAGAAACAGACAGAAATACAGGAAAGAAGGCTGTATGACGATAGAGGCGGAGACTGGGATGATGCAGCTGCAAGCCAAGGAATGCCTGGGATTGCCAGTGACCACCAGAAGTTAGGAAGAGGCATAGCAGGATTCTTCCCTAGAGCCCTCAGAGGAAGCATGGCTTGCCTGGTACCTTGATTTTGGACTTCTAGCCTCCAGAACTGTGACAGAATAAATTTAAGCCACTCCATTTGTGGTACTTTGATATGGCAGTCCTATAAAATTAATACAGGGAGTCTGAAACATCTTGTTATGCCAGAAAGCAAGGAATCTATCAAAAACCAGTAGGACCTTTTCAAAAAAACTCAGGAACTAAGTTGAGGAGCCTCCCACTGGCCAAAGATGAAACAGCTTGAACAACAATAAGGATAAAAACTAAAATGAATTTAAACATGTTAAGTATGTTTAAATTCATGATTTATAATAATACAGAATTGGTCATTGATCATCTTTGGAGGGTGCTCTAAACCCTACATATTATTTGAAAACTGGCAAATAAAAGGAAATAAGCATATTTCCTTTTTTCTTCTGGGTAACAAATAGTTAATGAAATGAAGCTTCTCTATATAAAAACAAAGAAGGAACGATAGAATAAGAGCATCAACATTTGTAACCCCTAAGGAATTAACAGATCTAAGTCATGATCAGCAACAGCTGCTGGCATCACAGAAAGAGAAACGGTCGGAACTTATGTGCTTCCTGAAGGAAATACTCACCACCACTTATGAAATGGTCTGCACACACACACACACACACACACACACAAATGTGAATCTGATTAAGTCTCTAGATTTACCTACCTATTTGCAAAAAACATAGAGAACAGTGAAACATGTTCACCATGACAAATGAAAAATGGCATCATGAAGATGAGTCAGCAACATCAAGGCTGTGGGAAATCCTATAGGAATAACAACTTGTTTTCTTCAACAAATAATTGCAAGGAGAGGAAAACAGATGAAGGGTGTATTACTAGATAAAAAAGACATATTATTCATAGAAATGAAAAACAATGAATGGCTCTTAATTGAACCTGATTCAAACAAGCTCTATCTATCTATCTATCTATCTATCTATCTATCTATCTATCTAGCTAGCTAGCTAGCTAGCTATCTATCTATCTTCTATCTATCTATCATTTATCTATCATCTATCTATATAAAGAAAAAATTCATGGACAGAATATTTTAAATTTAAAAATTATGATTAACATTTAGGTAAAATAAATTCATTATAGCTTTTTTGTATTTCTTTCAGAAAGACATACTGAAATACCTATGGATGAAATTACGTCTGAAATTTTCTTCACAATAATCCATGGGGTGGGAGGCAGTATAAATGAAACAAGACTGGCCATGAGATGAGAACTGTTGAATCTGGGGGGTGGTTACATAGGGGTTCATCATACCATTCTCTCTATTTCTCTACATGTTTTAAATTTTTGTCATAAACAGTTAAAACTTATATTTGTACCACAGTCAGGATTGGCTTAGGAAAATAGGGTACACCAGAGGCTGCAGGAGGGTAGGCATTGGTGAGGTCAACTATGAGAAGTCGTGAGCCTGGAGAAAGAGCCAGGCTGACATGGGAGTTGGGACTCAAGTATAGAACTTGCATCCTGGGGTCACTTGCCTAATCTTTTCCTCCTATGCTCACACATTTTTTCCTGCACATCCACTTGCCAAACCACCCTTACTCCCAAGCTTTATCTTCCCAAGCTATGTACCCAATAACCTTCTAGTGGCACTCACCAATCCCCCATTCACTAACTCTGTTTCCTTCTCTTTCTCAATGTTTGAGTACAGAGACATGAGGCAGTGGGTAGGCCTATATCTGCTCAAGAATGAACAAGTGGTCTTTGTTGTGTTTAAATACTGTTGAGTTTCTAGAAGTCAGTAAACCTCTTACTGGCAGGTAGAGACTTCTAAATTCCCTCACAGTTCCTATCCCAGCTATAAACATTCAGTTAATATTTCATCTGTAATATTTTCAAATCTGACTTTCATAGTATGAAATAAATCTCTGGTACATTTAGAGAATTGATGTTTTCCAACTTGATGGCAAAACATTTCTGGTTGCTTCACTTTTTCCATCGAGTAAGGAGTAGCCCTTGTTCTTCTCTGCTTCATATGGACTATTTCCATAAATCCTCAAACAGAAGGTACTATGGAATTCCAAGACAATCTAATGTTGGTTTAATGCAAACCTGGAGACAAGAGTGAGTGAACTAAACTAATTGTGTTGTAATCCCATAGCTTGGCTCCTTTAAGTCACATACACAGTCTAAACCATTATTTACAATAAATTTGCCTTAAGATAGCTTATTCAGAAATATTATAGAGGCAAAGGAAAGGAAAAGTCAGAATTAGCTCTTACTAAGCACCTTCAATGTGCCAGGCATGATGGTGTTTATCATTACTCATATGCATTATGTCATTTAGTACTACAAGGGTTTAAAGAAGAGTAAATGAGTTGTAAAGCAATAAGCACAGAAGCTGGTTCACAGAAAATATCAAAAAAGTAGTGCTCTAAAACAAAATAAGAATAGTTTTTATTATTAACTGTGGAATAGGTATTGTTACCCTAATTTTATAGATAAGAAAGCAGGGGCTCAGAGCCACTCACTAGCTTTCCTAAGATCACACAGCTAATAAGTAGTAGAGCCAGGGCTTGAACCAAGTATAAGGCATATACTTGAATCAAAGTATGAAGCTTATGTGGGTCAGAGCTCAACCAAAGGGAGATATATAGAGAGATGTTAATGAAAGCAATTGGGTTATGCAATTATGGGGACTGGTAAGACAAGCTGGAAATCTGTAGGTCAGGAATGAACTCTTGGGCACAGGCCGATGCTGCTATCCACAGGCAGAATGTCCTCTTCTTCAAGGAATCCTCAGCTCTGCTCTTAAGAATATTTAGCTGAATCAGGCTCACCCAGGTTATCTAGGATAATCAACTGATTATGGATCTTAATCACATCTATACAATATGTTCACAGCAATACCTAGATTAGTGTTTGATGGAATAACTGGGGCTGTAGACTAGCCAAGTTAACATATCAGAAAACCATCACAAAGTTCTTCCCACTTTGCTTTCTAAATATAAATTTAGAGCAGGAAGTTACCCTTAGGCCTTATCAACTCTAACTTCCAGTTTAGAGGAGAGAGAAATGAGGCTCAGAGTGGTGGAATGGCTTGGCCAAGCTGGTACCAATGACAGAGCTGGTACCAATGCCCAGGCCTCCTGGCCCTCAGCACAGTGCTCTTCCCATAATAGCAAATGCATGAGCTCACTCAACAAGGATTTGCAGTGTCCATGCTGCACCTTGTGGGGCACAAGAGATATGATGTAGTGTATGATCAATGCTGTAATAGGTGTGTGTAGTGCACAGTAGAGGCAGAAAGCAGGCCAATTCTACCTTGCAGAGGAGTAGGGTCAGAAAGGGCCTCAGGATAGAAGAAAAGCTGCGATTTGGAAAATGTGCTGATATTGGCCAAGCAGTCAGCGAGCAGACAGCCATCACTGAAAGAGGAAACAATGGGAGCAGAGGCCTTAAACAGGATTTGTTTGAGGTAAGAAGAGAAAGGTCTGGCCACAAGGAAAGCACAGACCTTTTCACATTACAGTATAAGCAATAAACTAGCTGAGGCTCACCCAGGCATGCTGTTCTGGGCCCTGCTGGGCCCTGACTTTATCTTGACAACCACTGCTGCGCACTAACATATAAAAAAAGAGGTAAACATGTATCTCAGTTGTTAAATATAGAGGACAATTGGGAACTCTGGCAACTCAGCTAGACTCATCCAGCTCTGAAGCAAAATCTCACCATTCTCCAGTGTTCATGATTAGGAAGAGCCAAACCTTCACCATAACAGGACGTGTCAGCACTGTGTCTCCGGGGATTTTTCTCTGCCTCAGGCATTGTCTGGGCCTCTAGCTGGAGTGGTCTAAGGATTGAAGGATCACTGTTCTGTTGGATGGAATCCTTTTATCTGGTGGATAAGACTTCCTCTGTGATGTGGTGGAGTGACATTTACTACCCTCTGACAAAGGGGGACAGTGAGGGCAGTCCTGCTGCAGCCAAAATGTGCAGGGAACAGTTCTCTGAAGCAACTAAACATCTTGAATAAATTTAAGCTGGCTCTAATACTGCTTCTACGTAAAAGACTGGAGGGCAACAGGACCTTTGAGAGTTTGGAGAGGTATACTCCCAGGGGTAGGACAAAGGGCATATGGGGCTCCTGCATGGGAAAGAACTCAGCATTTAAGTCCATCATATACTAGCAGTGGGATCTCTCTGAGCCTGCAAGGAAAATGAAACAATATAAAACCCTGACTCCAGGGTTGCTGCAAGGGCATTGGGAGGTAATGCAAGGACAAATGTCCAAATGGTATGTGGAAAATGTTTGTGGAATTTCAAAATCATGAAAAATCTATACTACACGTCAGACCCTAACTGTTGCAGGAAGTCAGGGACCTTGAACAGAAGGACCGGCTGAAGCCATGGCAGAAGAACATAAATTGTGAAGATTTCATGGACATTTATTAGTTCCCCAAATTAATATTTTTATAATTTCTTATGCCTGTCTTTACTGAAATCTCTGAACATAAATTGTGAAGATTTCATGGACATTTATCACTTCCCCAATCAATACTCTTATAATTTCCTATTCCTGTCTTTACTTAAATCTCTTAGTCCCATCATCTTTGTAAGCTGAGGATGTATGTCGCCTCAGGATCCTGTGATGATTGCGTTATCTGCACAAATTGTTTGTAAAGCATGTGTGTTTGAACAATAAGAAATCTGGGCACCTTGAAAAGAACAGGATAACAGTGATTTTCGGGGAACAAGGGAGATAACCATAAGGTCTGACTGCCTGTGGGGCCGGGCAGAACAGAGTCACATTTCTCTTCTTACAGAAAGCGAATAGGAGAAATATCGCTGAATTCTTTTTATCAGCAAGGAATAGCCTTGGGAAAAGAATGCACTCCCAGGGGGAGGTCTCTAAATGGCCACTCTGGGAGTGTCTGTCTTATGCAGTTGAAGATAAGGGATGAAATATGCTCTGGTCTCCTGCAGCACCCTCAGGCTTGCTAGGATTAGGAAATTCCAGCCTGGCAAATTCTAGTCAGACCGGTTGTATGCTCTCCAACCCCGTTTCCTGTTAAGATGTTTATCAATGACAATGTGTGCCCAGAGATACATGGACCTTCATCAGTAATTCTAGTTTCACCCTGGTCTTGTGATCTCACTCTGCCTCTCTGCCCTTGTGACCTTTTATTGCCCTCTGAAGCATATGATCTCTGTGACCCACTCCCTATTCATACCCCCCTCCCCTTTTAAAATCCCTAATAAAAACTTGCTGGTTTTGCAGTTTAGGGGGCATCATGGAACCTGCTGACATGTGATGTCACCCCCAGAGACCCAGCTGTAAAATTTCTCTCTTTTGTACTCTCTCTCTTTATTTCTCAGACCAGCCAACACTTAGGGAAAATAGAAAAGAACCTATGTTGAAATATTGGGGGCTGGTTCTTCTGATACCTAACTCCCCACAGTTAAACTTAGTTAGACATACAGTAAGAGAATGTTCAAAAGGGGATTAAAGCTACCAAAAGTCTTCTCTGAACCCATCCCCCATTTCCCATACCAAATAAATTAGTTTCTCCAGCTAGGTAATCCCATAGCATCCCAGTACATCATCAACATAACACTGACCAGACTTTTTAATACTTGCTGGCTAATTGTTGGGCTTCCTTGATGGACTGTGAGTTCCATGAGTGCAGGGTCCATATTTGTCTTGTTCCCTACTGCATTCCCAGGGGCTAGGATAGGTTTAGCCCATGGTAAGTGCTCAATATTTGTCAAATGACAGATGGTAGGAGGGAGTGGGCACCCCCAGTTGCTTTGCCTTCATCTTCTGCACCCTTGGCCTGGCTTCCAGCATAAGATTTGGGAAGAGCATCCAAGGGAGCCAAAATCAAGTTATGGAAGACCTAGACCCAGCTTTGCCTCCAAGTCACCCAATAAGACCTATGGTCTGACTTCTATATGATCTGGTCATTTACGGTCTGACTGGGGCAGAGGGTAAGGAAGAGATGACTGGAACACAGCTTCTCATGAGCAAGTTATAAATGTGTGGTATATTGATTACCTAAGCCCATCAGGCAGAGCCTAGGATAGCTGGAGCTCACAGGTTTGTCACCTCCAGCCAGAAGTGGCTTCAAGTATTTATCCCAGGAGGCCAGGTAAATATTCTCATGCATAACATAATATAGAGAGAAATAAGTTGGGAAGCACTGTATTGGATGAATACAGATATGGTCCCCGGCCTACAGCACTACTAGTCCTCGCTTAGGAGGAACTGGGCATTTGGAGGCTGAAAAGGACTCTCTAACAGCAAAGCTAACCTGAGAAAATTGAGCTGCCCAGAAAAAAAACATTAGAGGAGAGGGCCCATGGGATCTGTCTGTGGTGCTGAATCAGCTCCCAGCAAGTTGAGCCCATCTCCTCTCTTACTTGGCCCTGACTTCTGCTATTTTGATCTTTTCTATTTTTACTGGTCTTGGAACAATGATGTTGATGTCATCTCATTAGGCCACTACAAGCAATCACAGCAAATTCATTTGTGACCCAGCCCAAATATCCACTGTGCCAATAACATTCATCACATCTGAGGTTCTCTCTACCCTCAGCCAGTCAGGAATCTGCCCCTTCCCAGCTGTCCTCCTCTGGACTGTATGTCCTGCAGATTAACAGTTTAAAATTTGGTTACTAAAGATTCAAGGGAAAAACAGCCAAGGAGATTGCTGAATTGTGTGAGGGAAGATAAGTTGTGCATGACAAAATATGCCTCTCTGAACACTAGCCTGAGCTCTAAGGGAGAGAGACCCAGTCATGTATGGAGTCTGCCAGTATTATTTAGGGTAGGCTAGGTTATGCTGTGGCAACCAACAATCCCAAAATCTTCTTGGCTGACCACAGTGAAAGTTAAGTTCTGGCTCAAGCAAAGTCTTCTGCAGGACCAGATAGCTTCCTAGAGAAAATTTCCTCCGTATGTTGACTCATGATTCTAGGCTATTTTTGTCTTACAGCATCTTCATATCAAAAAGTGCTTCTGGAAGTTCTAGCCAGAGAAATCTGGCAAGAGAAAGAAATAAAAGGCATTCAAATAGCAAAAGAAGAAGTGAAACTATCTCTCTTCACTAATGATATGATTATATGCCTAGAAAACCCTAAAGACTCTGCTAAAAGGCTTTTGGAACTCATAAAGGACTTCAGTAAAGTTTCAGGATACAAAACCAATGTTCAAAACTCAGGAACATTTCTATACACCAATAACATTTACGCTGAGAGCCAAATCAAGAACACAATCCCATTTATAATAGCCACACAAAAAATAAAATACCCAGGAATACCTCTAACCAAGGAAGTGAAAGATCTCTACAAGAAAAAACTATAAAACAATGCTAAAAGAAATCACAGATGACACAAACAAATGGAAAAACATTCCATGCTCATAGATTGGAAGAATTAATGTGGCCATACCACTCAAAGCAATCTACAGATTTAATGTTATTCCTATCACACTACAAATGTCATTTTCTCACAAAACTAGAAAAAACTATTCTAAAATTCATAAGGACCCAAAATAGTGACCAAATAACCAAAGCAATCCTAAGCAAAGAGAACAAAGCCCTAGGCATCACATTATCCAACTTCAAACTAACTATAAAGCTACTGGTACAAAAACAGACACATAAACAACTGGAACAAAATAGAGAACCCAGAAATAAAGCTGTGTACTTACAGCCATCTTATCTTCAACAAAGTTGACAAAAATAGGCAGTGGGGAAATGACTCCCTATTTAATAAATGGTTCTGTGATAGCTGTCTAGCCATATGCAGAAGAGTGAAATTGGATCCCTTTCACTTATACAAAAATTAACTCAGGATGAATTAAAGATTTAAGTGTTAGACTGTAAACTGTAAGAATCCTAAAAGAAAACCCACGAAACACCAATCTAGACTTTGGCCTTGAGAAATAATTTATGACTAAGTCCTCAAAAGCAATTGCAACAACAAAAAATTGACAGGTGAGACCCAATTAAACAAAAGAGCTTCTGCACAGCAAAAGAAACTATTAACAGAGTAATCTGTGACCTATGGAATGGGAGAAAATATTTGCAAAATATGCATCCAACAAAGGTCTAATATCCAGAATGTATAATGAACTTAAACAATTGAACAAGCAAAAAAACAAATTACCCCATTAAAAAATGGGCAAAACACATGACCAGACACTTCTCAAACAAGATATACAAGTGGCCAACAAACCTATGCAAAAAAGTTCATCATCACTAATCATCAGAGAAATGCAAATCAAGACCGCAATGAGATAACATCTCACACCATTCAGAATGATTATTATTTTAAAAATAAAAAATAGCAGATTCTGTCAAGGCTGCAGAGAAAAGGGAATGCCTATACGTTGTTGGTGGGAATGTAAATTAGTTCAGCCACTGTGGATAGCAGGTTGGCGATTTCTCAAAGAACTTAAAACAGAACTACCATTTGACCCTGCAATCCCATACTGGGTATATACTCAAAGAAAAACAAAACATTCTACCAAAAAGATACATGCAAATGTATACGCATTGCAGCACTATGCCCAATAGCAAAGACATGGAATAAATCCTGGTGCCCATCAATGGTGGATTGGATAAAGAAAACATGCTACATATACACCAAGGAATACTACGCAGCCATAAAAGAGAATGAAATAATGTATTTTGCAACATGGATGCAGATGGAGGCCATTATCCTAAGTGAATTAACGCAGGAACAGAAAACCAAATACCACATGTTCTCACTTATAAGTGGGAGCTAAATATTAGGTACTCATAGACAAAAAGATGAAAACAACAGACACTGGGGACAATTAGAGGGGGAAGGGAAAGGGGAGGGAACCATTGAAAAACTAACTATTGGGTACTATGCTCAGTACTTGGGTGATGGGATTAATTGTACTCCAAACCTCAGCATCACACAATGCAAACTTGCACAGGTACCACCAAATCTAAAATAAAAGTTGAATTTTTTTAAAGTGCTTCCATGTGTTAAAAGCTGTAGCAAGGGAAGAGGGAAAACTGGTGAGTTGACCACTAAGACTTAAGCACTTGGTCCAAAAGCAACACACATCCCTTTTGTTCTCATTTTATTGGCTATATCTGGTAACACAAACATAGCCAACTTTAAGAGGGCAAGGAAGCACAGTCTTACTTATCTGGACATAGAGGAGAACCACACATTGGCACCCATTGGCAGCGTCTACCACATTGGCACTGGGACTTGGCGTGATGTATTTAAGTCAGATATACCCTGTTCGAGTCCCAGCTCTGCCACTTGCAGGGACAAATAACTCAATCTTGCTGAGTTATTTTTTCTTTTTGTGTAAAATGGAGACGACACCTGTTCCTGTTGAGACTCAAATGAGCTAATGTAATTGCAAGTGTTTTGAGAACTGTAAGCACTAGCTATTAATTGTTAAGATTATCAGAAGCCCTTGCAAAATTTAATAGAAGAGGGAGCTGAGGTTTCTAAATAGAGAAATGACAAAGTACAAAAATACCCTCAGGGGAAACATTTCTAGCAGTTAGGACTAGAGAAGGAATTCATTTTTCATCCGTTCTTAGTCCTCACTGTCTTATATAGCTATTTTTTGTTCTTCTTTTATTTATGAATTGTTGATCGACTCATCATGTACATGTTTAAGGTTTCAGGGACAATGAATTGCATCTCTCTTTTCTATCTAAGTTTGGAATCAATTGAAAAATAGAAGTCAAGCAGAGGGAAAATAAAATGTAAATTTTGTTAGTAATAAAGCTGATATTGGAAAACATAGCATTAGTGTATGCAACGGTGGGTTTCTTAATACTAAGTACTAGAATTAAACAGATCCTCTCAAATCATTTCAATATAATGCAAGTGTGTTTAAAGAAATGTGTGCAAAGAGCTATGGAAACAGGGCAAATTACTCCTCAGCTCTGTGGTGCCAACCACAAAATAAGGATGGATTAGAATGTCAGTCCACCATCCATGGCTGTGCAATTGTGTACTGCACAACTCTAGAGGATATTATAGCCTATGTGCTATTCCCCCTTCCCTCCAACAACAAGTTGAGTAAAACACAGCTTGAATGACTGCACATAGAATAACTGCATGAGAAGAATAGACAACCTTTAGGGCGTGTAAACCACTTTGAAGATCTAATGAAATACAGGGATAACACTATCTGTAGAAAGATTCACAAACTCAGTGTAGAATTTCACAAATAATTTCAGGGGTGACACAAACTGTCAAAAGCTCATCTTTGAAGAGCCAATTAAGAATTGCTTCAGAAAATGATCTCCAAAACCCTTTATAGCTCTGATAGTCCATAATTCTGGATTGCATGGTTTACCTGGCAACAATCTGGGGAAAATGTATGAATGATAAGGTTAAAAAAAAGATAAACTTCAAAACACAATGCACGCATCAGCACAGAGCACAAATGGCCCAAGCCTAAAAAGCTCAGGCAAAAATCTACAGTAGTTACTAGGATAGGCTTTTGAAATTATGGATAGCTTCATTTCTCTCTCTTTTGACATTTAGAAATTGCTGTGTTATTTTTATAATGTTTAAAAAGAAAAAAGAAAGAGATAAACAACCCCTGTGGTTTCTGTGCCATTGGCATTTCTTTGAGAGTAGACGTTGTTACTGCAGGGGAGGTAAGATTTCCATGACTTCCTGGCTTACCATTTCAGTTGACTCTCCAGAGGTCACGGTCAGTGAGACTCACCTGAGTCCCAGCCCCTGGCCTGGTTTTACTTCTGAAATCACATTCAGAAGAAAGTTAGACCAGCAGGGCTATGTGAGAGGCTGACTTTAAATGAGCTTTGAAGTTTCCTTCCAAGATGCGGCGGACCCTGTAAAGACACAGTTCGGTGTATATTAAGCTTTTCAATTACTTTACTCTGAACGAAGGTGCCTCTTCCCTCTCCATTCCCTTCAGTTAACATATTATGGGATGATAACACAATATCTCAAATGAGGCTTTTAAAAGACTTCACTTTTACTCTGAAGAACATTCTCATCTTTTCGTGGGAAGCAACTACTTTTTATTTCCCAGGGACGTAGGAACACCGAGGAGGTAGAACAGAGGGCACACAATCAGAGGCATGGGAAAATGGGAGGGATGAGAACATGGACAAGGAGACCGATATTCTCTCCTCTGAAGGACTTCCCTGTTCTGAGAGCTTCCAAAAAGTGAGAAGGCAGGATAAAAGCCACAGTAACCTGCTGGGAGACCTCCCAAGGAAATTAAAGTCTTCCAATCCTTGGTAGTTTAGACTAGGCTAAGCAGACATTTTATATGTGTTTAATTGGTGCCTTCCATCATGTGAAATGGTTTAAATCTGTTGTTCTTGGTGCAGTGTGGTGGCTCATGCCTATAATCCCAGCACTTTGGGAAACTAAGGCAGGAGGATTTCTTGAGTCCAGGAGTTCGAGACCAGCCTGGGCAAAATACTGAGACTCTGCCTTCACAAGAAAAGTTAGCAAGGCATGGTGGTGCATGCCTGTAGGTCTAGCTACTTGGGAGGCTTAGGTGGGAGGATCGCTTAAGCCCAGGAGTTGAGGCTGCAGTGAGTTGTGATCACACCAGTGCATGCCAGCCTGGGAGACAGAGCAAGCCCCTGCCCCCATCACACATAAAAATTAATTGTTCTCAAGCTTCAGGATCATCTGGATGATTAAAATAGTTGGTTAAGATAGTGGCCTCACCTCCAGAGTTTCTAATTCAGTAGATGTGGGATAAAGACCAAGGGTTTGCACTTCTCACAAGCACCCAGGGAATGCTGTGGCTACTGGCCCACAGACTACACTTTGAGAACTACTGGTTTGACTGCATTTCCTATTTTCAGAATGAGAAAAACAGAATATGAACAGTGTGTTCAGGGCAATAGAGGATGCCGGAGAGATAAGGAGAATCCAGTTTTCCTGGAATGTCAAGCAAAAAAGTCTGTATTTATTCTAAAGTAATAAGAAGTTACTGAATGATCTTAAAAGAGTGAGTCAGACGGCCTAAATTAAAATTTAAGAGATTATTCAGGAGGCATTCAACTCCCCTCTTCCCTTAGAAAGACACCAGAAAGATGTTAAGGGTTAGGCTTACGCCAGGAACTCCAGGTGAAAAATGGATTGAAGATAATATACAGTCAAGAAAGGTGATGCCCATTAAGACATGGGTAGAGGGCTGACGTGGAGGAGGTAGTCAAAGGAGCAGCATGTTTCTAATACCGGTTTAAAGGGTGTAATGAGGATCCATTGTCTGGGCTCTGGGAACAGGCTATTGATTATATTCTGCAGGCAGCATCACCAAACTTTCAAATTTAAATCTCTGGCTTTTTCTCCATATAATACTCATTATACATACATCACGTAGAAGAAAATATAGATGTAAAAGAAAACACATAGTGCATCACACAGATCATGGACATTGTTAAATTATACCACAATGCTTATCATGAGAAAATTTTCTGGGCAAAAGGAGAAGGAATTACAAAGAGTGAAAGAGGAAGCTGTCCCATATGGGATGGGAGCTGGGGTTATGACATTTCAAGATGGAAGGCATGTAGTGGCAATATATATTTGCTGAGAAGTGAATGGATACATGAATGCATAATTTAACAGTGTCAAATTAAAATCTATTGAAAAGACTTAGAATGGAGCAAACCCAGTGGCTTTAAATGCTATGCACTCAATGGTTTTCAGATCATGAGAATTAACCCCACTGGATCTCTGCCCTTTCACACTACAAATGGGGACTGTGCTCAATTCATAACAGGACGTTTTGAGAGGGCAGTCACATGTTTTTGTGAACTGAGAGAAAAGATAATGGCTCTAGGAAAATGGCTCTATGTGAGAAGTTGCCTGTGTCATCTTGTGTGGATGCTTGATTCTGATTGCCCTTGGAGAGCTTGGGTCCTCCTCATTATCTTATACATGTCTCATGCAGATTCTCAGCTTTCCTTCAACTTTCAAATGATAGTCACTTCTGGGTTGAGGTTGGCACTAGAGTACACAGAGTTCCCCTCTACCATCAGTCTCCACCTGCCCCGCTCCTGCCATGATGAGGCCTGGGACCTGCCCTAGGGCAACACAGTGATTTTGAGAACCAGGAGATTTCAAATGTCTTTGCTTGTTCAAACAATGCCCAGTTATTTTCCTTTGCCAATAATTCACAACTTCTGGCAAGATTGTTTCTGGATGTTATGTTCATTTTATGGCTACATATGTCTTCAAAGCTGAGACACAGCTTCCGACACAGTCTCCTCTGGCTCTGGTTCAGAACTGCCTGAATTTTCTCTTCATCACATCCTTTTGATGGATCACATTTGGGTCACAAAAAGTGATTCCTATGGTCAGTTTGGGCTTTAGAGTCCTATAAAATTCTGGATGAAGCACAGAGGACCTTTGCACTAGATTTTAATGTTTCACTGTTTGAGTGGGCTCTGTTAACTGTGCACATGGGGTGCCTGACTGCAATACATGTCTCTTTCTGAAGCCAAGCAGTTCATCCAAATTAAACTGCTAGAATCTGCAATGAGCTTCGAGGCAAATACTCTGTCTTCCTAGTGGTTTCAACTGTGTAGACAGAAAAAATTGTACATAGAGCTAACTACACACACAAAAATCTGGTTTTGGCCACTGGTTTGGGCACACTCAAATCCAAAGTTGGTTTCTTGCTTTCCTCAGCTTTACTGAGGTGTAGCTAACAAAAAAGTATACATTTATTATGTAACAACATATTTTGAAATATGTACATTGTGAAATGGCTACATTGAGCTAATTAACATATGCATTACCTCACCTACTTATAATTTTTGTGGTGAGAAAGAACATTAAAAATCTACTCTTAGTGATTTTCTGGTTTTCTTCCTTCAACTTTTATTTTAAGGTCTGGGGTACATGTGCAGAATGTGCAGTTTTGTTACATAGGTAAACACGTGCCGTGGTGGTTTACTGCACAGATCATCATATCACATAGGTAGTAAGCCCAGCATCCCTTAGCTATTCTTCCTGACGCTCTCCCTCCCCCCGACCCCTACCCCCCACAGGCCCCAATGTGTGTTGTTCCCCTGCCATGTGTCCATGTGTTCTCACCATTCAGCTCCCACTTATAAGTAAGAACATGCAGTGTTTGGTTTTCTGTTCCTGCATTAGTTTGCTGAGGATAATGGCTTCCAGCTCCATCCATGTTCCTGCAAAGGACATGATCTCATTCCTTTTTATGGCTGCATAGTATTCCATGGTGTATATGTACCACATTTTCTTTATCCAGTCTATCATTGATGGGCATTTGGGTTGATTCCATGTTTTTGCTATTGTGAATTGTGCTGCAATGAACATACACGTGCATGTATTTTTATAACGAATGATTTATATTCCTTTGGGTATATACCCAGTAATGAGATTGCTGGGTCAAATAGTATTTCTGCCTCTACATCTCTAAGGAATGCCACACTGTCTTCCACAATGGTTGAACTAATTTACACTCCCACCAACAGTGTAAAAGCATTCCTTTTCCTCCGCAGCCTCACCAGCATCTGTTGTTTCTGGACTTTTTAATTATCACCATTCTGACTGGCATGAGATGGTATCTCATTATGGTTTTCATTTGCATTTCTCTAATGATCAGTGATGTTGAGCTCCTTTTCATATGTTTGTTGGCTGCATGAATGTCTTCTTTTGAGAAGTGTCTGTTTATGTCTTTGCCCACTTTTTAATGGGGTTGTTTTTTTCTTATAAATTTGTTTAAGTTCCTTATAGACTCTGGATAGTAGATCTTCAACAGATGGGTAGATCACAAAAATGTTCTCCCATTCTGTAGGCTGTCTGTTCACTCCGATGATAGTTTCTTTTGCTGTGCAGAACCTCTTCAGTTTAAAATGATCCCATTTGTCAATTTTAGCTTTTGTTCTAGTTGCCTTTGGCATTTCATCATATAATCTTTACCCATGCCTATGTCCTGAATGGTATTGCCTACATTTTCTTCTAGGGCTTTTATTGTTTGGGATTTTACATTTAAGTCTTTAATCCATCTTGAGTTAATTTTTGTATAAGATATAAGGAAGGGGTCCAGTTTCAATTTTCTGCATATGGCTAGCCAGTTCTCCCAGCACCATTTATTAAATAGAGAATCTTTCCCCCATTGCTTGTTTTTGTCAGCTTTGTCAAAGATCAGATGGTTGTAGGTGTGCAGTCTTATTTCTGAGTTCTCTATTTGATTCCACTGGTCTATGTGTCTGTTTTTGTACCATTACATAATGTTTTGGTTACTGTAGCCTGTAGTATAGTTTGAAGTTGGGCACCATGATGCCTCCTGTTTTGTTCTTTTTGCTTAGGATTTTCTTGGCTATATGGACTCTTTCTTGATTCCGTATGAATTTTAAAATAGTTTATTCTAGTTCTGTGAAGAATGTCAATGGCAGTTTAATGGGAATAGCATTGAGTCTATAAATTACTTTTGATAGTATGGCCATTTTCACGATATTGATTCTTCCTATCCATGAGCATGGAACATTTTTCCATTTGTTTGTGTCCTCTCTGATTTCCTTGAGCAATTTTCAAGAATATAATACACTGTTATTAATTGTAGTCACCATATTTTACAATAGATTTCTGGAACTTATTCCTCCTATCTAACTGAAATTTTTCATCCTTTGATCAACATCTCCCCAACTCTCACCTGCTCTTAGCCCCACCATTCTACTTTCTGCCTAAGTATGTCTTTTAAAAATTACACATATAAGTGGGATCATATGGTATTTATATTTCCGTACCTAGCTTATTTCACTTAGCGTAATGTCTTCCAGATTCATCCATATTGTAACCAATGTTAGGATTTCCTTATTTTTGTAAGGCTCAGTAGTATTCCATTGTGTGTGTGTGTGTATGTGTGTGTGTGTGTGTATATATATATATATAATTTTCTTTATTGATCCATTAAGGGACAATGAATTCCATATTTGTTAATTCCATACCTTGGCTATTGTGAATAATGTTGCAATTAACATGGAGTACAAATATCTCTTTGACAAACTGATTTTTTTAATATATACCCAGTAGTAGGATTGCTGGATCATAGAGTAGTTCTATTTTTATTTTTTTCAGAAACTTCCAGACTGTTTTCCATAATGGCAGTATTAATTTACATTACCACCAACAGTGTGCAAGTGTTCCCTTTTCTTCACATCCTCACCAACACTTATCTTTTGTCTTTTTGATAAAAAGTAGCCGTTCTAAGTGGTGTGAGGTAATATCTCATTGTGGTTTTAATTTGCATTTCCCTGATGATTAGTGATGCCCATTTTTCATATACCTGTCAGCCATTTGCATGTCTTCTTTCATGAATGTCCATTCAGGTTGTTGGCTCATTTTAAAAATCAGGTTATTGGTTTTCTTGCTCTTGAGTTGAGTTCCTTATATATTTTGGATATTAGCCCCTTGTCAGATATATGGTTTGCAAATATTTTTTCCCATTCTGTATGTTGTCTCTTCACTCTGTTGATTTTTTTCCTTTGCTGTTCAGAAGCTTTTTAGTTTGATACCATCCTATTTTCACTTTTGTGCCTATGCTTTCGGAGTTATATCCGAAAAATAAGACAAATGTCATGCAAGTTTCCTTTATGTTTTTCTCCAGCAGTTTTATAGTTACAAGTCTTATGTTTAAGTCTTTAATCCATTCTTACTGACTTTTTATGTGGTGTGAGATGAGGGTCTACTTTTCTTCTGCAGCATATGGATATCCAGTTTTACCAACACCATTTATTTGAAGAGACTGTCTTTTCCCCATTGTGTGTTCTTGCACTTTTAGCAAAAATTAGCTGACCATAAATGCATAGGTTTATTTCTGGGCTTTCTACTCTGTTCCATTGGTCTATGTGTCTGTCTTCACACCAGTACCATGCTGTGCTAATCACCATAACTTTGTGATATATTTTGAAGTCAGATAGTGTAATGCCTCCAGCTTTGTTCTTTTTACCTTGGCTATGCAGGGTCTTTTGTATTTCCATATGAATTTTCTGTGAAAAATGCCATTGGAATTTTTGATAAGGATTATATTGAATCTATAAATTACTTAGGGTAGTAAGGACACTTGACAATATTCTTCTAATTCATGAACATAGGGTATCTTTCCATTTATTTGAGTCATCTTCAATTTCTTTAATCAATGTTTTATAGTTTATAGGTCTTTCACTTCCTTGGTTAAATATATTCCTAAGTATTTCATTCTTTTTGATGCTTTTTAAAATAGGATTGTTTTCTTAATTTCTTTTTTGAGTAGTTTTAGCATATAGAAACTAATTTTTGTATATTGATCTTATAACCTGCAACTATACTGAATATGCTTATTAATTCTAACTGAGATTTTATGGAATCTTTAGTGTTTCTATTTATGATTATGTCATCTGCAGAGACAATTTTACTTCTTACTTTAGGATTTGGATGCCTTTTATTTCTTTGTCTTGCCTAATTGCTCTGGCTAGGACTTTCAGTGCTAGGTTAAATAGAAATGGCAAGATTGGGCATGCTTGTTTTGTTACAGATCTTGGATGAAAAGCTTTCAGCTTTTCACCATTGAGTATGATGTTAACTGTGGAATTGTCATCTATGGCCTTTATTGTGTTGAAGTGCATTTCTTCCGTATCTAATTTGTTGAGGTTTTTTTTTTTTTTTTAATCATAAAAGGACGTTAAGGGCCAGGTGCAGTGGCTCATGCCTATAATCCCAGCACTTTGGGAGGCTGAGGCGGGTGGATCACCTGACATCAGGAGTTCGAGACCAGCCTGGCCAACATGGCGAAACCCCATCTCTACTAAAAATACAAAAATAAGCTGGGCATCATGGTGGGTGTCTGTAATCCCAGCTACTCTGGAAGCTGAGGCAGGAAAATCGCTTGAACCTGGGAGGCAGAGGTTGCAATGAGCGAAGTTTATGCCATTGCACTCCAGCCTGGGTGACAAGAGTGAAACTCCGCCTCAAAAAAATAAAAATAAAAGGACATTAAAAAAGGAAATTGAATTTTGCCAAAGGCCTTTTCTGCATCTATTGAGATGATTATATGGTTTAAATCCCTTATTCTGTTAATGTGATATATCACATTTATTGATTTGCATATGTTAAATCATCCTTGCACCCTTGGGATGAATTCCACTTAATCATGGTGTGCAGTCCTTTTAATGTGTGGTTGAATTTGGTTTGCTAGTATTTGGTTGAGAACTTCTGAATCTATGTTCATCGGAGATATTGGCCTATAATTCAGTTTTCTTGTCTGGTTTTGGTATTAGGGTAATGTTGCCCTTGCAAAATGAGTTTGAAAGTGTTCCCTCTATTGAATTTTTTGGAAGAGTTTGAGAATGATTTGTATTAGTTCCTTAAATATTTGGTAGAATTCTGTAGTGAAGTCATCAGGTGCTGAACTTTTCTTTGATGGGAGGCTTTTTATTACTTGTTCAATATCCATACTCATTATTGGTCTGTTCAGATTTTCTCTTTCTTTGTGATTCAGTCTGGTAGACTATATGTTTCAGGAACTTACTTATTTCTTCTAGGTTATCTAATTTGTTGGTATATAATTGTTAATAATAGTCTCTTATGCTCCTTTGTATTTCTGTGGTATCAGTTGTAATGTCTCCTTTTTTCTGATTTTGAGTCCTCTCTCTTTTCTTCTTAGTCCAGCTAAAAGGTTATCAATTTTGTTTATCATTTCAAAAATCCAAGTCTTAGTTTTGTTCATCTTTTGTTTCTCTCTTTTTTATTTATTTCTGCTCTGATTTTCATTATTTTCTTTCTTCTATTAACTTTAGGATGTTAGTTTTTATTTTTCTAGTTCCTTGATGTGTAAAGTTAGGTTGTTTATGTGAGACTTATTTTAACTTCCTGTTGACATTTTACCACTATAAACTTCTCCCATAGAACTGCTTTTGTTGCATCCTATACAAATTATTATAGCTATTGCTATTTTTAATACTTTCATCTTTTAACCTTTATACTATACTTATAAGTGATTTACAAAGAACCACTACAGTATTATTCTATTTGACTTAGCTTTACCACTGAGTTTCAGACTTTCAAATGTTTTCATGTTACTGATTATCATCTTTTCATTTCAGCTTAAAGAACACCCTTTATCATTTCTTGTAAGATAGGTCTAGTGGGAATGGACTCCATCAGCTTTTCTTTGTCTAGGAAAGCTTTTCTTTCTTCTTCATTGCTGAAGGACAGCTTTGATGGGTGAAGTATTGTTGGTTGAAAATTTTTTTCTTTCAGCATTTTGAATGTATCATCCCACTCTCTCCTGGCCTGTAAGGTTTCTGCCAAAAGCCTGCGGATAATGTTAGAGATTACTTTGTATGTGACAAGACTCTTTTCTGTTGCTGCTATCAAAATTCTCTTTAATTTTTGATAGTTCAGTTATAATGTGTCTGTGAAGTCTTCCTTGAGTTGAACCTATTTGGGATCCTTTGAGTCTCGTGTACTGGATATCCACATATCTCCCTAGGTTGAGAAAATTTTCAGCCACTATTTCTTCATATAAGTTTTCTGCAACCTTTTCTCTCTCTTTTCCTTCTGATACTTTCATAACATGAATGTTAGCTCTTTCTTGATGGTATCCCATAAATCTTCTAGGCTTTTGTCTTCTTTTTTTAATTCTTTTTTCCCTTTTCCTCCTCTGACTCAACATTTTCAAGTAACCTGTCTTTGATTTCATAGTTTCTTTCTTCTGTTTGACCAAGTCTGCTGTTAACTCTATTGCATTTTTAAATTTTATTCCTTATATTCTGTATCTCTGGAATTTTGTCTGGTTCTTTTTAAGTGACTCCTATCTCTTTATTGAACTTTAGTTCAGGTATTGTTTTCTTGATATCATTTAGTTTTTTATTTGTGTTCTCTTGTAGCTTTCTGAGCTACAATGGTTAAAACAATTACTTTGAATTCTTTGTCAGGCAATCTGTAGATGACCGTTTTTTGGCATCAGTTACTGAAATATTATTGTGTTATTTTCGTATTGTCATGTTTCCTTAATTTTTCCTGTTCCTTGAGGTCTTGTATTGCTGTCTGTACACTTGAAAAAACAATCACTTTTTTCAGTCTTTACTGACTGGCTTCAGGAAAAGGAAAGAAATGCCTATACCAGTTATCCTGCCTATGGATTCTGAGGCTCACTCAAAACTTTTTTATGAATGTGCCTGTTTCATACTTCTTGTTCCCTTTTGGCAGGGAATTCTTGAGATTGTATTGCCTCTCTCAATCCCACAAAGCCAGATCAGATGTTGAAAGCCTCTCATTTGTTTTCCACAGGGTAGTGCCCTGAAACGCTCAACTTTGTATGCCTTCTCCTAATCCTGTACAGTCAAGTCAGCTATCTGCATGGGATGAACTTACCATCCACGGGGACAGGCTTGAGGAGGAGCTGGCCTGGGGAGGGAAGATGAGGTGCACAGAGCATTTGGGATGCTGGTGGATCAGGTGTGGAGGGGGTCCATAGATGAGGTGTCCCAAACAGCTCATGGGCAATCTTCCTGATGGAATCTATGGAGCAGTTAGTAGGGTACACAACATCTCTTCCTTGCTCCCAGACTCTCCCAGCCTGTCAGCTTTGCTGATCACCTCACTAATACAGGTGAGGTAAGAAAGAGGTGGGCCTCGTTGGCAGCACCTTGCATGACTGGGAGAGATGGATGGTCACTCACTATGCTCTTACTTTCCCCTATGGGAGAAATGGGACTGGGTGGGGGTGTCTCTTGGCACCAAGCTATGCCACCATAGAGGAGAGGTGATGTGCGTAATGTGAAACTCTTTTTGTATATTTTATGTTTTAAGAGACAGGGTCTTGCTCTATCTCCCAGGCCGGAGTATAGTGGTGTGATCATAGCTCACTGTAACCTGGAACTCTTGGGCTCGAGTGATCCTCCTGCTCTAGCCTCCTGAGTAGCTGGGACTGTAGGCACATGCCACTATTCCTGGCTAAGTTTTGTTTTGTTTTGTTTTTAACATTTTTTGTAGAGACAGAGTTTCACTGTGTTTCCCAGGCTGGTCTTAAGCTCCTGAGACCTCAAGTGCTCCTCCCACCTTGACCTTCCAAAGTGCTGGGATTATAGGCATGAGCCACTGCACCTGGCCAAAACTGTTCTTCTTACTCTTTTCATGCATCTATTCTCAGATTTTTTTCTCCAACAGTGTGCTGGAACTTCTCCACTGGTATCGTGCCACCGCACTCCAGCCTGGGTGACAGAGCAAGACTCCATCTCAAAAACAACAAAAACAAAAACTTCTCCACTGGACTCCCAGACTCCCACTATTCATGAGTACTTGTCAAAACTGATGCCTCTGCAAAAGAATAACAGTAGAAAGCTTCTATTCTGTCAACTTGCTGACATCCCAAAGCTGGTTTATTAAGAATGTCATGCTTTGTATATAATATTGATAATAAAAACAATAAATAATTTGTTTTGAGCACCCTCTGGCCTGATAACTTTGTATATGTTATCTTATTTAACGATGACATTGGGAACAATAACATTTGCCATATAGTGTGGATTTTCATAGGCTAGCCTCTGTGCTTTATGTAAATTATTCAATGGCGCTTATCAACAAACTTACATTGTTATCTGCATTTAACAGATGGGGAAATTCAGTACGCTCATATTTAAGTGGCTGACTCAGCATTTGAACCCAAATCTGTCCAGGACAAGGGCCATACTCCTCTATCCACTAGGACACTCTGGCTTCCTCACAGGGAACAAGGTCATGGCCTATGCAGCTTAACCAAGCCCTGAAAACCTCTCCCACCCCAACACACATAGGTGCAGCTGGTACATCCACATGCATTCTGGCCCTGTGACAGTCAGGGCTCCTATTAGCTGATACACAAACAGAGAGAACACAACCCCCCGGGAGTGTTTCATTAGACCTGCATGTGGTCTGTTAATAGATGTTGCTCTAGCATATTCAATGGTACCAATTTGGCCCCTGACTTTTTTTTTTCCACAAAAAACCCTCAGTGGTGTATCATGGAAGCGGATCTGGAAAGCCAGACTGACAAACTTAGGCTGAGAGCTAGTCCTAACTGCTTGTCTTTCTTGGGTTAGGTCAGACCCTCATGATTCTCAAGCACCCTAAGCCACCTAGCAGAGTTCTAAGCAAAAGGTTGCTTCCCTGACCCAGCAAATCCTCAGTTTCTTTGTCTGAAAAACAAGATGATTAGACTAGGGAAGTATTTTTCAAACTTGAAAGGTTTTGTTCATAAAAACAACTTAGACTTAGCATTGACAACCATTTTTTGTTATATAATGCATTTTTCACATCTGTTTGCTTGTCTTTTTTTCCCTTTAGTCTGTTCATGTTGCCGTAATGAAAATACCAGAGACTGGGTGGTTTAAGCAACAAACTTACTTTCTCACAGGTCTGAAAAAGGCTGGGAAGTCCAAAATCAAGGCACCAGGAGGTCCAGAGCTTGGTATCTGTTGGGGGGCCACTTCTTGGCTTGTAGAAAGCACTCTGCTTTCTACCTTACTTGTATCATTTCATTCATTTCTCCTAGCAACCTAAAGGCACAGATATTATTCCAATTTTACAATTGAGGACACAGAAAGTAAAAGACTTAACTAAAGTTAAGCCTAATCAGTGAAATAACTGAGATTTGAACCCAGGTCTAGATTGAGCCTAAAGTACCAATACCCATAATCACTGTGTAGGCTGCTTCTAATGGAATTTTCCACATCACAGGTGCCCTCATCTCCCGTCTCCATTGCTTTTTTTCATCCAGATTTACCACCATTTCCACCTTTGTTTTGGAGCTTCTTGCTGTCCCTTCACAGGGAAGGGAAGATGGAGAGGAGAGAGAGATAAATACATTTTATGCATATCCATATTCCCAGCCTATTGCACAGTCCCTGGCACACAGTGGACATTCAGACAATATTTGATGAATAAATGAACATATGTATAAATGAGTAAAGGAATGGATGGAAGACTGGATGGATGGATGGATGAATGGATGTCTGAAACAATCAGGAGAGTTGCTGAAGATGTGGGAATAACCCATGATGTCGTGGTAGACGACCTCTTATACCACAGGACGAGAAGTGATAAAGAAATGGAATATGAAGACCTTATTCCAAAAAAGCATAGATGTGGCAATGGCATGAAGCCATCAATGAATGTAGTGATATCTCAAACAGACCGCACTTAAAGTTTACTTGTCTAGCCAACACATATTAATAAGCATCCATTATGTATATATGAGTGCATGTTGGCACTGTGCTGGAAGCTCCAGAATCAGAAATGAGTAAGACACAGCTTGTACCCTTAAAAAATTCTTGGTTATGAGGACAGACAAACATATAAACAGAATTTTTACAATACAGTCAGTCTAAAACAGAATGTATCAATCAGTATAGGTCAGTTAATACTACAGTAACAATCGACAACTTTCAGTGTTTTTAATCAACAAACCTTGTCCTAAATGTTCATGGCCTCCACTCATATAATTCTCACTCTAGGGCCCAGGCTGACATAGCAGCTGTTGCTGGTTGCTGTGGCAGAGGGAAAGGAACCCTAGTACACTGTGCCTTAGCTCGTAAGGAGCATGTCACTTTCACTCATGTTTGCTTCATCAAATTCATGTGGCCATATTTAACTCCAAAAGGGCTGGGAAGAATTTAACTCCAAGGGGGCAAAGGGAACACTGGAAGCATCTGGTAATTATTAAACAGATGTATAAATAAACTGCACTGGGAGTACACAAAAGGGCATTACTATGAGTGAGCAGCCAGGGTCCTGTTCAAAGAGGAGCTGCCGTTTGAACTGAGTCATGAAATGCATGCACTCGTCACACTGATGCACAGGGTCTAGGAGGTTAGTCTACAGGGAGGTCAGTCACCTTCATGCTGTCTGGAGGTGCCCCAGGGGTCCCTATCATTGTGCAGTGTACAGTGACAAAACTCCATCTGCAGTATGTGTGGTGGTTTCAGCTTCACTGGAGACATTATGATGATGCTGAAAATTACTAATTTTTTTTTCTTTTTTCTTTTTTTTTAGACAGAGTTTCATTCTTGTTGCCCAGGCTGGAGTGCAATGGCTTGATTTTGGCTCGCTGCAACTTCTGCCTCCCAGGTTCAAGTGATTCTCCTACCTCAGCCTGCTGAGTAGCTGGGATTACAGGTGCCCGCCACCACACTCAGCTAATTTTTTTTGTATTTTTAGTAAAGACAGGGTTTCACCATGTTAGCCAGGCTTGTCTCGAACTCCTGATGTCAGGTGATGCACTCACTTTAGCCTCCCAAAGTGCTGGGATGACAGGTGTGGCCATCACTAAATGAACACTTACCCTGTCCAGGGAGGTTTATTGAGGCAGAATGCTGGGCAGCTCAGTCACAAAGGACCACAAGTTTCGACTATGACATCATGTTCAAACAATTTATAAATAAAATCACAAAGATTTCCTGAGAAGAAGATATTTATCATTCAGACTTTGTGTCTAATTTCTAGACACAGAGTCATGAGGAACCTTGAATTAATATTTTCTAGAATTCCTATAATCTTGCATTGTATTTTTGTACTAAAAAAGTGATAATTCAAAAAAATGTATACATAAAGCTCTTCCTCAATTTATGTAATATTGTTGCTATTCACTTTCTATCTAAGAGCCTTAAAAAATGGGAGGTCTGCATCCCTCTTGGCCTGGGCAAGGCTCCCGTAGGTACCAGGCACTCTGCTTTCTAACTTCCTTGTATCATTTCGTAATTTCTCCAGGCAACCTAAAGGCACAGTATTATCTCAATTAAAACAAATGAGAAAATGAAGGCTGAAAGGCTTAATTAACCTTAAGCCTAATAAGTGGAGGAAGTGAGATTTGAACCCAGGTATAGCTTGATCTAAAAGCCCTGACACTTATAATCACTGTGTAGGCTGCTTCTGATGGAAATTTCCACATTGCAGGGCCACTTACCCTCCTTGTTGCTTTTTTTCACCTGGGTTTACCAACATTCCCACCTTTCTCTTGGAGCTTCTGCTTCCAATTGCTCCTCCTGACCCAGATGGAGGTGGCAAGCTGGGAGAAGCAAGCACAGAGAGTCAGCATTTTGTCAAGCATAAAGTCAGGAAGGAATCCCACTGTTGTACTAGAATCTGATGGTTTCCATAGCAACAGAATCAATCAATCAGTTAATCAACAATAAATTGTTGAGCATCATCCATAAACTCAGTTCAGTGTTGCAACTTGAAGGGCAAGGAAGAGGGAAGAGGGTGGGAGCAGAATTATGAAGATGAAGGAGGCACGGGGCGAGCTGTGGGTGTGGGCGTGGGTATGGCTAGTTTCCTGCACCAAATCTGTGCAGAGAGGCCAGAAGTTGGCTGTGATTCAGAAAGGCAGATGGATATCATTCTGAGCTGCTGCTCAAAACTCTAAACCCCAGAGCCACTGTTGGTTGATCCACTGTGTTCAGGTACTTTTACAGAAACCCTGGCAGCTCCTGAATGTCAATAGAGGAGGAATTAGGGGCAGCCATATAGTTGCTTGAGTGTGGGCTAAAGGTTGTGTTGTGAAACTGCATTTATTTAGAAAGCATACTGACTTTTACTTAAATTTAAATTTCAGATGGCCGGGAAGTAGGCGGGTCTAATCAGGAGGAATTAAACTACCCCCTCCCTGTTCTTGACCAAAGTATTTATTAAAGACCTCTTAAGCACATGTCACTTTGCCTTTTCAATGTGGATTTTAAAAGCAGAACAAAGACTGAGGATAATTAAACATACTCTAAGGAATGGTGAATACATTCATAACAAATATAAATTGTAAAAATTGAAATCTACCAGCATTACTACGATGCAGCTCTGATGGCATCTCCAGTTCCTTCTCACTAGGCAATGGGTAAAGTTCTCAGCAGGGAAGGCTAGGACCTGGTCTTCTGTTGCTCTCACTGGCCCACAGCAGTTCTTGGTGGCCCTGTCACTTCCTTTGTTCACAGATGTCATGCCAGTCATGGAGTTAGCTCTCTCCCTGTTAGTTTTAAGGGAGAGAGCTTTTGCCAACTGTATTTCCAGAGCGCTGCCTACTTCTGCTGCCTGCTGCTGTGCAGATCCCTGTTTAAAGACTGGAAATGAGGAGGCAGGAGAGCCAATTCTCAAGCCCCAACACACATAAGAATCACCTTCAGAGCTTGTGAAGAATTCATATTTTGGGGCCTCACTGTCAAGATTTACTGAGTCGGAGGAGGGGTCAGGAATCACTCTCCAAACACCTCACAAGATTCTGAAGCCTGCAGGACCACCTCTGGGAAACACTAGTGTGCATGGTGGTTGGGAGAATGAATTCTAGTCAGGGAGGTCTGTATTTTCACCTCTCATATCTTGTCCTCTCAATTGTAAAATGGGGAAAAGAGCACCTTCCCTTGGGAGGCCAAGTGCCACCCCAGGCCCTGCAGCTAGTAAGTGGCAGAATAAGGCTTGTACTTGCTGGCCCTAAAGTTGCATTTAACCTCGATGTCAGAGTGGGTCTAAAAGCTGTGATATGACTCCTCCCCAGGTCTCCAGCCACCGCAGGCCAAGTGGGGTGTCATGTCCATGAGGATGATAAAGAACATATGAGTAGTGCTCACCACAGAGGATGTACTCAGAAAATGTGTGATGAATAGATGATCAGACAATAATTACAGCGGCATCATTTGTGGAGTCCCTTCTCTGGACTGGACCCTCCACTAGTGCTTCTGAGTCCTGCCCTGGAAGTGGGCCCCACTATTTGTCTATATAGTGACCACTCATGTGACAGCTACCAGCTCTCCCCCTCCCTACCTCAGGACAAATTAGGGGATATGACGCCCTTCATCTAGCTTCTTTCCCCCTCTACTCTACCTCCGTACCCTGTCTCAGAACTCATCTTCCTCATCTATAAAGTGGGGATAATTGACCCTCTTTTTCCTGCTATTGGACTACAAAATGAGACGACGTCAGTGCTATGGACCAAATGTATGTGTCTCACCAAAATTTATATTTTGAAGCTGTAATCCCCAATGTGATAGTGTCTAGAGGTGGAACCTTTGGGGGGTAATTAGATCATGAGGGTAGAGCCCTCATGAATGGGATGAGTGTCTTTTAAGGAGCAGCCAGGGAGTGAGCTAGCTTTCCCTCAGTCACGTGAGGATACTGTGAGAAGGCATCCCTCCACAAACCAGGAAGTGAGCTCTCACCAACAACCAAATCAGCCAGCACTTTGATCTTAGACTTCCCAGACTTCATACTGTGAGGAATACATTTCTGTTAAGTCACCCAGTCTGTGGTGTTCATGTTCTAGCAGCCCAAACTCACTTAGACAACCAACATAAAGTGCCCCCTCCACCATAAAGGATGTTTCTGACCCCTCTGGCTCCCTTCCAACTAAGGATGTGTATTAGTCCGTTTTCACGCTGCTGATACATACCCAAGACTGGGAAGAAAAGGAGGTTTAATTTTACTTACAGTCCATCATAGCTGGGAGGTCTCACAATCATGGCAGAGGGCAAAAGGCAGTTCTTACATGGCAGTGGCAAGAGACGATAAGGAAGAAGCAAAAGCGAAAACCCCTGATAAACCCACCAGTTCTCGTGAGACTTACTCACTATCACGAGAATAGCACAGGAAAGACCAGCCCCCATGATTCAATTATCTCTGCTGGGTCCCTCTCACAACACCTGGGAATTCTGGGAGATACAATTCAAGTTGAGATTTGGGTAGGGACACAGCCAAACCCTATCAGAGGGCCAACCACATTGGCAGCACTCAGCCCCAGTTCAGGGTGGGCTACACTCATGGGGGTGGGGTGCACAGGGCCATCAGGGATGCCCAGCCCTTGAGTCAGGGTGGGAAGCCAAGATAGTCCAGTGGGCCACAGCTGGTGCTGCCTTGTTGCTTCTGTGAATGTACGTGCCCTCTCAGAACACTGTCTTTTCTTGGAACTGGTGAAAGGAGCTAGAAATGTGTGCAGGGCACCAGGCCTCTAGCATGGCCTATAGTGGGGGTGTCCTCAGGGACCTTCATTGTTCCTTTGGTTCCCAAAAACGCCACTAGATCTTCCTAATAAACAGGTGTTGACAGATTCTGATCCTTCTGGAACAACTTCCCCTTCTCCTAGCTGTCTTCTGCTGGGTCCCCCTGGTTCAGTGCACAGGCAGGCAGTACAGCACAGGGCAGGGATTCTCAGATGTTGGTATGTTTCAGAGTCACCAGGAAGGTGTGATAAATGCACATCCCCAGGCCCTGCCCCAGAGGTCCTGACTCAGTGGGTCTGTGGAGAGGCCCAGGAATCTGCCTTTTTAACAAGCATGTCCACATATTCTGATGCAAGCAGTCCTCTGGTCACAGTTAGCACTGACATGACTCGGGTTTTCGAGTCAGGCTGGCCCAGGATTAGATCCTGGCCGTGTGGTTTGGGCAGGTCATGGAGCTCCCAGGCTTCTGTTTACTCTTCTGGGGAGGGTGCCAACCTACTCATTATTACATAGTAAGGGGTAAACTAGTTCATTTAGACTGTGTGCTTTAGCAAAGCACCTACCACAGCAGGTGCTTTGTGAAGGAAACTTTTCCTAGGGCCAGGAGACTTCCCGCCTGCCCCCTAAGCCTGTGCACCACCACCTGAGTGCATGTCTCTTCTGATGACATGATGGGGAGTTATCTGAGGGCAGGTTGGTTGTCGGCTTGTTCTGGGGGCTGCAGGAAGAAAGAGGGGACCCCAGGGTGGAGGTGAGCTAAGAAGAGAGAACTTGTGAGGTGGAGGTTGCAGTGAGTCGAGATCACGCCACTGCACTTTGGCCTGGACGACAAGAGCGAAACTCCATCTCAAAAATAAAAAAATAAAAAAATAAAACATGAAAATACGGTAAAAAATTACTGAGAGTTCTACTGTAAGGCCAACAACAGATTCTAATAAAATAACCAGAACTAATATTAGGCTTCACCTGTGCCAGGCATTGTAGTTGCTGACATCTGTTCCCTCTTTTAACCCTCACAAGAGTCTTCTGGAGTAAGTGATATTATCATTATTTCTTGGTTGAATATTGTGTTGTTAGAAGATCAAGGAAGTTCTTTAAGTTGTGCAGCAAAACTGCATCTGCTGGCCTTCAGAGCCTCTTTAAATCCAGTTGAAAAAGAATTCCTCAAACTAGTGGCACTTGACCAAAATGTTACATGTTGATAGAAAAATATGCTTAAATATGTGTCAGAAAATTATGATGCTCTTTCCCTTCTGAAACAATTCAGTCCTAAAATCATTAAACAGGTGACCAAGGCAGCTTGGTGCAAAGTATAAGACCTCAAGACGAGCAAGGAGGTGGACACTCTGGTGATAACCGTGACTCTGCTGGGCAGTCCAGACTGGGCTTATGAAAGGCAGCAATGCATGGAGGACCCTCACTCCATAGACAGTCAAGCATTGCATAGTGATAACATTTCGGTTGAGGACAGACTGCACATACAACATACCTTATTTTTAAGGTATTACTGCACCTTTTCTACGTTTAGAGTTGATAGATACACACATACTTAATGCTGTGTTACAGAATTCAGTACAGTAACATGCCGTACAGGTATGTAGCCCAGGAGCAATAGGCTGCATCATATGGTTATACGATCTAGGTTATAGTAGCTAGGTTTGGGTAAGTTCTCCACGATGTTCACATGACAGAATCACATAAAGAAGCATTTCTCAGACTGTATCTACATTGTTAAGTGATGCATGACTATATTTCTATATTATCCGATTTTCTTTTGCAATAAATGTATACTCATCAATAGCTTGCATCATCTTTGAAAATTAAAACTAAAACTAATAAATGACAAAAGAGAAAGGAGTAGAAAATGAGAGGAGCCAGTGGCCTGTTTTGGGATTCACCTTCTGCCACCCCAGCCAGGCAGGGCAGGATGAGCTGGCAGCCCTGGCCCGGGGAGAGGAGCGCTGAAGCAGGCAGAGTGTGTGTCTCCGGCAGTGCCCACGCGGGTTTGCACAATGGCCCTGGGGGCTGGGGTTCCCTGGGTAGCTTCTCCAGCCTCCGCTCCAAATGCTCGGGAGGTTCACACCCACAAGGTCCATCTGGCTGTTGCCCGTGCTGAGTCAAAGATGTTCTTGAGTCATTCCAAAAATGCCCACGGCACCTTCACAACTCTGCCATCTTTGCTGCCACTCACACAGGGCCCAGTGACAAAACCTGGGGGTTGAGGGTAGGGTGTCTCGCTGCTCTTGGATGAGGTCGAGTTTTTCTGTCTTAGCAATAGCCTTTCCAGTATCCTTTCCCAGCTGAATTCGCCTCCATTGGGTTCTGAGCAGCAGCTCGAAATGATGTCCTTTTCACTTAACTATTGTAAATGGGTTTCTATTTGAGGTAAGATAAATAGCTATTGTTGAGCTCCTGTAGAGTGCCAGGTACATCATTCTCATTGAATCCTCACAACAACCCTGAGGAGTAGACACTGGTACAGGGAAAACATTTTAAGTGACTCACTGGGTCACCTCTTGGAAGTATTAGAGCTAAGACTCCAAACCAGATTTTCTGATATCAAAACTCAAATTGGGCTTTCTCAATATGCTAAATCGCCTGTCTGTAATGCTCCAATAGTTTGGGATTTTCTCGTTTTTCAAACATGGCTTACGATGTGAATAAAGAAAATGCTGCTAGACTTAAAAAAGACTGAGGGATTGAGTGTTTATTATGTGCCGGCATTACGTTTACTGCCTTTGTTTAATCGACTTCAGCCCTCGTCAAAATCCATGACTTTCTGTCATACAGGAGGGAACTAAGGCCCAGAGGAGTCAAGAACTCAGGTCACGCAGGTCAGCGGGCAGCCTCAGGCCAGAACTCAGGCAGCTTGTCTTGAGAACCCATTCCCTTAATGTCCCTCACCCCAAAACTAAAGGAACATCCTCACTGGATTGTGAAGATTTAATGAGCTAATATGCACTGTTTAATGCCTGGCATGTAGGCACTCAACAAATACTAATTTCCTTCCTTCTTTCCATCTGGATTCCCAGGGATCTAGTGTGGGACACGATGAAAGAAGACATAGACCACAGAGACACAGACCAATAGATTCTAGAGGTTGTTTAGTCCAAGCCCCTCACTGGGCAAATGGCTCAGAGAGGCGAAATTATAGATGGAAACAAAGCTTTAGGCTTTCTTGGTCTTCCTTTTCCTTTTTGCCACCATAATTCCCAGCAAACTCCATGACCCCAGAGGCTTGCTGGATTTTTCACCTTAATATGCCCAATACCAGATAGCAGGTGTTTGAAAAACCCTTTGTTGAATGAATGAATACCAACTTCACTCTGCAACTGAGTCTGAAGTCATGAAGGCTATTTCCTCATGAGTTTCCTATCTAGGGAAAAGCCCACCAACCCTTGGTTCCCTGCCCCAACCTGATCAATGCTCAGGGATGACTCACTGGCTTGAATACGAGCCCAGCTTCTCAGTTGATGTGCTGCACAAAGGCCATCCTTGGGCCAAGTGGGAGATGAATCACCTGGCACAGATTGCAGGCTTGGAGGAAGGCACAGGATAGTGAAGGGAGCACTAGGCTGGGAGAAAATAGGGTATGAATTTTTCTCCACTTAGGCAGTGGGAGTCTATGACTTAGAAAGCTCATCTGATGGGAAAACTTTTGGAGGGACTCTACCATGTGCTCTTATTACATTGCTTTCTCCACTTCACAGGTTAAAGAATGAGCACCTGTAGTTTGCTCTCAGAGGGGTGAAACACTACATCACCCACACACTGACTTTCAGCTTCCATCCATCTCCCCTCAGCTTGCTGTGTGCTCAGCATGTTGCTAGACTGAGGTTGGGGTGGGGAGGTTGACAGATTATTTGCTCCTACTGTTAGGTTGAGTTGGCGACAATCTCCTTAACTTCTGATGGTTCCTCTTAGTAATTTTCCATCCAATGACCCCCATCCTGCTTCTTGGTTATAAATTTCCACTTGCCCATGCTGTATTCGAAGTTGAGCCCAATCTCTCCCACTGTGAAATCCCATTGCAGTGGTCCTGATACCTGTTGTGATGGTCCTGAATAAAGTTTGCTGTCCCATGCTTTAACAAGTGCATCGAACAACTTTTCTTTAACAAAGACTACTAAAAAGGCACTAAGATGCCTGAATTTAACAGACTTGTAGCCTTTATGAGAAGGACTAGCAGCAAAACAAAACAAAATAAACATCAATAATGACAATTAAGGCAAGACAGTGTGGGCACTGGGGAAGCAGCCCAGTTCTTACTCGTTTATTTCAGATAAAAAAGCCTCAAAGGGAGGAGGTAGTTAGTTTGCATCACTGTGAGCAGGCGAGAATATGCATCCAGTTAACCAATTCTGCTTAGAGGGCAACTTAATCTTGCAGAAAGGAGACCGATCTCTAAGGGAAGAGAATTCCAGGCCAAAAGAAAGACACTGACAAGGACACAGGGACAGTGAAGCACTTCATTAGGTGGGAACAGATGTGCATAAAATAGTCTGGCCAACCTATTCCGTCCAATATGGTAGCCACTAGCTACATGCGACTATTGAGCTGTTTAAATGAGGCCAGTGTGAAATGAGATGTGCTCTAAGTAAAACATACACACTGAAATTAAAAAACTTAGAATGAAAAGTAAAATATCTCAATATTTTGTATCCTGAGACTTTGTTGAAGTTGCTTATCAGCTTAAGGAGATTCTGGGCTGAGACGATGGGGTTTTCTAAATATACAATCATGTCATCTGTAAACAGGGACAATTTGACTTCCTCTTTTCCTAATTGAATACCCTTTATTTCTTTCTCCTGCCTGATTGCCCTGGCCAGAACTTCCAACATTATGTTGAATAGGAGTGGTGAGACATGGCATCCCTGTCTTGTGCCAGTTTTCAAAGGGAATGCTTCCAGTTTTTGCCCATTCAGTATTATATTGGCTGTGGGTTTGTCATAAATAGCTCTTATTATTTTGAGATATGTCCCATCAATACCTAGTTTGAGAGTTTTTAGCATGAAAGGCTGCTGAATTTTGTCAAAAGCCTTTTCTGCATCTATTGAGATGTGGTTTTTGTCTTTGGTTCTGTTTATGTGATGGATTACGTTTATTGATTTGCCTTACATTGAAACAGCCTTGCATCCCAGGGATGAAGTCCACGTGATCATGGTGGATAAGCTTTTTGGTGTGCTGCTGGATTCGGTTTGCCAGTATTTTATTGAGGATTTTTGCATCAATGTTCATCAGGGATACTGGTATAAAATTCTCTTTTTTTTGTTGTGTCTCTGCCAGGCTTTGGTATCAGGACGATGCTGGCCTCATAAAATGAGTTAGGGAGGATTCCCTCTTTTTCTATTGATTGGAATAGTTTCAGAAGGAATGGTACTAGCTCATCCTTGTACCTCTGGTAGAATTTGGCTCTGAATCCTTCTAGTCCTGGACTTTCTTTGGTTGATAGGCTATTAATTATTGCCTCAATTTCAGAGCCTGTTATTGGTCTAAAAATCACAAGCATTCTTATACACCAATAACAGACAAACAGAGAGCCAAATCATGAGTGAACTCCCATTCACAATTGCTTCAAAGACAATAAAATACCTAGGAATCCAACTTACAAGGGATGTGAAGGACCTCTTCAAGGAGAACTACAAACCACTGCTCAACAAAATAAAAGAGGACACAAATGGAAGAACATTCCATGCTCATGGATAGGAAGAATCAATATCATGAAAATGGCCATACTGCCCAAGGTAATTTATAGATTCAATGCCATCCCCATCAAGCTACTAATGACTCTCTTCACAGAATTGGAAAAAACTACTTTAAAGTTCATATGGAACCAAAAAAGAGCCCACATTGCTAAGTCAATCCTAAGCCAAAAGAACAAAGCTGGAGGCAGCACACTACCTGACTTCAAACTATACTACAAGGCTACAGTAACCAAAACAGCATGGTACTGGTACCAAACAGAGATATAGACCAATGGAACAGAACAGAGCCCTCAGAAATAATACCACACATCTACAACTATCTGATCTTTGACAAACCTGACAAAAACAAGAAATGGAGAAAGGATTCCCTATTTAATAAATGTGCTGGGAAAAGTGGCCAGCCATATGTAGAAAGCTGAAACTGGATCCCTTCCTTACACCTTATACAAAAATTAATTCAAGATAGATTAAAGACTTAAATATTAGACCTCAAACTATAAAAACCCTAGAAGAAAACCTAGGCAATACCATTCAGGACATAGGCATGGACAAGGACTTCATGTCCAGAACACCAAAAGCAACGGCAACAAAAGCCAAAATTGACAAATAAGATCTAATTAAACTAAAGAGCTTCTGCACAGCAAAAGAAACTACCATCAGAGTGAACAGGCAACCTACAGAATGGGAGAAAATTTTTGCAATCTACCCATCTGACAAAGGGCTACTATCCAGAATCTACAAAGAACTCAAACAAATTTACAAGAAAAAGAAACCCCATCAAAAAGTGGGTGAAGGATATGAACAGAAACTTCTCAAAAGAAGACATTTATGCAGCCAACAGACACGTGAAAAAATGCTCATCATCACTGGCCATCAGAGAAATGCAAATCAAAACCACAGTGAGATACCATCTCACACCAGTTAGAATGGCGATCATTACAAAGTCAGGAAACAACAGGTGCGGGAGAGGATGTGGAGAAATAGGAACAGTTTTACACTGTTGGTGGGACTGTAAACTAGTTCAACCACTGTGGAGACAATGTGGCGATTCCTCAAGGATCTAGAACTAGAAATACCATTTGACCCAGCCATCCCATTACTGGGTATATACCCAAAGGATTATAAATCATGCTGCTACAAAGACACATGAACACGTATGTTTACTGTGGCACTATTCACAACAGCAAAGACTTGGAACCAACCCAAATGTCCAACAATGATAGACTGGATTAAGAAAATGTGGCACATATACACCATGGAATACTATGCAGCCATAAAAAAGGATGAGTTCATGTCCTTTGTAGGGACATGGATGAAGCTGGAAACCATCATTCTCAGCAAACTATTGCAAGGACAAAAAACCAAACACTGCATGTTCTCACTCATAGGTGGGAATTGAACAATGAGAACACCTGGACACAGGAAGGGGAACATCACACACCAGGGCATGTTGTGGGGTGGGGGTAGGCGGGAGGGATAGCATTAGGAAATATATCTGATGTAAATGACGAGTTGATGGGTGCAGCACACCAACATGGCACATGTATACATATGTAACAAACCTGCACGTTGTGCACGTGTACCCTAGAACTTAAAGTATAATAAAAGAAACTCAATATTTTTATATTGATTACACGTTGAAGTCTTTTGGATATATTAGGTTAAAATAACCATTAATTTCACTCATTTATGTGGCTATTAGAAAATTTAAAATTACTTACATACGTCTCTCATATTCAACTGGACAGAGTGTCTAGACCACCCTTTTTTTATTATTATTTTTATTTTTTTGAGACGGAGTCTTGCTCTGTCTCCTAGGCTGCAGTGCAGTGGCGTGATCTCTGCTCACTGCAACCTCTGCCTCCTGGGTTCAAGCGATTCTCCTGCCTCAGCCTCCCAAGTAGCTGGGATTACAGGCACGTGACACCAAGCCTGGCTAATTTTTTTTGTATTTTTAGTAGAGACGGGGTTTCACCTTGTTACCCAGGATGGTCTCGATCTCCTAACCTCATGACCCACCTGCCTCAGCCTCCCAAAGTGCTGGGATTACAGGCATGAGCCACTGGGCCCGGCCCCTTATTCTTTTTTTAATGTTTACTCTTTTTTTTTTCTTTCTGCTCTCTTTGCCACAGCCATAGTTTTGGGTAATTTCTTTTAAATGAAGCTTCCCTTATCTCATGGGTTACTTACAAAGATGATAAGGAACTCCAAAGACCTCTGTACTTAACAATGCTTCCGATCCTGCTCCTCTGGGTTGAAACCCGGGCGCCGCCAAGATGCTGGCTTACCACTCTTCTCTCATGGATCCTGACATCAAACTCATCGGAAACAAGGCACTGTTGCCTATCAGAAGTCAATTCAAACGACCTGCCCCCAGAGAGACAAAAGATACAGATATTGTGGATGAAGCATCTATTACTTCAAGGCCAATATCTTCTTCAAAAACTATGAAATTAAGAATGAAGCTGATAGGACCTTGATAATATATAATGATATATATAACTCTCTACATTTCTGAATGTCTGAAGAAACTCCAAAAGTGCAATTCCAAAAGCCAAGGTGAGAAAGAAATGTATACACTGGGAATCACTAATTTTCCCATTCCTGGAAAGCCTGGTTTTCTACTTAACGCAATTTATGCCAAACCTGCAAACAAACAGGAAGATGAAGTGATGAGAGCCTATTTACAACAGCTAAGGCAAGAGACTGGACTGAGACTTTGTGAGAAAGTTTTCGACCCTCAGAATGATAAACCCAGCAAGTGGTGGACTTGCTTTGTGAAGAGACAGTTCATGAATAAGAGTCTTTCAGGACCTGGGCAGTGAAGGGAGCCCGGGCAGCCACCGTCTCCAGAGCCCTGGGCAGCATTTTCCATCAAGATGTACACAATCTTTTGCCTTTATTTCGTAAAGTTTTATACAGAAGAGAGAAGAGCATGTCTTTACTTGAAAAACTCTTGATCAAGAATTTGGGTGGGAGAAAAGAAAGTGGGTTATCAAGGGTAATTTGAAATTTTCTGCAGCATTAAGCTGGCGCTTAATAAGTAATAATAAAGAAATTTCTAACATTCAAAAAAAAACAAGCTTCCTTTGTAACAGTTCTGATATTCAAAATGAACAAATGAGACAAATCTCTTTAGGAGTCTCTACCTATGAAATTACCTTGAGAACATTGCCTTTTACGTTCCTGAATCTTCCATGAAAGCTTGGGTTTTATTATTGGATTCTTTGCTTCCTGAGGTAATGTGAATTTCATTTCTGGGAATTTGGAAGTGATTTTTTGGTAACACTTTAGTTGTTTCCATTTCCTTGTGTCTGAGAAAAGGTACATTGCAATAATGGAACAGGGCTCTTGGGAAGATTTATTTTGACTTTTCCTCATTCATGGGCTTGGTGTGCTTCTCCTTCCCCTGAGGGGTCTCCACAGTCTCTGGTGTACCACAGAGGAGCATTTGGGCCTTTCCTTTCCACTCCTCTTTCAAAGAGGGGAATTCAGAACACTGGCATTATATGAGGGGAGAAGAGGTAGGATCTGATCAGCAAATTGTCTCATGTGCAGTTTAGTTACTGTAATTTGGTTTTATCAAGGGGGACACAGGTCGGTAGCCTCCACCTTGGCTTCTCTCCTTCCTCCTCTGCTCTCAGCACTGGGTGATGGTAGGAGGGGGATGTGGGGTGGGGGAAAACTTCATAAACATCTTCCCTGGGTGGACACAAATTATGAACAGAAAAGCCATCATTATTCTTACCACAATGGCATTAAGTATCTCAGATCAATAGCACACCCAACTGTGGAGTTCAAATAAGCTGGTCAATGTTAGAACTCTTAGAAAAGTGAGGCCACTCAGATGTAAATTAGCATGGGTGCAGAGGGGAGAAACCACCACCATGAGAAGTTTCTTAGAAGTGCTTCAGCAAGCCTTCAGGTTAAGCCCTCAATTACTAAAATAGGAGAAGGAAATACAGGATGAGCTGTACTTGGCCACTTCAAATTGGGCAAAGTAGGAGTCGTCGTGATAGAGATGGATAAGGCCTGGGGGAAGAATTCACTTCTAACCTGATGCTGTCACCCACTCTGGACATGTTCAGAAGGCATTCATGGCGGCAGATGGGGGTCTAAATAATCCCTCAGCACATGGGCATCAGGCTGTGTGCCAGGTGCTGGGAGCACAGGGATGTGGAAGGCACCATCCAGCCTCAAGGGGCCTCCAAGACAGGGGGAGACAGACAAAGCCATCAACGTAGTGCAGAGTGCTAAGCACTGAGGCAAGGAGCAATAGCAAGCACAGAGGGCATCTAAGTCAGGACAAAGGGAGTGGCAGGTCACGAATACTTCCTGCTGGGGAGGCTGGAGGTGACTTCTGAATAGAATGTATGAGGCGGATGAGGACAGACAGCATCCGAGAAAGCAGAGAGGCTTTTAAGAAACAGTGCACGAGGCTGTGTAAGAGATGAGAGGGAGAGTAGTGGCTATGTGATGATCTTCAAGAGGTGGGGCCTTGTATGGTCTAAGAAACAAGGTTGTTCTTTGTCCTGAAAGCCACGAAGAGTCCCAAGGGATTTAAAAGTGCTGATGGTGGAATGGTAGGGAGAGTTTGCATGATCACTGCTGCATTCTAGAAAGTCCACAGACAGAAAATGTGTTAGCTGGGTTAGATACAGTAAGACTATCAGAGGAATTCAGGAGAGACAAGGGCCTGAATGACACCACTGGGAACAGAGGCCGGCCTCAGAAGACTGTTAAGGGGGTAAAGCTACAGGTCTCTGAGACAGACTGGGTAGGATTTAGGTTATCTGTGCTGACAGAGTGTAGTGTAGCCCCATGACTCCCACTTAAGAGTGTGGGCAGGACCTGTGACTTGATTCTAGCCAAGATAATATGGCAAAGGTGGAGGGTTTTAGCAGATGTGATTAAGGTCCCAAATCAGTTGATTCTGAGTTAGGCAAAATGAATTCTGCCAACAACCTGAGGCAGCTTTGAAGCAGCTCTTTCCCCAGTTGACCTTCCAGATGAGAATACAACCTTCCACAACTAGGCTGTAGCACTGTGAATCCCTGAGCACAGGACCTAGCTGAGCTGTGTCCAGATTCCTGACCCAGGAAACTGCAAGATGATATATGTGTATTGCTTTAAGCTGCTAAGTTTGCATTAATTTGTTATGGAGCAATAGAAAACTAATACAACATCCAAGGGTCCTGGGGTTGCCACCCTGGGAATAGCTGGTGAGCAAGATAGTCAAAGCTAGCACTTAGAGAGAATTTACTATATTTGTGATATGCCAGGAATGGCACTAAAATTTCACATGGCTCTGATTACCCACAATAGTAAGCTGTACTAACCATTGTACAAAGGAGTCCTCCTCTTGAGAGAGGTGAGCAGGAGAACCCATGTTTAGTAGCACATGGTTGCTGATCTTTTTTTCCCAAGCCCAGGCAAACAATCCTCAATCAGAAAGCAAGTGATTTGTGCTTTAGAAATTCCAGAATCTGTGGGCCCTTAATCAAGGACTCTCTTTCTTTAGTCACTGCCAGCTGGATTTTAGCAAGCAGCATGAAGCCTATGGAATTTTATGTTTCCAGCAGACAGCAATGAGCCTCAAGACATTTTGGAATGCATCTCCCATTACATCTTCCATGAAATGACTCTCCCTAAAGGGAAGGCAAGAAATATTAAGACATTTTTCATTACTTACTCAGTTTTATTTAGGTGGACACAACAGTGAAGAACTCAAACATGGTTTGACCTTTATCTACAGACACAGCAGCCTGGATTTTCAGCCTTTCATTCCTTTTAAATGAAAGTCAGCAGGCTCAAAATGCAGAGCTTGGCTAAGTCACTTCTGTGGAAATATGAAATATAGTAGTGATAACCACCAAGGGCTTTCAAATTCTTGTGTTCTTCTAAGGATCCTTTCCTAACACCATGATTTGTTCTCATCTTTGTGGAAATGAAACCAAGATGGTCTTAATTTGTAAAGTCCTTTTTCCTCTGTTGGCAGTCTTCTTACAAAGGATGCAGCAAAAAGAACACATTTTTCTTTCAAAGTTTTGAAGAAATATAGTCATTAAAAAGAATTTAAATTATGCCTAAAGCACCACTTTACAGAATACCATTAAATTGTAATTACGTGCTTTTAAAAAGCCAACTTGTTAAAGAGGAGCTGATGGTTTCAGTTTTTGTAGGGAACACTTGTAACACTGCAGAATTCTACAAGGGCTTTCTCCTCTGGTGGGCAGGGAAAAAACCACTCAAGTCATGAGAAACTTTTATAGCTTTCAGGAACTTGAAGAACAACTGCTGATTAAATTTCATGCTTTAGTGACGAAGTATTTTTACAGCTAAAAAAGGAACCCAGAAACATAATACATTTCATTTAAAGCAGGCAGAAAAACCAACCACAAATTAATATCTATTGTATTCCACATGGCACTATATAATCGTTGTCAATCGTTTTAAATGGTTTCACTTTATTTGTGAAAAATAAAGCCAAAATGCCAACAACTTCCAAGAAGGAACCATTTCATCATCTCCATCCCCTCAGATAAAACCTCAATTACTGGTAATTGTACATTTCCATCAATATCCCTTTTAAAGAGGTTTATTCTGAGGAATTACTGAGACCAGGAGCTTTAAAAGCTTCAATTTCCCTAATCACTGAGAGGCAATCTTGAACTTCTATTGAACTTGGAAAGCGGTCAAGACTCACTCCATAATAAGAAGTTAAGGACTGTCACTACTTAAGGTGGAAACCTATTCATTTGCAGAAATAGTCCTCTTTCTACCAAGAGGCTAATGAGCCTCCCCTCCCCTTCCCCTCTCTAAAATAAAATCAGTTTGCCTTCTAAAATCAAATAACAGTTGCCAACAAATTAGGATTTATCCTAAGAGTTTGTCCATTCATTTCAACAAACATTTGAAGAATGCCTCATCTGGGCCAGTCTCTGTTTTAAGCACTTGCGATATAGCAGTGCATAAAAATTCTCACCCTTACAAACCTTTGATTGACCCAGGACTGACAGTAAGCAAAACAAACCAAACACGAGCACATTTTAAAAAGGTGTCTAAAAACCTGCCTGATAGCTGAGCTAATTCTCATAGGCACAAACTGCCCTGACCTGAGCTCACTCTTGGACAAGCAGTTCCCACAAATGAAACTAAACATGCAAACCAGACCCACTGTACAGGTGGAAGTTTCCAGCTTTCTCACAGTACAAGTTTAAGGTAGGACGCAGCATTTTATAGTGTTACGTCCTTCCTCCCCACATTCCTGTGAGGCGGAACAAGAACAATTACTTGACCCTGGAGGAAGACGACGCCTTGTGGTCAGGGAGAGAACAGCAGTTCATGCTGGCTGCCTCGTCTTTCCAGGCCTGCTGCTGCCCAGGCTTCTACTGACCTTGTTAGGTCTGATTCTAGAAAATGAAGGCAGGTACTCAAAAGGTACAGTTCACCCAGAAGAATGTAAATGTGACTGAGCTAAGCAAACGTACAGCTGAGTCTTAGTGTTGGGGGAAGTAGCTTTCATGAAGGCAAAGGGAGCCCCATTCTCGGCCGTATGGCTTGCTCTTCAGCCGTTGGAGTGCAGCTTTTTCAGAGGCGTGGACTAAAATGACCTCCTAAGGTGCACTGAAAATGTTGGCTGTAGATCTGAGGAGAGGGTCCATAGCTATAAAAATATTTGCAAGGGGATTGTAACCCCTCGAAGTTTAAGAACCTCTATGTTGGAAGTCTCTGCCTATCCCTTTGTAAAAGTGAAGATGTGTTGGAACGCTGCTTTCACAGTACTCTATGTCCCTCCCAGTTGCAACAATGTTGTTTCCAGCCTGGTTCAGCAGCTTGCTGGTGGTTTACTAGGCAGACATGAGCCAGAAACAAAATCAGCAACCCTGGAGTGGTCATTTAGGATCAGTTTTGTCTCCTTTTACAAAGCAATGAGTGCTTTATAAAAGCATTTCTCCTCAGGAAACTGGCTCCTCAAAAGTCGTTCTCCAAGCCAGCAGCTCACAGTAGATGGATGAGTTTACCTGTCCTAATAATACTTTTTATTATAATACTTTTATTACTGATACTTTATTATAATACTTTTATTACTGATACTGATACCTAGTAATACTTTTATTAGATGAAATGTATCCCCAGGCCTCCACATCAGCCTTCTGGGGCCCTGACAGTTGTTTACCAGTAGCTCCACAACCTCCACAGGCTTGTTCTCTCATCCCTGTGAGGGAAGGTTCAAAAGGCAACTGGATTCCTTACTATTCAAAATCACTGTGACTATTTCACACAAACTTCAACCTAGAGGATTTGCAGCTAAAGAACCTTAAGGTGGTCATCTGCCTCTGGGAAAAATGATTACTATATTCTCAAAACCAGCAGTTACAGGAACTATAGGAGAGAAAACAAAAACAATGTGCCCTCTCCCAAGAACACAGAGCATTTGCTAGGAGTTTTCTGGCATAGCCTTTACTGTGGCTACGCTTTCTCCTCTTAGGCACCAGCCCATGTTTCTGCTGCCTTTTACTGGACTCTGAAGTCCTCAAGGATGGGACCTGCCTATGCATATCTGCACATCCAACTTGGTACTGGTGCCTGGGACATCACAGACCCTACTGGAGTTCAGAGAGTGGGAATGGCTTGGAGACTTCCTGGTGTCCTAAAATATCAATTTTTACCGTTTCAAAATAGAAATTAAGGATAGTCTACAGAAGATGAAGCTTTTTGTAAAAAAAAAATCATATCCTAGAAAATGTATCTCGTAAATCTTTTTAAATTTTCAAAAGAAACCAGTGTAGAAACTTGTGATGGAACATCTCAGATACGGCAATATAATAATTTTGCAAATTCCATTATTTAGGTTACTGCCATTTCTAAGTCACAGAATAATTCAACAGTAATAAATATCATGTAACAGAATAATTTAACGCACTGATTGCTACTTTGATATTTATCATCAGCTTTCCATTTCAGAAAACATCACAGAAGTACAAATAAAATCTGCTTTTCTGAATATTCCAAAAGGCAGACAGCAGCTTATATAATTTCCGTTCTTCAGAAAACAGTAATTAGATTATGTAAACAACTGTCCGTAAGAGCTAAAAGTAAACTTGGAGGTTCCTGAGGATTACTGAACTTATGCAACATGCTAACTTTCTAAGACTAAAACTGGGAAGTTCCACAGATGTTAAAGATTTTTGTGTGTGTGTGTAAAATGTGAACATAGGATCTATTTACATAGTTGGAATTGGGAACAGTTTTTAACATGTTCTGAATCAGCTTTAAATGTTTATGAAATAAGCTTACATTTGTCTTATCCAACCATTTATAATCTTTATTCTATAATTCTCCACCAGTGCTAGAATTTTCTTCCCAAATGGCCTCAATTCGGACACTGAATAAACGATAATGAATTTTTTAAAGCTGTGCTTAAATATAAACAAAATAAACCGCTAAGTTTTTCTGGCTCCAAGCACGCCATATGAAGCATGCCAATGTCACTTATGTGCCCTGATCACATTCAGGCAAAGTGTTCTTCACTTTAAATACTCCTGTGTTCCATTATTGTTTAAGTAAAATCCTATTTCAAATGCCTTTGATAACAGAGAAACCGCCTGTAGACAAACTCTTTGAAAGTGACTGAATTAATGTCTTCTGTGATGTCAGATTTCCCCACTGGGCTCTTTTGGAAGCATTCTTCCTGAATTGAAGTCACTGTGAATATCCTTTAGATTTCATCTTGTTAACTCAGTTTTCAGTCAGAGCAGCACTTGGGCCTGCTGCCCTTCAAGGCACAGTGCAACAAATAGTGGTTACGGGATTTCCATCAGCCAAGGTTGACAACTAACAATGTAAAGAGAGCTCGAGTGTGGGCCAAGGCATCGGACCTTACACCTAACTTAGGACATAGGTCGACCTATGGATTATTAGCCAGTGAATGCTTTTCTTGTCTAACAGTCTTTAAGGGCACATAAGAAACTCACGTTAAATTATACCCTGACATATTATTATTCCATGAAAACAAAACAAATCTTCCAAAGTGCTTGTTTTCCAGTAGCTCTGGGTCTTGTCTCACCACGGGTACAGAAAGGTATTGCTCCGAGGCTCTGACAGGGCTACTGCTCTTGACTAATTGTTCTTGTCTTTCTGCTTTTCATTTGATGAGGACTTACACATAGTTACTTGCTGCAGTTTACTATCTCTCAGGTGCTTCCTATGGGAAGTTCATAAACCATTCTTCCATAACCTTTTGTTGATCACCATTTCCATTAGGGACTCAATAAGACATGCTCAGTATCTCCACCAAGAACCATTTATTGCAAACCAGCTGTGAAACCAACAGGGGTGCTTTAGCCAAATTAAATCCCATGTCGCAGAAGTCACAGATTTACAGCTCAAGGAAAAAAATCATCAGCAAGAAGAATCCAGAAGTCTCTGTCGGGCATTCTTCTCTCCATTATTTGCTTTAGTTTCACTGTCTATGTTCATACCTGTCAAAATTGAAAACAAATATTTATGACAGAAACATAGCAGGAATTACCAATACTAATCAATTTTTCTTCTGCCAAAAATTCCTCTCACAGTCTATACCATGTTTTGCTTCTTGGCCTAACTAAAAGAATCAATAAACTTTTAGTCCCCTTTGAAAGAGAAAGTCAGAGAGTAACAGAGAAGGAGATCAGAGGTAGAAAGGAAAGCCAGTAAGATAAGACAAAAATAAGCAAGAAAGACAAGGAAGATTGCTGAGCAAGAGAGAGTGTGAGACAGACAGAGAAGAGGGAAAAACCAGAAAAAGCACAGAAGTTATTCTTCTTTGGAAATGTAGAGCAGCACCAATTCTTTTCCTCTCTCTCCTTATACTGAGGGGTTCCCACTCCCCCTACCCCGCACCTTGGTATTAAGGTTTTTAATGCTTGGAAATGGTTTAAATGATGGGCAGGGTAAAGACTGTCAATATTCCCACAAGGCTGCTGCAAAGGCTCTCGGTAGACTCCCGTAGCCTCTGCCAAAAGCAAACCCTACCTTGGAGCTCTGCCGTCTGGTTCCCCTGCTCCTCTCTCATCTCTGCAGACATGGGAGTTTTGCCATCAACAACATCCATCTTGATCATGCCAAGGTTTGTCAGGAGTAGCATTGGGTCGATCCCCTGACCACTGCTCTTAATATTCTCCAGTACCTTAAGACACTTGTATGACTTGACCTCACTTATATTTTCCTCCAAGAAGAGATTGTAGAGGCTCAAATCGTTGTACCCTTCAGATTTGAAATGCAGAACATCAAAAGTGGGGAGGATTTCGTACACTTTGAGAACATCTGTCTTCTGTCGGAATGGAACAAACAGCGTGTAGACAACCACGGGAGCCAGCAGGACATAAACCACAAGGTTAATGACACTGAGCAACTGGAAGATGCCCACGGCAATGAGTTTGCACTGAAACTGATCGGGCACGGTGCTGTCGTTTCTCAGGATCCCTGATTTGATGCTGCACACAAACTCGTCTGAGAGTGAGGAGAGGCTGAAGTAATAGCCCAGGTAGATACACGCTAACAGTATAATGATGAGTGTCAGCAGGCGGCAGCTAATGTACTTGATGATTAAATTATTAGAATTTTTCTTTGTCTTCAAGTACTGCTCCACAATTGGGTACTTGAAGTGGCTTTCAGATACCTCCCACAAACTAAAAAATAAAGGAAACAAAAATAACTTAGGCACTCATCAAGACCATCAAATATTAAAGGCAGATACACATTCAACAATGTCACACTAAAAATTTCAAACACCCATACTTCTTTACCTACAACGTCAGTAGTCAAAAATAAAATCCGTTTAAAAGAGGAGGAAGAAAAGGAATAATAAAATGCTTTTCCCCTTAATATTTAACAGAAGGCCTAGTTAATTAAATGAGTTAATATTTGGAAATTTTTAGAGTGATGCCTGGCATCTGGTAAATCCTAAATATGTGTAAGCATACGCCTCTTACAGGCAAGGGGTGGGACAACTCAGGGGGTATGGGCAAAAACTATGGGGTCTAAAGGGCATGGTTCAGTTCCCAGACTCTCACTTACAGCTACAGAAGAGTATTTTTATCCAGAATAAAAGTGGAGGAGGAGGTTAACAAATGCACTAGTAATGTTGCTCTGAGGGTTAAAGGAGATAATGTACTTAAATAACTCAATACGGTGTGTGAGATATATTAAATATTCAAAAAATGATGGCTCTTATTATTATTCCAATTATTCAATAACAAGAACCAAAAGAAGGTTGTGAAAAGGCAAGCCACGACCTACTCATTCCCCATTTCTCTCTCATCCCTTGCTCAGCTGCCTTGAAATCCTCTGTGCGTCTCCATTAAGGAGTTAAATAGATCAAAGCAAGCAAGCTTCATATAGCACCTCAATCTGTTACCCCTACAAGAACTGCATTTTTAAAATGAGATGTAATGTTTCACTCATCAAGGGAATGAGTCTTGACAGAAGGATAAACAAATGGGTAGGATGGGTCGCGGTGAGATTTGGGGAGAGTGGACATCCCGGGATACTACAGGCTGTCACTAGGTGCATGACGTCCCCCTGCTTCCACTCCTGCCCCGCCTCCTAGCAATGAGAACTCTGGGCCCAGACTGGCAGTAGAAGGGCAGAGAATTTGTCCTACAAAACCCGATGAGCTGCCTGCTGGGGCTAAGTTACCTTTGCCCTAAGTTCTCGGTAACACCTGGAACTGAGCAGGCTCCATCTCTCATGTCAAGGTCACGCGCACTCTTTGCAGCCTTAATTGCACGGTTGTAAACTTTGTCAAGTTCTTCCATGATAAACTTCAAGTCTGAGCAAATATGAGGAGCAGCTGCGAAACGCCAGAACAGCGGGGGCAGGTACAGGAGGATCGCAAAGAGCAGCAGGATGTAGGGGAAAAACTGAAAAACAAGAGAACAAATCATGGGCTTAACAAACCCCCCATGCAGTAACCTATGGCGCCAAGTGATGCTCTCATTTTCTCACATCTTGAGACAAATGTGTATTGTGGAAATTGGGCTCATTACCTAATAACTACTTCTTATGGCTAAATTCCCCTGTCCAGGTAATACCTGTCACAGGTAACTACCTATTTTTTTTTCTTCCATAGGTATTAATTTGAAGTAATCAGCAACTGCATGGTGACACATGGTGTGTACGTTCTAATCACAGAAGGAAAATAAAAAAATAAAATTACTCCCGTTCCCTGAACAAAATCCCAGTTAAGAAACCTGCAGCTATCACGAAGGCTTCTGCTGGGTTTTTGTTAACTTTTATGGTTTTAAGAAGCAACTAAGGCATACGGCTCCATTTTTGCCCTACTCTGGAATCTGGGAAAATGCCAAAGAAACATGTAACTTCCCCCAAAACAAATTAGAAAAGCTTCGACTTCAGTGATTCAGTAATCATCCCAATAAGACAGCTGAAATAAGCAGTTGAATTCACAGAATGCAGAATGAATGTGGAACAGACTTTGAAGGCAGTCCAACACCCTCATCGTATAGTTGGATAAACTTGGGCTCAGAGAGGCCATCCACAACGGGCAAGGGAATCAAGAGGAGAGCATCCACATCAGGGTGCAGACACACACCAAACAAGAGGGGATTCACACGTCAGAGAGGGTGAGGAGCACCCCAGTAACCAGGACCACCAGTTGGTCAGAGGTGGCTTAGCCTCAGCAGAAGACTTAGGAAGACCGTAAATTGCAGTCAGTGCAGATCTGAATTGAAGCTCAGCATTGCGGCCTTGGGCAATCATGTCTACTCTGCAGAACTAAGTAGCTGCGACAGTGACCATGTGATCTGCAATGACAAAAAAACTTTATGATCTGGCCCTCTGCAGAAGTTTGCTGACCCTGGTCTAGGCCCTTGATGTCACTTTCGACTATCCTTTTGCGTGATCTTCTAATCAGCAATAAGACATAAGAGTATTGCTTTTTGTTTGCTCTTTGCCTTCTTGGACAAAACTGCTTCTTTTCCTTTCTGTTCCCTAATTAGAACCCTCACTCTGTGCTTACCAAGTGGCTCTCCCTGCCTCTATTCTCTCCTGTACACCATTACTGAGGCTTAACTCTTGGAACCGCCAAGTTCACCCTGCTCAGGTACCTGCAATGGCTCCCGCTGTCCCCAGCATTTAGCCCATCCATCTGGTTAGTTTTCAAAGTCTCTGACCCTCAGTTTCCTTATGTATGAAATGGTCATGGAATAGAGGTGTCATGAAGATTAAAGGAGATAATTGATGGAAAATGCTTAGCAAAGGGCCTGGCATAGAACAGGCACTCAAACACTCCAGGTAACCACAAAAAGATTAGCTAGGTGGACACGTTATGTTCAGTCCTCACAGCAACCCTGGCAGGGACTCTATAGATGGCTCCATTCTGCAAATGGGAAGAGAAAGCCGGGAGCAGTTTCTGGCCCCAGATCACAAAGCTGGTAAGTGAGAGTCAGACTATGTTGCCAACCTCTCTGACCCCAGAGACATCTTTTTCCAATCTAACACACTCTCAATTACTTTACTCCTCTGGAAAACTTCTCCTTACTTTTGGATGGGTCTATCTCCACCATTTCTCAGAGTTGTAATGGACGAGGCCATGATGGCCGTAAGTTGACATGAAACCCTCCCCTCAAAACATTTCTGGGAGTGGACGGCAGCCCCCACAACATGGCCCTCACTGTAATTTCAGATGTACAGAGCATTCCCATAAGCCCCTCACTCAGTTTCCCCCATTGCTAATGACTCATATTTCTGTGATATATTTGTTAAGACTAAGAAGCCAACATCGGCACATTATCAGAAACTAAACTTCAGACTTTTATTTGTAAAGTACAGTAGTAGTTTTTCCCCTACTGTCCTCTTCCTGTTCCAAGATCCAATCCAGGGTACTCACTGCATTTAGTTGCCATGTCTCCCTAGACTCCTTGGTTTTGTGACAGTTCTTCAATCTTTCCTTGTTTTTAAATGCATAAAATAATATATATATAGGTTCACAAAGGAAATAGAGCACTGATATACAGTTACCAAAATATTAATATTTTGCATCCAATTCTTTATTCATACTTAAATTAGGATCTAGCAGATGATCTAACAGCTATTGAAACTTTGAAGTAGTGAAGAGTAAACGATATTCCAGGATATCTGTGATTTTCTGTGGGTGACAAACTCACAGGTACTGCTAATATCACTATGGATTGTTGCCTACATAAAAACTTTCTTAATGCTAAATTTTATTTGGAAGTGAATAAAAAATAAAGCTGTCATATATTTTCCTATCCTAGTTTGCAGGCCTCCTGTCACTATCACAGACCCACATAAGGAATCTCTGCCCCAGACGCAAGACAGAAATAAGCACAAATGACCCCAAAACTTTGCAAAGCCCTCTTACCAAGACAGCTGCTTTACTTTGGCATTCTGGCACGGGATGAGGTGTTTCAAAAGTATTAACCCAATTTGCAAAGGGCTGCTACACAATGACACACAAAGCAGGCTGTGATTAGCTGAATTTTGGCTGCATAATTCATAGCTGGCTGTGGGGAGAAGGAATGTTCATTTAATTCTTGCCCAATCAGAAGGGTGCCCATTAGTTTAAAAACATAAGTGCATGACACAGAGTTTCTGCTGCTTCCATAACCACGAAAGCCAGGCATTCTATCTGGGAACCACAGGGAGAAAACTTTTTCTAACATGGGCTTGTGAAACATCTGTATAAGTCACTTTTGTTTCAAAGCTATTTGAATAATGGCATTTCACTTCGAACTGTTCCCTTGAATTAAAAAGTGACTATTTACAGTCTGTGGTATTTTTAAACATGCCCAAGTGGTACAATAATTTGGTACAATAAGTGGTACAATGAATAGTTCAGCACAGCTCATTGTAATTAGAAAAACAAATTACATATAGGGTGTAAATTTCCCTAAAATAGCCTTGTACCTTGATCACCACTATAATAACATCATTTAATGCCACATCTCTTGGTTTTCTCCACACTAAAACCTCTTTTTATTTTTTTCCCACCAAAATAAAAAGGCAACTTTCAGTGATTCTATAAAAATGTAGTAAAACAGGAAATAAGAATCCAAAATAACACAAAATTACAGTCTTTAATTTCAAATAAGAAATATGGAAAAGCTGCAGGGCTTTGAGGGTGCATCTGCAGATGGAAACAGCTTTGTTCATAAGCTGTGTCAACTCCACATTAGGCCTGGGATGCTCAGCATCTCTTGAAGCCATGATGGCACTATTCTGCATGATGTTCGAGTGAGTATTGAGCTCTTCCAAGAATAGGGAAACTTCTCAAATCATTGTGGGACCAAGCAGCTGTCCAACTACAATTTTCAGTCTATCTGCCTTAAAAATGTGTGCTGTTTCTGGAATGGGTTATAGTTAAAACAACAGAAACCTCCAGATGGAAGGAACCTAGAGGGTGAGCAGTACAACTTCCCTCCATATTCAAATCCTCTCTACCTCATCGAAGGCAAAGAACCATCCAATTCGGACTGAACAACTCCTCCCCTAAAATGCATGTGACCTCATCTTAGGGGATTAAGTGCAGATGGGTAAATTCACTCAAAAACATCTCCTGGGGACCTGCTATGTGCTAGGCAGTGGGCTGGATGCACGGCCCCCACAGACTAGGCACAGAGTCTGCCCCAAGATTACACAGGACAGATGGGAACACAAGCTGATAATTAAATCATCAAAACATGTAGGTACTAAGCACTGAGGGAACAGAAAAGTCCCTGGGGAGGTGGTCAGGGAAGCTTCATAAAAGAGGTAACACCTGAACTATGTCTTAAAGTACAGTGCGGCAATAAAATAAAACAAAGCCTTATGTTAAGACTCAGCACAAATGTCACCTCTGTGGCCCTTTGGAATCCTCTTTCCTCTGCTTGGAATCCTTTCCTCCGTGTTTGTCTGTTGAATTCTCACTCATCCAGAGCACCAAGGTAAATGAACAAGCCTGTGAGTGAGGAAGTAGACAGAGCAGAGGCTGGAAGGGTGTGCTGGCTTGAATACTGCCCCCCAACCCTAACTAATGACCACCTGGAACCTCAGAGTGTGATACTGTTTGGAAATAGGTCTTTGCAAATATAATTAGTTAAATTAAGATAAGGTCATGATAAATTAGGGTGGGTCCTAATCCAATGACTTGTGTCCTTATCAGAAGGCCAAATGAAGACACAGAGACACACAGGAAGAAGCCTGTGATGACAGAGGTAGAGACTGGAGTGATGCATCTACCACCCTAGGAACACAGAGGACTGCCAGCAGCCACCAGGAACTAGAAGAAAGCACATCACAGACTCTCCCTGAAAGCACCAAAAGGAGCCAATTCTGGCAACACCTTGATTGTGGACTTCTGGCCTCCAAAACTAGGAGGAAATACATTTCTGTTGTAATTTGTTATAGCAGATCTAGGAAACTCACAAAAAGTGTAAGCAGAGACTGAATTAAGAGGGCCACAAATTCCCACACCATACACAATGGGGTACCACTGGTAGAGGGCAAAATCAAATATATTCCAGAAAACCACTACAGAGGCAAAGAAGAAACACATGGGAAGGAGAGAGACCAGGCAGGAGGTCACTGTGGCAGAGAGGCAGGAAGAGAAGACAGATCTGAGAGCAACAGATGGGGGAGACATACACTTCAGTGTCCACACAGAAGAGGGGGACGGAAAAGGAGAAGAACTGAGGATCACGCCGGGTGTGTAGCTCATGCAAGGGCATGACGGGGTGGAACCTTCAGGTGAAATAAATGAAGAGTCCCAGATTCAGAGCAGACGGGAGTGAGGTGGGAGGCAGACCTGAGAAGATGAGAAATTTTGAACATGAGATACCTGCAGTCAAAACGCCCTGGTCTGTAGTAGATAACTGAAAATAAAGGAAAAGAATCTAGCTGTACAATTCAGGATTTGGCAGCACATATGTGGTCAAAGCCAACTGTATGGTTAAGATCATCCAAGGAGAATGGGCAGAAGGAGAAGACCAGAAGACCACGAACAGGCCTGAGACCCTATAACATTTAAGGGTCAGGCAAAAAGAGAATCTTGGAAGAAATGGAGAAAAGCAGTCAGAAAGTAGGAAGTAGGTAAACCAAGAACATCCTGCACTGGGGAAGTGGAGTAAAAAGATGCATGAAGGATGTCTGTTCTGGCTATATGCTGTTCAGGTAATACCGCACTTACAGACAATCCTAGACAGCGGGAGTCAAGAGTGAACAGCTACCCCAGAAAGCTAATGTGCACTCCCTGAGAAGCTTACAGAAGGCAGAAAATACAGATGGCATGGCTTCTATTCAGCACCAAAGGTGCTGTGGTTTGCACTGGGTGACATTCTGGAGTGCAGCTGGAGGGAACCCATCATGGGGAGAGCCCTGGAGAAGACAGCGAGCAAAGTATCTGTTCACAGAAGGAGGAAAAGATGCCTACCAAGATAAGTAGAACCAAGTGACAAGGAGCAGCCTTCCCACGGATCTATGAAATGCAATGAATTGTCCTATGAGGCAAGGAGCTCCCTTTCAATACAGTTTGTGATCATCTGGGAGAGCTTGAGTATTCCAGATTAAGGGTCCATAGGGTTTTCTTGTAAAGGGCCAGAGAGTAAATATTACAGGTTTGAGAGCTACATGGTCTCTGTTGCAGCTGCTCAACTCTGCCATTATAGTGCAAAAGCAGCCACAGATAATGTGTGAACAAATGGGGCACAGTTGTGTTCCAATAAAATTTTATTTACAAAAACAGGTATGGACTGATTTGGCTCAAGCATGTGTGTCCTAGTCTGCCAACCCTGGCTCTGGATTCTTGCTTCTCAAAGAGTGGTGTGGTCCATAGACCACAAACCTCAGTTATCACCTGGCAGTCTGTTATAAATGCAGAATTGCAGGTCCCTATCAGACCTGCTGAATCAGAGCCTAAAGTTCAACAAAATCCCCAGGTGATCTGCATGCACAGAGAATTTGAGAAATGGTGTAGATGGGTGGTGCCCACATTGTACGGCAAGATGGGCTCACATCAGAATCTCCTGGGAAGCCGATAAAAACCACATTCCTGACCTTAACCACAGAAGCTCCAACCTAATGGCCTAGATGGCCTCGGGAGCCTGAATTTTCACAAGGCCACTCTGGCAATGCTAAGGTTTGGAAGCCTCTGGTCTGAAAGCCTCAGAGGATTCCTCCAACCAAGTTTCTATGAGTCTACTTAAGAGAAATAAAGATTTGCCCACTCTCCTAATTTTGTTCTTGTTTTTCTTATTGTTTTTTTCAGTCAAAAACGGACTTTCCTGTTTCAGAGAGAAATCTTACTAATAGTTGCCTCCCGCATTCTAAACTTGAACAAAGGGAACAGAACACTCAAAGGAAAAAAAAAAGCCAGTTCTCAAGCAGTGTTAGAGCGCCACCTACTGGGTGCCCCCCACCCCCCGAGACTGTACCCACATCTCCAGCAAAGGCCTCACAGTGTGTCCTTAGAGGTCATCAGTAGTGCATGGAGTGGGAGAGAAAGGGAGGAGGAAGACAGGGAGAAATCAAAGTCGGTTGGAGAAAAATGACACCATTGATCATACCAGTGTCATACCAGTGCTGACTTAAATATTACACTGAATAACTTCTTTGGGGTAACTGAGCTCTCCTAACTTCAGCATCAGAATTAAATTGAGAAGTGCTGAATAAACCCTGTGCCTCTAATCCCCCATCCTTTGTCAGGATGCTCCTGGAGAACCAAGTCTGGTTCTGAACAGGACACACAACTACCTCACTGCCCTCTTCCCTTCCGCATATAGTCTTCAAGCACCCACTATGGACTACGCATTGTCTCAGGGGTACATGGATAAACAAGACATGGTCATGGTCTCTGCCTGCATAAAGCTTACAGTCTTAAGAGATAAAGAATTAATAAAGCAGAATTATGGCAAGATATTTTCATGTCAAGCTTCCATTTTATTTGAAAGTGCTTGGGGAAGGCCTTGGAGGGCAGGAGGCAGAGACAGGGAGTGGGATGCCTGAAGTTAGTTTCAAGTGACAGCAAGTTCAGAATGAGGTGGCCACAGGAACTCATGATGGAGATGGAAATGGAAAGGAGGTAAAAGTTCTTGCAGATGAGACAGAGACTGAGGCTAGATGTGCCATCCAGGAGGACACAGAAGTCACCTTGGGGTGGTGAAGGAGGATGAGCATGACTGAGTCCTGAATGAATGAGGGGTGACTGGGAGAATGACAGCAATGAGGAGGGCATGGGGAAGGCATAGCCAGTATCCAGAACAGCTAAGGAACTGAGTTTTCTATGAAGAAACAGTAGCAAGGTAAGAAATACAGGCATGGGAAGAAATTACGCAAGTCCATGAGCACGCTGAACTAAGGAACTCCTGGGTCAACAGTGGGCTCCCCTGCTGGACAGCAATTGTGCCAGAAAGACTCTCCTTGTGTTGAACTGCAGCTCATCAGCAGGTGACCATCACCTACAGGCTACAGTCCAGAATTCTCAAGCCACAGAAGTTAGAACTGGACCTTCTCACATGGGAAACATGTCTGAAATCTGAAGAAGGATGTGGGCTCACCTGCCATCTGGCTGTGCGACCTCAGAAAAGGCACTGATCACTCTGGCCCTCGGAGCCTGAATGAGAGGACCCTAACAGCTTAACAGTCCCGAGTCTGCTCAGTGTGGAGAAGCCACAAGAAAACCTTTTCATCTTTGAAAGAGAATCCAGCAATTCCACTTTGGGGTATGTATCCAAAAGAAACAAAGTGAGGACTCGAACAGATGTTCACAGCAGCAATATTCACAATAGCCAATAAGGGCAAGCAACCCAAGTATGCGCTGATGAACGGATAAACAAAATCTCGTACAAATTTACAATGGGATGTTATTCAGTCTTAAAAAGGAAGGAGATTCTGATGTATGTCACCACATTAATGAACTGTGAAAACATTTTCTTCAGTGAGATAAGCCAGACACAAAAGGACAAATATTGTATGGTTTCACTTATATGAGGTATCTAGAATAGACAAATGCAGAGAGACAGAAAACAGAATGGAGGTTGCCAGGGGCTGGGGGGATGGGGAAATGGAAAATTACTGCTTAATGGATGCAGGTCTCAGTTTGGGAAGATGAAAAATTCAGGAGATGGGTAATGGCGATGGTTTCGCAACAATGTAAATGTACTTAATGCCACTGGGCTATATACCTACAAAGAGAAAGGTAAATTTTATGTTATGTATATTTTATCAAAAAAGAAAAAGAAAAACTTGAAAAAGAGATCAACGTAGAAATAAAGCAGCTGCGATTACTGAATCTGGCCTAAGAAAGCCATGCACTAATATTCCTATCTGGTATAGGTTTTATTTCTCCAATTAGGCTGAATCTTCATTTCTCTCTAACTCCTGGCATTACCAACCAAATCCCACAAATTTGATGGCTTAAAACCACAGAAATTTTTTCTTTCATGGTTTTAGAGGTGAGGAGTTCAAAATCAAGGTGCTAGCAGGGCCATGCTCCCTCCCGAGTCTCCATGGCAGGATCCTCCCAGCGTCTTCCAGCTTCCAGTCGCCCCAGCATTCCTTGGCTTGGCTGCATAACTCCAATCCAGCCCCCTGTGGGCATGCGGCTGTTTTCTCCCTGAGTGTCTTCATGTTGTCTTCCCTCTGAGCATGTCTGTGTCCAAATTCCCCTCTTCTTATGAGGATAGCAGTCATACTGAGTTAAAGGCCCACCCTACTGCAGTAAGACCCCATCTTAACTAATTACATCTGCTATAATTATATTTCCAAATAAGGTGTCACAGTTTAGGGCACACTGGGTTAAAACTTCGACATATCTTTTGGGGGACACAATTCAGCCCATGATACCACCCAAATGTAGAGTTAGCCTAAGTCTCAGTCCTCACCTTACTCGCACTCTTGGCAGCATCTGACACAGGTTATCACATTGACACCATCTTTCTTTACAAGATACCCTGCCTTTCAAGCATACAGCACACTGTTTAACTTTCCTCATCACCCCACCTCTCTGTGTCTCCTCTGTTGACTGGTCCTACCCCACCCTCTCTCCATGTTGGAGCAGCCCTCAGACCTTGCCCCTGTCTACATATAATCACCCCCTAAGAAACACCATCCACTCCTATAGCTTTAAACACTATCTATTTTCTGACAATCTGCCATATCTATAGCTCTATTCTAGCCTGCAATCTCCAGATACCATATCTCACTGCCCACCTGACACATCATCTGGACCACAGCACCTGATTCAACATGTTCAAGCAGAACTCTTTGATTTTCCTCCAAAATCTGCTTCTTCACCAGGCTTCTTCAAGTGTCATGAAGGTGTCATTCCATCCGGTGCCTGAAACCTTGGTCATGTCCTTAATCCTGATCTTTCTCTCATCTTCCCATGTCCAATCAGCACATCTTGTTACTTCCGTATCTTAGAAAAGATGCCCTGAGTCTTAGAAAAGATGCACTTCCCACCTCCACTGCTGTCACCCTAGATCTCAACTGCTGTCACTCTAGACCAAGGATCAGCAAACTGCTGCCCCTGAGCCAAATCTGGCCACAAGCAATCATGTCTACTCTGCAGAACTAAGTAGCTGCGACAGTGACCATGTGATCTGCAATGACAAAAAAACTTTATGATCTGGCCCTCTGCAGAAGTTTGCTGACCCTGGTCTAGGCCCTTGATGTCACTTTCGACTATCCTTTTGCGTGATCTTCTAATCAGCAATAAGACATAAGAGTATTGCTTTTTGTTTGCTCTTTGCCTTCTTGGACAAAACTGCTTCTTTTCCTTTCTGTTCCCTAATTAGAACCCTCACTCTGTGCTTACCAAGTGGCTCTCCCTGCCTCTATTCTCTCCTGTACACCATTACTGAGGCTTAACTCTTGGAACCGCCAAGTTCACCCTGCTCAGGTACCTGCAATGGCTCCCGCTGTCCCCAGCATTTAGCCCATCCATCTGGTTAGTTTTCAAAGTCCCCTGTAACCTAGCCTACCCTGCATCATAGTTAATCAAGGCCCCAATGCCCCCAACAGGCCACGCCTCCCCCAGAAAGTGCTTCCCACCCTCCCAGACAGTGCTTTTTTTGTGCTTTTGGGCCTGTATTTTCCTTCCAGTTGTCACCCAGCTTGTTCCTCTCTCTTCTGGTTATCAGGAAGAGAGAGTTTATGAAAAGGGAAAAAAAATTGTGAAGAAATTGTCTAATCATCTTCATTTCCTTACCTCCCATTCACTCTTCACCACAGCCATCTGCCTCCCACTTCTCCACTAAAATCATTCCTGCTGGATCCCCAATATTTTCATTAAATCCAGTAAGTTGTATTTCTCCCAGACTGCACTGGCTTCTCTGCAGCAGCATTTAACAGAGTTCACTACTGTCTGAAACACTCTCCTTTTACCATTTAGCTGATTATTCCCTCTCACTGCCTTCTTCCATGTTTATTTTTTCCACTAAACAACAAGCTCCTTGATGAAGGGACCATGTCATCTGTGGCTTTCTGCCACTGCACATACATTCCAGCATATGGTAGGCCCTCAATCAACGTTAGCTGAAATCAACTGTGACTAAATGTTTTCAGCTCAAGAATTTCTATTTGATTATTTTGGTGCAGTTTTCAGTCAGTTCTACGTAAAAAATCTCCATATAATCATAATTCTTTGAATATATGATTAATGATTAGTTAAAATGCATGGTTGATCAATCCACTATCTGGATCTCCAACAGGTTTGTTTCTATTTCTGATTTTTCTCTTGGTTTTCTTGTACATCTAGTTATTTCCTAGTGAGTGCTGAATATCATATGTGAAAAACCTGAGCAAGAATTTGACAGTACATAAGAGGAGGCAGAGCAAAATGGCTGAATTGAACCCTCCAATGATTGACCCCCATTAGGAGATAGACAATATAAAAAGATATAAAGTATCCATGCAAGAAAGCACCCTCCTAAGAACTAAAAAATCAGAGGAGCAATCACTGTACCTGGTTTTAACATAACAACGAAAGTGGCATTGAAGAGAGTAGGAAGTACGGTCTTGCACTGCTTACACCACCCCTCCCCTAAACCCAGGCAGTGCAGTCTGGAGAAGAATCCGTGTGCTTGAAGGAGGGAGAGCAAAATGAGTATGCGACTTTGCACTGGAACTCAGTGCTGCCTTGTCAAAGCCTCACACAACACCAGGCAGACTTCTGCCAGGTCCCACAAAAGAAGCATTTAGACCAGCCCTGGGCCAGAGGGGAATCTTCTGCCCCAGTGGGAGAAAAGTGACTCCTGCTGGCTTCACCACCAACTGACTAAAGTGACTTAGGGCCCCAAATAAATCTGAGTGCCAATCAGGACATAGTAACTGTAGGCCTTGGACAAGCCCTGGTGCTGCACTGGTCTTAGAAGCAGTGGGCTTGGGATGTGACCCAGTACGACATTAACTGTACCAGCCATGGGAACACCTGCATCACCTCTCTCCCAACTCCAAGCAGTGCAGCTTGGGGAGAGATCTTTCAACTTGGGCAAAGGAGAGGAAAGAGTACAGAGGATACTGTCTTGCAACTTAGATATCAGGCTCAGTCACAATAAAATAAAGCACCAGATAGATGCCTGATATAATATGCAGGTATGAGAAGGTTAAAGGACACAAAGAAGACTCAACCCAAGCAAGACTACCTCAAGGAATACAATAATCCAACTTTCAAAGGTGAAGGACAAAGAAAGGATCCCAAAAACACCAGGTGAAAAGATGCAAATTACATATAAAAGAGTTCCAAGATATCTGGCAGCAGACTTTTCAGTGGAAACCTTACAGTCCAGGAGGGAGTGGGATGACATATTCAAAGCACTAAAGGAAAAAAGCTTCCAACCTAGAATATCATCACCAGCAAAGTTATCCTTCAAACATAAAGGTGAAATAAAGACTTTCCCAGACAAACAAAAGCTGAGGTATTTCATCAACACTAGAACTGTCTTACGAGACATGGTAAAAGGAGTTCTTCAGTCTGAAAGAAAAGGATGGTAAGGAGCAACAAGAAATCATCTAAAAATACAGACTCACTGGTAAAAGTAAGTACACAGACAAATACAGAATACTCTAACACTGTAATTGTGGTATGTAAACCACTCATACCTTAAAATGAAGACCCTAAGGTAAACGTATCAAAAATAATCATAATTACAAGTTGTTAGGAGATACACAATATAAAAAGATATAAAGTGACAAGAAGTCGAAAGCGAGGGGGGGATGAAGTTAAAGTCCAGAACTTTTTAGTTTTCTTTTGGCTTGTTTTTTTATTTTCATTGTAATTGGAATTAAGTTATCTTCAGTTTAAAATAATTGGTTAATAACATAACCAATAATAATAATAATAGTTATTACTATTATATTACTTGAAACAGAGTTTCACTCTTGTTGCCCAGGCTGGAGTGCAATGGTGCGATCTCAGCTCACTGCAACCTCTGCCTCTTGGTAAGTTCAAGTGATTCTTCTGCCTCAGCCTCCCGAGTAGCTGGGATTACAGGCATGCACCACCATGCCTGGCTAATTTTGTATGTGTAGAAGGGACAGGGTTTCTCCATGTTGGGCAGGCTGGTCTTGAATTCCTGACCTCATGTGATCTGCCTGCCTTGGCCTCCCAAAATGCTGGGATTACAGGCATGAGCCACTGTGCCCGGCCACATAACCAATTATTTTAAACGGAAGATAACTTAATTCCAATCACAGCCTCATGTGCAGCCTCATGGCAAACAAAGTAAAAGCCTATAATAGATACACAAAAAATAAAAAGCTGAGAATTTTTAATTGGAGCATTTAGCCCATTTACATTTAAAGTTAATATTGTTATGTGTGAATTTGATCCTGTCATTATGATGTTAGCTGGTTATTTTGCTCATTAGTAACAAACCTGCACGTTGTGCACATGTACCCTAAAACTTAAAGTATAATAATAATAAAATTAAAAAATTAAAAAAAATAAATAAAAATAAAAAGCAAGAAATTAAAACATACTACCAAAAAAATCATTTATACACAAAGGAAGACAGAGAAAAAGGAAAAAAAGAGAAACTAACAAAACAACCAGAAAACAAATAACAAAATTGCAGTAGTAAGTCCTTACCTATCAATAATCACATTGAATGTAAATGAACTAAATTCTTCAATCAAGAGAAAGAATGGCTCACTGGATAAAAAACCAAGACCCAACCAAACGCTGCTGACCAGAAACTCACTTCACCTATAAGACACATATAGGCTGAAAATGAAGGGCTGAAAAATATATTCCATGCAAACAGAAACCAAAAAAGAGCGGGAATAGCTATACATGTATCAGATAAAATAAATCTCAATACAGAAACTGTAAAAAGATAAAAAGTAAGTCATTATATAATGATAACGGGATCAATTCACTAAGAGGGTGTAACAATTGTAAATATATAAGCACCCAATGCTGGAGCACTCAGATATATAAAGAAAATATTATTAGAGCTAAAGAGGGATAAAGCCCAATATAATAATAGTCGGGAACTTCACGCCCGACTTTCAGTATTGAGCAGATCATCTAGACAAAAAATAAAGAAATATCAGGCTCAAGCTACACTGTAGGCCAAATATACCTAACAGACATTTACAGAACATTTCATGCAATAGCTGCAGAACATTCTGCTCTTTAGCAAATGGAACATTCTCACAGATAGACCACATGTTAGGCCACAAAACAAGTCTCGAAAAATTCAAAATAATTGAAATCATAAAAGTATCTTTTCTGACCACAAGGTCAGAAATCAATGACAAGAGAAACTTTGGAAACTAAACACATGGAAATTAATATGCTCCTGAATGACCACTGGGTCAATGAAGAGATTAAGAATAAAGTTTAAAAATTTCTTGAAACAAATGAAAATGAGAACACAACATACCAAAACCTACTGGATATAGCAAAAGCAGTACTAACAGGGATGTTTAAAGCAATAAATACCTACATCAAAAAAGTAGAAAGACTTCAAATAAACAGCTTAATGACAGATCTTAAAGAACTAGAAAAGCAAGAGCAAATCAAACACAAATTCAGTAGACTATTAAAGAGCAGAAATAAAATTGAAACCAAAAAAATACAAAACATCAATAAAATTTAAAAGTTGGTTTTTTGAAAAGACAAAATCAACAAACCTTTAGCCAGACTAAAAAAAAAAGAAAGACCAAATAAATAAAATTAGAGACAAAAAAGGAGACATTATCATTCATACCACAGAAATTCAAAGGATCACTAAAGACTATTATGAGCAACGATATGCCAATAAATTGCAAAACCTAAAAAAAATTGATAAATTTCTAGACACATACAACCTACCAAGATTGGACCATGAAGAAATACAAAACCTGAATAGACCAATAGCAAGTAACAAGGGAGAGGCAGTAATAATAAGTCTCCCATCAAAGAAAAGCCCAGGACCTGATGGCTTCACTGCTAAATTCTACCAAACTTTTAAAAAAGAACTAACACCAACCCTACTTAAAGTATTCAAAAAAACTGAGGAGGGAATAATTCCAAACCATCCTTAGAGGAGGGAATAATTTTATAAAGCCAGTCTTAACCATGACACCAAAATCAGACAAAGACAAGTAAAATTATAAGCCAATACCTCCGATGAACACAGATATAAAAATCCTCAATAAAATCCTAGCAAACTGATTCAATAACACATTAAAAAGATCATTCATCACAACCAAGTGGGATTTATCTTAGGGATGCAAGGATAGTTCAACATATGCAAATCAATAAATTTGATACATCACATCAACAGAATGAAGGACAAAAAGCATATGATCATTTCCATAGATGCCAAAAAAGCATTCAGTAACAGTCAACATCCCTTCATGATAAAAACCCTGAACAAACTGAGTACAGAAGGAACATACCTCAATATAATAAAGAAGACTTACAACAAACCCACAGCTAGTGTCACAAAGAATGGGGAAAAACTGAAAGCCTTTCCTCTAAGATATGGAACAAGGATGCCCACTTCTAACACTTTCATTCCCTGATTTGCTCATTATACATTCTATGCTTATATCAAAATATCACATGTAGTCCACAAATATGTACAAATATTATGTAACCATAAAACTTAAAAATTAAAATAAAAAGTAAGAAAAATAAGCCAGGTGTGGTGGCTCACGCCTGTAATCCCAACACTCTGGAAGGCCAAGATAAGTGGATCTCTTGAACTCGGGAGTTTGAGACCATTTCTACAAAAAATAACAAAAATTAGCCACATGCAGTGGTGCATGCCTGTAGTCCCAGCTACTTGGTGGGCTGTGGCAGGAGGACTGCCTTACACCCAGGAGATTGAGGCTGCAGTGAGCCATGTTTGTGCCACTACACTCAGGCCTGGGTGACAAAGTGAGACCCTGTCTCAAAAAAAAAAAAAAAAAAGAGAGGTTGGTGGAGCCAAGATGGCCGAATAGGAACAGCTCCAGTCTAGAGCTCCCAGTGTGAGCGACGCAGAAGACAGGTAATTTCTGCATTTCCAACTGAGGAACCGGATTCATCTCACTGGGGAGTGTCAGAAAGTGGGGGCAGGACAGTGGGTGCCGCGCACCCAGCGTGAGCCGAAGCAGGGCGAGGCATCACCTCACCCGGGAAGCGCAAGGGGTCAGGAAATTCCCTTTCCTAGTCAAAGAAAGGGGTGAAAGATGGCACCTGGAAAATCAGGTCACTCCCACCCTAATACTGCGCTTATCCAACGGTATTAGCAAATGGCACACCAGAAGATTATATCCAGCGCCTGGCTCGGAGGGTCCTACGCCCACGGAGCCTCGCTCATTGCTAGCACAGCAGTCGAGATCAAACTGCAAGGTGGCAGCGAGGCTGGGGGAGGGGCGTCCACCATTGCTGAGGCTTGAGTAGGTAAACAAAGTGGCCAGGAAACTCGAAATGGGTGGAGCCCACCACAGCTCAAGGAGGCCTGCCTGCCTCTGTAGACTCCACCTCTGGGGACAGGGAATAGCAAAACAAAAGGCAGCAGAAACCTCTGCAGACTTAAATGTCCCTGTCTGACAGCTTTGAAGAGAGTAGTGGTTCTCCCAGTACGCAGCTGGAGGTCTGAGAATGGACAGACTGCCTCCTCAAGTGGGTCCCTGACCCCCGAGCAGCCTAACTGGGAGGCACCCCCCAGTAGGGGCAGACTGACACCTCACACAACCAGGTACTCCTCTGAGACAAAACTTCCAGAGGAACGATCAGGCAGCAACATTTGCTGCTCACCAGTATCTGCTGTTCTGCAGCCTCCGATGCTGATACCCAGGCAAACAGGGTCTGGAGTGGACCTCTGGCAAACTCCAACACACCTGCAGCTGAGGGTGCTGACTGTTAGAAGGAAAACTAACAAAGAGAAAGGACATCCACACCAAAATTCCATCTGTACATCACCATCATCAAAGACCAAAGGTAGATAAAACCACAAAGATGGGGAAAAAACAGAGCAGAAATACTGGAAACTAAAAATCAGAGCACCTCTCCTCCTCCAAAGGAATGCAGCTCCTCACCAGCAACAGAAGAAATCTGGACGGAGAATGACTTTGACGAATTGAGAGAAGAAGGCATCAGACGATCAAACTACTCCGAGCTAAAGGAGGAAGTTCGAACCAATGGCAAAGAAGTTAAAAACCTTGAAAAAAAATTAGACAAATGGCTAACTAGAATAACCAATGCAGAGAAGTCCTTAAAGGACCTGATGGAGCTGAAAACCACGGCACGAGAACTACCTGACAAATGCACAAGCCTCAGTAGCCGATTTGATCAACTGGAAGAAAAGGTATCAGTGATGGAAGATCAAATGAATGAAATGAAGTGAGAAGAGAAGTTTAGAGAAAAAAGAGTAAAAAGAAACAAAGCCTCCAAGAAATATGGGACTATGTGAGAAGACCAAATCTGCGTCTGATTGGTGTACCTGAAAGTGACAGGGAGAATGGAACCAAGTAGGAAAACACTCTGCAGGATATTATCCAGGAGAACTTCCCCAATCTAGCAAGTCAGGCCAACATTCAGATTCAGGAAATACAGAGAACGCCACAAAGATACTCCTCGAGAAGAGCAACTCCAAGACACATAATTGTCAGATTCACCAAAGTTGAAATGAAGGAAAAAATGTTAAGGGCAGCCAGAGAGAAAGGTGGGGTTACCCACCAAGGGAAGCCCATCAGACTAACAGCTGATTTCTCGGCAGAAACTCTACAAGCCAGAAGAGAGTGGGGGCCAATATTCAACATTCTTAAAGAAAAGAATTTTCAACCCAGAATTTCATATCCAGCCAAACTAAGCTTCATAAGCGAAGGAGAAATAAAATCCTTTACAGCAAAGCAAATGCTGAGAGATTTTGTCACCACCAGGCCTGCCCTAAAAGAGCTCCTGAAGGAAGCACTAAACATGGAAAGGAACAAATGGTACCAGCCAATGCAAAAAAATGCCAAATTCTAAAGACCATCGAGGCTAGGAAGAAATTGCATCAACTAACGGCAAAATAACCAGCTAACATCATAATGACAGGATCACATTCACACATAACAATATTAATTTTAAATGTAAATGGGCTAAATGCTCCAATTAAAAGACACAGACTGGCAAATTGGATAAAGACTCAAGACCCATCAGTGTGCTGTATTCAGGAAAACCATCTCACATGCAGAGACAAACATAGGCTCAAAATAAAGGGGTGGAGGAAGATCTAGCAAGCAAATGGAAAACAAAAAAAGGCAGGGGTTGCAATCCTAGTCTCTGATAAAAGAGACTTTAAACCAACAAAGATCAAAAGAGACAAAGAAGGCCATTACATAATGTGAAAGGGATCAATTCAACAAGAAGAGCTAACTATCCTAAATATATATGCACCCAATACAGGAGCCCCCAGATTCATAAAGCCAGTCCTTAGAGACCTACAAAGAGACTTAGACTCCCACAATAATAATGGGAGACTTTAACACCTCACTGTCAACATTAGACAGAGCAACGAGACAGAAAGTTAACAAGGATATCCAGGAATTGAACTCAGCTCTGCATCAAGCAGACTTAATAGACATCTACAGAACTGTCCACCCCAAATCAACAGAATATACATTCTTCTCAGCACCACACTGCACTTATTCCAAAATTGACCACATAGTTGAAGTAAAGCACTCCTCAGCAAATATAAAAGAACAGAAATTATAACAAACTGTCTCTCAGACCACACTGCAATCAAACTAGAATTCAGGATTAAGAAACTGACTCAAAACTGCTCAACTACATGGAAACTGAACAACCTGCTCCTGAATGACTACTGGGTACATAACGAAATGAAGACAGAAATAAAGATGTTCTTTGAAACCAACGAGAACAAAGACACAACATACCAGAATCTCTGGGACACATTCAAAGCAGTGTATAGAGGGAAATTTAGAGCACTAAATGCCCACAAGAGAAAGCAGGAAAGATCTAAAATTGACACGCTAACATCACAATTAAAAGAACTAGAGAAGCAAGAGCAAACACATTCAAAAGCAAGCAGAAGGCAAGAAATAACTAACATCAGGGCAGAACTGAAGGAAATAGAGACACAAAAAAACCCTTCAAACAACCAATAAATCCAGGAGCTGGTTTTCTGAAAAGATCAACAAAATTGATAGACCGCTAGCAAGACTAATAAAGAAAAGAGAGAAGAATCAAATAGACGCAATAAAAAATGATAAAGGGGATATCACCACTGATCCCACAGAAATACAAACTACCATCTGAGAATACTATAAACACCTCGAAGAAATGGATAAATTCCTCGACACATACACCCTCCCAAGACTAAAACCAGGAAGAAGTTGAATCTCTGAATAGACCAATAACAGGCTCTGAAATTGAGGCAAAAATTAATAGCTTACCAACCAAAAAAAGTCCAGGACCAGATGGATTCACAGCCGAATTCTACCAGAGGTACAAGGAGGAGCTGTTACCATTCCTTCTGAAACTATTCCAATCAATAGAAAAAGAGGGAATCCTCCCTAACTCATTTTATGAGGCCAGCATCATCCTGATACCAAAGCCTGGCAGAGACACAACAACAAAAAAAAAGAACTTTAGACCAATATCCCTGATGAACATCGACGCAAAAATCCTCAATAAAATACTGGCAAACCGAATCCAGCAGCACATCAAAAAGCTTATCCACCATGATCAAGTGGGCTTCAACCCTGGGATGCAAGGCTGGTTCAACATACGCAAATCAATAAATGTAATCCAGCATATAAACAGAACCAATGACAAAAACCGTATGATTATCTCAACAGATGCAGAAAAGGCCTTTGACAAAATTCAACAACCCTTCATGCTAGAAACTCTCAATAAATTACGTATTGATGGCACGTATCTCAAAATAATAAGAGCTATCTATGACAAACCCACAGCTGATATCATACTGAATGGGCAAAAACTGGAAGCATTCCCTTTGAAAACTGGCACAAGACAGGGATGCCCTCTCTCACCACTCCTATTCAACATAGTGTTGGAAGTTCTGGCCAGGGCAATCAGGCAGGAGAGGGAAATAAAGGGCATTCAATCAGGAAAAGAGGAAGTCAAATTGTCCCTGTTTGCAGATGACATGATTGTATATTTAGAAAACCCCATTGTCTCAGCCCAAAATCTCCTTAAGCTTATAAGCAACTTCAGCAAAGTCTCAGGATACAAAATCAATGTGCAAAAATCACAAGCATTCTTATACACCAATAACAGACAAACAGAGAGCCAAATCATGAGTGAACTCCCATTCACAATTGCTTCAAAGAGAATAAAATACCTAGGAATCCAACTTACAAGGGATGTGAAGGACCTCTTCAAGGAGAACTACAAACCACTGCTCAATGAAATTAAAGAGGACACAAACAAATGGAAGAACGTTCCATGCTCCTGGATAAGAAGAATCAATATCATGAAAATGGCCATACTGCCCAAGGTAATTTATAGATTCAATGCCATCCCCATCAAGCTACCAATGACTTTCTTCACAGAATTGGAAAAAACTACTTTAAAGTTCATATGGAACCAAAAAAGAGCCTGCATCGCCAAGTCAATCCTAAGCCAAAAGAACTAAGCTGGAGGCATCATGCTACCTGACTTCAAACTATACTACAAGGCTACTAGCAGTAACCAAAACAGCATGGTACTGCTACCAAAACAGAGATATAGATCAATGGAACAGAACAGAGCCCTCAGAAATAATGCCACATATCTACAACCATCTGATATTTGACAAACCTGACAAAAACAAGAAATGGGGAAAGGATTCCCTATTTAATAAATGGTACTGGGAAAACTGGCTAGCTATACATAGAAAGCTGAAGCTGGATCCCCCTTCCTTACACCTTATACAAAAATTAATTCAAGATGGATTAAAGACTTAAATCTTAGACCTAAAACCATAAAAACCCTAGAAGAAAACCTAGGCAATACCATTCAGGACATAGGCATGGGCAAGGACTTCATGTCTAAAACACCAAAAGCAATGGCAACAAAAGCCAAAATTGACAAATGGGATCTAAGTAAACTAAAGAGCTTCTTTCTGCACAGCAAAAGAAACTACCATCAGAGTGAACAGGCAACCTACAGAATGGGAGAAAATTTTCACAACCTACTCATCTGACAAAGGGCTAATATCCAGAATCTAAAATGAACTCAAACAAATTTACAAGAAAAAAACAAACAACCCCATCAAAAAGTGGGCGAAGGACATGAACAGACACTTCTCAAAAGAAGACATTTATGCAGCCAACAGACACATGAAAAAATGCTCATCATCAATGGCCATCAGAGAAATGCAAATCAAAACCACAATGAGATACCATCTCACACCAGTTAGAATGGCGATCATTAAAAAGTCAGGAAACAACAGGTGCGGGAGAGGAGGTGGAGGAATAGGAACACTTTTACACTGTTGGTGGGACTGTAAACTAGTTCAACCATTGTGGAAGTCAGTGTGGCGATTCCTCAGGGATCTAGAACTAGAAATACCATTTGACCCAGCCATCCCAGCCATCCCATTACTAGGTATATACCCAAAGGATTATAAATCATGCTGCTATAAAGACACATGTACATGTATGTTTATTGTGGCACTATTCACAATAGCAAAGACTTGGAACCAACCCAAATGTCCAACAATGATAGACTGGATTAAGAAAATGTGGCACATATACACCATGGAATACTATGCAGCCATAAAAAAGGATGAGTTCATGTCCTTTGTAGGGACATGGATGAAGCTGGAAACCATCATTCTCAGCAAAGTATCGCAAGGACAAAAAAACCAAACACCGCATGTTCTTGCTCATAGTTGGGAATTGAACAACGACAACACATGGACACAGGAAGGGGAACATCACACACTGGGGCTTGTTTTTGGGTGGGGGGAGTGGGGAGGGATAGCATTAGGAGGTATACCTAATGTTAAATGACGAGTTAATGGGTGCAGCACACCAACATGGCACAAGTATACATATGTAACAAACCTGCATGTTGTGCACATGTACCCTAAAACTTAAAGTATAATTAAAAAAAAGGAAAAAAAAAAACGAGAAAAATAATTTTTTTTAAAAAAAGATGAATGATAATCACACCCAGAAAATCCTCCAGAAAGGATTTATTTTTACTTCTGGCAGGCAAGTAGACCAGACACTCGTAATCCCCGATCTCTGTCATTCAACTGCTATTGCAATGATTTAAATCAGGACTCTTGTCCCTATGGGAGCTAGATTAATTCTGGATCGCCCCTTATTCTCAAGGAACAGCCTTTCAGAGTCCCAACCAAATGCCAAGGAGTGTTAATAAGGGTCCTTCCAACGTGGCAGGTCCTGACTTCAATTTCTGTCCCCAGCCTTGTGAATCTGGCAAGAGCTCTGCTGAGAAACTTAGATAAACCTCCATTCAAACAAGCAGTCTTCCACTGCCAGAAAGAGGGTTTCTTAATCTCTCATTAATACCAGGTAACTTAAGGTTTGGCTACCTATACTGTTTCCAGATTTCCCCTTCCTTGACTAGAAGAGCAATGGGCTAGAAGTCTGAAGATCTGAGCTCTGATGTGTTGGTCAGTAACTGGTCCTATAACCTTTAGGCTAGATCCCTCAAAGTTCCCTTACCCTTAAATGTAAAATACATCTGGATAAAAAATCTTTCAGTTTATTCTTGCTCTAAAATAATTACTAACACCCCTGCCAACTCTTAGACAATTCTCCTGCGGATCCATCAAAGGCAGCCCAGTGACTCATTAAAACTCTCTATTTTCATGAGAACACTATAACAAACGAACTTAAACTACAACAGTAAAAATTTGGATTTACAAAGCAAGCTGTTAAACTTTAGAACTGTGGTCATTCACACTGCAAGTCCTATTATTTGTTGCCTTGGCTACTAAACCATGCAAAGCTGACGAGAACCCACCTATGGCTGAAAATAAAGAGAAAAGCCCAACCTAAAAGGAGAAAAGAGTCACTATAGGGCACCACTATGCAAAATGGCAAGCAGTACAGTTGACGCTTGAACAACATGAATTTGAACTACATGGGCCCACTTTTATGGGGCTTTTCTTCTGCCTCTACCGCTCCTGATACAGCATGAACAACCTCTCCTCTTCCTCCTCCTCCTGAGCTACTCAACATAAAGACAACGAGGATGAAGACCTTTATGATGTTCCACTTCCACTTAATAAATATTAGGTTGGAGCAAAAGTAATTGCGCGTTTTGCCATTACTTTTATATATTTATTTTATTATTATTATTTTTTGGAGTCTCACTCTGTTGCCCATGCTGGAGTGCAGTGGTGTGATCTCTGCTCTCTTCAACCTCTACCTCCCGCATTCAAGTGATTCTCCTGCCTCAGCCTCCCGAGTAACTGAGACTACAGGCATGCACCAGCATGCCTGGCTTTTTTTTTTTTTTTTTGAGATGGAGTTCCACTCTTGTTCCCCAGGCTGGAGTGCAATGGCACGATGTCAGCTCACTGCAACTTCCACCTCCTGGGCTCAAGCGATTCTCCTGCCTTAGCCTCCCGAGTAGCTGGGATTACAGGCACCCGTACCACACCCAGCTAATTTTTGTATTTTTAGTGGAGATGGGGTTTCACCATGTTGGCCAGGCTGGTCTCGAACTCCTGACCTCAAGTGATCCGCTTGCCTCGGCCTCCCAAAGTGCTGGGATTACAGGCATGAGCCACCGCACCCAGCCACGCCTGGTTAATTTTTGTATTTTTAGTAGAGACGGGGTTTTACCATGTTGGCCAGGCTGGTCTCAAACTCCTGACTTCAGGTGATCCGCCCACCTCACCCACCTTGCAATTACTTTTAATGGCAAAACCCACAATTACGTTTGCACAAACTGAATAGTAAATATATTTTCTTTTCCTTATAATATTCTTAATAACATTTTCTGTTCTCTAGCTTATTGTAAGAATACAGTATATAATACATATAGCATATAAAATATGTGTTAATTGACTGTTTATGTTATTGGTAAGGCTTCCAGTCAACAGTAGGCTATCAGTAGTTAAGTTTTGGGGAAGTCAAATGTTACACACAAATTTTTGACTGTGCAGGGGACCAGTGCCCCGACCCCCACATTGTTCAAGGGTCAACTATAAACAAACATGCCTGAGTCATAGCTCCCTTAAATCATTCCTTTTACGAAGAAGGATGCTGATGGTGTGTCTGGAAGCAGGTCAAAGCAGAAGAGAGTCAAACTTTGGCTTTTGGGTTTTCGAAAGCTAAAATTCTATATTTTCTTCAGCAGAAAAGAATACCAGAAGATACACATTCTAATTGTTTTCACAATGGACAAAAGAAACAGTGGTTGAAATTAATGACAGGCTGAAACAAAGTCCTACTTTCAGAAGCACAGAGAAGACCTAATGCAGTCACTTCATAACTCAGAGAACATTCTTCTGCACAAACTTATCAACTGCTGCCTAAGTTCCTCACTGCATCCCCTGCCACCTGCATGCACAAACCACCACTTCCCTGACTACAGAATGTACCTCTTCTCTATGGGAAGTGGAGTGGAACCCAGACATTGGTGTCTCTTGTGTAGTATCTCCCCTTCCCTGCAGTATCTGGATCTATCAAAAAGCAAAGGGATCCATTCCAAAAACAGTGCTACAGCCAACACCCCCAGAGGGCCTCATCACTAGGCTTTTTGATGTTCCAGTAACGTATCAGCTAGAAGCAACTGAACTCTAGGTCAGTCCTTACTTTCTGCAAGAGACCCTGTGTGTGGTAGAAAAGGTGCTAGCTGAGAAGCTATGCATGAATCCTAGCTCTGCCACTGTCTAGCTATGCTCATTCAGACACTCAAAATGTACTAAGAACCTACTACGGGCCAGACATCCTGCTGGGCATTATGATATAAAGGTGTCAAGACACAAAAGGTGCCTGCTGTTATAGAGCTAAAACTCAAAGAACACTTCCCATTGCCCCATTGTGCTAAATGATGGTGCCTACACCAAGTCATCTCTGAGGTTCTTTTTGACTATAAGGTGCTACAGTTTTACAATCTGAGATACAGCACTGGTTGGCTACAATATCTGTGTGGTCTTTGGCATAGCCTCCCTGGGCTTTAGTTTCCTTATCTATAAAGCAAACAGGTTCTATTTGGAAATGTCTCCCTTTACCTTATGCAGCCACAGTGGGAGGTTTCCAGACTCGCTCTGCAGTGAGTTCTTCTGCTGAACAGCCGCCCAGCAATATGAATCCACAAAGGCAGCCTGACGCCAGGAGAAAGAACTTGGAGAGAAACAGCTTATCTGTGTACCTAAGAAGCAAAACAGATAGTTTCCAATGAAAACACAGCTTACCTGGACTCTTGTCCCCATCTCACATGTTTTTAGTTTTGTCTAAGTTAGGGAGCACCAGGACAGGAGGTGGAGACATTAGGACAGAACTAAAAACAAACACCCAAGTTCATATTAAAACAAAAGATCACAGAGTGGTTTTGGCCAACACTGGTCATGATAGCAGCTTGGCCTCAGTTGGGGAAAAATTCTTAAAAGAAGTAGAACTACCATACAAAGAAAAAGGAAGCAGGAAAAGAACCAGAGCCCAGAATTCAAGAGGCAAGCGTGGAGAGACCTGGTTTAGTTTGGAGTAAGGATTGAGAAAAAGGAAAGGTTATGTGGGAGGGTCAGTGAGGCACCTGAATGCGGAAAATTGGACTAAAAAAACAAGTTCTTTTAGAACAAAGAAGCAAAGAACTATTAGCCTGAGGAAGAGAAAGCTGAAGGGAACATTGGTAATAGAACACTGGATGGGAAATCAGTGGTTTCCTACCTCCTGTAACACTAAAGAAGAAACAGGCTGAAACTGCAGCCCAACTGGTTTACATTTGGAAGGGAAACGCTCACGACTGCAAACCTCCCAACAGCAGATGGGCGGTAGATGGGGAATGGGAAGACCTGGGTCCTGGTGGGGCTCTACCGTTCACTCGCTCTTCTGGGAAGGGACTCTGGGACTTGGTTTTCTCCTCTGCAAACTGAAGATTACATCTCTCTGCAGATGCTACCGTCACATCTGTAAAACCTACCATCTGGAAGACTCTTTGTGCTCCTGACACACACAGGCCATGGAGGGAAACTGACCAATAGGATCGTAAGGCTCAGGCAGGGCTGTGTCCTCCCCTTCCCACCAGTAGCACAGGGGCTGGCGCTAGGCCTTGCCTGGCCCAGCCCTGATCCCCTGTCCCCACCTGGCACATTCAAAGGTGTGTGTGTCACAGGCATAGGGGTCAGAGCTAAGGCTCCATGACAGGCACACTCTCTTCCACATCCATCACAGCCTGGGAGTGTGCTCAGTGACTGGGCTCTGACATGAGTCATATTTAAATTTGACTCTGCCACTCTCAGCAGGGTGAGTCACAGCTGATAAGTCATTAATTTCCCAAAGCCTGGGATCTCTAAAATAGGAATGACATTAATAGTGTATCCACATTACAGATTTGTTGTGGTGAATACAAAAATTAAAAAAACACACAAAAAACAAAAAACAAAACTTGCTGCAGCACTTGCGAGGGTGTCTGGTTCCCAGAAGTTGCTGAATTAGTGTTACATTTTTCTAGATGAAGCAACAAGTAGATTCTCATATTGCCTTAAAGACTGGGATGTGCCTACCATTCTCCCTTCCCACCCTATGGAGCAATGATAGGGACAGTGGGAAGTTACGGAGCTGGATTTCCCTAATCCCTGGCACATAAAAGGCCTCGACACTCATCTTTGCCTGGGGAGGGAGTGGCCTTTATGCTTATGGTACAAGAGAGAAGTGATGGAGATGTTTTCAGGAGAGTATATTCTTGTGGTAGGAGTGGTATGCGGCAAAGCCCTGAGCATTTCTTCCCCATCAGGGGCCTGTGCACCCACAGCCATCAAGAAAGGACTTGTCAGCAAGAGGCTTTACAGGAAATCATCATGAAAAGTCACAAACATCAGCAAGTGTTCTATAATGGGGTAGTTCTTGCCATTCAAGAATGGCTTAAATATGAGTGGGGGACAGGTAAGATATTTCAAGGTCCCTTCTGACTGTCTTATCCCATTAAACTTAAGTTCTTAGATTTTATAAAAAGATGAGTAGTCGGGACAGCACAGGACTTGGCACTAAGCTCACACGGTTCCCGCATCAGTGTGAAATGCTTCCTAAGCCAACCACCTACCAAGGCTTATGAGGGCAACAGTAAATACCTAAGGGGACAGATAGTCCTCAGGTTACAATCAGATGGTTTCTGGCAAGGATGCTGATAAGCTGCTTGCTTGGGAATATCTGTCCAAGTACTCACTCATGAAAATGAATAATGCTGTTATGATTTCATGAAAGCCTGCCTGGCCCAGAATGTTCCTTAGGCAAAGTCCTCATTGTGCAAGTATCCAACATTTATTAACATTCTTTCTATAGGAAAGAGTGCTTCAAGCTCTATCTTGGGATCTCGAGGACCTCCCCCTCAAGGCAGCAGTAGAAACTCCTGGAGCAGAAATAACTACACTTTTTATACTAAAGCTTTTGCAAAAGAGGAAGAAGGAAAATAGAGAGAGGAGGGCAGAAACATGTGAAGCTCTTAAGAAATGGTCTTCATCTGGAATGGAAAGTCAGAAGAAAAGGCAGTGGCCAACTCATATTCACTAGACACCAACCAGCCCTTTAAATCATTACCTCATTTAAGCCTCACAACCAAATGGAGAGACACATCATTATTTTCCTTTTCCCCTGGAGTAAACCAAAGCTCCAAGTAGTTCAGTAATCCCCTACCCAAGCTAGTGAATGGTAGCAGCATTCATTTAAATCTGTATCCAACTCCCAGTTTCTCTCAGCACTCCTCTCTAAGCCAGTCACCCCTGCAAGGCCACCCTGGAGGAGCTCCTGGGGACCAGGGCTTTGTTGGAATGGGTGTGGTCTAAGTAGGTGGTTCCTCCAAGTGGCCAGGAAGGGGACAGCTTCCTGGGAAGGGTCAAGGGCATTTCTAGAAAAAGAAACACATCAATCCCCAGGTATTGGGTATTCCCAGGCCAGAAATGGGAAACCAAGTCAAGGATGTCAAGAGCCAGGCAGGGAGGGGCAGGCAACAAATAGGGAGTGAAGAGCAGGAGTGAAGAGGGGGGCAAAGCAGGAGGGTACAGGGGACCGGCACAGCTGGGCTCTGAGCCCACACCTTCACCCAGGCTGCCTGAAGGCACCTAAAGGCAAGGGGTCAGGGTGATCAGCTGCTGCCAGGGGGCCGGGGGCCAGGAAGCTTGGGACAGGGACCATCCGGATTCATTTTTTCAAATGTATTTCCACATCCTCTATCTCATTTACTCTTCAAGATAATATTGGGAGGTAAACACGTTAGATCTTCGTGAGTTTTCCAAGTAGTCTGAGTCAGGAAGTCTTCCAGTCTCTCCCTTCTCCACCTGTTTAAACTGTTGCCAAGTTATTCATCCTAGAGCTCAGTTCTATCTTGCCACTCCTGGGGCTCAACATTTTTCAGTGGTTCCCTACTGCCTGGGTTACAAATCCAAATCAATGCTCCAATCCAACTCAATGAAGGCTGTGGCTTGTATAGGCCTGATATGCACTCAGATCTATGCCTTACATGATCCCCTCTGCCCGGAGGCCCTCTTGCCAGAACCTGCTTGTTAAGTCAATGCCCCATACACACCATCTTCCTCAATGGCTCATCTTTCAAAGCTCTGCTTAGGCATCACCCTCTTCACAAAGCTTCCTCCCCCACTGACTTCCCACAGTGCTTTTCTGCACATCTTTAAATCAGAGATGTGCAGAAAACCACTTTGAACCATGTCACATAGACATATATGTCTTATCTCCTCTAGTACTACATCAAGGTTTTACAGGCAAGACATATTCTGTCTCTGAACTTCATGCACGATTGTGTACCAAGTAACATCTGTCTGGTGCTTTGAAAGTTTCAAAGTACTATCATAAATACTATCTCAATTAATGTTAAAGTATCCCCCAAAGATATCACTGTCCAACTTGATAGGTGAGAAAACAGAGTCCCATGAGATCCCCAGCCACAGCCCCATGCTCTGCTCCACTGTGTGTCAGCTTAACAAGTGTGTGCTATAATTTCTAGGGAACAGATTTTGCAAGACATGCACTGCCTTTTATTACTGTACAGGAAAGAAAGAAAGGAGTTTCAGGTTTATGCCAAGAACAACAAAGAATACTACTTCCACTTGGCTGAGAGTGCAGAGGCAGCTGTGGGCTTTACATTTATGTACGTCTGGCCAAATATAATAACAGATCACCAGGAGAAAACGTGTGCTCACAAGGCCCAGAGGAAGTAGCCACAACATCCATTAAATAATGTCTGTGGCAATCCATGCCACAGACATCTCCCCATCCACCCTCCTCCAGGTGCCTTGACCTGGAGCATAGGGTGCTGGTCACACCTTCTGCCTGAGCAGCAGCACAGGTGGCCCTTGGTGTAGCCTTGACCTGTACCTATAAATGATTAGAAAGTAACATAGCCTAAAGAAAAATAGGACTGGGGCTGGGGTGAGCAAGCCAGAGGTTTCTCAAAGACACCACAGTGGGATGGCTCTCCATTCTTGTTCCACTTCAGCAGGAGGGCTTTGGCTTACTTTTGCTATGATCTACGCCCCCCATTTTTTTGTTCCTCTCCTTTAACATGCTTTCTTTCATTCTCATGCATTAATAACACAGGGTTAGATCCTGCTCCTAGGCAGGAGAAGGGAACTAACCCTTGCTGTGTACTTTCACCCCTATTTTAAAGGTGAGGAAAGTGAGGTGTGAGGCACAGTGATCTTGTGGCTAGTGGGTTGTGAAGCTGGGATATCAACTCAGCTCTCTCTACCTTTTAAACACAAGAAAGAGGAGGTGAAAGGCATAAATTATTAAAGAAAATCAGGTCAGCAATGGAGGGATGAGAAGGAAGGAGCCAGGAGAGAAAATCCTGGGGTTGTTCTGGAGGCTCAAAGGGAAAACAGAGAATATGATGATGATTATATCAAGTACAATCATTAGCATATACACATGATTTTAAAAGTCTGCGAAATGATTTTAAGTTACACAACAAAAAATTGGTTTAATTCACCTTAATGTAAATTATAGACACACATACCCCATATATATGGGATCCAAGTAGATTATATTACAACCCATAAAGCACCAGACTTGAAAGGTCTGGCTATATTTTAAGGTTGCCAAAAGATCTGAAAACTATTATAAATTCTCAGTGAGAACAATCATACAAAGAGGACCCTGAATGTGTGGTATAGAGAAGAGATGGACAGTGGTCAGCTCTGAAAACAAACCCAGAACACCAACAAGCACTCAGAAGGATGAAACAGGTCTGAATTTGTTTAAAGTACCTCTGACCCCAACATACTAAGACCAAATGACGTTTGCCCCGAAGGGTATTCTTGCCCAATACTTATAGTTCTCAACTATCATAAAATACAATAATGTTACAAGAATCTCAGAATAACTTCTCTTACTAAAAACAAGCCAAATTCCTCTCCTTTCACCTTTCCAGCAGACTTCAATCCAAACCCATCTTTAGCTTCAAACACATGAAATTAAATATATTCTGGATGTCCCAAATTGTCCATTACTGCCTTCACTTTTCTTCTGTGGGAACTGACTCTGAGGCACATGCATGTTTTAAACCAGTGAGAAAATATAAGTACCCTCCGCAGCCCAAACTAAAAAATGGAATTGAAATACTTCTTTTTTTTTTCCTTTAAACCACATTGGTTCACCAGGTCTTTCTTTCCCACAGCTAAGCCTGGCTTTTAAAGAGAACACATCAGGGCTAACACCTGCCCCTTAACTAAAGCTGAGCATCATCAAATGTTTCCTTTTAAATGAATTACAAGAAGCCCCAGATGCTTCCCTCCCCAACCCTGTTGAATAGATCAACAAATAACTCTGGGGCATTTTAGAATGAATGGTTTGCCCCTGTGAGTCCAACAGATCAGACACGGCACTGTCAAGACAGCACTGCCCTCACCAGATGGAGGGAAGAATTAATAGTCTGTACCTGCCAAACGCGTGGTCCATGATGTGACCACTCAACCCCACAGCCAAAGAGAGCAAATGACCACATTGCTGGGCCTCAGAAGGGAACCTGCGAGGCTTATCTCATTTAATTGGGAATGACGGTATGAACAACGCAGCCCGCTAAGTGCAGCAACAGAAACGAGAAGGAGGCTGGGCTGGAGATGACAGCCACAAGCAACCACGAAGACAGGATGACACCCACAAGAATAGACAGACAAGAAAACTAAGTAGCAGTTTGAGGGGTTTCCTCCCTGTGTTACCAAGTCCAGTCCCTCACACACCCACAAGGTCTAAACCACAGAAAAAACCCATATAATTCCAATGTAAATGTCACCACTGTTGGGTGGAAAAAAAGTTCATGACCTGGGTACCAGGGAAAAAAGGCATCAGAAGAACTCAATGTTATATTAAGATGAAAGTACTGGATGTATTTAAATATATATATTTTACTTTTGTCATCAGATTACAGATGATAAATACAGATTTTCAAACATACAGAAAATAATGTAACAGACACCTAAGAGTTTAAAGCAATACTGACATTTTGCTCTATTTACCTCATCTATTTAAAATTAAATATTTTATTTTGAAAATTTTTTCAGACCTACCAAAAGATTACAAGACTATTACAATGAAATCTGATATACCCAGCACTTAGATTCAACCAGTGTTAACACTCTGCCATACACCCTCTCTCTCTATGCATATATAATATATCCTTTACTTTTCTGAACCGCTTGGGAGTTAGTTGCAGAGATCATGACCCTTTACTCTCAAAAGTGTGTGTCTTCTAAAACAAGGACATTCTCTTTAAATAATCTAGTGCAATTACTAAAGTTCTTAAAATACCAGATACAAGCAATTATCTATAGTCAGATCTCCCAAACGAGCCTTTATAGCAACTGTTTTCATCCAAGCAGGATCCAGTCCTGCCCTACACATTGCATTAGTTGTCCTATCTCTGTAGTCACCTTATCCTGGAACTTTCTCTGTCTTTCTCTGTCATTTGCGACCCTAATGTGTGTGGCGAGCACCACCTGTTTAATGCAATGCTCTTCATTTTGGGTCTGTCTGATTGTTTCTCCAAACTCCAATCCAGATTCTGCATTGCTGGCAGGAATCCCGAGGAAGGGCTGTGGGTCCTCAGGACAGCACCCTGGGAGCATTGGATGACCTTTCCCCCATAACTGGGTGACATCAGCTATGGTGGGCACTTAGTCAAGGTGCTGCCTGCTAGGTCTCTTCTGCCGTAAAAGTGCCTTTCCCCCTGTGCAATGATAAGTGGTCTGTGGAGGGATCCTCGCAGACAGGGTCAATATTGTGTCCCAGAACACACTTTCACCCAGTGGTGAATCAAATACTTTAAATGTGGTTGCAAAATAAGTATTTTTTTTCCAACTTGATTTGCTCCTTCTACATGTATTAGTTGCAATGGATTAAGAAGAGCTTTCTCTTGATTTTTTAGTATCAATATGGACTCACGTAATCCTTTGTTATTCAATATTTTATAATCCATTACTGTTATTCACTCTGATGTTCAAATGGTTCCTATCAAACTAGCTCCTGTGTCCTTCGACATGTTCCCCTCAGTTCCTGAGCAGTCCCATGGATCCTGGTACAAAATGTTCTGGGCTTGTCGTCTACTTTCTGTTTCCACTCTGCAACTGGCCATTTCTGCAAAGAGCTCTGGGTTCCTTTTGGTGGGTAAAGAAATTTTAAAACCATTATTTGGGTGCTCGATGTGCTCCTTGTTACTAAGATGCCATTGTTCCTAGGCCCTTCAGCAGAAACTAGAAAAGAAATCTTTTATAAAAAATTGTAAACTGAGATGGAAACTTTTACTTCTAATCCACTACCACTGGGTTCTTCTTCATCTTCCCCCATCCCATGTTTGTTCTTTCTTCTTTCACAGTGAGAATCCTGGCTCCCAACAGTATCTATAGTTATTCATTTACTCAATCCCAAACTGTACACAAAATAATTTCAGAATTCTTAAAGCAAAGGTAGTTTCTGATTTTTGTTTTAAACGGTTTAGTCTGGACACTATGTCAACAACTATCTGGGGTCAAGAACAGAAGCAGAGACCAGACAGGAATCTATTGCAATAACTCAGGAGATGGTATGAAGATACAGTCACAGCACATGTCTGCAAGGAATCTCTTCTATCACTTCTAGGTCCCAGCCTGGTACAGGCCAAAGATTGTGGTTCCATGAAATGACCATGAATGCAAAAAGCTAGATGGAAGGAAGAAAAGAAAACCAAATATCTCTGCTATACAACTATTGATATGTTCACAAACGTGTTCTGCAAAGCCACGAAAATAACAGTGCTTCTGGAGCATATAGGTTTGGGGCAGATCACTCAAAAATCTATGCAATTTTTTTTTAAACCAACAGCACTAGAATCCTGATAAAAACATGCTTGCACAATTAAGGGGTGTATAAAGAAAGGTTGAGGCTGCCAAGTTACACATATAAGGACTAAATGCACAAAGAGCAGAGAGTACTGTATAACAGCATTTCTAAGATGGAACACATGGTCAAACAAAGCCAAGGGGAAAGCGGGGCATCACGTACACGCTATAGTCCTCTTTGGCTTGCTTCATCCACATGTTGTTACTTGATGGCACAAATCATTCACATGTTGGAAAAAATCACATATAACCAATGTGATTAGTTACACTGATATGATATTATGTTGATATCATTTCCCCTATGTACTGATCAGACATATGAGCTCCTTTCCATCACAGAATCAGGGGGAGACGGTATTTACTGAATACTACTATAAGACAGGAATTAGATTCTCTCATTCAACCTAGTAAAAGAAACCTGTGAGCTAGCTATCATTATACCCATTTTACAGAGGAGAAATAAAGGCTCAGAGAGGTTAAGTAAAGTAAGACAGCTAATACTTGGTCAAGTTGCAATTCAGCCCTGAGTGTGTGGTCATACTCTTTCCCCAACACCTATGACACCCTGAGGATGAATGGCCAGGGAGGAGAGAAGGTGCAGACAGGCCATGGAGGCTGGGTGGAGTGGAGAAGGATGGGCACTGTGGAATGCCAGGCCAGCCCGTAACACAAGCAGCAGCAAGAAAGGGCCAGCACCAATCTCCCCAGAAACCTGGTCCCGAGCTCTAGGCCCAAGTTCATTAAAAACCACAGAGCTGACAAGACTAGCCACCTGCAGTCAATGGCTGGAGTGTGAGAACCCCACCCAGAGCGCCTAAGGCTACTCTGTGTGGAGTCAGAAAGACTGCTGACAGGGTGGAGGGGACTGGGCACCAGGTGGAGTTCACCTGGTGGAGACAGAAGCTGGACCCATGGAAGGAAAGGGCCAGATCAAAAAAACGACATCATCAAAAATGTCACAACAGGAATGTGACATGTGAGAGCTGGGAAGTGAATCCTTGCAGCAACCCCAGACTGGTCACACATTCACTAGAGGAAATGTGCTTGGTCTTGGTTTTTGCATTGTAAGAAATGAATGATGGAAAAAAAATGGGGGAGGGAGAAGAAGAGGGATTGACTTCAGAAAAATGTTAAAGGAACAGACTATTTAAGGCCAAGGGGCAGCTTTAATAGACTTCTTCAAGTAGAAGAAGGGTTAGAACAAAATTACTCTTCAGCTGGTCTTCACTGACACAAAGGCCTAATGTGCATGAAACAAGCAGAAATCCAGTTAGATATGGGTGAGGGGGACTGGGCACCATGGGTCACCCCTATAATCCCAGCGCTTTGGGAGGACTGCTTGAGGCCATGAGTTTGAGAACAGTCTGGGCAATAAAGTGAGACCCCGTCTCTACAAAAAATTTAAAAATTAGCTAGGCACGGTGGCGTGCGCCTGTGGTCCCACCTACATGGGAGTCTGAGGCAGGAGGATCACTTGAGCCCCAGAGGTCAAGGCTGCAGTGAGCCGTGTTCCCATCACTACACTCCAGTCTGGGCAATATAGAGAGACACTGTCTCAAAAAGAAAAAAAAAAAAAGATATGGAGGAGGGACTTTTAGCTTAAAGGGGAAAAGTTAGGTAAGTGTTCTATAAATAGAGGTTCTCTGGAGTCTTTATTCCTGAATGTTGCTTTAAAAAAGATTCTATTAGATTCAATAGACATTCGGTTTTCTCTTTTACTTCCCAGCAACTTACTTAACCTCTCTGAGGTTTTCTTATTAGTAAAACCTCACAGAATTCCCAGGAGGATTAAATAAAATGTCTGCTATAGTACCAGCACACAGTTAAGAATTCAGTAAATGGGAACTAGTATTTTTATTTCTTTGTCAGGCAACATGGTAAGCACTGGAGATAGAAGAATGGAGGGCTCCCTTGTCGCATCCTCTATTACTTTCTTCCATGCACTTATCATGAATTTCATATTTATTTGTTTACCCATCTGTCTTATCCTCTACAATACTAGAGCAAACACATCATGAAAGCAGGCCTCCTTGGATAACTGGGATCTTAGATTTAAAGGGGCCACAGCCTGAAACTAGATCCAACTTCATTAAGTCCTTCTGCATCATCTCTCCCTCAAAGATGCCTTTTAAAAGCTGGATTTTGTAGTTCTTGCGACAAAGAAACCCTTTTGTGTAGGACAAGGCCTTGAGTGTTTAAATTCAGTACTGAAACAAAGATTAGTGACTCTGGCAACATGAAAAGGACTTACAATGACTGTTACTATTATGTAGACAACTGGTCATGAGATCTCTTTGCAAACAAGGGCATTCTAAATAGACAAAAACTCATGACAGATGCAGATGCTAGAGTGGCAAACACTTTTTCAAGGAACCTCAAAAAAGAAAAGGGACATCCACACTTTTTCATCAGAGCTGGGTATTTAATGCCACATGGCCTTTATACCAGGAGCACGCCCTCCCCAGGGCTCCATTCTTCCCGTTTCTACACGGGGCAACAGAGCACAGGTATTCTCCCTAAGGCACTCAGCTCAACTGTGTGGCGCTTAACCCAAAAAGCATTCACTGGGCTATTATGTACATGGTACCATATGCAATGCAAGGGATTCAAAGATAAAGAAGACTTGGTCTCAGCCCTCCAAGGGCTTACAGTCCAGTGGAGGCAGCCAAGGATATAAACCACCAATTATTGTAGATGAAAACAAATCACATAAGGGTAATGACTGAACCATGACAAATGTTCGTACTCAAAGGAGGAGAGAAGGGAACCTAGGCTTGGAAAACAGCGCAAGAAAACACTGAGTCCTTAAAGCTGACAGCCCATTTAAGACAGGAAGCAGACCACTGTGTCTGGAGCACACAGTCAAGCTGGGGTCAGATAAAGGACATCCTGGGGTGACAGACTGGGAAGTCCAGACTTAAATTTATGAGTAAAGGCAAGGAGGGCTTGGTAGGTGAGGGTGAGGAGCTGTGTTTTGTGTTTTCAAGTCCCCAGTGGTACTATAATCCATACACCCATGTTCCTAATGACCAGCTGAGGCTGCAGTGCTGAACTGAGGGTGAGGTTGGTGGTGGCGCTTAACAGACTAGGCACCCTCCCCAGCAGGAATCCAAGGGGTAGGGAAGATAATCCTAGGGCAGCAGAGCCGGAGACCCAGCACAAACCAGCAGCTTCTGAGCTGGGCTGTGAGCTTGCCCCACGCAGTCCTGTGTCCCGCAGACACACGACAGGAAGGGGCAGAGAGCACACAGCAGTGCCTGAGAACCCAGGCTCTGGAAAGAGCAATGCACTCTAGCCCCACTCTGTGTGCCCCAGACACATTCCCCAACCCCAGCAGCCCCAGGTCGTCACCTGTCAAAGGGCCAAAACAGGATTAGGGGATGTTTAGCAGCTAACCTGCGCTGAGTGCTTCCTACGTACCAGACACCGTTCCAGTGCTTCGAGCGCTAATTTATTTAATTCTCACCCTGTGACACAGGTGAGAATTCTATTACTGCCCCATTTACTGACAAGGAGGCTAGGCACTGAGAAATTCTGTAACTTGTCCAAGGTCTCACAGTCAATGTGTGCCATGCCAGAATTGGAACCCAGGAAGTCTGGCTTTATAACTCATGCCTTAATCATTATTCACATTTCCTAATAAATAATATTTGCTAGTTGACTAAATGTAAACAGGAAACAGAGGGCTCAGAAGTGAAACAACTAGGGTTTTTTGAAAAAAACATTTTAGCTTAAAAAAATTAATTAAAAAATAGTTAAGATGGATTTCAGAAGGAAGGGGTATTTCATAAGCCAAGGAAAACAAGCGGAGACCTGTCAGTCTCTCTAGGATCAAACATCCCAGGCCAAAGAAAAAGGTGGGCACTGGGGAGGGAGGGGGCAGTCACCAGACACCGCCAAGTGTCACAGTGAGCCCAGAAATGTGTGTCTCATGAAATCCCAGTGTAAATAGGGAACTACAAGCTAAAACAATGAGATGGCATTTTAACCATTAAGATTGGCAAATTTAAAACTCTGAAAGTATTAAACATTGGTAAAGAAGTAGGGCGGGGTTGGCCTATATTGGTGATGGGAGTGTAAACTGGTATTCTGGAAGGCAGTTGAAAGTGTCTTTTAAATTTAAAATGTGCACAACTTTTGTCCCTCTGATTTCAAACCCCACTAGAACAACGGTTCTCAAAATGTGGTCTGGAAACCCTGAAACCTGAGACCTTTTCAGGAGGTTCACGACATTAAAACTATGTTCACGATACTACGTTGTTACTTACCTTTCTACTCTCGTTCTCTCATGAGTGTATGCAGTGCAGTTTTGGGGGCTACTGATGTGGGATATTACAACATAATGAATGAGAATCCAGAATCCAGTCATCTACTATGAAATGAAATATTAAGTAGATTTTCAAAAATAGAAAATAATGCTATTCTTATTACTAAGTTTTTGTTTTATAATTATTTTTCATAAAAATATGTTATACCTGAACATGTAATGGGTTTACTTTAAATCAATTAATAAATATTTTTAAGTCTGTCAGTTTTAATTTCTAATATGATAAATACCAATAGACAACAAAATCTCTTTGGAATTCTCAAGAAATTTTAAGGGTGTAAAGGGGTCCTAAGACCAAAATGTTTGAGAACCACGGCTCTAGAGAAACACATTCTGCACAAAGAAGCACATGCAAGGATGTTCATTAAACCACTGTTTGTAGTAGGAAAAAGTGGAATGAACATACTAGCCCATAAACAGACGGTTAAATGAATTGAGGTATAGTCACATGATGGAAAATTGTGGCACATTTAAAAAGATGAGGCAGATCTGCATGCACTAACATGAAGATATCTCTGGGACATATTAAAGATAAATGAGCAAACTGCAAAAAAATGAGCACTGTAAAAGAATATGCACTAAACAGGAACAGTAGTTACCTCTGGGGAAGAAACTGAGATTGAGGTGTGTCCATAAAAAAGGGCAGGGCTTTAATGTTTCCTCTTACTGTCTGAACTTCGACATATATAGACATTTGGCAAATTAAAATTAACCTGGAAAACTCCCTCCACTGCCACACCAGCAGTAAGGTGAGGGGACCTCCTGGGGCTGATGCAGTGAGCACCCCAGGACAGCCATGGGGTACCCATGAATGGGCCTGTCTCATTAGCTGAAGCACCAAGTCCATGTATAGCCTATTTATCCTTCATACTGAAATATTCACCACTTTCTGAACCGATCTGGAAGTTGTAATCTTTTTCAAAGCATTTCTACTCTATTTAGCCCATCCATTATTTATTACAGCTTCCCACAATTACAAGAACAGCAGTAATAGAACTTCTGACCAACCAGCTATAAATTGAGGATTCCTACAACCCCTTCCTATGGTTCATTCATTTGCTAGAGTGACTTACAAACTAAGGCAAACCCTTTACTTACTATTGGCAATTTACGAAAAAGGATCTTTTAAAGGATACAAATGAACAGACAGGTAAAGAGATACACAGAGCGAGGTTCAGAAGGGTCCTGAGTGAAGGAGCTTCTGTCCCCATGGAGTTGGGATGCACAACCCTCCCAGCGTGGATGTAACGTGGATGCCCTCGGAACCCTCTCCCTGGGTTTCTATGCAGGCATGGTTGATTAGATCATGAGCCACTAGTGATCAACTCAGGCTTCAGGCCCTCTCCCCTCCCGTGAGGTCAGGGGTTGGGGCTGAGAGTCTCAACCCTCTAATCACATAGTTGGTTCCCTTGGCAACAAGCCTGGCTCACAAGGCTATCCAGGAGACCACTGCCATCAGTGACCTCATCAGCAGAGTGCTGGGAAACCAAAGACCAAATAAATATTTATTATATATCAAAATAGTGTTCCTCATAACTACAATATTTTAAAAGGTCCAATAGTGAGATAGCCTGACAAGTTTCCAGTAAGGATCCTGCTGATAATGATGCTCTTCCTATAATTCAAGAGCCTTTTAAATATCTGATATATTATGAGAAATTAATCTGCTAAGGCGATGTGACAATTGGTGCCAAGCAAGTCACTCACTTAGATTGCTGAGCTTCAGTTTCCCTGTCATGATTCTAATATTTTATAACTTTAATTTACCTAGGTATCTACTCACATCTAAAAACAAGCCAGTATGAAAGCAGTGACAAAATGGATGGTCTGGTATTTTCATGAAAATTAATAGACCAGTGGAACAATATAAACAGCCCAAAAATAGGCTCACTTACTTGAGTTGACTATATGATTGGGAAATCATCAAGGATCAATGAATAACGAACGGGTTCCTCAATAAATGACAATGGGGGGATTATCAGCTAGAGTCTTGACTTATAGCACCAAAAGAACAAAACAGACTGTAGAGGTAAATGTTCAAATAAAATCATTAAAGATCATTTTAAAAAACTGATAGACCTAAGGATGGGCTATGACAGTCTAATCATAATGCAACTGAAGAAATAATTAAAAGATGGGTAGTTTTGATGACTTAAAATAACTTCTGCTTATCAAAACTTATACTGTAAAGGTTACTGAGGGATGGCTGTCAGGGGAAATGGGGATGGTTAATGGGCATAAAAATAGAATGAATAAGATCCAGTATTTGATGGCACAATAGAGTGACTGTAGTCAATAATAATTTAATTTTACATTTTAAGATAACTGAAAGAGTACAACTGGATTGTTTGTAACGAAGGATAAATACTTGAGGAGATGGATACCCAATTTCTCCTGATGTGATTATTACACATTGTATGCCTGTGTCAAAATATCTCACATACCCCATGAATATATACCTTTACATACCAACAAAAATTAAAAATTAAAAAACAAAAATGCTTAACATAAACAGAATTCAAAGGAAACGGACAACCGGAAAAGAAAATACAATAAAGGCTAGCTAGAAAATATTTGAAACATAGAAATAGTTAATAAAACCCATTGAGAAACCAACATCCCCTTGGAAAAATAAGCAAAAGATAAGAACAGACAATTCACAGAATTATATAAATGGAAAAAATACATACGAAAAAACATTCAATGCCGTAACTGAATAAATGCGACTTAAAACAATGGCACACCTTTGTTCACCTATTAAGCTGTGGACGATAATCCACTAACTTTTGCCAGCTGTGGGGAAAGCCACTCCTTCAGCTGCGGGGAGAAGTATCCATTGGGGGTCTATCCAGAGGGCAACCCAACCACACCAGTCAAATCTTAAAAATGTCTATGTATACTTTGACCTTGTAATTAGAATTATACAATCACTTGAAATACTGAGATCTTTAGAGAGGTGGTTTATTATGTACAGGAGTGTTCTTCACAATGCTATTTATATTACAAAACTTGTGAAACAGTTAAATTTTGACACGTGCACAACATTCCATGTCACTGCCAACAAAAAAAATCATGTACAACAATTTAGGAACATGGTAACATGGCCTTGACTTAGTGTTTGGTTTTTCAAGAATAGTAGTTATCCCTGGTAGTATTATAGATGTACTGCTATTTTCTCTTCTGTATTTTCCATATTTTCTACAGTAAGTTTTATCTTTATAATGATATAATATACATATATAAATATTTATATTTTAAAAAGGAGTGTGAGCTTTATAGAGAATTTATTAAAAAACAACAGCGTCCCCTCCCCACCACCCCTTTCACCCCCCACAGAACTAGGTGTGCCTGGTACCAAGCAGATGGTAGATTCTCTTTAGGCCCCCTTCTCCCCAAGTAACTAATGTCTCCCTGCTGCCCCCAGAAACCCCACAGCATGCAGCGGGGCCTGCCTCGCCCAGAGTTCCTAGCTTAGCCAGGGCAAATGCCCCCAAATTGCCTCCCTTTCTCCACTTTGGACCAAGCTCTCGCTGCCTCAGTTAGGGGTTTGACAAGGAAGCAATCCAAGAAAGCAACCAGCTGCAGAAAAAAGGTGTTTGCATGGTTTTTTAAAGGGATGTTGCTAATCCAAACCTAGAGTCCATGAAGGTCCTAAGGCCTATTTTCAGGTTTTATCTATCTGTCTATATATTTTGAGAAGGAGTCTCGCTCTGTCGCCAGGCTGGAGTACAGTGGCATGATCTCAGCTCACTGCAACCTCTGCCTCCCGCGTTCAAGCGATTCTCCTGTCTCAGCCTCCCAAGTAGCTGGGACTACAGGCATGCGCCACCACACCCAGCTAATTTTTGTATTTTAAGTAGAGACGGAGTTTCATCACGTTGGCCAGGATGGTCTCGATCTCTTGACCTCATGATCCGCTCGCCTTGGCCTCCCAAAGTGCTGGGATTACAGGTGTGAGCCACTAGAAATGTGTAGCACCTCCCCCCATTCTCTCTTGCTCCTGCTCCTGCCATATAAGACGTGCCTGCTCCCTGTTTGCCTTCCGCCATGACTGTGTTTCCCGAGGCCTCCCCAGAAGCCAAGCAGAAGCCACTAGGTTTCCTGTACAGCCCACAAAACCATGAGCCACATAAACTTTTCTTTAAAAATAACCCAGTCTCTGGTATTTCTTCATAGCAATGTGAGAGCTGCCTAATACTTCTATGTATCAAGTTTTTTTCTTTTTTTTTGAGACGGAGTCTCGCTCTGTCGCCCAGGCTGGAGTGCAGTGGCGCGATCTCGGCTCACTGCAAGCTCCGCCTCCCGGGTTCACGCCATTCTCCTGCCTCAGCCTCCTGAGTAGCTGGGACTACAGGCGCCCGCCACCACACCTGGCTAATTTTTTGTATTTTTAGTAGAGACAGGGTTTCACCGTGGTCTCGATCTCCTGACCTCGTGATCCGCCCACGTCGGCCTCCCAAAGTGCTGGGATTACAAGCATGAGTCACCGCGCCCGGCCGATATGTATCAAGTTTTAAGGACACATGGTCCCTGCCCTAAATGAACTTACAGTATTCAACAGATAAGTATGCAAGTAATTACCTAACTTCAAGTTATGGTAAATGTTAGGAAGGAAACTTACAGTGTTAGGAGAACATGTATCATGAAGTTCTACTTAAAGTTGCAATTCTACCCCCTGAAGGAGGCCCTTTCTTTCTTAAAACCAAGAGCACATCAAAATGCTTCTTCCAAACTTCTAATGCAGTCACATTTTGAGGGAGTCAGAGCTGGATAGTGTACAGGGCAGTGGTTTTTTTTTTTCTTCCACTTATTTCAAATAGGAACGCAGGAATGCAAAACTATTCGGAAAATGATGTCATCCTTCTGGAAACTGATACTGCTGCGACTAGTCTCCTTTCCTTTTAATGCTGGGAGGAGAGAAATATTTACGAAGATTTTCATGCAAACAAGCTTTATGTGTGAGTAGAAATTTTGAAAGAAAGTAAATGTCCATCATTAGGGGACTGCTTAGATGAATTGTAAGTATATTCTAAGCTATGGAATACTGTTCTATTATAAAACAGTGAGGTGACACCTATGTACTGGCACGGAAAGCTCTCCAAACATACTAAGTGAGAAAAAGCAAGCCACTATGGTATGACTCGATTTGTTTTAAAAAATAAAATAAGGTGTACACGTTATGCTAATGCAGACAAAGTACAGCAATAAGGCTGCACAAAGTGTCCACCTACCTTCAGCACATAGTGAAAGAGATTTATGAATCCTTTACCATGATGATGTATTTAGCTACTACTTGTACAAGAAAAATATTAACAAAGTAAAACATGTATCCAACAGTAGACTCTCTGGACAGCATGCATCCTTCTGGAGGGGTTAGGAGTCTCTCTTGGCTCTTTGGTTTAGTGTGAGTTGAAGATGTTCTATTATAGGACCTATGCCATGAGACCCTAAATATTGGCCCACTCTGATAGACAACCCTGAAAAGAATCGATCTGCTTTGCCAGCTGGTACATGCTAAAAAGCAGCCTGAAGATATTCCCAAAGACAGGTCTAAATTCAGCCACAACAGAGCAGATAACTTAAGCCACCCAGCCGCTGACTCAGTTGCAGGAAATGAAAGGGGAACTCCAAGCAAACTATATTGGAAGCAGCTGCAGTTATATCTATCCTTTGACTCACTGGGGCTGGCCCAATGCCTGCCCTGTAATGATAGCAAAAGAGCAGTGCTAACTCAGAAAGACTAAGTCCTTCTCTACCCAGAACGGTGGCTGCCCACTAAGAGGTCAGTGGGTGAGGGAGGCAGGGTCCCCGGCTGACCAGACACCCTTTCCCTAGTAGACTACTGGCTGCCCCAGCTCCCCACCTGGTCCAGCCAGCCAGAAACATCCTGGCAGGAGACACGGGCTCTCCTTCCCAGGGGATATGTGCCACATGAGGCACCAGGGAATCAAAGCAGCCCCTGACGCCTCAGGCCTTGTACAGCCCTAAGCGCAGGGCACAGGAGGCCCTGTCAAAAGACCCCTTAAACATGAATCCCATTCAGAGTCTGGTCTGTTGATAGTTTTGTCTTCAACCAGGCTGCTGTAAGAAAATCCCACAGACTGGGTGGCTTAAACAACAGTTATTTTCTCACAGCCTGGGAAGTTCAAGATCAAGGTACCAGCAGATTCGGTGTCTGGTGAGAGCTCTTTTCCTAGTTTGCAGATGGCCCCCTTCTCCCAGCGTGCTCACACACCTTTCCTTGTGGCCGCACTTGTGGAGAGAGGAAGAGGGAAGAAGAGAGGAAGGGGGGTAGTGGGAGAGAGAGGGAAAGAGGGAGAGAAGGAGGAAGAGGGAGGGGGGAGAGGAAGAGGGAGGGGGGAGAGAAAGAGGGATTTCTTCTTTTTCTAAGGGCATCCCATCATGAAGGTCCCACTCTCATAATCTCATCCAAACCTAATTACCTCCCAAAGGGATCTCCAATTAGCATCACATTGGGGATCAGGACTTCGACATATGAATTTTGCGGTTGGGAGACACAAACATTCAGTCCATAACTGCAGCACACTAAGGGAATTCATAACTTTAGAGAAATACTTCTAGAATTTCAGAGCTTGAAGGTCACGTCATGCAATCATGCTTATATTCTACACAAAGCTGTCGCCCAGCCATTTCCTAAACCTCTCCCCCCATCAATGAAATGTGCAGCACTTCTAGAGGCATCTGAGAGTAGATGTGTTAGAAATGAAGGGCCTCAAGGCACTGTCTCCCAGCAGCTTGCACAAGGTGACACCCATAGGGTACCCAAGCCACACAGATCACACTCATCCTTCTTCCACAGTACACCATTCTGCACTCTGAACACAGATTCTTCCTCATCACAAAAATAACATAAAAAAGAATCTGAGGCACACGCAATATAACCTGAGCTTATAAATCAAGTGGGACAACTTACCTATCATGACGATGTGCATCCTTTACTGCTATCATCAGAGGCAGGTGTCTGGGAGGTGGCCAGGACAGGCCTGACCCAGGACAGCACTTGTATCATTAAATGGCACTCAGAGGGCGCACTTCCAAGCAACTGGGACCCTTATCCAGAACACTCCGTCCATTCCCTCAGCACAGCCACTCTGGGAGAGTTCCCTAGTGTGCTCTGGCACTTCCTTCACTAAATTCCTATGGAGCACTTGTTGAGGGCAAGACATGGTAGAAGACAAGAGGAAGGAAAAATGAGGGCTGGTGAAACCACTGATTCTCCCTTCTCTGGCTCCCACCACACAGCCTTTCTAGCCCAAACTCACAATTAAACTGTCTTTTGCTGTGTGTCACTTATTTTCCCCCTACCCAGCTGAATCTCAGAGGAGGCACACCTGCAGTATTTTAGAAAGGCTGACTAGAAGTATCAGGCCTAACCAGACAGGTGCACATTTTAGTTCTTACATTCAATCCTTAGTATCTCACTGTCCAAAAGCCTTCAAAATGCTCCCAGGCACAACTCAGAAGAGTCTCCTTGCCACTCCCTCAGGAGGGTTTCTGCTTGTAATTCTCACTATCACAGGGCACATCTGGACCAATGAGTGGCTGCCGCAAAGACTACCAAAGTTGCCTCCACCTTGACCATGGCACCAGCCTTGCCATGCCCCTCCAGACCACATCACTTCTGCAGTGACCCTCAACCTGTGATTGTGGGCAGCCAGACCAAGATCTGGTGAATGAGCAAGGCAGAGTCCCTTCTGCTCTCTGTCCCCAACACAGTCCCCACCAGCCCAGGTAGCCCCACACCAGTGCCTACCATGCAGGACCTGCGTGAACTGCTGTGGGAGGGAAGGGGCCAGAACCTCTGAGGAGTGGACGCTTCACCTGCAGCCACCATGCTGGCACCCAGCAGGGCTTGATAAAGATCAGCCTGCTGCTATGCCCATGGGTCTCTGTGGCCCAGGCAGGCTCAGTCCCTCTTTTCTGAGAGGAGCCCAGTGGGCTGAACTACTAAGAGAAAAGGCCAAAGACCAAACGGAAGCCTTTAATATGAAGCCAAGTATTTTATCATATGAGGACATTCCCTCTCTCTAACCTACAACACTCCCACCCCCACAGAGAACCTGCTCTTAAATCTAAAGCACAATCCATGCACATTTCTTGATTTAATAGATTTTCTTTAAAGTAAAAAATCATTTATTTAAAGGAAAAATCGCCACAAAGTTTCAACTTGAACCCTATTTTATCAAACAACAGTTGACAGAAAATTTAATTTTTGGAAAGTAACTGGAAAATATAATTTATTTTACGCTTGAGGGGATTTTATATCAAAAGAGATGAATTCTTATATATACTAGTTTATCATACAGGTGGAAAAAGGAAAAACATGTAATTACAGCTGATTTTCTCGTTTCTAATTTTATACACACACACACCACCCCCCCAACACAAACAGGAAAACAATGGGATTTGCTATGCCTTCTTTCATGTGGAGCCCCTGGACCCTTACTTTGGCTCCCACCTCTCCATGTGACGGTGCCACTAAAGCTCCAGCAGCCACATGTTGTCTCACACGTCTCAGCTTCAGCCAACACTGCTCCACACACTTGGAATCCTGCCTCAGGGGCCAACTCTGCCCTGAAACTCTCACTGTTCATGAGTCAGAAGAAACCCCTCCTTCTGCCTTTCCACAGCATCAGGCTTTAGTACACACTTCTGACACTGCCCAGGTTCCATGAATCCTGCATTAGGAGGGTTATGCGTTCAACTTCTCTACTAGACCGTGCTTCCAGAGGAAAGATTCTTATGTCCTACGTGTGTCTGACACCCCATTGCCAAGGTACAGCATCATGCACATAACAATCAATTAGCAAGGTCTGATGATGCCAAAAGCTATCACCTTTAATTCACAACAAATGTTTATAGAGTAGTTTCAATCTCCATGCAAAACATGCATAGACAGGTTATAAAGCTCTGTGTTAAGTTCAACAAAAGAGTATTCCAAGCACCAGAGAGGGAAGCAGTAATTATCAACAGAGGAAGGATGAAGCCATGTTTTAAGTCTGCAGGCCTTATCTCAGTGTCTTCCCGGGGCCTGAGTTCACTGGCCAATATGGTGGGCAAAGTGCCAGCTCCATTTCAATTACTTCATTCTCCCTTTATTGCTGTTCTTTTTTTTGGTTTGTTTTTGGCTGAGTGCATACTACTAACTACACAAAATTAAATGCTGCATGACATGATCCCTCCCACTGTACCAACTCCATGTATTAATCTATGTACCTCTCCCCTCTTCTCAAAAGCCCTTCTTCTGGTTTTATCTAAATGTATACCTAATCTAATAGGTCTTCCCTGGTCCTGTTAGCTTCATCCCACATGTCTGTCCTCCCCTGGAACTCCTGAAAACACTTCAGAAAACATGGGAGTCTGCTTGACAGCTCCTCACCCAAGTGCCTGCCAACCTTCACCAGCCTGGAGCTCATAGCTCAACACCTGGCTGGGTGCTGAATTACACACAGCTGAATGACTTACCTGCTAACAGATACCTTCTAGTGCCCAACTGCATAGTAAACTGCCACAGGGCAGGGAGAGGGCAGGGCAAGAACAAGGTCTCAAAATCCTTTCCCATCTCCCTCAGCACACAACAGTGCTATGCACACAGCATGAGCTCAAACTCTTGCTAGTTAAAACCACTCCCAATACCCCAAAAATACCTCTCAGACAGCCCACCAATTTAGACGTATCTAAGGCATTACAGGTACAGGTGCCTTAGGAGTCCCTCTAGTACATGTGCTAGAGGTGGAGATTGGTCACAGAGGGTGACTAACTCCTTCCTCCTGCCTTTCTGTCCCAACCAGGTACCCAAGACTTGCACCTCCAAGACAGGGATCATGCCTCTTTTACTCCCGGGTCCTTGGAGGTCAGCACCGAGTTCAGCACACAGCCAGTACTGAAGGAGGAATTGACCAAAGGGAGAGATTATCTCCAGGACTCATGCTACTTGGTGGTTTTGCTTTCAGCTGGAAGCCTCAATCCACTGTCAAATGGAAACTTAAAGAACATCCCGATGACTATGCCTGCGCAAAGAGCAGGAAAACTAAAAACTATTTTCCACAATGAATTTGGCAACTTCCTGCCAAGCTGAACAACTTAGTGCTGCAGATTGCAAAATCACACTCATAGTCATTCTTTCCTAATCAACTATTCCCTCAACTTCACAATTCCCATCACCACCAACACCACACTCCACTCACCCAGACATACAACCTCCGCAGCACGTTTGACCAGTACTGCCGTTCATGGCCTATTAAATACTAGGTACTCAAGTGCTGCTTATTTACTCCTTGATCGCACAGCAATCACCCACCCATTTTCTTCCACTCTTCACACCCTCTGTGCACAAGACCTCAGCCGATGCCTTGCTCTCTGGCACCCAGCCCTCCAGGCCCCATCCTCTCACCTTCTTCCCAGACCCTAAATGCCACCATCATTCAACCAGTCTGTCCTCTGCTCAAACAATAACTTCACAGTTCTGAAACCATCAGCCTACACTCTTCTGTTCCAGGCTGACCCAGGCCCATATTCACTCTCAGACTCCAGGAACTCTGACTTATCCTCCTGCCTTGGCTAGGAGAGTCACTGTGTCTCTCTTTCCAGGAACATATAACATTCTCTGCCATCTCAAAACCTTAACAAAGGTCTTACTCCTTCTTGTCCAAATCCCACCCACCCTCTGACAAAAGTTTTCCCAAAGTCCAGCCGCACTGGGTCCTCTCTCTTCCCCTGCCACAGAACTGTATTTAACCCTCCTGCGCTACCTTCCTGTTGGTTCATAAACACTCTCTCCTGTGTGGAGAGTCAGAACAGCTGATGAGGAAGGTAAGGCACGTAGCCACGTGATCCTGCCCAAACCACCAGACTTTCCAATCTCACACAACTGTTATGAAGCTCAAATGATAATTTACAGGAAGGGGACTTGTTCATCTCACATTTGTAAGACCGTCCAAGTTGAGGATCCCTCTAATGCCTGCCAAGTGCAGATATTTCCTATCATTCACAACCCTAGAGAGCTAAGATCTCAGCAAATACCAATTATATGTAAGACACTGAAAGAACACACTTCTCATGGAGCACCGGTCTTCACATCCTCCATGTAGCCACTCAGGAACTTCTCTGGTGTAAAATTTTAGGCGGCTGGACAAATATGTAGGAGACAGGGGTGAAAAACGGGGACACAGCTATTCTTGGCAAATCTGGTGGCAAGGTGCCAGTTCTAAGGGTGGAACATAAACTATAAGCCACAGTCCGATCAGAGGGGCATGAGGAACAAAAGAACTGAGGAGTAGGGATGCGAGCAGAGTAGACCAGGGTACCAATGAAACACCTGGGCAAAGAACGCTTTGGACCATAAAACTGGGGCCACTGCCCTTCCTGACGCTCACGACCATCACAGCTGGGCGTACCCAGACTCGGGCCTGTGAGCCGTAAAATCGCAGCTCACCGGGCCAGACCGGGGCGGCCACTCCCCTCCGTCCTGGGCGAGGCTTACCAATCGAGATCTCCTGCGCGAAGGCCAGCGAGATGAGCAGCAGGGGCAGCCCCACCGCAATGCACGTGACCATCTTGTCCACAGCCAGCTCCAGTCGCAGCCCCTTGAACTTGGGCTCCGTGGGCTCCTTCAGCAAGAAATCCGAGAACACGTACTCCGTGGCCAGTTGAGCGATGGCCATGGCTGCGGCGCGCCAGGCTCGACCAGGAGGTCCGGGTACAGCCGGCGTCGGGAAAGCTGCGCGGCGCCTTCACCCAGTCACCGGCCGGGCGCGCGGCTTTCGCTTTCCCTTTGCCTGCTCCCGCATCCCGCCTGCCTTTGTGTCTCGGTGCCTCAGGCTCCCAGCGACTCCGCTGGGCTCTCGCGCTCGCTGCCTCCGCCGCCGGCGGGGCGGGGCGGGGCGGGAACCCGAGAGCTCCGCTTCCTGCGGTTCCACCCCGCACGCCCGTGCAAGTCCCCGGGCCGCGCGCGGCACTCGGATTCGCGCCTCTCCCGCGCACCCCCAGGCGCGGGAACCACGCGCGGAACAAAGCGCTTCCCTCTGGCCCTGCCCCTCCGCGCCGCCCTGGCTGCCGAAGCGGCCGCCGGGATAGCCCTGCGCTCACAGCCAGCTGCGCCGCGCTCTTCCGGAACCATGCGGGGAAACCAAGTACCCAGGGGCGTGGAGCTTCCGGAAGACGCGGTGACGCGGGGCGGGGTGGGCGCGGCTGCATTCCGCGCCCCTCGGGCCACTCTCTGACAAAGGGATTTTCCCACTGAGCGGCACCTTTGGAAATTCTCCCGTCCCTCCCTGCCGGATTCTCCTCACGTCCTGGCACCCGGGAGTTTTAAAATCATTTCTGCAAGCGACTCTTTCTGTGGATGGGATGGCCCCCTTTACGCCCCACCCCCAACATTTCCAACACGGTGAAATCGGGTTAGAAGGAGCTGCAAAAGCTTCAAAGAACAGTCAGTGCCATAAAAGGCCAATCGAGCGGTGTAGACCGACGGTGCCTTGCAGAGGGAGCGCTGGACCCTTCCAGGAGCTCCGCGTGAGAGGGTGGCGCGGAAACGGTAGTGAGTGTGGAGTTTCGAGGCCTGAGTAGCGCTGCTGGTCCCGTTTCTCTTTCCTCTGCCATCCCAATCAGAGCCTTGTTCCGGGAGCCAGCAGAGAGAGGGGGGCCTGCAGGTAGGTGGGTGTTGGGGCTGCAGAGAGCTGCTTCTGAACAGCTCATAGGAAGTGGATGATGGAAAGACAGGAGGAAATACTCTGACCAGTGTCCACGGAAATTAAGGCTGTTGAAGTAGAAATAATTTGATTTATTGGAAGCTAAATGTGAGGATCCACCCAAGAAGACTTACCAGCAAAGTTGGGCATGTTTCAAAATTTGTTACACGTTGGAAGGGTTTTAGAAGAAAGTTTAGGAAAAGGGAGGAGGACCCCTTATATCAGAGGTGGGATTTTTTTCATCGGAGGGTATGGTACACAGGTTACAGTCACTGGCTGCAGATGACAACATACAGGCTAAAATGTTTTGTGCACAAGAAAATCAAAGTTTATATGATTCAGAAACAAGTCAGTGTTCTTTTCAATGTCAGTATTTTACATACTAATCAGTACATCAGCAGTTTGAGGAACTGACAAAAGGATTTGAAGGACTCACAGTAAGATTTTTTACTCAGGGACAGGATCTAAGCCATGAATCATAAGACCTTTCTTAGATGGCTTAGTTTGGAAGCCCTGTCAAATGTGACATGTAGGTTATCACCAGTAACATTTGAAGCAGGCAGGACCTGCAAACATGAGGGCTCCTTGGGGCAGGGCTTGGCTCCCTTCTCTGTGGGTCCACAGATACAAGCCTCAACTCCCACATGTACCTCTCCACCCCAGCCTGGCCGCTAAACACACATCCAAGAGCGTATACAGCTCTCTCCGCGTAGATGGCTCATAGGGCTTCAAACTCATAACGGCCAGGACTTCAGTCTTCATCTTCCCCTTAAACCTGAACTCCATCTTCCCCATCTTACTAAATGTACCACCAGCCACCTGTGCACCCAAGTCGGAATCCTGGAGCACCATCTTCAACACTCCATTTCTCACAGCTGCCATAACCAATTTTCAAATTCTCTTGCTTCTCTCTCCTAAATATAGCAAATCTGACACCCCTCCACCTGCACTGCCAATACCCAATTCAACTCACCATCCTGTCTCCTAACCACATATAGGAAATATGTGAGACAGGGTCCCCCTCCATTCTCCTCTACAGCTGCCAGGATGAGCTTTTCAAAACTCCAGTCGGATCATCTTTTCTACTTAAAGTGTACATTGTTTTTAGCATAAAATACAAATTTCTTAGCATGGCCTCTGCCTACCTCACCACCAGCTTCACTGCTTTCCTTTCAGTTCTTCAAGTTAGCTAAGCCCTTGGCCTCCTCCAGGCCTTCCCACCCAAAACACTCCCCACAGTGGCCTCTTTGCCTGGCCCACCTTTATTCACCCTTCTGGCCTCAGCTTGATGTCACTTCCCTGGGAAAGCCTTCCCTAAGTAGACAGACTAGATTAGGTCCCTTTGTGAAATTCTCCCATAATACTAGCCACACTAGTTACTAGCTATTAGTCTTGGGGAGTTCTTTGACTCTCCTGTGTCTCAGTTTTCTCATCTGTAAAAAGGTTGTACCTCTTAGGACTGTGATAAGGACCAAATGAGTTAACACGTGGGTAGTGCCCAGTGCCTGGCACCTTGTGAATCTAGGTACATTTCATCTGTCATTGTTCTCTATTTTTCCTTCTTAAAAATAGTCACCATTGCAACTCAACAAATATTTATTCATTTATTTAGTGTTTGCCACCACTTTATGTGATCGGCTTCTTGAGGGTAGGCCCATGCCCATGTGTACCACTTTTATCCTCAACACTTAGCACAAATGCCTCACACAGAGTTGATGTTTTAATTCATATTATTAAATAAATGTCTGAAGGAATCTGAACACTTTTTAAAACTGGCCCAGTTCACACTCATTTATCCATACATTCCAGGCATATATTAGAGGCTGGTGATGGGCCAGTTCTGGGCTCAGTGGATGGGGAAGCAGAAATGAAGTGAATGGATTCCATTTCCTCAAAGACCTTATGGCTTAGCAAGAGAAATAAGGCATGCACACAATTAACTATAATGCAAGGTAGAAAGAGTGATTATTGTGAAAAGTGGGGTATACCAAGGGAGGTGCAGAGAATAAGTAGGGCCTGGGAGAATGTGTCAGTTGGGACATTCAGAGCTGGGACAGGGGCTTTCTGGGAGTCAGGAAATCATGGGTGCCATTTCCCTTCTTTCCTTGCCAAAAGCTAATCATCCGATAGGCTCAAATGGCCCCTTTTTAGGCTCAAATGCCCCCTTTTTAGGAAGCCTTCCAGGATCCTCCAGTTGTAATGAATCCTTCCCTCCCTTGTTACTCTCTCCTCTGGCCTAGAAGTTAGTTCATTTTGCCTCCTGTGATGGGATGATGGATTGTGTATCTCTTTTTTCATTACATAGCAAGTTCCTCTGAGGATCTGGAGTGAATCTCAGCAGTTGCATAAATTGCCCTCAGTTTTGGCAATTTTTTACATTCCATATGATGTTATCCTACTTTTAATGAATTTAAAATAGAAGCCAGATGGAGAACTTGTTGGAAAATAGTGTGTCCGGAATTGATTCCTTCTGGTGGGTTCTTGGTCTCACTGACTTCAAGAATGAAGCCACGGGCCCTCGTGTTGAGTGTTACTGTTCTTAAAGGTAGTGTGGACCCAAAGAGTGAGCAGCAGCAAGATTTATTGTGAAGAACAAAAGAACAAAGCTTCCACAGCATGGAAGGGAAGCTGAGCAGCTTGCCGCTCTGGTGGCCAGCTTGTATTCACTTATTTGGCCCCGCCCACATCTTGCTGATTGGTCCATTTTACAGAGCGCTGATTGGTCCATTTCACAGAGTGATAATTGGTGCATTTACAAAACTTTAGCTACACACAGAGCACCGATTGGTGCATTTTTACAGAGTGCTGATTGGTGCATTTACAAACCTTTAGGTAGACACAGAGCGCTGGTTGCTGTGTTTTTACAGAGTACTGATTGGTGCGTTTACAAACCTTTAGCTAGACACAGAGCACTGATTGGTGTGTTTACAATCCTCTAGCTAGACAGAAAATTTCTCCAAGTCCCCATCTGACCCAGAAGCCCAGCTGGCTTCACCTCTCAATCCCCCCTCTAAACAGGACACCCCAACTGCTGTTGGGAATTGGGTGATGACTGCTCTAGCTACTTCCTGCTGGATAGGAGCAAAGAAGGGGCCCTGCAGTTGTAGTATCCTCCAGAGGGGAACTCTTTAGGCCAGTGAAAGGACCAGCGGGTCGGTCCAGGGGTCCTCGGTAGAAGTTGTTAGTTGAGCTCATTTGGGGTTCCATTGGTAAGACCATCTGTAGCTTGATGGCCTCGATCCTAGAGGAAACAAATTTAACAAGGAGTTTAAAAATACAGGGCCCGAAGGCAAGTAATAGTAAGATGGCTGCCATGGGACCTAGAAAGGGGAGAAGCCATGTTGCCCAACTCCAGAGGTTGGTATAAGAGTTTGAAAGGCATTGTCTGATTTTGGAAGCCTTTTCCTGTAAACGCCAGGTGGCATATCATACTATCCCTGAATGGTTAGTGTGAAAACAACACTCTTCCCCTAAGAAGGTGCACAGTCCTCCTTTCTCAGCAGTGAGGAGGTCTAGGCCTCGGCCGTTTTGGAGAGTCGCTGCTGCCAAAGAGTCTATTTGGGATTGTAGAATAAGGATAGATTTCGTTATCTCTTGCAAACTGTCTGAGAAATCCTTTGAGAGTGTGTGGTAGTAGGATAATGAAGTAGATAAACTGACTATTCCGGTTCCTGTAGCAGTAGCCATTCCTAACCCCATAAGTAGGGGTATTAGTTGTATGGCTCTGCACTAACAGACTTGAGCTTTGAGGGGTACTGATAGGGTCTGATTTCCTGGGGAAATGTTAATGTCGGGACTTAGAAATACTAAGGTGCAGGTGCCTTCCAGTTAGTGGGGTGGCAGATATAGTTCAACATTCCACATAAGAAGAATATACCTTGGCTGGGTAGACAGAACTGGTTGTGTATGTTATAAAGGTGTGTGAGTTTATTGTTTTCATTTTCCTATACTCCTAGAATACTTGCCAAGATAGCTGCTATGAGTGGCTGGAAAGGGGTGTTGGGAGCAAACTGAGTGGCTCCCTGTGTTCTATTTTCCCATTGGAGAAAAAACCATTTTGTATCTACTAGGAACCATTCGAGAGAGCGATTGAAAGAGGGGATGAGATGGCATTCACTAGTGGTGGGGATACTGCTGCAGGGGGTCCAGGGGTGAATGGTCATGCAGAGAGTATGTTTGCCATTACAAAACCTGGACTGTTTGTTAAGCAGGGAGGAGGTGATGATTTTGGGGGCCCCTGAGACGTGGACAAGCCGTCTGAATGGAGCTGTTTGAGTGACTTGGAAGTTACTATGATCAGTTGGGGCTTGAAGTTGTATGGTGTAATTACACTGATGTGGTAGTAGGTGCCCCAGGAGCAGACCTGATAACAGGTTGCATTGGATGCATAAAGGGGCTTGGAAAGTTAAGATGGTATTTGTAGTTACAGGGCTGTGTATGGGCTTTTCATTGCTTGTGTAATAGGTGAGGTTGGAAATGTAAGAACGCAAAAGTTGTATCGCATGTCCTGTTAGGGTATTCTTGGTCCTATCAGAGATGGGGAAGTTGGCTAATGATTGCATATTTAGAAGTCGGAAAGGGTCTTTTCCTTCAAAACGAGGGTGGTATGTTAAGTTGGTAAAGACCCAGTTTTTTGCAGGAATGGGAGGTTCTGCCTGGCAGCAATTTTGGCCTTAGCATCTGCCCGACGGTTTCCTTCTGCCTCTTCTCCCTCATCTTTCTGATGGCTTTGGCAGTGTAAGACTGCCACTTCCTTGGGGTTTTGCACTGCGTGTAATAACTCCATAATTTCCTGGTGGTATTTAATGGGGGTTCCCCCAGAGGTTAGGAACTCCCTTTCTTTCCATATTGCAGCATGAGCATGTAGGATTAGATAAGCATACTTGCTATTTGTATACACATTTATTCTTTTTCCCTTTCCCAGTTCTAAGGCTCAGGTAAGTGCTACTAGTTCTGCTAACTGGGCGCTGGTCCTTGGGGGAAGAGGCTTACTTTCAACTCTGGTTACATCACTAACTATGGCATAACGTGCCCTTCATATCCCATTTTCTACAAATGAACTTCTATCAGTATATAGGTTAAGGTCAGGATTAGCTAAGGGGACTTCTAAGAGATCATCTCGGGCAGCATAAGTCTGGACTATAATTTGTTGGCAATCATGCTCAATTGGTTCCCCATCATCTGGGAGAAAAGTGGCAGGGTTGAGGGCCATGCACGTACATATTTGAAGCACCAGTCCCTCAAGGAGTAGCAGGTGGTATCTAAGTAGACGGTTGTCTGATAGCCATAAACTTCCTTTGGCACCTAGTATGCCATTTACATCATGAGTAGTCCAGACAGTGAGATCTTTTCCTTGTATTATTTTGATAGCCTCTGACACTGAGACGGCCACTGCCACAACTACCTGTAAATGGTGAGGCCAGCCTTTTGCTACTACATCAATTTCCTTACTTAGGTATGCCACTGGTTGTGGGGTTGTCCCACGAGTCTGAGTAAGGACTCCAAGAGCTATCCCTGCTCTCTCCATGACGTATAAAGAGAAGTTTTGTCCTGTGGCAAGGCTTAAAGCTGGAGCTTGTACTAGGGCCAGCCTTAAGGTTTTGAAGCCTGTTTCTGCCCCTGCTTCCCATTCTACTAGATGAGTATTTGTCCTCTGGGTCTCCTTGATTAGAGTATAGAGGGGCCTGGCTATCTCGCTGTATCCAGGGATCCATAGTCGGCAAAAGCTGGTGCTTCCAAGGAACCCCCGCAACTGTTTTAATGTCTTAGGGCAAGGATAAGCCAGTATAGGCTGTATTTGTTCCTTGCTGAGGGCCCTGGTTCCTCTGGCTAAGATTAGGCCTAGATATTTGACCTGCTGTAGGCAAAGCTGGGCCTTCGACCTAAACGCCTTTTACCCTTGATTAGCTAGAAAGTTCAAGAGATCTAGAGTAGCCTGCTGGCATGAGGCTTCTGAACCGGTAGCCAAAAGTAAATCATCCACATCCTGAAGGACCGAGTGCCTGAACTTGAGAAGTGGCCTAGATCTTGGGCCAATGCCTGACCAAACAGATGAGGGCTATCCCTAAACCCTTGGGGCAAGACAGTCCACGTAAGTTGGGATGTGTGGTCTGTGGGATCCTCAAAGAGAAACTGGGAGTCAGAGTGCAGGGGAATAGAGAAGAAGGCATCCTTGAGGTCCAGAACTGTGAACCATTCTGCTTCCTCTGGTATTTGAGAGAGCAGGGTATAGGGGTTGGGTACAACTGGGTATAGAGGAATTACTGCCTCATTGATGAGTCTAAGATCTTGCACTAGTCTCCACTGACCATTCAGTTTTTGTACTCCTAGAATTGGGATGTTGCAGGGACTGCTGCATTTCCTTACTAAGACTTGAACTTTTAAATGTTTAACAATATCCTGTAATCCTTTATGAGCTTCAGGCTTTAAGGGATATTGCCTTTGATTAGGAAAAGTGGTGGGATCTTCTAGCTTGATTTGGACTGGGCAGGCATTTTTTGCCCTTCCAAATTGTCCTTCCAATGCCCAGACTTCAGGGTTGATTCCGTCCTCAAGTAGAGGACAACAAATGGGTAACTTGTTCCCCATATTCATGTAGATGATAGCTCCAGCTTTGGCTAATATATCCCTTCCTAATAAGGGCGTGGGACTTTCAGGCATAACAAGAAAGGCATGTGAAAAGAGCAAAGTCTCCCAATTACAACTGAGGAGGTGCAAGAAATACCTGGTTACAGACTGTCCCAGGATTCCTCGGATGGTAACGGACCTTGAAGACAGTTGTCCAGGACAGGAGATTAACACTGAGAAGGCCGCGCTAGTGTCCAGGAAGAAGTTAATTTCCTGGCACTCAATGGTTAAACATACCCGGGCCTCAGTGAGGGTGATGACATGAGCTGGTGCTTGCTCCGGGCACCCTCAGTCCTGTTGTTGGATCATCTGGTTGGGGGCTTCTGGCCCAGAGAACCATTGCACCCTGGAGCAGTGCACTTTCCAGTGATTGCCTCGACATAGCAGACGTGGACGAGGGGATGGCTTCTTTTTTGTTGGACAATCTTTTTTAAAGTGTTCCTGTAAACCACAAAGATAACAAGCCCTACTGGGTGATTGGCCTGCTCCATTTTCTGTCCTGTCTGAATCACCAAGGTTTATTTGTCCGATGGCCATGACTAAGCCTGCGGCCTTTCTCTGGTCTCGCTTTTCCTTTTGAGCCTGTTCCTCTTGGTTCCTATTATAGAACACTGAGGTTGCCAGGTTTAATAATGTCTCCAGATTTTGTTCAGAGCCCAGGGCTCACTTTTGGAGCTTTCCCCTGATATCTGCAGCTGATTGGGTAATAAACTTATCTTTTAGGATCAATTGACCCTCTAGTGAGTCAGGTGACAGGGGAGTATATTTTCCTAAGGTCTCCCATAGCCACTCGAGGAAGGCAGAAGGATTTTCTTCCTTTGCCTGAGTTATGGTGGACATCATTGAATAATTCATGGGCTTTTTCTTAATTCTCCTTAGTCCTTCTAGAACACAGGTCAACAGATGTTTACAACTCCAGTCCCCATGATGTGAGTCACGATCCCAGTGGGGATCCATACTGGGGATGGCTTGCTGACCAGTAGGGAATTTGTTCCTTTCTTCAGCTGTCATTCTGTCATTTACTTGACTAAGGTACCAGTTATCTCCAAACTCTCAGGCTGCAGCTAAAGCCACATTCTTTTCATTAAAGGCCAGGGTTTGATCTAACAGTAGCATGACATCTCTCCAAGTGAGATTAAAGGTTTGCCCTAGACCCTGTAGGACATCTGTGTACCTATCAGGATCATCTGAAAACTTCTCCAGGTCTGCCTTGATCTGCTTTAAATCAGAGAGGGAGAAGGGGACATGTACCCAGGTTGGGCCAAATTCCTCTCCCCCTACAACTTGAAGGGGACATAACTGATAGCCCAGGGGTTTTTGTGGTCCTTTGGAGATTTCTTTGCTTGTTTCCTTCTGGGTGGGGGAGATTAGAAGAGGCTTATCATTAATACGAAGGGGAGCTATAGGGAGGATAGGATATGGGGGTAAGCTGAGAGGTCCTCCTATGAGATGTAAATTGCAAGCTTTGCATAGTTGTGTGTTCTCCTTCAATGAAAAGAAACCTTGGATATAAGGTATTTCACTCCATTTGCTTTCCCTCTTACAGAAAAGGCTAAGCTGCAGGATAGTATTGTAATTTATACTTCCCTCAGGTGGCCAGTTTTCCCCACCAGAGAGAGAATATTGGGGCCAGACCGTAGTACAGAAAAAAAATGAGCTGCCTCTTTTTCAGGCTTTGCAGGTCAAATTGCTCCCAATGGCTTAGGATGCATTTCAAGGGTAAGCCTGTTGATGCCTGAGTGTTTCCCATCTGAAAGACAAAAACCACCCACGGGTTATTTGTTTCTCCCCCTGCCCAAGAACCCGCAACAGTCCCTGGACCCTGCTGATCAGAATAGTTGCACTCACTGATGCAGCAGCAGAAACACTAATTTTCCTCCTAGACCACAAGGAGGACCAAGGAAGGTCAGATTTAGTGGCCCTTGCAGACACATTCTCGAAAACCCGCACCCTTGCCTGTCCTCCTAGACCACAAAGAGGACCGAGAAAAATCAGATTTAGTGGCCCTTACCGATGCATTCTCGAAAAACTGTTAGAGTCCTAAGCATTCTCCTGTTAGTATTGGGACTTTACTTGTGTCCTATAAAGATGTTTTTCCCCAAAAATGAAGTGGAGGGCCATACCCTGAGGGAGGGACAGGAACTCCAGAGTTGGAAGAGTGATGCCTTTTGTCCTCACTTATATGAATAGGAAGGATAAAATTTCTGAGGCTCCCCATATCCTAGCTTCAGGAATAGCTTTTGTTAGGCCTGCTTGTCTGAGGAGGGATCCTAAAATTCCAGGTAGTCCCCGCTATGATGGAGCTTTGGGCAAAAATTATGTCTTTCTGGTTGGTGAGTCTGGGTGCCTAAAGAAGGGAATAGAGTCCTGAAGTTTATACTAGAAATCATTCTTATAGGAGAAACTAGAAAAGCACCAGAGGCAAGGAGTGGTTTTTAGAAGCAGGACTAGCCTTGGAGAAGAGAGAGGAGAGGAAGTTTGTCTGACAGGCATTAGGACCCAGTAGGCAAGGGTCAGGATAGATAGGATAGATGGGCGAGTCTCGCTTGGGTGACATGACTTTGAGAGTTCTGCTCATGGCCGCAGGGTCAACCAACTTGTTGTCAGGACCCCAGAGCTGAATGACTTTCCTCTCTGTTGACACTTGGCTCAGCCCAGAAGTACAGGAAAAGCAGAAGCTGGTTCCAGGCAAACCACCCCTCCCAACTCCGAAGAGTCGGGAGTTGTTAGAGAGCCCTTTCCCAGAAAGCCTGACCTGTGTCTTTAGTCCAGTGGCCGCACTAGTCACTTTTAACTGGCCAATAGGTGCCCAGTATTTAGCCCCCAAATTCTAAGGAAAAATAGGACAGAATAGCAAGGGAAAGGGGTCCGATGGTACTCACCACTTGGCAATAGGCAATAGTCCCTTCATGGTCACCAAAATGTGTCTGGAACTGGTTCCTTCCGGTGGGTTCTTGGTCTCACTGACTTCAAGAATGAAGCCGCAGACTCTCACTGTGAGTGTTACAGTTCTTAAAGGTAGTGCGGACCCTAAGAGTGAGCAGTGGCAAGATTTATTGTGAAGAACGAAAGAACAAAGCTTCCACAGTGTGGCAGGGGACCTGAGTGGGTTGCCACTGCTGGCTCGGGTGGCCAGCTTTTATGCCCTTATCTGGCCCCACCCACGTCCTGCTGATTGGTCTATTTTACAGAGTGCTGATTGGTCCATTTTTATAGAGTGCTGATTGGTGCATTTACAAACCTTTAGCTAGACACACAGCGCTGATTGGTGCTTTTTTACAGAGTACTGATTGGTGCGTTTACAAACTTTTAGCTAGACACAGAGCACTGACTGGTGTGTTTACAGTCCTCTAGCTAGACAGAAAAGTTCTCCAAGTCCCCACCTGACCCAGAAGCCCAGCTGGCTTCACCTCTCATTAGGATGTAGAGCCACTGGACACTGGTATAGGGCCAAGTCAAAGATGGAAAGGTTGGGGCAGAGGAGGTAGTTCAGATTTTTTTCAGTAGGCATTAGGGGGTTTTTGGAAGGGAGGAATATAAAGGATGTTGTGCTTTAAGATGATTAATCTGCCAGCCATGTATACAATAGACTGGAATGCAGAGAGTGGAGATGGAGAGGCTGGGTAAGAGGCTGTCAAAGTTTGGCAAAGGAGAAGTAACAAAGGCCCAAACTGGTGCTGTGGTCTGGAGGATAGAAATGGGTAGCACAGAAGGGTGTGGTAGCTAAGGGAACCATTTTTTCCTACTGTAAAAATCAAATCAGACAATCTGACATGTGCCAGCATTCTTTCAGGGTAATGAGAAGACCCTGGGTTCAACTCCTGGGTTTGTCACTTACTTGATACATGACTAAGGCTGTGTCGCTGGAAATCTCTAAGCCTCAATTTCCCTATTCTCCAAATAGGGATAATGCTTCTGACCTCATGGGTTGTTCTGAGGATCAAATGTGATAATGTATGTAACAGTGCCTGCCACATTGGTGGCATTTAGCATTTGATAGCTGTCATTACCAACCACAGGACTTTAACATGTCAAATGAGAGTGTAGATAACATTGTTTTTTTAAAACATAGACTTTATCACTTGAGGCCAGAAGTTCAAGACAAACCTGGGCAACATAGAAAGACTCCATCTCTACAAAAAGTTTTATTTAAAAAATAGCCAGGTGTGGTGGTGTGTGCCTGTAGTCCTAGCTACTCTGGATGATAAGGCAGGAAGATTGCTTGAGCCCAGGAGTCTGAGGCCGCAGTGAGCTGTGATTGCACCACTGTACTCCAGGTTGAGTGACACAGCCAGACTCTATCTCTACACACACACATACACACACACACACACATCCCAGAGAGTTCCCATATACCCCATTCCTGCATCCATTCTACACATGACTGGCAGATTAATCATCTTAAAACACAAGACCCCTATTATTATTATCTTACATTAGTGTGGTATATTTCTTACAACAAATGAGACAATATTGGTACATTAATTAAAGTCCATAGTTTATTCATATTTCCTTAGTTTCCCCCTAATATCCTTTTGTTCCAGGAGCCCATCTAGGGTACCACAGTATGTTTCTTTCATCAGCATGTCTTCTTAGCTCCTCCTGGCTGTTTCTCATGCTTTGTTTTTGATGACATCACTTTTTAATAATTATACATTTAGGGATTAAATCACACATCCTCCTCCCATGTCCACCTGCCTCTCCCCTTGTCCCAGTGTCATTTGTTAGAAGGAAGCCAAGGTGGAGGCCAGGTGTGGTGGCTCATGTCTGCAGTCCCAAAACTTTAAGAAGCCGAGGCCAGTGGATGACTTGAAGCCAGGAGTTCGAGACCAGCCTGGCCAACATGACCAGCCTGGCTGACCATGTCTCTACTAAAAATACAAAAGCTAGCCAGGCGTTAGCCAGGCATGGTGGCACATGCCTGTAATCCCAGCTACTCAGGAGGCCGAGGCAAGAGAATCGCTTGAAACCAGGAGGTGGAGATGGCAGTGAGCCAAGATTGTGCCATTGCACTCCAGCCTGGGAAACAGAGCAAGACTCTGTCTTAAACAAACAAAAAAGAAGCCAAGGTAGGTTGTGAAACTCATAGGCAGTCTCTCAGAACTCTGTTTTACTTGTTTGAGAACCTTGACATTTGAATATGAGAGTTTTGCAACCAAAATAGTCTAAGTCAAAATAGTGAAGTTCAGTAGACTGCCTAATCTCTTTATATATTCATTCATTCAATGAATATTTGCTGATAAACTATTATGTATTTGTACTATGATCTCTGCTGGGGATGCAACATTGAGCCAAACAGGTCAGGCATCCTTGCTTCCACAGAGCTACATTCCAGCCAAAGAGGCAGACAAAACTTAAGCCAACAGACATAAAATGATTATGTCCTGTAATAAGTGCTGCAAAGGAAAACAGTGAAGATAGTAAATAACAGAGGGAAGGACCCACTTTAGAGAGGGAAGTCAGGGGAACCCACATGTGAACTAGAAAAGCTAGGAGAATATGATATTGAATACTGAGTGTCAACTTGATTGGATTGAGGGCTACAAAGTATTAATCCTGGGTGTGTCTGTGTGGGTGTTGCCAAAAGAGATTAACATTTGAGTCAGTGGGCTGGGGAAGGCAGATCCACCCGTAATCCATTGGTCACAATTTAATCAGCTGCCAGTGAATATAAAGCAGGCAGAAAAATGTGAGAGGGAGAGATGGGCTTAGCCTCTCAGCGTACATCTTTCTCCCATGCTGGATGCTCCCTGCCCTCGAACATCAGATTCCAAGTTCTCCAGATTTGGGACTTGGACTGGCTCTCCTTTCTCCTCAGCTTGCAGATAGCCTATTGTGGGACCCTGTGATCATGTAAGTTAATACTTAATGAACTTATATATATATATAAAATGAGTTTTTATATCATTATATACATATAAAATGAGTTTATATATCATTATATATTATATATATATATATAAAATGATCTATTCTACACATGACTGGCAGATTAATCATCTTAAAGCACAAGACCGGTATTATTATCCTCTTACATATATATATATATATATATATATATATATATATATATATATATATATATATGTTCTGTCCCTCTAAGAGAACCCCGACTAATACAGAGAGGGAATGAGGAAGCTAGGGAGGGAGAGCATTCCAGGCATAGAAAGCAGCATGTGCAAAGGCCCTGAGGCAAGAAAGAACTAGCAGAGTATAGGAGCGGATGAAAGCTGGAGCAGAGTTCAAGAAGTTGGAGGAGTGGGCATGGGCCAAGTCAAGCTGGGTCTTAAAGACCAAGGTAAAGAGTTTGGATGTTATTAAAAGTGAAATGGGAAGACAGTAAAGGGTAGTAACCAGGAAAGTGATGAAATTTGGAAAAACGTGAGGCAATGTGTGGACAGTGGTGGAAAGGAGCAGTAGTGATGATGGAGAGGCTGGTTTGGGGACTGCTGCAGTGGCCCTACTCAAGCAGGATTTGTGTGAATCTGCAGCCCAAGGTCAGGGTTAGAGAAATACATTTTGAATTTGTTTGCATAAAAATGGTTTTCCGATCATAAGGATGGATAAAATAAACTATGGAGTGGCTGGTAACACATTACCACAAACTTGTTGGCACACATTTCTTCTCTTACAGTTCTGGACCTCTGAAGTCCAAAATCAGTTTCAAGATATCTGCAAGGCCAACCTCTCTCTGGAGGCTCTAGAGGAAAATCCTTTCCCTTACCTTTCCCAGCTTCTGGAGATGCATTCCTTGCATTCCCTGGCCCATGGCCCTTTCCTCCATCTCCAAAGCCAGCAGCATGGCATCTTGTCTTGGTTGTCATATTGCCTTCTTCTGTAGCCAAATCTCCCACTGCCTCTCTTTCATAAGGACACTCATGATTACATATAGGGCCATTATGGATAATCCAGTATAAATTTCCTATCTTCAAGATCCTTAATCATACCTGCAAAGTCCCTTTTGCCACATAGGGTGACATTCACAGGTTCAGGGATTAGGACATGACATCTTTGGGGCAATATTCAGCCTACCACAGAGGGTAAAAAGCGAAAAAGGACCCAGTGTCAAGTTCTGAGGCATGCTAACATTTAGGTCAGACAGAAGAGAAGGAACTAGAAAAAGAGATTGAGAAGGAATAGTCATTGAGGAAGAAGGAAGGCTGGCAGAGAGTCATGTTGCAGAGCCAAGGGACTAGAGACTCCGAGTGTTCAGAAGGAAGGAGCTGTTTCTTGTTGCTGAGAGGTTGAGTAAGATAAAGATGGAGAAGAAGCCACTGGAAATGGCATCATGATTGGTGATCTCTACCACAGCAGATTGGGGTGTGGGGGCTGGGCACGCTGGATTGAAAGCCATCAGAATGGGCTGAGGAATGCATGGGGTGAGGTAGTACAGGCACCAAGTGTGAATACCTCTATGTTCTGCTATCAAAGGAAGAGAGAAACTGTGTCGGAGGGGGTTATAGAGTTAAATAAGACAGCACATTGCTTTCTGTTTTTAATGGCGGACATTGCTGATGGTTTCATAGAAAGATGCAGGAGGAAAAATGGATACCCAAGGGAATGAAGTCTTGAGAAAGCAAGAAGCAATGAGACCCAAAGTCAAATGAAGAGACTGTCCTGCTAGGAGCAGGGACACGTGTATTGTAATAGGAAGAAATATGTGTGTAAGTGAAGGCAGAGTTGATTTTCTCAAGAGTGAGGCTGAGAACAAGGAGTGTAGTTATGTTTGAGGAAACAATGTTTGAGAAGTCATATTATTTGTGGAGATACACTATTTTGTTTCATTTCCTCTAACAAGTGTCATTGGCATAGTCATAGCCCCTAAATATCTAAAAATTAATTCCACTTTAACCACCTCCCCTAGTTCAGTGATAGATAATTTTAAGTGAAAATAACCATGCAAATAGCCACCTTATGTGACACTTTATTAAAATGATAAATGATGCAATCAAACTACTTTGTGGTTTTGTTTTCATTAAAAAAATAAACTGAAAAGAAAAAAAAACAACTGAACAACTTGTCTTACTAAGGTGGGTAATAAATAAGGCATTTACCATAATTATGAAATTATGCAGCCTACACATGTATGAAAACTGTAGAACATGTACTATGAAATCACATTGTCAATGGTTAGCAGATTGAAATTCAAAATCTTTTGTGTATGCTGTTTGATATGACATTCAAGCAAACTATGAACAGAACTATTAGCATTTGCATCCCCTTTTATGTTAAGACTATAGCTTCTATCCAATTACCCATTTCCCCTCATGAAGATGAAGATGAGACAGTGTGAAAGGTCCCTCCACCAGAATATTTCTTAGGTCCTTGTCACTCACTTTGACATTCAAATTACCCACTGCTAAGGCAGGCATACCAGTATCACTCATCTAGCATTGGCATTGGAATCTCAGGGCATCTCGCCCAGAGCTAAAAGCAATTTCTCAGTCTTGTAATAAACAATGTTACTTTTATCAATCTTACACCTACTGTCTAAGCATAGGTATGGACAGTGTAGATTGCCTCATAATGGGTTGAGTTTAGTTGTTCAATAATTTTTTTGCATTTGAACCTTGGAAATTATTTATTAATTTTCAAAGCTGGTTTAATGGTTTAAGAGAATCTGCCACCAAGATTATCTTTTTCTCACCTTTCCTTTTCCTTTTTTCTCCTTCCATGAAGAGGTATGTCTTTAAAAGCCATAGAATCTAGGATATTTAGAGGTCCCTTCTCCTATCTAGTCACCTACATTGATAAATTCCTCCTGATGTTTCTCATACAATGAGAATGTTATAATTTCATAGAAGATGAGGACTTGTAAAGATTCCCTCTAACTGAATGAAAAATCAGACTCCAAATTCAAGCCCAGACTTGCCTCCTGCAAAGCTTCCCTCCCTGATAGAAAGCTTGCTCTAAACTCTCAGGGAGTCCCTGATTCATAAAGGGAGAGCCTAACATGTTCTTTTACAGATTTCAGCCCTCCCACAGTCTGCAGTAGAAATACAATTTCTCTACTTGATTTTTGAAAGTACAAACATTGCCACAGAAACATATTGTAAAAACATGTAACATGAAGTGAGTTGTAAACATTCAAGTATTTCTACAGGTTTGAATAAAAACAGCAGCAATTTTTTAAAAAACGTATAACTTTGCTTTTTAAAACAAGCACTGCACAGGCTATTTATATCAAAGAGGAAAAGGCCAGGAGAGCTGGTTAAAGCCTCCAAAAAATTTATTTGGTCTAATTCTATCAGCAGACACTGACTTAGACATTGCCAAGAACTCCTAAGAAAGATATTTTCCACAGAACCAAGGGATGCATGTTATGCAACAATGTTGAAAAAGTAGTGCCCTTCCAGTTAAATGTCTGAGGCACTCTAACTTTTTCTAGAAGCTGTTCACCTAGAAACTTTGGTGGTTAGCTAAGAAAGCACTGTTCAAGAATTATAAAAGATGGAATATAAAGATATCTTTCAGAGTGTCTCCTATTCAGTGAATCCAACCAAAGAATAGACTAAGAGTTGACATTCTCAGCCATGCCCATTCTCCTTTTTCTGTGTTTTATACCTGAGGATTATTCGCAGCCCATTTAAAAATAAATAAATAAAAGCAAATTGCTTTGGATGATGTTTGAGAGGATCAGAAGGCTGATCCAGGATACAGTGTCAACCTTCCTTGGTGAGTGATGCCTTGGTCCAGTTTCCCTGTTGGCTGCCATCTGGCCAGCTGTGGGACATCACCCTTTCCTGTTGAGGGAGACCAGATGGTTCACAGAGCATCCGTGGGGAGAGCACAGGACTGGACTTGCTGGTAATCTGTCTGCTTCATTGCAGAGCAGAGTCTGAGGGAGAGAATCACCGTGGTGATTAGAAGGAGGAGTCCAATGATGAAAAGGATGACCAAGGCTGCCTTGGCTCCTGTTGGACCCAGATTCTTGCCAAAGAAATAGAGCTGCTCTTTGCCAGGTCGTTCTGTGAAAAAGATAAACTTGTCAGGCCCCTGACATTTTTGAGGGGTGAAATGTTGACTCATTTACATGGGGAGAGGGTATCATTACCGTTAGATGGCACCGTGGCTGGGTGAGATGCCACTCCAGGAGATGTGGTGGAGTAAGGAATCCTGTTGTCTGCACAAAGAAAACAAGTTCATTGTTTTATTAACAACAGAAGGGGATTCTTTTCATGACACTAGTCATTTCATTTCACCAGCGAGGACTTATCCCATCAGTATCTGCCAATCATTTCTGGATTCTTACTGTGCTACTTCATTCCCATGTACATGCTTTCCTGCCCCAGCTGTCTTTCCCACTTCTGCTCACCCACTGAGTCTATCTGGAGCATCATGGCCTCTGTGAAACTTTGGCTCATATCCTCCAACTGTTACCCATTCACTCCTACTGCTGCTATTAAGCCCTGTACTCTGCATTCTGCTACGGCACATAGCATACTTGATTATAGTTACATATTTACATATATGTCTCTCTTACTTGACTCTGAGCTTGTTGAGGGCTATATCTGGGTTTTTGTCATGCCTCCTGTTTTGGGGGTCTACAGGAAGCTCGGTGCCATCATCTGGCATCACTGACAGACAACCGTACCTATGTTACGAAGGACCGTGTAGGTTGTCTCCATGCCAGCATGGATGTGGTCAGACACATGACAGTGTAGCAGCCATGTCCCTGGGTGATCTGCAAACAGTTCAATGGTTTGGAATGTCCCAGGAAAGAGATCATACACATCTTCTCGGTAAGATTTATCTATCTGCAAAAACGTTTTAAAAAACAACAGCTAGTAGCCTTCTTTGCTCAGAACAGCAAGAACAGAAAGAAGAGCAAAAACAAATAAAACCCACAGTAAGCAAAAGGAAGGACATAAGAAAGAGCAGGAATCAAGAATAGAAGTACAATAGAGATAAGTCAAAGAAATCTAAAACTGATTCTTTGAACAGATCAATAAAATCAATAAATTCTGTAGTAGCCAGCTTCCATGATGGCCCACAATGATCCCCACCTCCTGGTATTCATAACCTTTGTGGTTCCTACCTACATTGTATAAGGGTTGGTATGCGAAATCAATAGCATGTGGAAGAAGTGCTGGCATTCCAATTCCAAGATTAGGTTATCATTACTTCTGTGTTAGATACTCTGTCACCCTCTTCTCTTGGATTACTCACTGGAGGAAGCCAGTTTTCATGTCTTATCCACATGATCAGGAGCTGAACCCTCTAGTTAACAACCATATCAGTAAGTTTGGAAGTGGATCCTCCAGCTCCAGTCAAACCTTTGAAAACTGCAGCTCCAGTCGACATCTTGATTGCCTCCTCATGAAAGATTCTGAATCAACCAACTAGTTAAACTAATCCCAAATTCCTGATCCAAGAATTACTCTAAGTTTAGAGTAATTTGTTATGCAGCAATAGATAACTAATACAAATCTCTGGACAGACTAACCAAGGGAAAAGGGAAAAGGACACATTAAAAATACTGAGAATGAAAGTGAGGACATCACTAAAATCTTACAAATATTAAAAAGGAAATACTGGACAAACACCTCTTATCCAAAAATTGTACAACTTAGATGGTATGAACAAATCCCTTAAAAGACACAAACTCCTGAAGATTACTCAAGAATACATTGATAACCTGGATAGCACTATATCTATTAAAGAAACTGTAATTGCTTCAAGATATTCCAACAAATTAAACTCCAGATGGCTTTATTGGCAAATTCTACCAAACATTTAATGGAGAAATAATACCAATTGTAAACAAACTGTTCTGGAAAATAGAAGAGGAAAGAACAGTTCCAACTCATTTTATGAGGCCAGCATTACTGTGATACCAAAACTAAACAAATGCTTTGTGAGGAAAAAAAGCTACAATCAATACTCCTCATGAACATAGATACCATCATCCATAACAAAATACTAGCAAATCAATTCCACAAAAAGGAATAATACATCATGACCAAGTAAGGTTTATCCTGGGAATGAAAAAGTGTTTAAAAACTCCACAATCAATAAATGTAATTCAGCAACAGATTAAAGAAGAAAAAGCATCTGATCATCTCAATAGATGCAGAAAAACCATTTGATAGAATTTAACATTTGTTGATGATCAAAACTCTGAGCAAATTTAGAAGGAAATTTCCTCAACCTCATAATGGGATCCACAAAAAAGCTGCAGCTAACTTTATATTCAAAGGTGAATGACTAAATGCTCCCCTTGTAAGATTAAGAACAAACTGAGGATGTCCACTTTCACCACTCATATTCAAAATTGCACTACAGGTCCTAGCCATTGCAGTAAGACAAAAGAAATAAAAGACATACAGATTGAAAATAAATGAAGCCATGTCTATTCACAGACAACATGATTGTCTGCATAGAAAATCCCCCTAAAATCTATAGGAAAACTATTGGAACTAAAGTGAGTTTAGCAAAGATGCAGGATGCAAGGTCAACATGCAAATATCAATTATATTTCTAAATATTGGCAATAAACAACTATAAATCAAAATAAAAACACTATCATTTACACTATTACCAAAGCCTTTTATATACTTAGTTATAAATAAATAAAACAAAGTATATGCAAGATCTCTATATTGAAAACTACAAAATGCTGATGAAAGAAATCAAAGAAGAGCTAAACGATAGATATACCATGTTCATGGATTGGAAGCCTCAATATTGTTATGTCAGTTCTGTCCAACCCATTGTATAGCTTCAGTGCAATACCAATCAAAATCCCAACAGGATTTTAAAAATCAAAATCAACAAATTATTTCTAAAATTTATCTGGGAAGGCAAACATCTAGAATAGCTAAAACAATCACCATCTGATTTTGAGACTTACTATAATACTAAAGTAATCAAAACATTGTGGCATTCAAGAAAGGGCAGAGTATAAACCAGTGTAACAGAAGAGACCGCCCAGACATAGACCCACATATATGTGGTCAATATGATTTTCACAAAAGTAAAGAGTCAATTCTGTGGGAAAAAAAGATGATCTTTTCAATGAGTGGTGATGGAACATTTGGACATATATATGAAAAAAAAATGAACCTTATTTCATATCTTGAACCACATATGAAAATTAAAATGTATCAGAGCCCTAAATCTAAAACTATACCACTTCTAAAAGAAAACAGAGACCTTTTTTGGGACCTTCAGTAAGGCCAAAATTTTTTATACATGACACCAAAAGTATGATCTATAAAAGAGAAAAAAGAAAAATTGTACTTCATTTTACTTCATCAAAAATTAAGAACTTCTATTTGAAAGCTGTTAAGAGAATGAAAAGATAAGCCACAAACTGGAAGCAAATATTTGTGAGTCACATCACTGAAAAAGGATTTGTATCCAGAATATATAAAGCCCTCAAACTCTACAATAAGGAAACAAGTAACCCAATTTTTTTAAATGGGCTTACAATTTGGACACTTCACCAAAGATTTACAGATGACAGATGGTAAACAAACACATGAAAAGATGCTCAATATCATTAGCCACTGGGAAAATGTAAATGAAAAACAATGAGATACCACTATATCCCCTCCCCAAGGAGGGAATGCCTAAGGGAAAAAAATGAAATAAAAACTAAAAATACCAACTGCATATGTGGATGTGCAACATATGGAGTTCTCGTATATTTCCTTGGAAATGCAAAATGATACTGCCTTTTTGGAAAACAGTTTGGTGGTTTCTTATGAAATCAAACATACACTTATCACATGGCTTAGCAATCCTACTTCTAGGTATTTTCTCAAGGAAAATGAAAACATATGTTCACACAAAAACATGTGCACAAATGTTTGTAATGACTTGATTTGTAATAAACAAACTTGAAAATAACTCAAATGTTCCTCAACAGGAGAATAGATAAACAAACTGCATTATATCCTTACAATGGAATACTACTCAACAGTCACAAGAAACAAACCACTGATACACATAACAAGATGGATACAATTTGAATGCCTATGTTAAATCAAACAAGCCAGATTCAAGATGCTACAACCTATGATTTCCACATAACCTTTCAAAAAAGGCAAAACTATAGAGACAGTGGTTGACAAGTGTTAAGTATGGGGAAGTAGTTGACACTAGAGGGTGCAATGGTAAAATTTGTGGGGGAAATAAAAGTATTCTATATTGTGATTGTTGTTCGTTACACTACTGTATGTGCTTATCAAAAGAGAACTGTACACTAAATATGGTGAATTGTATTCAATGTAAATTATATCTTATTTTTAAAGTGTATATGTAAATTTTTATAATTTTGTGTATTAAATTTTATAAATTTTTAATATAATTTTTAAAATGTGAGTTTAAAAAAGCCAAATTCTGAAAAGCAGCATAGCCATTTAATATGTGAAACTCTAATCATAGCAGGCTAATACTTGGTGTCGTAAACAACGTTGAAATATACAAAGGAGAAAGGATATTAAATGTTTTATTAAAGTTACCGTTTATTCGTGTCTAACTAGAAAAGATCAATTCCAGTTTTCTCCACACATTGGATATGATTGTTCTTTTCTATTCCACTTCCTTGTAGAAAGCACTGAGAACTTCGGATGACAGACTATTTGGACCTTTCCATGGAGATTCTGATTCAGCAGGTCTGGGTCGGGCCTGGCAGTTGGGTTTTTACATAGTTCCCCAGATGGCTCTGCTGTACAGTGAGCACCACCCATATGGTACAGCTTGATGCTAGAGGGTAGAAAGTCACACATGGTCCAGCCCAGCTCACTAGGGCAAAAGTCAAGATAAAGTTTCAGGGCTTAGGCCAGAGCTCAAAATAGCTCCTTTACTGGATAGAGCTATTCTGTTAGCTAATCACACAGAAAAAGAAAAGGGTGGGGAGAAGGAAAGGGAAAGAAAAAAGGAAGGGTGAGGAAAAGGGACGAATGCTGTCAGTGTCCGTGGTTTCATATACAATATTAACAGCATATTCCAGGGTGGTCAGAGTTATCCCCAGATCACTAATGAGAAAACTCTCACCTGAGGCTTGGAGAGATTTTTATAAGCACAATAATATACATATACATATTAAGAAATAGCCAGGCCTGGCGTGGTGGCTCACGCCTGTAATCTCAGCACTGTGGGAGGCCGAGGCGGGCAGATCACGAGGTCAGGAGATTGAGACCATCCTGGCTAACATGGTGAAACCCCGTCTCTACTAAAAAATACAAAAAAAATTAGCCAGGCGTGGTGGGACACACCTGTAGTCCCAGCTACTCGGGAGGCTGAGGCAGGAGAATGACATGAACCCGGGAGGTGGAGCTTGCAGTGAGCTGAGATTGTGCCACTGCACTCCGCCCTGGGCAACAGAGCAAGACTCCGTCTCAAAAAAAAAAAAAAAAAGAAAAGAAATATCCACCAGGGAAACGGTACAATCACATTATTCTGTTCCATTCTCACCTATCCTCACAAGCATTATTGCCAAGTAACTCTTATTTTCCACTGGAAATACATTGAATTTGTTAGTTCAAAAACGTCTTTCCCAAAGCACTTTCCTTATACTTACTTTGAAAAGAAAGCTCTCAGCATGATAATGGATGGTATGTATGTCCACTTCACTTCCTATCCCTAACAAATACCAGTTTGTCATTGTATCTTCGTTCATTATGAGGCCATGGAGATTCCCAAAAATCTTTCCATTAATGGCTTTAAAAGGTGATAAGAAAATAACCTTTGGTTAGTTAAAAGATAAGCTGATTTTTTAAATGTTTCCAGAAGATCTTTAGGTCACTGATATTTTCATCTGTCTAGTAAACATGCAACAATCTCACTCACCCCTAGCAGTGTCCTACCATTCTAGACCCAAAATTCAGATAACTGAGAAATCCTTCTACAAAGAGAGCGAGAACAGAGAAATAGCAGTTTTAAAGCCGTATCTTGGTGGCAGTGTTTTGTTTGTTTATTCAGCATAATCTCTTTATGAAGGGAAATACAGTCTCATTGGAGAGGTAGTCAGATTTATACCACTCTACAGAGAACAAATCAAGGCATAAACAAGTTTATGTAAATAAAAATTGAGTGACTTAGAAGGTATTTTCTTAATATTTCACTTGTTGAGAATAGTTTAAGCCTGGCTGAATCTCCAAAAATAAAAGAGAGCTTCACACGGGCTGAGCTCATGACCTAACAATGACCAAAGCAAACTGAGTTTACATGATGGTGACTCCCACTCCTCCACTGTCTACTGACTTTTGATTCTGTGCATTGTGGTGCAACCAAATGACCTGCATTCATTAAAAATGGAGAGCATACTAAGACATCTTTAGGAGAAGAAAGCAAAACTGGTAGGGGAAAGAGTAGCTGAATGGGGAATCAGGCTACTATATTCTAATCTATATTAACAAGTAGCTTTGTGACCTTGGGCAAGGCCTTTTTGTGCACTTTTGGTCAAAAATAGCTGTTGGTGAGAAACTGTGGATGTGTCAATGTGAACACATTACTCCCACCAACAAACTACCTTAAATTATGTAGAAGTAACACAGATACATTAAAACAGAAATTTGATGGTAGTGTTTCATATCCCAGAGACAATTAAACCTGGCCCTTAAATTTAAACAAATAGAAGTTATGGCATATTCTTATAAAAATATGACAATAAATGATGATTTGTTTTTAAAGAATTACTTTACAGTCTTAGAGCTTAGAGATCCCAGGATTCAGAAATACATGTCCCTACAAGTTAGTACAAAGCCTCAATGACTTTGCTGCCAGCCAATCAGTGGCTAGGCTGGTTCAGTCTGAAGGAAAGCATTAGAGGACTTTCTTCAGTCCAGGTGCCCCTGGGAAGGAGGAAAGGCTCAGAGAAGGATGCTGGGAGCCTCCTACATTTACAGGAATTCCTATGAGCTTATCTCAACATAGGCTTCTTTTTAAACTTTGGATATACCATGCATTCTGTTGCTTTCCTCAAAATCATCAGTGCGCTTAAAATCTCGTGGATCTTTGTTGAGATACTTCTTAATATTGTCATCCAGATACCAGGATTCATTCTCATTAAATACCAAAAACAAGAGAGCAAATTCATAATCAACGTCACTTCTTCTTCCCTTTTCATTCAAGACTCCTTTTCGGCATGTAATCAGAGGACCCATCAAACCACTATACGTATCCTGGAAGAAAAAATAAACTGAGTTAAAAGAGCCATTAAGTAATTTAATAATATTTCATTCCACCTGCCACCATTCTAGTGTAGGGTCATAATACCTCACCCTGGACTAGAAATTGATTCTTCTCTCAGCTCTGATTCACCCCACCTCCAGCCCATCCTGTTGACCACCATCACAGTAATCTTTATACTCCCGTATCTAGAAGTCTTCAGTGATTTTCCGTGGCCTACAGAATTAAATACAAACCCTTGCAGGTCTGTGAGCCCTCCATGTGCTCCCCTAATGAAATTTTCTGACTTAGGCTACCCCTTGATTTACTACTGGACCCCATATGATAGCCAAATGGGACTCTCAACATGTCCCAAACACTCCCTCTACTTCCCTATTTTCAGCTGTGCTCATAATGCTCTTTCTTCCTAGACTCTCCCTCCAAAACCTTCTATAGTACTTTAGTTAGCCTGCCACTCCTATAGAATTCACCAGATTCAGAGCTCTATTACAGTTACAAGTGTGGACATATTATTTTCCCACAAAGTTATAAGTTTCTTTAAGACAAGAGTATCTGCATCTCTCATAGTATTTGGTGGGGTCATTTGCACATCACAAGTGCTCAATAAGTATTTGTTGTGATGCATAAATAAATTTGGATTTTCCCATAATTCTCATATGTAAGTTTATTTATTCAAGTGCCTTGTATTTCTATCTCCTGAACTCTAGAACTGTCCAGTATAACTCAAAGACATTAATACAAGCCATCTAATACCTAAGAGGAAGGTTATGATAATCCCTCCCTTTTTTTCTTTAATAGGCAATGCTTACATTTTACATCAAATAACGACTTTAGATTGGACTTTGGTTTATGGCATGTAATTAAAGACTGTGGTTGTTTTACATACACATACCTGGCTCAAATTCAATGTTGAATCTTTGCCTTTTATTTCAAAGTTAGATCATTAATCATTCAAACAATTTTGTAGTTTCAGTTACTATGTTTAGAGTGAACTTTCTTCTCCTGAGCCCTAGTAGCCCTGATAATAATGCATTTAAAATAAACAGATTTCACACATCCAAAACCATACATAAATTGTACTCTAAGTTATATTTATTTTATTGTTGTATATTTACATATCCTCTTTTGCTTCAAACCTTTTATCTTTTTAAGTTCTAAATTTGGTAATTGAAACATTGGGATTTTGTTTTTATTCCCCATACTTTAAGTCAAGGGTCACCAAACTTTTTTTTTTTTTTTTTTTTTTTGGGAAAAAAAAAATCACCAGATAGTAAATATTTTTGACTTTGTGGGCCATATAGTCTCTGTTGCAGCTACTCAAGTCAACCATTGACAATGTAAACGTCCAGCATGTCTAGATTTCGTAAATGGGCCATAGTATGAGACCCTTGCTCTAAATCATTATACGCTTTCACATATACCAACCCAAATTGTGATGACCCAAGTAGTCAACTTTCATCCAAATTATTTTAAGCCTTTTGGTTGCTTTCTCCACCTTACCTTCACAAAGTTTACTGTTGAATAGTAAACCCATGGAATACAATTGGGATCAGAAGGCCCTGGACCGGATCTTTTAGGGATATTCCATCTATAAGTTTTTACTTCTCCTGTAATAAATGAAATGGAAAAAATTTATTAGAATTATCTGTGTTTCAGATGATTTATCTGAAGAAATATAAGCAGGTCTTTATATATTTTCATTAATGTTTATTGCTGGAGAGAATTACTCATTCATTACAAATGTTCTTATTAAACTCCCATCTTGATTTCTACTATTTCAAAATGAAATGGCAGATTTGTCATTTCAGGCTCCAGCCTTCCCTCTAGTTTGCATTTTTCTATTGTCAACTGGTGTGTATTCAGGAAATAAAAACATTTTATACCTCACTGTTTTTCCTCCTTAAATGTTTTATCTCCTTCCCAAGAGCTGTCCTTGAGCACATCTTTGTCATCAAGGACCTCTGCTTTGGCCTCTTATGGGAGTCACCAGGGAGCTTTGTAAGCCCTTGCTGCTCAGGCCTCACCCCAGACAGTGAAATCAGAGAGTCTAGGGTCTAGGACTCTGGTGCCAGTGTTTTTTAAAAGCTTCTCAAGTGGGCAGGTGAGATCTGGTGAGAACCAGAATCAGAGAGACCTAGTTCCAAATCTCAACCCTATGACTTCCTATTTATCCCACATTTGACCAGCTACCTAATGTCACTAACCTTTAGTATCCTTATCTGTAAAGTGGGTTGGTCATCATAGTTTTCTAATTGTTGTGAGGATTAAATGAAATAATGTCATTAAATACACAGGATAATGCTTCATTTTGAAGGCAGTTAATGTGTTAATTTTTATGTTTACTACAGTAGTCCCCCTTTGTCCAGGAGAGATACATTCCAAGACCCCCAGGGGATGCTTGAAACCACAGACAGTGCCATACCTATATATACTATGTGTTTTCCTATACAGACATACCTATAATTAATTTATAAATTAGGCACAGTAAGAGATTGACAATAATTACTAATAATAAAATATGACAATTATAACAGTACACTATAATAAAAGCTATGTGAATGTAGACTCTCACTCTCAAAATATCTTTTTATTGTCTCTAATTGAAGTTATCTCAAAATTTCTTAATATTTTCAGACCAAGATTGATTCAGGTAACTAAAACTAAGGAAAGCAAAACCGTGATAAGGGGGAGCTACTGTAAGAACAGCTATGGAGACAGTAAAAAGATCAGTGGTTGCCAGGGGTTAAGGAAGAGGAAAAAATAAACACCAGAGCACGGAGAATTTTTAGGGCAGTGAAACTATTCTTTATAGGACTAAAATGGTGGATACATGTTGTTGTGCATTTGTCAAAACCCTTAGAGTATACACACCAATACTGAACCCTAATGTAAATTATGGGCTTTAGGGGATAATGATGTATCAATGTAGGTTCATCAATTACAACAAATGTACTACTCTGGTGGGGGATGTTGACAATGGGGTCCCTAATGGAGGTTTCTAATGGAACCCTAGAAATTCCTAAACATTTGGTCATTGGATGAATGATGATCTCATACCAGAGTGACTAGATGATGGCTGAAACACATTGACATTAAGATGAGCTCTTTAAGACACCTCTGAGACCAGAAAAGAGTTGACGCCAATGTTCTTCTTCAAGATGGAGCAGACCTCTGACACAACTTACCTGGTTTTGTCATGGGCACTTGGAATTGCTTTCCACTATCCATCTCCTCCACACCCTGGGCTGAGATGGAGTAGGGCCTACTGGCTTTGTTCTTAAATATGATCAGGACGGTGTTGCCCACCTCAGCATGAATCATTGGGCCTAAAGGCAAAACACAGGCCTGTGTGCATTATTATTGCTCTTTCAACATTAGTGTAATTTAAATATAGGCAGTAGTTAGTCAAATAAAATAGTTTGGCTTTAGTTGTTTTTCCGAGAAAGGCATATATAACTCTACTCCACTTTAGAGAGCAACATTGTGTAGTATTAAATATCATGTAGTCTTTAGCAATGGGTTTAAATTCTGCTTCCTTCATTTATTAGAGGGGCCTTGGGTAAGTGATGTAATCTGTCTGAGTTTCAGTTTCCTCATCTGTAACATCAGTTTAGTAATAACTTTTATGTGGGATTATAGTAAGGGTTGAATAAGATAATGTATCTAAAAGTGTTTACTTCAGTGCACTGATACACCATAAGTACTTGGTAAATGCTTTTTTACTACTGAGAAATCATCTCCAGGAAAAGCCATATCCACATGATATGGTGACTTTCAGTTGTAATCCCCCTGTGTATAACCTTTGATAAGTCTGAAATTATTCATTATCTGGTAAATGGATGACAATAATAATGAAGATCCAATGAAATAATGTGTGTAAAAGGAATCTGAAAGAGTAGAGGGAAATAAAATCATTTATGTATTAATTTATGATTAATATAGTGACTTCACAAATGCACATCTAACTCTGTTTCTCAATATTTGTTTACCCAAGGAGACAAGCACTCTTCAGCCCCTCTGGTGTGTGCATTTCTGTTGGAAGCAACCAGGCTGGGTGCCAATGGAGATGAGCCCACACCTGGCTCAGAGGGCCTGTGGCAGCATGACTTGTGCACTGCTTCATGGTCAGTAGACTCCCATTTCAGAAGTGCCTGATCCCTATGGCTCTCTCTTGGGTATCTGGTGCATTCTACATTCACAGGGAGATACACTGACAGTTGGTGGTCTGGCCACACATATCAATTCCTTGCTGATTCAAGCCATGGTTTTAATTGCTTTTCTGAGAAAGGTATATATAAATCTAAAATTTGTTGGACGGTTATTATTTTCAATTTTCTCTCAATTTCTTAAAATATTCTTAGGGGGTAGTTCCAAGATGGATGAATAGGAACAGCTCCAGTCTACAGCTCCCAGTGTGAGCGACGCAGAAGACAGGTGATTTCTGCATTTCCAACTGAGGTACCGGGTTCATCTCACTGCGGCTTGTCAGACAGTGGGGGCAGGACAGTGGGTGCAGCCCACCGAGCGTGAGCCGAAGCAGGGAGAGGCATCGCCTTACCTGGGAAGCACAAGGGGTCAGGGAATTCCCTTTCCGACCAAGGGAAGCTGTGACAGATGGCACCTGGAAAATCGGGTCACTCCTACCCTAATACTGCGCTTTTCCAATGGTCTTAGCAAACGGCACACCAGGAGATTATAGCCGGTGCCTGGCTCAGATGGACCCACACCCAAGGAGCCTCACTCATTGCTAGCACAGCAGTCTGAGATCAAACTGCAAGGTGGCAGTGAGGCTGGGGGAGGGGCGCCCACCATTGCTAAGGCTTGAGTAGGTAAACAAAGCGGCTGGGAAGCTCGAACTGGGTGGAGCCCACCGCAGCTCGAGGAGGCCTGCCTGCCTCTGTAGACTCCACCCCTGGGGGCAAGGCATAGCCGAACAAAAGGCAGCAGAAACCTCTGCAGACGTAAATGTCCCTGTCTGACAGCTTTGAAGAGAGTAGTGGTTCTCCCAGCACAGAGTTTGAGATCTGAGAATGGTCAGACTGCCTCCTCAAGTGGGTCCCTGACACCCAAGTAGCCTAACTGGGAGTCACCCTCCAGTAGGGGCAGACTGACACCTCACACGGCCAGGCACCCCTCTGAGATGAAGCTTCCAGAAGAAGGATCAGGCAGCAACATTTGCTGTTCAGAAATATTCGCTGTTCTGCAGCCTCCGCTGCTGATATCCAGGCAAACAGGGTCCAGAGTGGACCTCCAGCAAACTCCAACAGACCTGCAGCTGAGGGCCCTGACTGTTAGAAGGAAAACTAACAAACAGAGAGCAAATCCACACCAAAACCCCATCTGTACATCACCATCATCAAAGACCAAAGGTAGATAAAACCACAAAGATGGGGAAAAAACAGAGCAGAAAAGCTGAAAATTCTAAAAATCAGAGTGCCTCTCCCCCACCAAAGGAACGCAGCTCCTAGCCAGCAACAGAACAAAGCTGGATGGAGAATGACTTTGACGAGTTGAGAGAAGAAGGCTTCAGACGATCAGACTTCTCCAAGCTAAAGGAGGATGTTCGAACCCATCGCAAAGAAGCTAAAAACCTTGAAAAAAGATTAGATGAATGGCTAACTAGAATAACCAGTGTAGAGAAGTCCTTAAATGACCTGATAGAGCTGAAAACCATGGCACGAGAACTACATAATGAATGCACAAGCTTCAGTAGCCGATTCGATCAACTGGAAGAAAGGGTATCAGTGATTGAAGATCAAATGAATGAAATGAAGTGAGAAGAGAAGTTTAGAGAAAAAAGAGTAAAAAGAAACGAACAAAGCCTCCAAGAAATATAGGACTATGTGAAAAGACCAAATCTGCGTCTGACTGGTGTACCTGAAAGTGACGAGGAGAATGGAATCAAGTTGGAAAACACTCTGCAGGATATTATCCAGGAGAACTTCCCCAACCTAGCAAGGCAGGCCAACATTCAGATTCAGGAAATACAGAGAATGCCACAAAGATACTCCTCGAGAAGAGCAACTACAAGACACATAATTGTCAGATTCACCAAAGCTGAAATGAAGGAAAAAATGTTATGGGCAGCCAGAGAGAAAGGTCGGGTTACCCACAAAGGGAAGCCCATCAGACTAACAGCGGATCTCTCAGCAGAAACTCTACAAGCCAGAAGAGAGTGGGGGCCAATATTCAACATACTTAAAGAAAAGAATTTTCAACTCAGAATTTCATATCCAGCCAAACTAAGCTTCATAAGTGGAGAAATAAAATCCTTTACAGACAAGCAAATGCTGAGAGATTTTGTCACCACCAGGCCTGCATTACAAGAGCTCCTGAAGGAAGCACTAAACATGGAAAGGAACAATCAGTACCAGCCACTGCAAAAACATGCCAAATTGTAAAGATCATCGATGCTAGGAAGAAACTGCATCAACTAATGAGTGAAATAACCAGCTAACATCATAATGACAGGATCAAATTCACACATAACAATATTAACCTTAAATGTAAATGGGTGAAATGTTCCAATTAAAAGACAAAGACTGGCAAATTGGATAAAGAGTCAAGACCCATCAGTGTGCTGTATTCAGGAGGCCCATCTCACGTGCAGAGACACACACAGGCTCAGAATAAAGGGATGAAGGAAGATCTACTAAGCAAATGGAAAACAAAAAGGCAGGGGTTGCAATCCTAGTCTCTGATAAAACAGACTTTAAACCAACAAAGGTCAGAAGAGACAAAGAAGGCCATTACATACTGGTAAAGGGATCAATTCAACAAGAAGAGCTAACTAACCTAAATATATATACACCCAATACAGGAGCACCCAGATTCATAAAGCAAGTCCTTAGAGACCTACAAAGAGATTTAGACTCCCACACAATAATAATGGGAGACTTTAACACCCCACTGTCAACATTAGACAGATCAATGAGACAGAAAGTTAACAAGGATATCCAGGAATTGAACTCAGCTCTGCACCAAGCAGAGCTGATAGACACCTACAGAACTCTCTACCCCAAATCAGCAGAATAAACATTCTTCTCAGCACCACATCGCACTTATTCCAAAACTGACCACATAGTTGGAAGTAAAGCACTACTGAGCAAATGTAAAAGAACAGAAATTATAACAAACTGTCTCTCAGACCACAGTGCAATCAAACTAGAACTCAGGATTAAGGAACTCACTCAAAATCACTCAACTGCATGGAAACTGAACAACCTGCTCCTGAATGACTACTGGGTACATAACAAAATGAAGGCAGAAATCGATGTTCTTTGAAACCAATGAGAACAAAGACACAACATACCAGAATCTCTGGGACACATTTAAAGCAGTGTGTAGAGGGAAATTTATAGCACTAAATGCCCACAAGAGAAAGCAGGAAAGATCTAAAATTGACACACTAACAGCACAATTAAAATAACAAGATAAGCAAGAGCAAACACATTCAAAAGCTAGCAGAAGGCAAGAAATAACTAAGATCAGAGCAGAACTGAAGGAGAGAGAGACACAAAAAACCCTTCAAAAAATCAATGAATCCAGGAGCTGGTTTTTTGAAAAGATCAACAAAATTGACAGACTGCCAGCAAGACTATCAAAGAAGAAGAGAGAGAAGAATCAAATAGGCGCAATAAAAAATGATAAAGGGGATATCATCACTGATCCCACAGAAATACAAACTACCATCAGAGAATACTATAAACACCTCTATGCAAATAAACTAGAAAATCTAGAAGAAATGGATAAATTCCTCGACACATACACCCTCCCAAGACTAAACCAGGAAGAAGTTGAATTACTGAATAGACCAATAACGTGTTCTGAAATTGAGGCAATAATTAATAGCCTACCAAACAAAAAAAGTCCAGGACCAGACATATTTACAGCCGAATTCTACCAGAGGTACAAGGAGGAGCTGGTACCATTCCTTCTGAAACTATTCCAATCAATAGAAAAAGAGGGAATCCTCCCTAACTCATTTTATGAGGCCAGCATCATCCTGATACCAAAGCCTGGCAGACACAACCAAAAAAGAGACTTTTAGACCAATATCCCTAATGAACATTGATGCAAAAATCCTCAATAAAATACTGGCAAACGAATCCAGCAGCACATCAAAAAGTTTATCCACCATGATCAAGTGGGCTTCATCCCTGGGATGCAAGACTGGTTCAACATAATGCAAATCAATAAACGTAATCCATCACATAAACAGAACCAAAGACAAAAACCACGTGATTATCTCAATAGCTGCAGAACAGACCTTAGAAAAAATTCAACAGCGCTTCATGCTAAAAACTCTCAATAAATTAGGTATTCATGGGATGTATCTCAAAATAATAAGAGCTATCTATGACAAACCGACAGCCAATATCATACTGAATGGGCAAAAACTGGAAGCATTCCCTTTGAAAACTGGCACAAGACAGGGATGCCCTCTCTCACCACTTCTGTTCAACATAGTGTTGGAAGTTCTGGCCAGGTCAATTAGGCAGGAGAAAGAAATAAAGGGTATTCAATTAGGAATAGAGGAAGTCAAATTGTCCCTGTTTGCAGATGACATGGTTGTATATTTAGAAAACCCCATTGTCTCAGCCCAAAATCTCCTTAAGCTGATAAGCAACTTCAGCAAAGTCTCAGGATACAAAATCAATGTGCAAAAATCACAAGCATTCTTATACACCAATAACAGACAAACAGAGAGCTAAATCATGAACTCCCATTCACAATTGCTTCAAAGACAATAAAATACCTAGGAATCCAACTTACAAGGGATGTGAAGGACCTCTTCAAGGAGAACTACAAACCACTGCTCAACAAAATAAAAGAGGACACAAACAAACAGAAGAATATTCCATGCTCATGGATAGGAAGAATCAATATCATGAAAATGGCCATACTGCCATTTCCCAATGGCCATACTGCCATTGCCCAAGGTAATTTATAGATTCAATGCCATCCCCATCAAGCTACCAATGACTTTCTTCACAGAATTGGAAAAAACTACTTTAAAGTTCATATGGAACCAAAAAAGAGCCCACATTGCCAAGTCAATCCTAAGCCAAAAGAACTAAGCTGGAGGCATCATGCTACCTGACTTCAAACTGTACTACAAGGCTGTAGTAGCCAAAACAGCATGGTACTGGTACCAAAACAAAGATATAGACCAATGGAACAGAACAGAGCCCTCAGAAATAATACCACACATCTACAACCATCTGATCTTTGACAAACCTGACAAAAACAAGAAATGAGGAAAGATTCCCTATTTAATAAATGGTGCTGGGAAAACTGGCTAGCCATATGTAGAAAGCTGAAACTGGATCCCTTCCTTACACCTTATACAAAAATTAATTCAAGATTGATTAAAGACTTAAATGTTAGACCTAAAACCATAAAAACCCTAGAAGAAAACCTAGGCAATACTACTCAGGACATAGGTATGGGCAAGGACTTCATGTCTAAAACACCAAAAGCAATGGCAACAAAAGCCAAAATTGACAAATCGTATCTAATTAAACTAAAGAGCTCCTGCACAGCAAAAGAAACTACCATCAGAGTGAACAGGTAATCTACAGAATGGTAGAATATTTTTGCAATCTAATCATCTGGCAAAGGGCTAATATCCAGAATCTACAAAGAACTCAAACAAATTTACAAGAAAAAAACAACCCTATCAACAAGTGGGTGAAGGATATGAACAGATGCTTCTCAAAAGAAGACATTTATGCAGCCAACAGACACATGAAAAAATGCTCATCATCACTGGCCATCAGAGAAATGCAAATCAAAACCACAGTGAGATACCATCTCATACCAGTTACAATGGCGATCATTAAAAAGTCAGGAAACAACAGGTGCTGGAGAGGATGTGGAGAAATAGGAACACTTTTACACTGTTGGTGGGACTGTAAACTAGTTAAACCATTGTGGAAGACAGTGTGGCAATTCCTCAAGGATCTAGAACTAGAAATACCATTTGACCCAGCTATCCCATTACTGGATATATACCCAAAGGGTTATAAATCATGCTGCTATAAAGACACATGCACATGTATGTTTATTGTGGCACTATTCACAATAGCAAAGACTTGGAACCAACCCAAATGTCCAACAATGATAGACTGGATTAAGAAAATGTGGCACATATACACCATGGAATACTATGCAGCCATAAAAAATGATGAGTTCATGTCCTTTGTAGGGACATAGATGAAGCTGGAAACCATCATTCTCAGCAAACTATCGCAAGGACAAAAAACCAAACACCACATGTTCTCACTCATAGATGGAAATTGAACAATGAGAACATTTGGACACAGGAAGGGGAACATCACACACCAGGGCCTGTCGTGGGGTAGGGGCAGGGGTGAGGGATAGCATTAGGAGATATACCTAATGTAAATGATGAGTTAATGGGTGCAGCACACCAACATGGCACATGTATACATATGTAACAAACCTGCAGGTGGTGCACATGTACCCTAGAACTTAAAGTTTTATATATATATATATATATATATATATATATATATATATATATCTGCTGGAGGATTTAAAAGAAAATTTCCTGGCTCAGTATAGGGGTTGGAAAGAAGCTTTAGGGTATCATACACCAGTTAGACTGCCCTGATGTCATGGATTCCTATTTGTGTATTATCTGGTAGTCCTATTATGACTAGTTTTTGTATGAGTTGAGCACTCAGCACACTCCCTGATAATGGTAGAGCAGGAAGATATTACACTTGGAGGAATGCAGTCAAGCTACTCTGTTTCTTCTATCCTTTCTTAGCCACAAGTGTAACAGAACACATGAGTATGTGTGCATGCACATGCTTGGGGCTGACAGTGCACGCCTGAAATCTGTGCCATACCCAGGAGTTCTAAGTGCTCCTCTCGTGGTGGTCGGGCTTTGATCTCCACAAATTCTCCATCCGTATATTCCCTGTAAACCACCTTCTTGTACTGAGAGCCAATCCAATTTTCAGTGCGGTTCATAAATATATCTCCATGTCTGCAAATCAGAAGCATCAGAAATTAAAGTTGTCAGAAAGCAGAAAAGCTTTGAGCGCTTCTAAGTGATTCAGGGGTATTCTGGAGAAGTGCTCCCCAAACCTGGCTGTGATCAAGTGCTCCCTGGGGAGCAGGCCTTTTGCACCATACTTTCTGGGAGTGAGGCCAGGCATCTGCACTTTAAAGCTCCTTCAGTTCTGATATGGGCAGCCCAGCACCAGTCCATGGCCCACCCTTGGAAATCACGGTTGTAATCTTCTGCTAAGCACTGAGTAGGGCCAACCTCAGAGACTCCTAAGTATCCTTTGAGGTTGCGCCTCTCTTCTGGGACCATCTAACCTTACACACTTGCATCTTCATGTGTGTGTCATCACACACACACACACACACACACACACACATACACGTCCACCCTCTACCACCCTGAGTTTCTCCAGATTTCATATGCATCTTTCTGTACATGGTAATGCTTTTCCACTTTGAAGGATCTCAAGAAGGACCATAGTCATGTATTGTGTATACATCCATATACAAATATAGATAGATACAGTTGATACTTGTTATTCACCCTAGTTATGTTCTAGAAAGTCATTGTGATAACTGGACTAATAAAGACTGAACCATTGTTCCTAGGGAAAATATAGGGTTAGGTTCCTGCAAACCTCTGGTCACAATATTTTCATCAACAGATCAATATATAACCTTGTTTTATGTCTGTTTCTTTTTAAACACACTTTATTTAATATATATTGCTGAGCTCAACAGCATTAACACTGTTGAGCTCATTAACACTGAGCTCAACAGCCAACAGCACTGTAACTCATGCAGGAACAAAGCCCCTCTCACATGTATAAGGCACATCAGAGGCTTCTTACACTGAGGACACTGCTTCAAAACTCTGTTTAAGGGGGCATTTTAAACAGTGAAAGCACCAACATAAAGCACACAAGTGCAAAAACGATGGCACTAAATAATCTGAAAACAAGGACATTTGTTTACAGTATGAGAGCTGAAACAAGAAGGCAGAGAGACTCCTTGTTTGACCTCAGCTGAAAATGTGTGCATCAAGCAACGTAAATTTTTTGCCACTCTACATGTACCTGCAAATGACCACAAAAATGTCACAGGAATTGATTTTGGGGTTAAAAATAAATTTTAGCAAGTAGGCAAATTTGCAAAAGCAGAATCTACAAATAACGAGGATAGACTGTATACGTACCTTACATGTATAGTACATTTCATCTATTACCAAGGCAGATCATCACAAAAGACAGATTTTTAAAATCTTTTAATTTTATCTCTAAAATACAGTGAGACCCACCCCTTCCATTGAGGGAGCTTTCATTCTTATCTCAGCCACTTGTAATACTTACCTAGGTTGGGTGGAATTGTTCCTAATCATTTTCCCTGCCACCTGTACTCCTCTTTGCCCTCTATTCACACACTGCAGGCAGAGGGATCCTAAGCTATACATTTAACAACGTTGATGTTAAGCCTTTTTATGATTTCCCACTGCCAAACTCCTCAATTTGGCTCTCAAGCCTCACTGTCTGCTTTTGCCACCTCCTGAGCCTCATTTCCCATCACTAGCCCCTAGGCTCTATGTTCTGGTCATTCTAAACATTCACTCTCTTGAACATGATGTGCTCTCCCTCACCTCCAGGCCTTTACACAGGTTGTTCCCTCTGCCACGAACATGCTTCCTTCCTCTTCAAGTGGACTACTCTTCATGTCCCAACTCAAAGACTACTTCCTCCCAGAAGCCCCCGCCGACTACCAACCTTCTCCCTACCTTTCCTCAAGACAGGGCTGTGTGCTTCTGCCATATCTCCTGTTGCACTCTACCCTTCCCCTCTCATAGAACATACTTGTTCTAAAGTCTTACCATGGACCAGGAATTCTGTGTGGGAAAGGACCTTGTCTATCCTCCATACTGTTTCACCAGCACATTGCACAATGTCTAGCATATAGTAGGTATTTAATAAATGCATGTATACTTCCACCCTAGACTGTATGATTTCCAAGGGAAGAGAACTTTTCTTCTACTTTCATTTTTCAGGAGACCCAGTTACATGTGGTAGTGACCAGTGCAGAACCTGTAGCCACATTCCACCGTTTCCCAGCTTTCTCCACTGCAAACCAGGCTGATAATAATTCCTCTACCTCATGGAATTGATATGAGGGTCATGTGAGTCAGTATCTGTAAAGCACATGTCAGGCCCATGTTCAGCACTATATAAGCACTTGCTTTTTCATCATCTTGTGAGAATGGTGCAAGAGATGCTGAGCAAAAACTGGTGGAGTAGGTCAGGTGTGTTGTAAGGGTTATGTCAGATAAGGTTTGTAAAATCCCTAGCAGAATGCCTGGTCCACAGTAGCTGCTCAATAGGCAGTGGTTTATTGTGGAGAATCTCAGGATGACTAAATCACACACCTATCAGTCTACAAGCTCAGGAGTACTAGGAATACAACTTTATTTTTTCATAGCAACTTAATTTCTGTTTTCAAATTTCCTCCCACTGCATAAACTTCCCCTGGACATTGTACCGATGGTCCCATTTGTTGGCTTTCTGGGATGCTGAGACCTTCCCAGCATGTTTTAGGAAGCCCCAAAGAAAGACTTCTAGGTCCCAAGGTGGGGCAGAGGGCCTGTGCTGACCAGGATAATAAATGTCTCAGGGATAGCCTGTACCCACAAATGGTTCAAAAACCAGATGGGCTCCTACCATGGCCATGGGACAAAGGGCAGACACATAGAAACTAGGGTGCAGAAGGGGTATGTGTCACTGGGCTCTTATCTACAGACATGCCTCAGATGTGCCCTAAGAGAACTGCCATTTCAATTCCATACTGAATTGTTATCTACAGCATTTGTTAAACTTTGAACATGTGAACTTGTCCTTATCTCACTTTGCTTTCATCTATGTATGGGCAAGAATCAGAGTGACAGGGGAAGGTGTAATTATGGCATTGCACCCCCTTCCCCACCAGCACATTTTATCTCCTTATGTCACTTGGGAGGGAGTCTCAGAAGACTGAAGCTAGACCTTCCTGCTAGCCCCGTGGGATGGAGACTTAAAGTAGGAGTTCATATTAGTTGTATGAACATCATAAAGGCTATATTTTTATACATTCATGGGCTAAGATTGTACACATGACAAAGTTATTATACAATTATTTCTTTAGTTATGGTAGCCTTTTAATGAAATAATCATTTTAGAAAGGGCCAGATTGGAATTCATTTCATTTTCCACTGTACCAGCACCAGTCTTCAGCTTGTATTGGCAGCACTAGTTTTGCAGAATACAGGTGTTTGGCCTAACAAATAGGTTAGTGAGTAATTGAATGGATTTAAAATTCTCCTGTTCTTAAGGGAAATCTTAAAAAAAAAAGTATCCAGAAGGTAGAACCATTATAATCTCTTTTCCATAAGTACAGCCCCTCAAAACAAAGGCCAATAAATAAGAAAAGAAATACTTGTGTTAAGATAGGAACAGTAGCATGTCGTGTTTGTCTCGCAGCCACGGAGGATGTCTATGAGGTGAGGGGAGGGGAGTATGGTGGCAGGGGGCGAGGGTAGGTGGCAATAAAGAACAAAGAGGAACTGGGCCAGGAGGGACAATGTAGTGTGCCGGAGAGAACGTGGATTTATTTGTCTTTCAAAAGATCTATGTTCAGTTCTAACTCTGCCAATGTCTAGTTGGGCGCCTTAACTCTTTGCGTCCAAGTTTCCTCATCTGCATATCAGAACAGTAATACCAGGCAGTGGGTTGCTGTGGAGGGAGGGGATTAGCCCTGGGGGAGGAGGTCTGTGGTCTGCGCCTGCCTTCTCCCTTGTTTAACTCCATCCCAGTGCACCCTAGGGATCTTGGTTCCTGGACTCTGGGCTTAGCGCCCTGGAGGAGCAATGCTTACAAGGCTGCTGGCGGCCTGAGAGCTGCTGAGTCTTGGGCATGCATCACTGGCCAACAGCACTGTTAAGGGAGGGCCAGTCTTGCAGACTTTCTGGGCACAGGGCCTAGTAGAGAAACCTGTTCTTCCTACCCCGATCCCGGAGTCTCTTACAAGGCAATGGCCTCCTGTCCCTCCTTGGTGGTCCCCCACTTAGAGCAGCGCTCTGCCAGTGGCTCAGCCTCAACCTTTCCTGAGGTCCTGCATCCACAGCAGCCCATCCTCTCACCCCACATCATACACCCTCTCTGCCTTCTCTGGCCCTTTTTGTCTTCCCAGCCCCACTATAACCATGTGATCTGCCTCTTTCCCTCAGCCTTTTCACCCTGCACACGCACTCCCAGGCACGCCCTGCATCCCATGACCACCCAGCAGAGCCCGCCGAGGGCCTGCGAGACACCGCACGCTGCCTTCCGGAGGCCGAGGTGGGCAGCTTCCCTAATCTGTGCACATAAGTAAAAGTCTCTGTCGGCCGGAACTGTGGAGACACAACCTGGGAATTTGCAGGGAGCCACACTTACTAAAGACCTACGGAGCATGCGCGATCCCACCGAGGAGCCCTAGCGGCGGCGCCTGTGGTACCTTTCCCCTCTTGCGTCCACGTGCTGCTTTTCGAACTCCCAGTTTTTGTTAGGGGCATAATCCCATTCTACTTCTTCAGCGGCGATGTAAAAAGTTCTTATCATCCCGTACCGCTGCTCAGAAGGGTCCCTGTTGTCACAGCTGCTGACCTCATAGATCTGACCCATGCCTCTCGAGAGGTGGGGCATGGTGGCACAAAACACCCTAAAAATACCTGCAAGAGAAATGGCTCGGCATTGAGTGTGGTGCTCGGTATTTTTGTTGGTGATGGTCTGTTTTTAGCAAACCTGCATATTTTATTACAAAATAACCAGTTAGGTGGATTTTTAAAATACCAGTTGTCTAGTAGTTTAAAATCAGACCCCAGGGGGTATAGATTACTTTGAATATATTTACTTCTGTGGAGAGAAAGATACTGTCCAAAATTCATTTGTTATAAAAAAAGAAACTTACAATATTGCTACCAAGAAATGACTTTTCTGGGTCTCCCATATAATTCACACCTATTAGAAGACAGTCTGTCCTGGAAAATCACCAATGACTGTCTTAGTCCAGCCCAGTTTAAAAAGAACTAATTACCTGTAAGATGATTATCCTAGACAAGGTTCAAATTAAGCCATATTTCTGATGAGTATTTTGCCCTAAAGGATTTCATAAATTCTAAAGTGCAATAAATATGTAAGTGTTATTATTATTAAAGCCAAATGTATTACTTCATTAAGCCCTTGAGCAAAGAAGTTTCTCATTTCCAATGATAGGTCTACATTATGCTAAATGAAAAGGAAACAGAAAACAGAAAAACAATCAATTAGATTTTTCTACATAATACTGACAATCCTGTCTGTCAAAAATTATGTAATTTTTAGATTGAATTTTCTAGATGCATTGGCATCAGATAGATATTTCTTAACTCACCATAAAATCACATAAGACAGATAAAATTATTGAAGATATTAACTCTCAATGAAAATATTGGATCAATAAATCTTTCTCCCCTTTCTCTAGTAGCCTCTGTTTTTAGAGGTGAGGGATGAGTGTACCTTTCATTAACCTTCTACAATGTACAGAGGTATCCTCTATCTTGCTATACATGTAACTCTGTTGTCTAAACATCGCCTAGTTACTCCTTTTAGATGAGCAAAAATTCAATGGGTTGATTCAATGGGTACCAAGCACACCCAGGCACTGATGAGGACACATGAGGAAGGGTCTTTATATGAAACCACAGAGAAGATACCTTTGAAGACAGACTTGGAAAGACTGTCCCCTACATTTGTTTTTTCCAGGAAGCCTATTTTTTATGTATTGATCATGGCACTTCAATAGTTGAGGAATTGTCTCCTCTAAGAACAAAGAGGATCTTAGACAAGGTAGCATGAAGAAGAAAACAAAACTAATAATAATGATAATAATAATAGAAGAACATGGAAATGTTTGAGTTGCAGCATATAGTCTACTCTACCCACTCTTGAGCACCCTCCTTCTTGACTTATAGGTAAGGGACAGGAATTGGTGAAATGACTAAGCTTTTAAGCAGTCACAGATTTATGCTTATCACCAAACATAAACTGGAAAACACTGTTGTGAAGCTCTTTAGAAATGTATAGGACACATGGAGTAATGATCAAAGCACTAGAATAAGTAGCTCCATTTCTAAAATTATTCTGGGCAGCTCTAACTTTGAGTGCCTATTTCTATGAATTAAAATGATTTGGCTATTTCCCAATCCCCTCCTCTCTTTGGTCTTGAAGAGCGTATTAAAAAAAAAAGTTGTGTCCAAGGCATCTCTTGATTTGAGTAATTCATAATTGATCAACTATACTAATGTACAGAGACTGGACACTAGGAAAAGTTCACATAGAAAAGACTATGGAGCTCCTAGTCTCAGGCAGTCCTTAGGCAAAGATTTTGAAGCCCAAGCCTCAAGTTCTTAATTGATGACACAGAGACATCTAAACTGCAGTTCCAGTGGAAAGCAAAGAAGTAGAACATCCATTAGTAAACAGCAAGTACTCATCTTAGGTAGCATATTGGTTTCTTGTTAAGACTGATGAAAAAATTGGTTTGGAAAAACATGTTCAATGTCTATAGGGCTTGTTCTCCTCACTTTTCATGCAGTGATTAGCATGTGCTACCACGTGTTGCTCTAGATCTTTTATGAAAACGCCCCAATTATCTCATTAGCTTGGAATCTCTAAGAGAAGAAGTTCCAGGTACTGGCATTATACAGGGGTCTCCATAAATTCCAGATCCAATGCAGCTTGCCCTGTTGGGAAACCAAGGGTGCCCAACAGAATGAAAACAGAGAATTCCCCCAATCAAAAGGCTGTTATCAGTACCTACAGAAGAGAGACCAGGCTGCAGTTATGGCTACATCTGTAATCTGGAAGCATCCACTGGGATGTCCATGCCTGGTAGATGCTTCAGAGAAGCAACTGAAATTATGTTCATGCTCAATGAGAGCAAAACATATCCACTTTATCAGGGCTGAATTTTTATGGACTGTGAATCAAAAACATTCTCCTAGGATTTATGCACCAAAGACTTTAGAAGGCTCCCACTTCTGTTTTGTGGATGCTATTTTAGATATTTCCCCTTTGTCCCTTATACTATGTGTTTGGACTAATAAGTCAGGATTCTCTGATTCTAATCAAGACTATATCTATTTCTACACCACTTGAAGTGCACAAAGTCTACCAATTTCTTCTGTGGGAGAACTCTAAGAGGATGAGCCTGAAGGTAGAAATCTGGTCACCTGAGATGGACCCAGCAAGTTTACCTGCATGGTCTGGCTGCATGAATGCTGTTGTGGCCATGTGGGGAAACAGGGCCAGGGAGTCTCGGTGAGTCCCTCGTAGGTGGATGGTGTTCCCTTGAAAAACAATTCCATGCATGTCAGTGTCAGTGCCCAATCCAATCAGATGCCAGGAAACTCTATCCCTTTTACACATGTTTAAGCCTGGCTGGTTGCCATACATGTAGCCGTTAACAGCTAAATGGAAGAAGAAAGACGGTGAAAAATTATCAGTGTGTATGGGGCAGGGGAGCTTCAAATATGTAAACTGTTTACAAAAGATCCTTGTTTTCAGAGAATAAACAGTACCAGGGAAAAGCCACATGGTGAATCCACTTAAAATGGAGACCAAAATTAACAATGAATAATGAAAATATAAGGAAATTATTTAAATGTTATCTTTAACAACACATATGCAAGGACACTAATTCTAAGAATGACTAAGGGATAAATCAGATTGTTTATGAAATAATTTCCCCATACTCTTCTCTAAGGCTCTCGATATGAAAATCTTTTTCTTTTGTGGTTATTTTCCTATGATCTCCCTTGTTAAATGTCTCTTCCTCAGTTATTAATTCATTGAATTCTACAAGACCCTCATTTGCCAGTGGGCTTTGCATTTGATTCTAGAAGTTATCAGACATGCTTTTACTGATTACATGGATTCAGCATTATTTGAAAGATTTTTAAATCAATTGACAGTATATGTGCATATGCAGTTAGTGGAGAAGGATTGTTTTTTAGGGGGTACTTAAGCTTATATGAGGTTAGTCTTTGAGTAAATAAATTTGCTTTATGATAACTCGTACTTCCTTACCCCAGTACAATTACTGGAGGGACTTTATTAATAAATAATGATTAGTTAGATATGAAGACCCTCTGTGCTTCCAGAGTGGCAAATTGTTTTTATCTTTGACATCAACCCCAATCCATTGATAGTGGCTATCTGAAAAAGTGCCTTGACAAGAATTTAGAAACCGCATTCTCACCCCATGGGGATGAAAGCCATGATATAACGCAATGTCTGACTGGTAAATGCACATAATTGTGTCTCATGCTTGATGTTTCTTGGAGAAATAAATATTTCTACCCCCCTCCTGCTCTCTACTAAGCCTATAGCAGGAAGGAACTATTATCATGCACATGAGTGACCTTCTGTTATAATCCCATTGTCAAATAAAATTACTTTTTGTTAGGTTGGTGCAAAAGTGATTGCAGTTTTTGCCATTGAAAGTAATTGCAAAAACCGCAATTACTTTTGTACTATCCTAATATTTCTGTGTCTGCAAAACCAGTGGTGCTTGGTAATTGTACTCAGATCTGGGATTATTGGTAGAAATTCCAAGAAATTCTGGCACTTCTGAGAAGGACACCACATTTTATGAAAAAAAAATCTTTGATAATGTCTTTGCAAATAAATGATCTAAATCTTGTCCATCAAATGTTAATGAAATCTGAGTATAAATCAAGGTGCTAATAAATTCAGTCCTTGGCTGGCTGGTAGAGAATCTTCTCTTGCCTTGGAATGCTTGTTTAAAGCCTCTCTTTCTACAACAGTCACTCATCCATTCTTTCTTTCAATAAACATATTTTGAATACAGACTATATAATAAACACAACACAAAGCATTGTGCACCATGTCAGGCCCTTTCTTTTTGGCTTTGTTGCTGTCTTCCTTCCACTCCCTGCAAGCAAGACTGAAGCTAGAACTTAGTTTATAATTAATGTGACATTTGAATTAAGATGCATTATTTGCCTTGAACTTTGTTTTAACAATGATATATCCTGTATTTATATATTTATTTATTTATTTATTTATTTATTTATTTATTTATTTAAACAGAGAGAGGGTCTTACCCTGTTGCCCAGGCTGGAGTGCAGTGGAGCCATTATGCTTACTTCAGCCTCAACCTCCCGGGCTGAAGAGATCCTCCTACCTCCTACCTCAGCCTCCTGAGTAGCAGCTGGGACTACAGGTGCACACCACCATACCTGGCTAATTTTGTATTTTCTGTAGAGATGGGGTCTCACTAAGTTGCCCAGGCTGGTCTTGAACTCCTGGATGCAAGTGATCCTCCCACCTTGACCTCCCAAAGTGCTGGGATTACAGGCATGAGCCACAGTGCCTGGACTATATATTGTATTTCTAAATATGAAAGTAGTTTCACATTGCCAAAATAGGGTGGGGCTGGATTTGATGTAGTTCATTCAGTTGTTTATTATCTTTTTAAATGAAGACCAACCTCTTTGATGATAAATTTCTTTTACAATTTAGTTTCTCCACCAAGAAACTGCTATATTTCCTTATTTCCACCTTAATTTCCCCTTTATATTGTCTACTAAGAAGTTTGGAAACAATATTCATATTCAGTTACAGCAAAACCTTTTGTAGAAGATGACACTGAAATGTACTACTCCATGCTTTCCATTGGCACAAGAGGGGACTCTGTTGGAAATGAGCATCTGGGACCATAGGGTCTGTGACCTGGTTGCCATGGGGCACTTGTAACCTTGGACTATTTTTTACTTCCATGCAAGGAAGGGAGGTTAAGGGCTATTTTGTTATTCTTCCATAATGCTTTAAAAGGCAATAAATAGATTTTATGCTGGGTCCTAAAACAAGCAGGTTAGCACCTGTTGTCTTACGTTACTTGCTTCGGGCACTTTTATTGACTGCACACTCTTGCAGGCATTGAGTTTGGACTCTCATTACTCTGCTACCTTAGGTAATATGCCTAAGAGTAATGACATCCTGTGTTACTCACAAGCAATTAGCAGGTGGTTTGCTATTGTAACACTTGATACAAAGAGACAGGGAGAGAGAATTAAGTAATTCCTCTCAAATGAAGATCTGGGATAGGAACAGCTAGTGTTTCACAAATTAACATTCACCAGTCACTCATACTACTTAATTAAATCATTCATACTACTTAATTATAGACACTTTGCTATGTAATGATTATCTCCTATTGTCACTTTGGTTTTCAGACTTAATGTTATTGTGAACCCAAGGGAGAGTAGTTTGTCAGTAATTTTCTACATTTATGATATACTGTGAACTTGGCTAGTTTAAATTTTTTTTTTTTTTTTTAGACGGAGTCTCACTCTGTCGCCCAGGCTGTGCAGTGGCACGAACTTGGCTCACTGCAACCTCCACCTCCGGGTTCAAGCAATTCTCCTGCCTCAGCCTCCTGAGTAGCTGGGAATATAGGCACGCACCACCATGCCCAGCTAAGTTTTGTATTTTTAGTAGAGACGGGGTTTCACCATATTGGCCAGGCTGGTCTCCTGACCTCGTGATCTGCCCACCTCAGCCTCCCAAAGTGCTGGGATTACAGGTGTTAGCCACTGTGCCTGGCCGCTAGTTTAAAATTTGTGTTCCTTCATCTAAGGCTGATAAAGTGCTCTAGAAGTATTAAATTTCACATCTCTGAGAGATAGGGAGGTTTCACCATACCATCTAAAGCTGAAGGCATGAAATAACTTACTCATGACCAAGAACAATATCCAAGAAACCAAAATTAATATAATTCAAACACACCAATCATTTTCACTTCTAATGCAAGTCAGCCTTTCATTTACAGGCGGGAATGTCATTTGTCATACCATGCATTCGGTTGGATTTCACAAACTCTTTATCTTCTTTGTCAATGCTGAAGGGATGCCAGATAAACTTCTGAATGTTTTCATCAAAATATCTGCTCAGATTCTCATCAAAGACTGTGAACAGTAGGTAAAACTCCTTGTCTATTCCTTTCTACAGAGAAGAAAGAAATGAATACATAAAAGGTACAGCTTGGAGGAATTCACAGAATTGCTTTCCTTCAAAGTTCACACAAAATATTAATAAGTCAGGGCAGATCAACATCAGCCCAAGAGTTCGCAGGTCATTTTTAAATAAAGATACTGAATGTTGCTCTGATGAATTTATTCCCCACTCAGAAAATTTGTCTTTCTTGTTACATCCGTCCTCCAAGGAAATCAGCCCCTGCTTAGAAGGCTTTCTACTCTTTTGGCCTCTGTTGCCAGGCTGGTCCTCAAGGACTTTTTCTCCTTACCCTGACCTGCCAGCCCTGGCCCAGCTTCTCTCTCTGACTTCATTTCCCTGTACTCACCTCCTAGCTTGCTCCAGACACCCTGGCCTTTTGCCCTTCCACGAACACACCAACCTCATTCCTGCCTCAGGGTCTTTCCATGTGTTGTGGAACATGAATTGAAGAACTCCCTTCCTCAATTCACTTTTCTGCATGTCATTTCCTCAGAGTGGTCTTCCCTAACCATCCTTCTAAACTTATCTCCATCTTCTGCCCAGAAACTCACTCACTTTACCCTATTTTATTCTTCACAGCACTTATCTCCACCTGAAACTATTTTATTTATGAAGTTATTTTTTTTAACTTTTTCCTACTGCAATGTGAGTTTCATGAGGATAGGAACACTTTGGATTCCTCTCTGTACCTGCATCACCAAGAAAAATGCCTGGAAAAGCAGGCATCAAGTATACATTTTTGAGTGAAATAATGAATTCATATAACTGACGAGACTTAGCTAAATTATGTTAACTTGAGTGGATAGTGAGGGGACAATGGATATGACTTCCCACAGCATGTATTCCTAATCAGTCTATTTGAGCCTATCTGATCACACAGCATCACAGATCGCTGCAGTATGCTTTCCTTTAGAACTGACCAGAGAGATGACTATGTTTTCTTTTCAATTTAATTTAAAATTTTGGGATACAGGTGCAGTCTGCGCAGATTTGTTACATAGGTAAACATGTGCCATGGTGGTTTGCTACACCTATCAACCTGTCACCTAGGTATTAAGCACAGCATGCATTAGCTATTTATCTTGATGCTCTTCCTCCCTCCACCCCTACCACCACAAGCCGCAGTGTGTGTTGTTCCCCTCCCTGTGTCCATGTGTTCTCATTGTTCAGCTCCCACTTATAAGTGAGAACATGCATTGTTTGGTTTCCTGTTCCTGCTTTAGTTTGCCGAAGATAATGGCTTCAAGTGCCATCCATGTCCCTGCAAAGGACATGATCTCATTCGTTTTTATGGCTGCATGATATTCCATGGTGTACGTGTACCACAATTTGTTTATCCAGCCTGTCAAAAGACATGGGCTTTTCAGTTGATTCCATGTCTTTGCTGTTGTGAGTAGTGCTGCAATGAACACATACATGCATGTATCTTTGTGATAGAATGATTTATATTCCTTTTGGTATATGCCCAGTAATGGAACTGCTGGGTCAAATGGTATTTCTGGTTCTAGGTCTTTGAGGAATCACCATACTGTCTTCCACAATGGTTGAACTAATTTACATTCCCACCAACAGTGTAAAAGTGTTCCTATTTCTCCACAGCCTTGCCAGCATCTGCCATTTCTCGACTTTTTAATAATTGCCATTCTGAATAGCGTGAGATGGTATCTCATTGTGGTTTTCATTTGCATTTCTCTAATGATCAGTTAAGTTGAGCTTCTTTTCATAGGTTTATTGGCTGCATAGATGTCTTCTTTTGAGAAGTGTCTGTTCACGTCTTTTGCCCACTTTTTAATGAGTTTTTCTTCTTTTAAATTTGTTTAAGTTCCTTGTAGATTCTGGATATTAGACCTTCATCAGATGGATAGATTGCAAAGATGTCCTCCAACTCTCCAGGTTGTCTGTTCACTCTGATGATGGTTTATTTTGCTGTGCAGAAGCTCTTTAGTTTAATTAGAACCCATTTGTCACACTTTGCTTTTGTTGCAATTGCTTTTGACATTTTCATCATGAAATCTTTGCCTGTGCCTATGGCCTGAATGGTATTGCCTAGATTTTCTTCTAGGGTTTTTATAGTTTTGGGTTTTACACATAAGTCTTTAATCCATCTTGAGTTAATTTTTGTATAAGGTGTAAGGAAGGGGGTCCAGTTTCAATTTTCTGCATATGGCTAGCCAGTTCTCCCAGCATCACTTATTAAATAGGGAATCCTTTCCCCACTGTTTGTTTTTGTCAGGTTTGTCAAAGATCAGATGGTTGTAGATGTGCTGTCTTATTTCTGAGTTCTCTATTTTGCTCAATTGCTCTATGTGTCTGACTTTGTATCAGTACAATGCTGTTTTGGTTACTGTAGCCTTGTTGTATAGTTTGAAGTCGGGTAGTATGATGCTTCTAGCTTTGTTCCTTTTGCTTAGGATTGCCTTGGCTATATGGGCTCCTTTTTGGTTCCATATGAATTTTAAAGTTGTTGTTTCTAATTCTGTGAAGAATGGAGGTGACCATCCTTTCTATCCCTCAATGCTTTCCTGTCTCTAACATGCTCCCCACCCAAGCCACCTTCATCCTGCTGCATGCTCTGGAGGGACCCTCAGCAATGTCATCTGACCATATCTCTCTCCTTATGTTGGACAATACAGTCTCATCTAATGGTATTCCGGTTCCTGCCTACCTGTTCAGCCTCATCTCTTGACTCTTTCCTCCTGGCACTTTGAAGCAAGGCCAAGCTCCTTGTCACCCTCTGCACTTGCTGTGTTCTGCATCCCTCTGTCCTTCATGCATGTATTCCCTCAGCTTTGATAGTCTGCCACTCTTTTCTCTTGCAAACCACTAAGCAACCTCATGGTTCTGCTTAGCTGCCCACTTCTGTGATGCTTTCCTAACTCCTCATCAACGAGGTGAGTACTCCTTGCGCCTACTATTCCTTATATATAGTTATTTCCTTAATTACATGATGCTTTAGAAGGCAGTGGTATAAAAGCTTGAGCTACAGAAGAAAACAATGAAGACTTGAAATTTTTCAGAATAAAATATTAAAAATTGGAAGAACATAAAGGATCAAAATATATTTTAAAAGATCATGGGCTATGTGAACAGAAAAACCTAGGTTCTAATGCTATTCTTCTGTTCACCCACTGTGAAGCCTGGAGCAAGTGATTTATCCTCTCTAAGCCCTAATTCCCTCACTTGCAACGTGAGGGTAATAGGAGTCCCCACATCATGTTTTTTGTGAAGATTAAATGAGATGACTTAGCTAAAGCACTCAACGCAACAACTGACAAATATTAAGCACTCAGTGCTGTTATTATTAGGTGAGACTGCAATCATCCATAGTAGAAGAATGAACAATTGAAAGGAGTTGCATTGAAGAACCTCATTGCTTGACAGGTATTTGGAGGGTAACTGGGTTTAATGAGGGTGGGAAGTTAGCCCAAGAAAACATTAGAAGGAAGGTGACAGAACCCTGAGTGATGGTGAATTTATGAATAACTTAACTGGGCCACAGTGTGCCCAGATTTTTGCTCACACATTATCCTGGATGTTTCTGAAAGGATGTTTTTGGATGAGATTAACAATTGAATCAGTAGACTGAATAAAACTGATTGTACTTCCCGACATGAGTGTACCCCATCCAATTGGTTGAAGGCCTGAATAGAAAGAACCAAAAGGCTCACCTTCCTCTAAATAAGAGGGAATTTCTCCCACCTGACTGTCCTTGAACTAGGACATTGGCTTCTTTTTGCCTTCATGCTTAAACTAAAATGTTGGCTCTTCCTGGTTCTCGAGCCTGTCAGCTTTCTAACTGGAGCCACCCCATTGGCTCTCCTGGGTCTTCTGCCTGTTGACTCAGCCTGCAGGTGCTGAGATCTATCAGTCTCCATAATCATATGAGCCAATTCCTCATAATAAATATCTCTCTGTGTGTCTCTTTCTCCATATATATATATATATATATATATATATATGGAACATCTGAGTAGTGGCTGGTGTCTGCAGCACACAGCTATTTTGTGAACAGTATATGTTAGTACATAGTAGGCTCCCACAGCAGCAGGGAAGAAAGGTGAGAGGTCTAAACCATAACCCATTACACAACTCTGAGTATTGAAATGTGGATAAGGAAAATGAGTTTTCTAAATGAGGTTGCACTGGAATTTTCAGTGTTTGTTTGCAGGCCACACAATGTTTAAGATGTGTGTAATATGGCATTTTCTGCTAACTAAACTTCTTAACCTTGGGGATAAGAGTACTTACCCTGTATTGCATTTATCCAACCAGAAATATTTGTTGCATGTCAACAATGTGCCATGCATTGTTCTGGGAAAGGAAGATAAGATAGGCAAGGTCCTTGCTCCATTGCACTTATCTTCTTGTAGGAGGAAACATACTATACACATAAGCAAATAAATAAACAAGGAAACTGTCTTATGGTGGTAAGTGATAGTAAAATCAGGTGATATAAAAGAAAGTGACCTTAGCCTGGTGATCAGAGAAGGCTTCTCTGAGGAGTGACAAGAAGAACTAGCCACGCAAAGGTCAGGGGATGACATTCCAGGCATAAGGAGCCTGGTACAGAGGCCCAAAGCCAAAGACAAGCTTGGCCTGAGAGAGGAACAGAATGTGGATGGAGCATAAGTGGGCATGAGGGAGCGTGGTGCCCACTTGTGGGAACAAGAGGCTGGGGCATGTCTAAATAGTGTTGATTTTTGTTTTAAGTGTGACAGGAAACCACTGGAAGTGTTGAACAGGAAAGTGACTTGATCTCATTTGCACTTTAGAAAAATCATGCCTGGTGCCCTGTGATAAAATTAATCATGGGGAGGGTGACTATAGTCACCTTAATTGTACATTTGAAAATAACTAAAAGAATATAAATGGATTATTTGTAACACAAAGGATAAATGCTTGAGGGGATGAATACCCCATTCTCCATGATGTGGTTATTATGCATTGCATGCCTGTACCAAAACATCTCGTGTACTCCATAAATATATACAAGTTCTATGTACCCACAAAAATTAAAAATAAAAAAAATTTAAAGAAATTAATCATGGGGGAAAGAGGAGACAGCTCAATGCAATGCATGATCCTAGATCAGACCCAGGACCAGGAAAAACATGTTTTTCTTTTGCTATAAAGAACATCAATGAGACAATCGGCAAAATTTTAAAATGTATGTAGATTTGATAATGTCAACGTTAATTTTCTGACTCAGATAATTTTACTTTGTTTATGTCAGAGAGGGTCCTTGTTTTTAGGAAACACACACTGAAAGACATTATGTCTACAACCTACTCTCAAACAGTTCAGAAAAATAACCCATAAAAACAAAGAGAGATAATAATAAAGCAAATGAGATCAAATGTTGATGAATCTGGGTGAAGGGTACATGAAGATTCTTTGTAAATTTTTTCTACTTTTTCATAAGTCAGATTATTTCCAAAAAAGTGTGAGATCTATAGAGAGGTGGATTCAAAGAGAGAAACAGAATGGGAGTAGGGAGTTTGACTGAATGGTTAGTGTGGAGGACTAGGGGTGTTAGTAAATGACATTCTGTACCTGACCATTCACCACTGGGAGAATTTATGACAATTTACTGGAAAGAGACGCAAACACTTATTCCCATTTTCATCTCTCCACCTGCCTAGAAGAAGACTGACCATTTTGCTTATAGAGGGCCTGGCACATAGCAGGTATTTCATAAGTAACTCTTGAATTGAACATACCTTTCCATCTGGCCAAATGGTTTTCTCTCTCAGCCAAGTTATAGGTATAGGATGTTTCAGGGTACTTTTTTTTTTTCATGAATTTTGTGTAAGTGGACTGACCATGAATAGTATTTGGCTTAGGCAACAATTCCCACAGACTATGAGGTGCTTCTAGCAAACCTCAAAGGTACCATTAAACGGACACAGCGGGGGCAAAATTAGCACTACCTTTCAAACATTTTCTGGCACTACATCTCCTTGGCTTAGGTATTTAGCTGCGAGGAAGCAAGAGGATGCATTGGAAAAGGACAAAGTTGGATGTTCAAGGTCCTGTGTTTTACTGCCAACTTTCACTACTTACTAGGTGTATTTCCTGGAATTCTACTCAATGTCTCTGAGCCTTAGTTTCTTCAGCTTTAAAATATGAATAATCATTCCGCTTTGCCTTGTGTGCTTGTTGAGGCACAGCATAAACATTCAGTCTTATAACACATGCAATAGACATTTCCGGGATTGTTCCTTCATGTAGAGAAAGGAAAATCCAAATAGGATCAAGATATTTTGTGTTTTTTAAATCTGGAAATTCCTTTGAGTCCAGAAGTGGAGCCACACAATGCCAAAAATTATAAAATATACCATTTAAATAAATGTCCTTGCTATTTCTGATTGGTAAAATAGATGCTTAAATGACTGTTTTTCTCTTTTCATTAATATGTTTAATATCATGTAGACATAGCTTGAAAGGCTATGCTTCGCTACACTAATCAGTTGAACAATTCAAATCTCTAAGTTGGGACTTGCAAGAAGTTATCTAAATGCTTTCTTTTTCCTTCAGCCATAGTGATTAACTTTCATTTTACAGTTGTGGGTCACAGTGGTTCTCAACGTTGGCTGCACATTGGAATCATCTGGAGATTCTGATTTAATTAGTCTGTAGTATCTGAATAATGGATGTTTAAATGGTCCCCAAGTAATTTTGATTTGAGAAACCTTGTCCAAGAAGAATAATTCCAATTAGCATTCCATGTGGATCTCTAAAGATTCTGTAATAAAAGCAGCACACAGAAAAAGAGGCCTGCCAAATCCTAACCACAACAAGCAGAGATTCTAGGTTCCTGAGTGGGCATTTGTAACTATAAATTTAGATCTTACATTTTCACCAGAAAATCAAATAAAATCTCCATTATGTAGAAATCTACTTCAAGAGGAAGAAAGACAAATTGCTTTTTGTAACTGACTATTCCTGTCTCGTCTCTGGCTCTTGCGGATCTCTCCCACATACAACCCTGAGAAGAACTGGTGACACTCAATGGCCTACCTGTGTCCCATCAGCATTGAGGACGCCCTTTTTACAGACTAGCAAAGGCCCTACCAGGCCAGAGCTGGTGTCCTTAATTGGATCAACTGCTGAGAAGTAAAGATAGGTCAGACAGGGAGGATCACCAGCAGTTGGGCTTACGCTCTCAGGCACTGTCCACTTGTATGTGAAGGTTTCACCTGGTTTAACATGCGCCCCTGGTTTCACAAATCCTGAGGATATAAACAAAACAATTATTCAAAACAACAGGCAAGAACATTACATTGGTCAGACTGGGTCTTCCAGCCCTGGGTGCCTCCCTCTGATGATGAAGAATTTTGTACCAGGAGAGTGGTTTTCTCTTATGTATCCTACCAGAAGAGGCCACTGCCACAATCTGCTGGCTTATGAGATAAAAGTTTAAATCAAAGGATTATCTTCTTCATAAATCCCATACAATTTCTTGCTCAAATGCCAGCCTTAGCAAATATTAAAAGACTGATAGTGGCCCATTCAACAGTTAAGTGAAAATTCATAAAATATCATTGGAATGCTTTCTATGTAGAATATATTACACTTGGTCTTGCAGAAGATACCCAAAAGAATTAAGCAAGAAACCTATCTTTAAAGAGTTTGAAATATAGGAGACTGAACTTGGAAATCATCCAAATAACTACAAGATAGAGGAGTTTAGTGAATGCCCAAGGTTATGACATTGATATATAGCAAATCTGGGATTCAAACTCAGTTTTTGTCTGATTCCAAAGACTGTGCACTTAACCCTTACACCGTACTGCCAAAAAACACATTGATTCTTTCCTACTAGACAAGGCCAGAGGCTCATTCTGCATTTTATCCAGTGCTCTGCAAAAAGGTGCCCAGTATGTTTGCTGAGTTAACAAACATTTTGTCAGTTCTAGTGTTCTTTCTGCACACACACACACAGTCATTCTGAGCATTTTTTTCTTTTATTTTTTTAAGAGACAAGGTCTTGCTATGTCACCCAGGCTGTAGTACAGTGGCATGATTATAACTGTAATCTTGAATTCCCTCAAGAGATCCTCTTGCCTCAGCCTTCCAAATTGCTGGGCTTACAGGCATGACCCACTGCACGCAGCCATTTTGGTATTTTGACCAAAGAGGAGAGGATGGTTTTAGGAATTGTTACCGCAGCAAGAGAGGGTGAGGATGGGTCCAGGGAGAGGGAATTCTCTTCCATTCCTTTCTCTTCTGTCCCCTCACTATCACCACAAAACCTGTTCTCAACTGGGCCTGGCATCACACTCGAGTGTGAAGAGTATCCCAGGAAGCCAGGGTGTCTGCTGCAGTAATAGGGATGAGTACCAAGGAACTAGAAGTTTCCCAAGAGCAGTATCATGAATGGATTAGAGTTCCCACAGCCACTGGGCAACAGCTACCTTTCTTACATTTAGAGAACCTATGCCATGTACTCTGTGATGGGGAGAGGCCATATCAGATGATAAGCACACATTACTGTTTTTTATAAATATATTTGTTGATTTGATACAGAGCAAAGACCATGTGTAAGATTTCGATGTCAACAAACCATTAGAAATCAAATTTTCCCTTCAGCCTTCACCTGCAGAATCCTATGCAACCTGCAACTGAAAAGCTCTCCATCTTAGAGAAAAAGAAGTGACTGTGAAAGTAGCTTACTTTTGAGATTTACTATATTGCTGAGAAAAAAAGAAAGAAATGAACATTTCCTAAGAACCTACCATGGGCCAGACCTTGTCCTAAATTCTCTCCATCCCTTTCCAAAGCCCTGTGAGGTGAGTATTGTTATCTGCATTTGACAGGAGAGAATCAGGTTCAGAAAGTTTAAGTGATTGCCCAAGCTCTCAGGGCAGGTAATGGAAAGGACCAGGATTTGAACCAGGACTGTTTATTTCTAAGTGCTTTGCTCACCCGTCCTGTTTCCTCCCTAAGCCCAGAGTGAGACTTACCATCTAGGTTTGGGGCTGCATCAGATGCCTTGTCATAGATCACACCATGGGGTAAAATGCTATAGACCTTGTCGGCTTTGTTGGCAAAGGTCACTAACAGGGTATCACCCACCTCTGCCTTGATGACTGGGCCTGAAAAAATATCCAGAAGAAGAGAGAGAAGAGAATGAAAAGAGACAGAAAGAAGTAAAGCAGAAGAGTCATTCTGTGCAGATGTACATGCCCAGCTAAAACATCTCCCTGGGTTCAATGCATGGGGGATGGTTTTACTGTACCAAGAATTCCAAGATGGGCTTCTTCAGCAGAGAGTCTCTTTCTTTTAGTAAAAGTTGCATCAACAAATTCAGTATACCGAACCTTCCAGTATTTTCCTCCTATTCTGTTGTCCCCTTGTGTGAAGTAGAGATCAGAGTCACTGAAAAGACATAGGAATGTGATTGAGGACACTTCTCAACATATCCACCAAATACTTTAATTATAGAACTTCATTCTATCACTTTTAGTCCACTCGCCCACCCATGTCCCCAGAAAAGACAGCACAGGCCTTGACAGAGTTCCCAGGAATAGTTAACCAGCCCTAAAAGTCTTCAGAGGCTGGGTGATACTCAAGCTCATTTCTCTCAGCCATTGTACTTTCTTCCCAAGAGGTCCAGCACTGAACCAGTCACAAGTAAACTCCTTATTTACCAATAGTAGAGTTCCAGAATGGTGTTCTACAAAGTAACAAAGAGCTAACTGGTTTCTCTGCAGAATAAGCATCCCTCTCTCTCTTGCTGATATTAATATGAATATTCTCTGCATCTAGTAAGCTCTTTGATTTCTGGCATTATTAAGGAATGGAGTGTCTAGTTAATCAAATAGTGTAATTATTGGAGGGCTACCATATAAACCATATGCATGAAATGCAAAATTTCCAAGTCGTGAATATGATAATATAAATTCTGACTAATACTGTCTCTATACTATCTTATTTCCATCAATGGTGCCATCACTCTTGCAGCCACGTAGATTTTCTTTTTCTGCTTCATTCCCTTAACTCATTCATCCTTACTTTGTAAAATTTTTTGGCACTCTTCCTTTTCTATCCTCCTTGTGCATCTTTTCTTTTCCTTTCTTCCCACTACCACGACCCCAGTTCATGCCCTAATCACACTGGGTGGAGCCCATTATATGAACCTCTGAACTGCATCCTCTATCTGATACTGGCTCATTCACTTTTCTTCTCAGCATAGACACACAACTATTAGATTGGTGCAAAAGTAAGCCATAATGGTCATAATGGCCAAGACCGTGATTACAAATTACTTTCAATGGCCAAGACTGTGCTTATTTTTTCACTTAATACATTAATCTCCAAAATGGCAATTGTTATTGCTATTTACCTGCTCCAAAATCTTCAATTGCTTCCAATTGCCAATCAAATAATGTTCAAAAAGATTAAAGGACCTCTGCAATTGATATCCCGTTTACCCCAATTCTCTATTTCTCCATGCCAGTGCCCATTCTTCTATGCAAATTGTTACTGCAGTCTCATCTGTTCATTCCTCCCATGCCACAGGTGCTTTGCATCAACCCCTCCATCTAAAATTCCTCTCTTCCCTATTCAGTTAAATAAATTCTATCACTCCTTAAGATTTTGCTTAAGTCTCACTTCCTCTATAATGTGTTCCCTGGCCAGCTTAGCTCTCTCTGAGCATCCAGATAACTCACTACCAGGACAACTCACCTCACTTTTATTTGTAACTTGCAGTTACTTCTCTACTCTTGTGAACCCAGCTTCTTCCTCTGCATTTTATTGCTTTAGATATCCTTGCATCCCTCATGTCATCTTGCACTTTGTGCTTTCATATATCACATTAAACATTGATTGAATATAGTTTAATCTTTCCTATTTCAGAAGGCACTTCAGAATTCTAGAAGGCTCCTAAGACAATTTTGAATGCTAATTCTCATTATTCTGTTTATGGAGAAATACTAGTCAATAGAGAATGTTGATATCAGAGTCTTTCACATATGGTTCACACAAATTCTTTAGACAGGGTTCAAGTGCATCCGTTTGGTAGAATAATGAGTGAAAGTATGAATGAATGAATGAATGAATGAATAAAATGTACAATTAAAGAAACAAATGATGTTTTATTGATCACAAAGAGAATTTTTAAAACATTCCCTTAAATATAAAAAAGGATTCTTGATATCACACTGTACATTTTTTAGTATCTTCACAGACAACTTTGCATATGATTATATACTAACAAGTCACAGGAGTCCAGATCCACCTAATAAATTGCTAGATTAATTTTTTAAATAGTATATTCTATGGGAGCGCAGAGAGAACATAATTCATTTATATCAAGAGTCAAAGGTTTCACTTCAGAGGTGACATTAGAGTAAGGCTTTGAAAGAAAAATGGCATTTTACTGAATAGAAAGGAAAAGAATATTTGTAGGACATAAAGGGGACACAACTTAAATCAGGATATCCTTGAACCAAAAAGGGTAACCCTCTTAGGCCAGGTCATCTCCATCTCCTGTCATTCCCTCTTCAAGACTGTCTGCTCCATATGTGTAAAGGCCTTACTCTATTCTTTGTCAGCTTAGTATTTCTAATGGCACTTTGCACTATAGTTTGCACATAGTGCCTACTCAAGAAATGTTTGATCAATGAGTGAATGATCTAGTGTTTTGATTCAGCCGTCAAGTCACAAAACAAAAAATATTCTACCAGTTCTCAGCAGTGCTTTTGCAGTATTAAGAACACCTTAAGCAGCTACATTATGCCATCTATGCAGTATAAGCTCATCAGAGCAGTGGTTGGAATACAAATTAGATCACAGAGAAAGCCTAACACATGCTTCTCTGACGAGAGGCTTAGAAACACCAACAAAGGGTGCTTACCTGCCAGAGGCGTTTAGAGGAAGACCACTGAATTTGTTATAGCCTTGAGGAGCATAATCCCAAAGAATTTTTTCAGCTGCTATAAAGTAGCGCCTCTGTTGACCCTTCATCTTGGGGTAGAAAATATCACTTTTGCAGTTATCAACATTGTATTGCCCCAGCATACCAGCTGCAGAACAGAGGAAAACCACGAGCTGAGGCATAAATGATCACAAAAGGAATCATATAGGAAAAGACTGATAGATTTGGCTCTTGAACATTTAGGCTTCTGTACAGAAAATTGGACCATAAAGAAAGTTTTTTTAAAAAGGATAAATGGCAACAGGAGGGATATTTGTGACACATATGACAAAAGATTAATACGTAAATCACTTTTACAGATAAAGATGAAAACAAGTAAATCTCCAATAGAAAATGAGCAAGGAACAGAAATAGTTTATTCACAAAATAAATAATATTGGCCAATAAACAAATGAAAAAGAGGTTCAACCTTAACAGTACTCAAATAGTACTCAAACCTTAACAGTTTTCAAATGATACTATTGTTCATTGATCAGATTAGTAAAGATTAGAAAGACTAATAATTCTCAGTGTTGGTAGATGAATGGGGAAAGAGCCATACTCATACACTTCGTGTAGAAGAATAACAATTTCCAAAAGAGAATGTGGCAATGTATGTCCATAGCTTTTTTAAAAAAATCATACTCTTTGACCCAGAAATTCTAAATCTAGGAGTTTTTCTAAGAAAATGTTCAGACAAAAGTGCAAACATCTATAAATAATAGTCATCAGTGCTGTTTATAATAGCAAAAAAATTGGTGGGAAACATAAGCATTAAGCAATAGAGTATTGATTAAGCAAGATGTAATCTCCTTATAATGGACACTGGAAGTATTAACCATGATGAAGTAAGCTCTATATTCACCGACATGAAAATGTGTTTCTGATATATTTGTAAATGAGAAAAATTAGCTACAGTGCAGCATTAATAGACTGATTTCATTTTTTAAAATACATATATATTTACATATTAAGAAATAGAAAATAGGGAAGATATTCACCAAAATGTGAATATAAAATATTTCTATTATGGAACTACTGATTTTAAAACCAATTTATAGGGGCCAGATCCAGTGGCTCATGCCTATAATCCCAGCACTTTGAAAGGCTAAGGTGGGAGGATTGCTTGGGCCCAGGAGTTTGAGACCAGCCTGGGCAACATAGCAAGACCCTGTCTCTATTTGTTAAAAAACCTCCAATTATATGTATTTTCTAATTTTTTTACAATAACTTTTTTCTGAAGGCATGGACAATTTAGAAATACTGTATTTCAGGGAACGTATAAATACTAGCTTATGTCCACAACTATCGGGCTAATTTAGCGATCTTACTAGTCTCAAATGGCAGCTAATATCTTGATTTTAAATCTACAGTTTCTTCCCAGATTTAACAGCATAAGACTCTTTGAGAATAGAAACCTTCTCTTGTTAATCTTTGTTTTCCCAGAAGAGCATCTAGTACATATTAACTGATTAATTTTTCAGTTGAATGTAATTGGGATACTGCAGTTGACTAATGCTATGACTCACTGTGGAAGGTGGACAGGAACAAGAATGTGTTACAAAAGCAGCCCTGAGCAGCTGGATCTTTGCACCTATTAGTGACTATGGGAAGTTAGTATCCAAATATCAGACATTATTTCTTCTGTGTCTATTCCATTAACATATTTTTTCTGTCTTGGTTTCATCATCTTAGGGCAGACGTTTAGGTGTTAGACCTCTAACACTGTCAAATGCTTCTTAACTAGCATCCAGTGGTCAGAATTCCTCCATCAAGTCCTTCTTGCATGCATACATTTATCTTCTTAAATAACTGCACCGATTATGTCACTAGTGTGCCAAAAGAGCTAAGGATCACACAGCCCCACCTCCTTAGCTTTGCTAAGGGGCCTGATGAGCCTCCCAGGCTCTTCTGTCATCACTTCTCTGTAAGGAACATTATGGTCCAGCTAAGAAAGGACATAGTGTATGATGTCTGAAGAAACCAGGACCAGGTCATTCAACAGGCATTTAAGCCAACAAATGTTTATCATGCACCTATCATAGGACATGAAGGAAGCTATAGGTCAATGGATTTTGTCTCAATTTGAGGAAGAACATTCCAATAGAGCAGTCCAGAGATGAGATGAGCTGCTATAACTACTCACAAGAGATGTTCAAAACGAAATTAAATAATTCGAGGGGGGATTGGTCCTTATTATCCAGAAAGTCCTTTCCAGTGCTAAAACCTTATTACTCTACTTACAGTTGCTCAAAAAGAACATGTGTTTTTCCCAGTTCATGCTGCTTCCTCAAAAGTCTTTCTTTCCTTCTTCATCTATTCAGTTCCTACTCATATTTCAAGGCTCATGTTAGGAGCCAGCTCCTCAGGAAGCCCCTCTGATTGCTCCAGAGTAGTGACTGCAACACCCAAAGAGCATTTATCTCATTCTGCCTTAAATCGTATTCATTTTGTGAATGTCTAACTATGTCTAACAACTATACTACAGGTTCCTCGAAGGTCTCATCAATTTTTAATCACTTCCCCACTTTTTTCATACAGAAGTGGTCAATAAATATCTGTTGATAGAATATCAAAGAGATGAGCGTTATATTTTCCTGTATATTTATTACCTAATTAAATATAGTACATACAAGGCTCTATCTAACAGTAGGTACTGGATGAGCACTAGTGACTGTGTGGTTTGATTGTACCATTCTAAACATATCAACTCTGGTCTTTATCCTTTTTACCTTGTAGGTGGTCGCTGACCTGGCAGGTTATCATCCACTTCCCAGGATTCTCGGCTATCATTTCTGTTGTAAGGAAGGTGGCTGGGAACAGGTTGACGACATCAGTCCGATGCCCTCTGCTGATGAAGGTGTTACCATAGAAATAGATAGAATGGATGTCTATTTCATTCCCCATTCCAAATAGGTGCCAGGACACAGATTCTCCAACACACATATCAGGCTCCGGGAAGTTTCCGAAGAGGTATCCATTGAGGGCTGGAAACAGAAACACGCTAGTGGAAGAGACTCCCCTGCAGAGGCGACTGGGACCAGAAATGTTGGTAATACGGGCTTAAGCATGGCTGGAAAACCAGTGCAGACCATTGGTTGTAAGGTTTTGGTGCAGAAAAACCTGGCTCTTAGAAATATATATTGTCCAAAAGAGAAATGAAATGTTTTTATTGGCCTTTTTCCAGAGAAAACACTCAATAAAAGTGAAGATCAGCATACACTGAGAACAGCCTCGGAGCTGCTGTGGGAACGCAATATGAGGTCAGGAGAAAACAGAGTGCTGCTCATATTTACAGGAGGCTCAGTCACCTTCTGTCATAATCCTTCACTGGCATATCTGCTGTCTTCACCAGATTCTGTGCTCCTTGGAACTAGAAACCCTGTCTTGTTCATCTTAACAGTTATCAGGACCTAGCAGAAAAACTGGCACATAGTATCTACTTAATGAAGTGACAAAAGCATGTAGTAAGATGGAAAGAAAAGGAATTGATTAAAAGGAATTTATGAGAACTGTTTTGTTTGTTTGTTTGTTTACTTTAAAAAGCCAAGAGAAAAACAGTTTTTACTACATGTTGCTGGAGCAGAATCTTATTAAGTTTATGGCGTAAATCCAGGACCGAATACTTTAAAACCATCTAAATGGCAGCTGGGAGTTGACCAAGTTCAGAAAAGAACTTGATTCAGGGCTTTAAAAAGTCACAATATCCCTTCTTAAGTTCGAACTGAGTTAAAAGCAATTGTTGCTGAAATGCCTGATGACTTAGGCAGCACAATTAATTCTAAATTATTTTAGTAAATTTAAATAAATTGATCAATAAAACTTGTACATATTAATTATCTTCCATAGTCTAGATTTTTTTAATTAAATTTTTTCCTTTACTTGATTAGGTCTCTTTTTCCAGTCTCTCTCTCTTTTTTTTCTTTTGAGATGGAGTCTCGCTCTGTCACACCCAGGCTGAAGTGCAGTGGCACAATCTCAGCTCACTGCAACCTCTGTCTCCTGGGTTCAAAAGATTCTTGTGCCTCAGCCTCCCCAGTAGCTGAGATTACAGGTGCCCACCACCATGACCAGCTAATTTTTGTATTTTTAGTAGAGACAGGTTTTGCCATGTTGGCCAGGCTGGTCTTGAACTCCTGGCCTCAAGTGATCCTCCCACCTTGGCCTCCCAAAGTGCTGGGATTACAGGCGTGTGCCACAATACCCCACCCTTTTCCAGTCTTGAAGGATTGTTTGCAAACACACATCTACTTCAGCATACAGGCTAGGGTTTTTTGTTTTTGTTTTTTGAGACAGGGTCTTGCTCTGTCACCCAGGCTGGGGTGCAGTGGCACTTAGTTCACTGCAGCCTCAAACTCCCGGGCTAATGCAATCCTCTGACCTCAGCATCACAAGTAGGTGGGACCACAGGCATGTGCCACTATGCCCAGCTGATTTTTTTTGTTGTTTGTTTGAATTTTTTGTAGATAACGGATCTACCTATGTTGCCCAGGCTGGTTTTGAACTTCTGGCCTCAAGCAATCCTCCCACACCTGCTTCTCAAAGTGCTGGGATTATAGGCATGAGCCATTGTGCCTGGACAGGCTTCTTTTTATGATACATGTAATCTATGTTTGCTTATGTAATTCATTTCATTTTGTTGGACATTTTCACTTCAAAAGAATAAATACAGAGTAAGAGGAATTATTTGGGCAGGTGAGTCTTAAGTAATCACAATTAGTAGTTTTCTGCAATATTTGAGATCATCACTCCCATTTTGTAAAGGATATGCATTACAACTGGTCACAGCAATGATTTGAATTTATGTCTTCATTGACTCCATCCTTCATTGTTTTCTCTGCCTCCCTGCCTTCCCCTTTCCTTCTCTCCCTTACTTCCTTTCCTCCTAAAATATTTTCCAAGAATCACTACACATAAGGTTGCCAAAATACCACTAGAAGGAAAAAAGAAGGCATGCAATACAATGGAAATAATCAATGTACTGACAATCATGCCTTGATGTGCCTAGGAATCAAACACAGCCAAATTTACATTTATTTGCTATGGGACTTCTCTCAGGAAACTCTCTGGCATTAATTATCACTTTGACCTTAGGCAAGTCATTGATAGTCTCTTGACCTCAGTTTCTCTTCTGTAAAATGGAGACGTTAGATGATCTTCAGCTCCTTCTATTCCTCTTATGATTTTATGACTATATTGAGGATACCTTGGTTAGAACAATTCTGAGAGACAGAGAAGCAATAGAAGGAGAAGATATGTCAATGAATAAGGTGGGATATGTAGGTTGACTATTTCCTTTATGTTCACTAGAACTCTCTAAGAAAATCCTAAAATGCTACATTAAGCTACTGCTTTGCAAAACAGGCATGAGTAAGTGCCCCATCTCAACTAATGAAGTAACTATAGAAGTTCACTATTTTGAACAAATATGGAGTCTGATGTATAGTGCATGCTCAGTAAATTTTGTTGATGTAAAGAATGCCTGGGAAATATAATGAATTCACAAGTGCTTATTTAAACCCCATGCATAACTCAGTTCTTAAAATTTATCAGCGGCTCAGAAAATGGTTACTGGATGAAGCAAAATGTTGCAAAACACAGGATTATTATAGAACGATGATTTCATTCTCCTTTCTCCTTCCAGTCAGTCTAAGCCCACCCATGCTCTGGGCTCACCTCAGGCACCGATTCTTTTCCAATTACAATATAACATCGATCCCTCCATTTTCCCAAAGCCCTGTGGCTTTGTCCACACTGCATGCCCAATTTAGCATGCATCCACTGCTCTGTCCCCCTCAGATTGTTTCAGGTTCAAACATGTGTCATGTATTGTATCACTTTCTAACCATGGTCATCCCTGAGTTATAAATCATGCCAAACTCAGATCAACATTTCTGTGTATTTTTTATCCCTTGTAGTACCTTATAGTATAAAAGGCCTGGTATACGTTTGGGAACATGGGAGGTACTCACCATGCATTTTGTTACTCCTCTGGAAAACAGCATCTTTCTTGTCAACTGAATCAGGGTTGGTGCAGAAATGTTTGATATTTTCATTGAGGTACCAGCTTTGATTCTCATCCACAAGAGTAAACATTATAACAAACTCTCGATCCACATCATTCCGTGTCCCTGAATATCTATTCAGGATACCTGTCAGGCACATTCAAAAGAGTAGAGAGAAAGAACTAAATCAAGATGAGCTTTGCTTCCTTCCAATAGTGTCAGGCAAGTGTGAAGTTTGGTGAAGACCTATACCTACAAGGATAACCCACCATATAAAATCAGCAAAAGGCTTTAATGGAGATGACAGAGCCATAGAAGAGAAAAGTCATAAAACAGAAATCTTCATAATCACATACTTGGAAGACTGGCTGTCTCTAAAGGGAGTCCATTTTATTGACAAACTACAGACATGCTAAGTCAACTAATAAGGGATAAAATAGCAAATGATTATTTGGGTGAAATAATGAAGCAGAAGGCATTACTGGTCATTTGACTAAATTTCTCACTTTTCTATACATTGTGTTATGAAATATCATTTTTTAAAATAACAATAAAGTCTCAGAATGCTGTGATGATTCTTAGACAAAAATCTGAATTATTGCCCTCTGCTATGGTGTCAGATTGATCTTCCATGTCAGAATTTCTAAAGAAATTTGGAAGAGGCACATTCTGTGTGGAGCAAAGGAGGTAGGCAAAATAAGACCTGAATCTTATTCACATTTCAACTCCCTAGTTACCTGGAAACAAAGCTCCTTACCTTCCTTGCAGACCAGCAGGGGCCCAATTAGCCCAGAGCAGATGTCCTTTGGGGCGTCGATGTGCGAATGGTACACCCAGGTCAGGCAGTTGGCATCGGCTGGAGTAGGTGCATATTCTTCTCTCACCGGCCAGACGTAGGTGTAGTTTTTCCCAGGAGGAACCATGTCATCATTTTTGTTCCTTCCAGATGTTCCATCTGGGTATAGGGCTCCTTCCAAAAAATAAAATTAAAAAAAAAGGTAAAACATAGTTAAAACAGAGAGATCACATGCTATAGTAGAGAGGGCCAGAGCTTTGGAATCAAACATAACTGAATTAAAATTTATTTGCTATGGGACTTGAGGCAAGTTACTTAAATTCTCAATGTCTCTGTTCTCTATCAGTAAAACTGAAATGTTGATATCTATCCTACAGGGATATAAGAACTAAATGAGGCAATGTATACAGAGTGTTTTGAACAGAACTAGGAACTTAATAAATGTTCATAATAAGGACTCTTTCTGATGAGGCTACCATATCAACCAGGAAGATTTCAATTCCCCTCAGTTGACATCGACTCAAGAAGGGAAGGAGAAGCCTAAGAAGAAATAATGAATAAACACTTCTTGGGGACTTATTTCAGATTCACCACCTGTGTAGGTCTCATGAGAGATAGGAAGGAAGTGTAAGACATTCTTCCTGCCTCTGGGGATCATATAGTTCTGTTGGGCAGACTAGAATACGTATTAAACACATGGGACAACTGGAGAATAAAGCAAAGTGAATGTGTTGAATGTCATTTTGGGTCAAAATATATGGCATACCCCAGAGGATGCCTGTGCTATACAAGGTAGAGGGTCCACCACAGAGTGGGCAGGGGCAGAACAGCCCCTTACTCTCTGTTTCATAAACCAAGATGGCACATGATTTTTCAATTAAGGAAAGCCGACTGCTAAAAATAGGATAAAAACCACCTGGCTAAAAGGACAGAGACCAGTCTGTGCACATTATAGTTATCAGAAGCTCTACAACAGAGGTGAGATTTAAGGGGCCTTAAAGGACGGGAGGAGCTAGACTGGTACTGAAAAAAAAAAAAAGCTGGATGGTAAGGGACAGAGAAGGAGATGGAAGTGCACACATTCCACATCCATTTGCCATTCATTCATTTACACAGTCATTCAAGAATGTGAATTCAATATTGAACACATGCTACCAATGTGCTAGGCATTAGGAATACAAATTCAAATAACACAGCAAGAGCCAGTGTGGCCAAGACAAACCAAAGCAAAGATAAAACTAAAAAATCTAATGTTACCATTTAACAAATTCTACCATGAAAGCGTGGTTTGATGTTTGGAGAAAGATGTCATGAGAAAGCAACAACAGTTAAGCCCTTATTATGTGCCAACTATAGTGGATACTTTGTATACATTATCACAGTTACTTTTCAAAGCAATCCCATATGAAAAGTATTAATATTCATTTTTTATTAAGTTAAGGTAACACTCCTAGCATGTTCTTGAGTCAAATTTGAATCTATTTATACCTGACTTCCCATCAAAGTTACTGGCAATATAATGTACAAACTATTTTCTACTTATTTATTCACTTAACTTTCCTTTACATACTTTTAATTACTTTTATTCTAAAAAGAATATGAGCCACTTTACAAATAAACCTATATGCTACATAATTAGTTACAGCCCATTCATATTAACTGTAGCTCTGAATTTCCTGATTATATTTAGGTTATATTGTTAGATATAGAGTTAATATATATTAGGTCAATATAATTAGCTTATACTCTTTCATTGTCCAGTAAAGGGAAACTTACTAGTTCATTAAGAGAAAGGAACTTTTTGCTAGTACTAGATTCTGAGAGAGTATTTTCAAGAAAATTATTATATATAAATTATTCAGTAATGTAATGAATTATGTCTTCAATGTTTTCAAGAATGCTTTCCAAAAGATGCAAAAACATTCTTTTTAAAACAATTTCTTACATTTTCTCTCAATACGAGGTGAGAATATAATACTCAATAGTATTTTGACAGAATCATTTGTACTCAAAGTTAAATTAATGTATTTGCCGCTTTCTCACTTGATACTTATCTAACGTGATAGAGGAACAGGACATAGGAAAAAATCCAGAGAGCTGCCCCTCATCCATTAAATCCAAATGACATTTAAAAAAACTATGTTATCTCAGCAGCATTTGATACTATTGTCAGCTCCCTCCCTCCTTGACTCATAGGACATCACATCATACTCTTTGACCACTCTTTTTCAGTCCACTTTTCCAGTTCATTCTCTTGTATCTGCCATTTTTTTGTCAGAAATCCTCAAAGTATAACGCTGGCTTCTTCCTTCCATGCCTTGTGCTTTCTCCTCAGCTGATAGCACTCATCCCCACAGTGCCACCCATCAGCCACACACCAGTGACCCCCATGTTTATCTCCAGCCAGGACCTTACCTCTGCACTTTACACTGATATTCAACTGTCTGCTTGACATCCCTACTTGTAAATCTCAAGAAGATTGCAAATGCAACCTTTTCCAGGGATCATTAGCTCTCCTCTACCAAGCTTGGTCCTCAGCCACTGCCACTACTCCCAGTAAAAGGCACTACCAATATTCAGCCACAAGCCAGAAACAAAGGAAGCATTTTTCTTCCTTTTCCTCTCTTTCCATTTCCAAAATACCACAGGGTCCTATCTCCGCTTCTTCTCAAATGCATCCATTTATTTATGTTGATCTCCAACATCACATCCCTAGTCTGAACTACCATCATCTCTCACCTGGACTTTGTAGTAACCTCCTAGTTGGCTTCCCTTCCTCTAGCCTTTCTAATCCATTTTCCAAGCTACCACAAGAGTGATCTTTTCAAATCTTAAATATAATTCTATTGTTCCCTGTTTAAAATCATTTCATTGCTTCCCATCAGTGTTGGGATGAAGGTCAAATGTGTTTAATATAGATTAGAAGGTCCAGCATGGTCTGGCTCAGGCAATCCTGAACTCCCTGGACTGGGTCAGTTATCTAAAATGCATTCACACTGAGAGAAGGGCAGTAGAGCCACTGGTTAAGCTCACAGCCACTGAAATTAGACTGCCTGGAAAGGAATCTTACCTCCATCACTTGTTAGGTATGCAGCTTGGGCAATTTCCTTCTCTTCTATGACTCTTAGCTTCTTATCTGTTAGGTGGTGATAATCATAAATGCCTACCTCTTAAGAGTTGTTGAGACTTGTAGGATATGATATCTATAAAGCACTTATCACAGTGCCTGGTATATAGTAGCCTTTCAGTAAACTATCTTATTCATTTATAACATGTGCCTAAGTTTTTAATTATATGTGTGTATATGTAAGTGTATATATACACACACACCATATATATATTTACACACATATATAGTATGTATATGTGTATACATATACACACACATATATATATCATGTGTGCATATGTGTGTATGTATGATTGCTTCACTAATGTCTCTTTCTCATGTTAGACTGTAAGCTGCATTAAAGCAAATACCAGGCTTCTTTTTGCTCATGATCGTATCTTCAAGATCTACCCCAGTGCGTGTATATATATATATATATATATATATATATATATATATATATATATATATATATATATAATAAAATATGACTGAGTGGTATTACCTTACACTGCCTTTGTCCAAAGCCCTCTGAATAAAATGCATGGCTTGGAAGATTCTTTTCTATATGGAGAGATTTATATACAGAGGTTCAGGAGTTGAGTGAGAGTGGGTAAGCAGTGGACTTGTCTCGAAGTTTCGATTGAGATCACTTATTTTGAATTGATTATATGATACAAATCACTACAAATAACAATTGTTCTAGAAATTCTTATGTTCACAATTTACTTAATGGGCCTTGTTTTTATTATTATTAGGAGTTATTGAAGGCTATTACTGAAATGAGGAGAGAGAATCCCCTAACAGAGCCTTTGTGCCACCACTCAAGTTGAAGAATATCACTGGGAATCAAAAATAAAGTATAAATATAAAGGAAGACGTGACTTGGAGATAGGTAATTTATTAAGTTGTTCTGAAAGTCATTTTCAAAAGAATTTATTAAGGCTTTTGATCAATGGTGTCATTAACAATATGAAAGTATAAAACACTATTTATTTGCTTATATATGTTCTAGGCTGTGTGAGCTTTTAAAACTTACACAATTTTTTTACCCATCAGATTTGAGAATTTTGAGGATTGATGGGGTCATGGGAGAATTAAGCTCATTCATAAACAAATGGCAGAGAGTAAAATTTGCAGTTTTTCAGAAGACAGCTTGCCAATTCCTATTCAAAGAAAGTATATACAACCAGCAATTTTATTTGTAATAATGTATTGTACAAACATACTTGAAACTATTTTTCAAATTACATGAACTGGAAGCAACCTAAATAATTATCAGCACTGAACTGATATGTTCATATGGTGGGATATTGCACAATTGTTAAATGCAAGTCTCACTATATGTACTAATATGAGAAAATCTCCAAGACAAAGTAAAAAGTGAAAAACAGAAAGCATTATAGCATAATCCCTTTTATACAAATGAGCAAGGATATACACATACATACATGCTAATATATGTATAGAAAAAAGTCTGTGAAAAATTCATAGAAATTGTTTAAGATTATTGCCTTTGGAGTGAAAGACAAGTGAGCAGGGCTTTAACTTTTCTTCTTATACCTCTTTACTCTTAAGAACTTCTAACCATGTTCATTTGGCACTTTAATTTTCTATTTTGAACTAATTTAGTGAATATGTAAAGAATCAGATTGTGTGCAATTTTCCTCTTCTTTATACTTTTTTATATTAAAGCAAAAACCAGGCCAGGTGAGGCAGTGACTCACACTTGTAATATGAGCACTTTGAGATGCCAAGATGTGAGGATTGCTAGAGGCCAGGAGTTTGAGTCTAGTCTAGGCAACATAGCGAGACCCCATCTCTATAGAAATAAAACAAATAAAATAAAAATAAAATTTAAAAAACAATAAAATTTATTTTTAAATAGTCCTAATACTTAAGCATATTTCAGATGTAGGTCAAGAAAGCACTAGTTCATTCTATCATTAAATGAAGGAATGTATATAAGAGGTCTGGCTCAGGCATTAGCATAAAATAGCTGCTCAATTAATGTTAGCCCCACCCGCTCAACCCACTTCTAAGTTCCATTCTCTACCCCTCCCCTGGATGATATTTTGGAAGCAACAACTGTATATTTACTCTTCTTTGCAACCCAGTATTGTGTCTGGCTCACAGCAAACACTAAGTTGAATTAAGCAGAGACTTCAAGACTTTTAAGCTTACAGCTGTAGCAAAGACAAAACCTTATTAAAGGAGAGCAAAGAAGTCAGCAAATTCTCTTCCCAAAAAAGCAACTATAAAGTTAGACAAAATTGATTTAAAAAAAATAACAAACCATTTTGGTATCTAGAAATTGAATAAAAACATATAGCAATGTTTATGCTTGAAACTGCTGAACATCAGCTAAGAGGAGTAGGATTCTACAGCACTGGTTTTCTAACCACTCACAGATCCACTAGCAGAGAATATAAGATTTATTGGCTCAAGATGCTTAGGCACAACTTCTTCAAATCATTTGCTGACCACTGAGCTAAGCAGACATAGGAATGACCTCTCAGAAGCCAGGCTTAAAAATAAAAATAAATAATAAAAAAAGCAGACATCTCAGTGGCCACACACTATAGGAAAGATAATCCACAGATTTAGCCCACAGGTTACTAAACAAAGAAGCAAGCAAAAAAAATAACCTAGAGTTGATGAAGGAATGAGAATCCAGATATGCTACATTATATTCTTAAAAATATCCAGTTTTCAAGAACAACAAAAATATGAGAAACACAAAGAAACAGGCAAGTGTGATTAATAGAGAAAAAAAGGCAGCCAGTGGAAACTATCTCTCTATATGTCCTTATAGGTTGAATTTAGCAGAGAAAGACTTCAAAGCAGCTATAATAAATATGTTCAAACAACTAAAAGGAATTATGTGTAAAGGGCTGAAGAAAAGTGGGAAAAACAACTCAACAAATAGAGAATCTTAATAAGCAAATAGAAATATTAAAAAGAATCCAATTGGAATTTTGGCATTGAAAAGTACAATAAATTAAATAAAATACTAGAGGAGCTCAACAATATATTCAAGAAAGCAAAAGAAAGTATCAGTGAACTTAAAGCTAGATCAATAGAAATTATCCTATCTGAAAAAGAGAGGTGGGGGAAATAGAAGAAAATGGACAGAACCTCAGAGACCAGTGGGACAATGTATTTACTAACATGTGTATAACAGTTGTCTGCAGAAAGAGGGGAGAACAACAAAAAGAAAGTGTGGGATAAATATTTGAAGAAATAATG